>NC_000013.11:96252979-96877979 GCF_000001405.40 Homo sapiens | reverse complement strand
TCACTTAAAGAAGAGCCCCATCCCATCACTCAGTTTTGTAGGCAGCTGACACAATTGAGGGTGACCATAGCTGTGGAAAGGGAATGGACGAAATGCCACAAACAATGACCTAAGCTATTATGAACATGGGTCCATGACTCTTGCTCTTTGGGATTCTGTGAGAGTCAATTCTACGTGTCAATGTGACTGGGCCATGGGGTGCCCAGATTGTTTCTGAGAGTGCCCGTGTGGGTATTTCTGAAAGAGAATAGCATTTGAACAAGTGGACTCAGTGAAGTAGATTGTTCTCTCGGTATAGGTGGGCATTATTCAATCCAATGAGGGCCAAAATAGAATGAAATGGCAGAGGAAGGAGGAAGTCACCCTTTTTCTTCCTGCTTGCCTACCTGAGCTGGAATATTCATTTTTCTCGCCCTTTTACAAAGACTTACACCACTGGGTCCCCTAGTTCTCAGGCTTTCTGTCTTGAACTGGAATTACACCACCAGTTTTCCTGGATCACCGTCTGACAATGGCAAATTGTGGGACTTCTTACTCTCCATAGTCATGTCAGTGCATTCCTGGTTATATACAAATAATTAGTCCTTTTCTCTGAAGAACTCTGCCTAATACAGATTTTTAACACAGCCTAGAAGTAAGGGGGATAGGAGAGAACAATAACTGTGCAGGGATTTGAGGACTTGCATTAAGGAGGATAAAGAAATCAGTGAAATATGAATTATTATTAGTAGGTTTTCAGCTTGCATGACCTGAAGAAATGTGTTATATGTTTTCCCTATTTTTCAAGCATTCTGTATATAAAGGAAATGTATTACTTTATAATGAGAAAATGTTACAATAAATTTGAAAGTAAAAGTCTCAAGTATAAAAGAAAAATGTGGAGGCAAGGTATTTGCAGTAGAAGTCCTGCTGATGTTTTCTTCTCTTTCCAGGCTTTTGTTGTCCCTGTTGGCCACTTCATCCAGGCTTTGTGCTGGAGCCTGGGAAGGGAGAGACGAAAAACGCTACTCTGTTTCCAAACTACCTACAGACTCTTCTGTAAGGCTCTCTAAATGTGATTATTCTGACATAAGATATTTTAATTCTATAGTTCAAGTTAAAGGACTATTTCTAGGGTTATAGATGCCACATCTCATAGAAGGCTGTACTCCCACACAGTGACTCTTAACAATTAAAAAATTATATTGCATATTGTTTTTCTTCTGCAGTTGGAAAGGACGAGGTTAGAAGTATCATGGGATAGTATCTTCCAGGAAGCATCTTCTGCCTAATTTCTTGGATGCCCTTGGTAAGTATCCCATAGTCCTCTCCCAATAGGTCTTTCACCCCTGTTTCTTCCCCCTACTCAATCCTAGACCTAGGGCAAACTTTGGTAATACTGATTGGCTTCAGGACTTTGCTCCCTCTTCTCTGCCTTTTTCACTTCCCTAGTCTTCCTCTTCCCCCATCCTTAGGGAGGTACCCAGTACTGTCCCAATGCCCTCAATCTCCCATTCTCACAACCTTCCCCCAAAGTCAAACTTTCTACCACAGGACTATGCACACCAACACATTTTCTCCCTCTACCTCTTCGTCTTAGTATTTCCTTGCAGAGCTGTATTTGCATTTTTAAGGCAAATATTATCACCTACGGATCTGTTAAGAATGCCATATATTTTACTTATTTATTTTCTGCTTCTCTACACATTCTCTCTCACTTCCCAACTATGATATAAAGTCCACAAGATCAGTGACTTTTGTTTCTTATTCTCTGCTGTAATCTAAAATCAGTGCTTTGCTCATACAGAAGATGCTTAATAAATATTTGTTGAAAGGATGAATGAATTAGTGAATTTGAGGGAAATAATCTGGGTAAAGGAAACTTCCAAGCAGCCCTTAAATTAAAAACTAGTAGGTGATAGGCTATTCCATTCACTTATTCATCAGATATTTGTAGAATAACCCACTAGTCAATCACTAGCATGAGGGAATCGTGGTCGATAAAACACAGTGCTTGCCCTGGAGGGGCTTAGAGTCTAGAAGGATAGAAAGATCAATGGAAGCAAAATAGTGTGGAAATCACTACAATTGAGTAAGTGTGGAGTAGAAGCACAGAGGAAGGGCACCCAATCTAATCTGGGGGGATTCCATAAGGGCTTCAAACATCTACCTGGGTTGGGACTGAGAAGTGAGTAGGAACAGCAGAAGGGTTTGAATTAGGGCACTTCTGGCAGAGGGAAAAATTGTGCCAAAGCTTGGAAGTGAAAGAGGGCAGCATGTTCTGGGCCTTGGCACTGTACAACTCAAGGTGGTGTTCTTCCCGTCGTGTTTTAAGTGAATAGCTCTTCCAGGCTCTATTATGGAAACAGCTAGTGGTGATGGTTGCACAACATCATAAATGCACTGAATGTCACTGAATTGTACACTTCAAGATGGTTACTATGGCAGATTTTATATTTATTTACCACAATAAAAACAATTTTAAAGTATATAGCTAAAATACATAAAAAATGTTATTATAGAGGTATTTCAAGGTATTAGAATACTGGATTTTATAACATTTGAGGTAATTTTTAGCTTTTATAATTTGTAATTTGCCGTGATTTTTTGTCTCCTTTTGAGTTAATTTTCATATTACAAAAATAAAGTGAATAAGTAATTGGTATAGTTGTTGCCCAAATGATATACTTGAAGAATAGCTAACTGGTAGACCTCCTCCTAGCATGTTTAATCCTACAGAAGCTCTGGGCTGTGAATACAAGTATCCTCTTTTCATGGGTGAACAAAGTGAGCTCAGCAGTTAAAGAACTTACCTGTGAGCATCTAATCAGAAGGTCTGCCTGATTTTGAAGACTGTGCTTGCCCTCACTGCATGATGCCACCTCCCATTTGAAAACTACTACTTTAGATTATTACACGGTTAATGAGAATAAGCACTGAGCACAGTCTATAATTTCTTTCTAAGTAAATATATGCAAATAACCAAAAATTTTAGACTGCAAACTGTGAACTTTCCCTCTAAAAGAAGGAGCTCCTACCCAGTCCTGGCTCAGCCACTAACTAGTTGCAGAGCCCTGGAAAAGCCATTTAGTTGCTTTGGGCCTCAGTGACAGCATCTGTAAAAGACAAGTCAATAATATGTATTGAGTGGCCACAAGGCACAAGACCCTGAGAGAAGATCTGAAGGATCTTGAGGTAGAGTCAAAAGCTCTGCTCTTCACAAACTCAGGATCTAGTTGAGGAGAACAGAGAGATCCAAGAAAGACGGCCGGGGCCTGAGGACAGAACTAATTCTGTCTGGGGAGGTAATACTAGATGAAGTGTGAGAAGGAAATTGATAGGCATGAAACTAAGTCACCAGGCTTTGTTTTGTGGGGGCTAGAGGTGAGGGCTTTTAGGAGCAGTCAGTGAAATCGGTTTTTCAGGTTACCTGGGTGGGTGAAACCCTGCCTTGCTCTCTTTAGTTGTCATCTCCATGGAGTACTCTCGAGTGGCTGTAGGTAACTTATGGGGGTCGGGGAGGTAACCTATTCTCCATCCTTTGCACAGTACATAGGCACACTACACACACCCCCACAGAAAGATGAAGTGCTTTGCTGTTGGTTCTCGATGGTGGAAAACCACTGTGCAGAACAGAACAAGGGTAGGAGGCTGGCAGGGAGCCTTGCAGACACTCTTACTTCTGTGTACTCCCAACCCAGGGTCTCACTCCCCCACCACCCTGGTGTCTCTATCAGCACATGGACTTTCCCTCATTCCACGATTCTCTGTAAGACTCTCTCTTTTGAGGCCCCAGCCCGAACTCTACTTGCTTTAACCCCTCACATTCCTCAGAGTCTTGATTTCCACCATTCCCTTGCTGGTCATTCCTCACGATTCCTCCTTCATCTTAGAATCCTTAGAGGTGAGTTGTGAGTCACTCTATTCCCTCTCCTTTTTGTTTCTGCAGTTGGGTTATTGGAGGTGAGTCTGAGGGAACTTTGAGTCTTGAGGGTGAAGTAAGCAAGAAGGGTCATTTTTAAAGAGGAAGATTCAGAATGGCAGCCTTTTTGATCTCCTCCTAATATCTAATTATATTCTAAAGTCTTAATATATTAACTTTGTCTGTTCCTAGTTCTTAATTTTTAAAAACGTGACCACTCAGAGGACCATAGACAAAAGATCCTACCATCTCAGATACAAAGGAGAGAAGGGTATTTCTGGTAGAGTGATCAGAAACAGCAAAGTTGAAAAGATGGGAATATCCATGACATCAAAGACACAGGAATAGTCTAATCTATCCAGTGAGTAGGGTGCTGCAGATTGTGGTAGAAAATGAGTCCTCAGGAGTAAATTAGGGCCATTCTTGAAAGGTCTTGAGTGTTACAATCAGATATGGTGGTCTTTATTCTGTAATAAATGAGAGGTGATCACTTAAAGGTTCTGGACAAATGAAAAAGTGATTATGTATTAATTTTAGTTAATTCTGAGAGTTGTGTAGAATGAATTAAAGGAAAGAGAATCTAGGAATATAATTTGCTTGTTTATTTAACAGTTAATTTATAAGTTGTCTACAATGTGCTTAGAAGTAAGTGGTGAATAAAATGGATAAAAATTCCTGCCCTCACAGTACTTATAGGCTATGAGTCAGAAGACTATTAGATTGTGTGGCCTTAAATGGAGCAATGACAGTAAGCATAGATAGGCAATATATGAATGTATTTGGGAAGTACAATTAATAGGATGTTTAAACTTGGTGTATTAGTCCATTTTTATACTGCTATAAGGAACTGCCCAAGACCAGGTAATTTATAAAGGAAGGAGGTTTAATTGACCCACAGTTCAGCATGGCTGGGGAGGCCTCAGGAAACTTACAATCATGGCAGAAGGTGAAGGGGAAGCAAGGCATCTTCTTCACAAGGTGGCAGGAAGGAGAAGTGCTGAGCCAAGGGCGAAAAGCCTCTTATAAAACCATCAGATCTCACAAGAATTTACTCAGTATCCCGAGAACAGCCTGGGGGAAACTGCCCCATGATTAAATTACCTCCACCTGGTCTCTCCCTTGACATGTGGGGATTATGGGAATTACAATTCAAGATGAGATTTGGGTGGGGACACAAAGCCTAACCATATCTCTTAGGGTATGGAAGAAGGTGGTGATATAGTTGATGACTTTTAACCAAGGTAATATATAGACAATAAAAATATTTTCTGTAGATTTCAGAAAGGTGTGCTGTAGATATACTCATATGAATATTTCATAGGGAACTCCTGTGGAGGTGTCCAGAAGGCAGTAGTAAATGTGCTTGGAGTTTTGTAGACAAGTGAGGTCTATATATTTGAAAGGTACCAGGATATAGGTGATAACTAAGGCCACAGGCAGAGATGGGGTCACACAGACATAACATGCAGGATAAGAAGATGAGAAGGTGAAGATCAGAAATTTCAAGGAAATATAGCTTGAGGGTCAAAAGACAAGAAACCGTTGAAGGACTGAGAGTGAACAATCACAGAAGTAAGAGGAGAAGCAGAAAAGATTGAGGTTTTGGAGCTCAAAGGAGGCAAGTGTTTCAGGAATGAATAGGTAAGGGATGGGAAGCTCAAGGTGACTCAGGAAAAGATCAAGCCAGTGTGGGAACTTTGAGAGAGCGGCTTCATTAGAGCAGAAAAATGCAGTGGGAAAGCCTAATTTTATAAAAGAGTTAAATAAAAGGAAGCTAAAGAAATACTACAAGCCATTTTCCAGACCCATATTTCTTAATTTGAGTCTAGAAACTGTACATTAGAAACACTTGTTTGAGTGTTCTGTGACTTCCTCTGCAACACTTATATAACAAAGTTCCTTCTCTATAATTTTCCATATGTATCCGGAGAGACAAATGCAGGAAGTGCAAAAATAATCTATCTTTTTCCCAAGTTTTGCAGGAAATGTCTGCTTTGAGAGAGGACTTCTTCTCACTCCTCAGAGAGCAGGGTGCCTTGAATTCTTTTCCCATTGCCCACAGCAATAATTCAAGAACTGCAGTGACAAATACTGTCCCAGCATCTTAGGAGATGGCATGGGCATGTTTCTCTCCTTCATAGTAGTAGAAGGAAGGGGCTTCAGATCAAAGACGAAATTCCAATGAATGCCTCTTTGTGGTCAAGACATCTAGAAGGACTATCTTGGCTATACTGACATTCCAACAGCAGTATTTCTGAGGCATCACAAATCAGTAAGTAGTCTTCTTTGGATCAGAATAAACTGAGTGAACCTTGGCTAAGTGCTCTTAACTGGACAAGGCCTACAGTAGATTTAAGGGATTAATAACTCAAACTTCCTCCTGTTCACATGATGACACAGCTTGACACTGTCATAGGAGCACCCAGTACCTCGCTTTGCTCACTCGAGTTAAATTGCCTCTTCTCTCCTCCCATGGTTATTTATTAGTGGATTTTCTGGCCAGCTCACACTAATTTATTTGTTTAAGTCTCCCCCATCTAGCTTTCCACAGAGCCTACAAAATTAAAAATTGTCAGTCCCCATAACTGCCTGACCTTTTCAATTGGAAAAGTTCAGATACTGGCCCACTGGGGCTAAACAGTAATTCTGCCAGAAGCAGCTGTGGCCTCAAAGAGTCAATGTAAATATTTCAACAGGTAAATAATCAGTCATAGATCTGGGACCAGGAAACTACAAATGTGGAGCAAGGCACAGAATCTCGCAGGTGGAGGAAATTTAAAAGGAACGCTATAGAAGTGACAACTCATAACAATAAAACCTTGTTTTTATTCCTATAAAACAAGAAAAAGAGCTTTAAGGTAAAATAATCCTACTTCCAATAAATGGCTACTTTTCTAGAGAACTCAAGATAAAAAAATGGAAGAGCATGCAGGAGACTCCATTCATCCGGACTTTACAATATGAGTGCTACATCAGCACAGGGGCCAATGGCCACAATTACTATTTCAAAACTATTCAAAAATGTTTTTTTTTCAGTCCTCAGGAGTTACTAGGTGATATGGTTTGGCTGTGTTCCCCCCCAAATTTCATCTTGAATTGTAGCTCCAATAATCCCCGTATGTTGTGGGAGACACGAGGTGGGAGGTAATTGAGTCATGGGGGCAGTTACCCTCATGCTGTTCTCATGATAGTAAGTGAGTTCTCACAAGATCTGATGGTTTTTATAAGGGGCTTTCCCCCTTTGCTCAGTACTTCTCTCTCCTGCTGCTTTGTCAAGAAGGACATATTTGCTTCCCCTTCTGCCATGATTGTAAGTTTCCTGAGGCCGTCCCAGCCATATGGAACTGTGAGTCAGGTAAACTTCTTCCTTTACAAATTACCCAGTCTCAGATATTTCTTCATAGCTGCATGAGAATGGATTAATACACTGTGTTATTCGGTAGCACCAGTAGAAAGGAGACCAAGAAATTCTTTAGTGAATGAGGGAAGAAAAATGAAGGTGAGATTACAGGTCTTGAAAATCTCCCAAAAGTCTAGTAATCAATAGAAATGAAAAAAATGGAACTTACTGTGGCTGAAATATTCATCATGAAAGATTTATAAAAATAGAGAGGTGTGAGAATCAAGAGTATAGAAAAATCTCATACATTTATGGCCAATTGGTTTTGACAAGGGTGCCAAGATCATTTAATGGAGAAAGCATAGTCTTGTAAACTAATGGTGCTTGGACAACCAAATATCCAGAAGCAAAAGAATTCCTACTTTACATCATATTAAAAAATTAATTCAGAAAAGATCAACAGTCTACATAGAACTAAAATCATAAAACTCTTAGAAAAAAACATAGGGGTATCTTTTGATCTTGGATTTGGCAATTGATTTTTTTTTATATGACACCAAAAGCATAAGAAGTAAAAGAAAAAAATAGATAAATTGGACTTCATCAAAATTAAAATTTGTGCACACCAAAGATTATTATCAAGAAAGTGAAAAGACAACCTACACAATGGGGAAAATATCTGCAAATCTTATATTTGCTAAGAGTCTAGTATATCAAATAATGTAAATAAAAACCCTTACAACTTACCAGCAAAAAGATAAACAACCCAATTAAAAAATGGGCAAAGGACTTGAGTAGACATTTTTCCAAAGATAACTTTCAAATGGTCAACAAGCACATGAAAAGATACTAGACATAATTTGTCATTAAGGAAATGCAAATCAAAACCACAATGTGCTACCCCTTTGCATCCATTAGGATGGATGCAATGAAAAATCCAGAAAGTAATACATATTAGAGAGGATGTGGAGACATTGGAACCTTTGTGTATTGCCAAGGGGAATGGAAAATGTTGCAGCTGCTGCAGAAAACAGTGTGGTGGTGCCTCAAAAAGTTAAGCATAGAATTACCATATAGCCAAGCAATTTCACTACTAAGTACATAACCAGAACAACTGAAAACAGACACTTCAACAAATACATTTACATGTATGTTCATCGAAGCATTATTCACAATAGCCAAAAGGTGGGAACAACCCAAATGCTCATTGCTGGAGGAATAAACAAATTCTTGCATGTACATGTAATAGAGTATTACACAGCCATAAAAAAGAAGCAGTGATAAACCTCGAAGACATTATGCCAAGTGAAAGAAGCCAGACACAAAAGGCTACATATTATATAACTTATTTATATAAAATATTCATAATACACAAATCTACAGATAGAGAAAATAGTTTGGTAGTTGCGTGGGGTTTTGGGGAGTGAATATTGAAAAGAGTAAATGCATAATGGGTACTGGGTTTCCTTTTGGGTGATGAAAATATTTTGGAACTAGAGAGATGATGCTTGTACCACATTGTGAATGTAGTTAATCCCACTGAATCGTTTACTTTAAATTGGTTCATTTTATTTTATGTAAATTTCACCTAGAAAAAAAATTTTTTGTCACAGATGTGTGGTTCACAAATTCAGAGGTGGTCCTGAATTCCAAACAGAACAACCTGCTCTGTTGTGAAGCATTCAAGCCTGTAATATAAAGAAACATGTTTCCACAGGGGTCGTCCAAAGAAATATGTGAAGTAGCTTTTGAGACCTTTCTGTTCACATCCCATCCCATAGAGGTTGTGGGTGGAATAGGAGAAGGTTCCCTCTCACCTGCATGCTTAGTCTCTCTACCCACCTCATATCCCCAGCAGAGCCCCAGGCTACTACCCTGACCTCTCAATTTCATCCCTCCCCTGAAAAATCTCACCTGTCTCTCATGCCTTTGACTTGGAACTGTGCTGAGGGACAACAGATAGAAACCAGCTCATCAAATAAAGCAGTGAGTTCATTGCTGCTATAGCTATGCACATATTCAAGTGAATTTATTATACTCATTCTTTAAGGTTCAGGTCAACCATTACTCCCTTTGGGAAGCCTTCCCAGTGCCCTTGGGCAGAATTACCTCTTCTCTGTGCTAGCTCAACTTGTTAATGCTATTGTTCTCATTTTCTATACTGTCCGTCCAGGCTGAGTGCCCAGCAGTTTGCCTGGCATATAAGGAACACCAACACAATGCACTTAGATGGAAACACCCCTGCCAGGTGATGTAGTGACTCAACTCAGGAAAAGTATAATTGTTACTTAGTAATACACCTATCTGTGTGAGTCTGTGTGTGTGTGTGTGTATGCACATGTGTTTGTGTTTTGGGCAGAATGTATTTATTTGTGGAGGGTGCTTCATGAACATCAGCCACATCATCTGACCAGATGACCAACCACCTGTCAATGCCTGTGGGTACATCAGTCCTGCTGCCACAGAATCCATGCCCTTTAAAGAATAAATTTATCATTCAGAAACCAATTAATTTAAATAAATTCCATCCTCAGAATAAGCTGGGAGCTGCTTTCTTTGATGCTGGCTCTTTGAACTGAAGGTGATGAGGGGCTCTTGAAAAGTGTTCCACAAACAACCGGTTGCTGGTTGCTGGAGCCTGGAGGAGACCAAGAGGTTGCAACAGGGGAAGACAAGGGAGGCCACCTGCCACTCTGTACCTGGCTATGATTCTATCACCCCAGATGGGCTAATGAGGGTCTTGGAAGCCACAAGCCCCTGGCAGCTTTCTTCTGAGAGGAAGAACAGGAAAAAAGGAAAGAGTGGGAAAAGGGAAGAAAAGAAATACAATCAGTAAAGCAAAACCATCTTTTCCTCTCTAAATCCAAAGTCAACCCAATTGCTTATGTCTTTGTAATAGTTATTGAAAAATGTCCAATTTTTCTGAAAAGTGAATTCAGAACCTTGTGAGGAATGTCACTGGTGGCAGTGGGAATATAAGAGGGTGCGGAAGACTTAGGGGCACCTAGGCTGAGCTAGGTCAGGAAAGCATCCACTGCAAGCACCCAGCCCAACCCTGGTGCTCCATAAAGTACAGCAAAGACCAACTTATTTAAACTAAAATTTGAGGTTTGAAATGTTCCCATGTCTCCTAACATTGCTGCTGCTGATGCCCATAGCACACTTTGGTTCTAAAACTTCCAAATACCATGTAGTTTATTACCTCTAATAACCCTGTAGAGAGGACTCATCTTATGTGTATGTTTTGCTGGAATGTTCTGCAGTTGTATTTATTGATTACCTGTGTTGGGCTTCACCTGCCCAGGCTACGGAACAGCATTTCATTATATGGCTTCCTCTTACCTCATCTAGTTAACTGCTCTTAGGAAAGCCACTATGGAAAAAACCTTAATAAAGTTTGTGATGTTGAATAAGAAAAGATAAGAAGAAGCTGGAGTTACTTGGGTTGGGGATACTTGGCAGTGTGAGCTGCCAATAAGTGGGTGCATAGTGAGTGCACAATTTTAAAACAATAGTAAAATTAACATAAAGCCAGCCATTTTATTATCACCTTGTAGTTACAATTCTAAAACATATCAATGTTAAACACTATCCCCTGCCAGGGCAGCTCTTTCCCTCCTCCCACCCTCACCGCCTGCTTGGTAAACCATTGGCTTGAGTGTATAAACATAGGTACCATGTTCCTGGACTGCTCATTGTAACAATTTTTTTGCTATAGAAGCAGAATACTAAGGAATTCAATACAAAGGAAACTTCAATACCATTTAACTGCATCTCTTTCATTTTTCCTTTGTGCCCCCTTTCATAAAACAAAAATCTGAGTGGCCACTGCTAGGGATCATGTTTAACAAAACACATCTTTGCCCTCCATAAGTTTGTAAGTCAGAGAGTGGTTAATGACTTTCTGAGGTCACGGAAATGCTGAGGGGCTGAGTTAGAGAAGAATCTATGATATCTTCACATGACCTTCCTTCCCCAAAGGGTATAGGGAAGCTAGAGACCATGAACCACAGAAATGGCAGGGTCTTGTCACATCTTCAAACCTTCAACAACCCAAAAACATAAGCTTCAAATGCCTGGTTTTGCTTTTCCTCCTTAGTGTGTGTGTGTGTGTGTGTGTGTGTGTGTGTGTGTGTGTGTGTAATTTCCTGGATTTTTGCAATAGCTTTCCTCATCCCCCACCACTTAGTATAGCGATTTCATTCCAGCAGCACAATTGCATTTTGAATTTTGTGCTTCAAAGTTAGTACTAACAGTTGCCTCCCCAGGTGCCTTGAGGAACCCCCTCAATATCACCTCAAATAACTTTTAATTGAATCAAACTCATTCATTCCTGACTTATGCTTTGTGCTTTTGCCTTCTATATCTAAAGTTCTATTTATAAACTGTTTAGTCATATGGGCTACTGATTTGGAGCCTAATTAGAGCTGTGTGATACAATATGGTTGCCCCAAACATTTGCATCATTCTCGTATGAGGCAGGCTAATTAATTGTCTGAGAAAGACCAATTGCACCTTCCCTACAGGTTTGCCTGTTGATTCCATCTCACCATGCAGATGCATTTCATCTAAAAACCCCAAATCACCTACTATTCCTTGGCCATTTCTCTTGGATTAATGGTGGAGTTGTGTGTTGCAATTGAGGTAGGTTACCCCAGCTCCACACACAAGCCGGTGGCCATTGGTGACTCTAGACATACTTTGTACAGGTCTTGAGTCAATGCAGTGGGCTGTCACCTTATAATCTGCTGGTGGTATCAGTAGTCAAATGAGCAAGCTCATTTCTCCTCCCATTTTGAATAGAAGCCAGAATTTTTATAAAAGAAAGAATAAGAAATAGAAATCAAGTAGAAATTCAACCACTAGAGTCAAGGGCAAGCAAAATTGATTTTAAAGGGCTGGCTTCAAGCCACGGAAACAAGGAAAGTTGAAATGAAAACTGTGCTTTTCTGGTAAAATTGCATCAACTACTAAAGGAAAGGTATATAATGGAAAAGTAGACCTAAATGCTTCATGTTTAGCATGCCCAGTGTACTTGAAACTAAGATAGCAACACACCCTTTAAAATTAAAGAAAAATTGCTCCCAGAATAGTTCTGTCTGCCTGAAATGTAAACAGAGGTACAAAAATCAGGGCAAAATGAGAGAGTGGTGAAAAGAAAAACACAGCTAAAATCCTGCAGTTACACATTTTTAAAATTTGATTTCTCTAAAGTAATATAATTTGCATTGTGTGAACAGGCTGTCCAAATTTAGACACTGCAACCCCACTTACAATGAACCATAAACAATGTAAGATATATTGAGTAGCCTAGTTCCAGAGCCAGAATGACTGAGTTCAAATGTTGGCTTTGCCACTAACTAGCTGTATGACCCTTGGCAAATTATTTGACTTCTCTGAATCCTAGTTAATTAATCTGAAAAATGGGAAACACAATAATATTATTTAAGTCATAGTATACAACATGAGTTACATATGTGAGATGTGTATGGGGAGTATTTGCACACAAGTGCTACACCAAGTGTTTGCTATTTTCATCATTCAATATTATTTTTAGTTGCATTTCCTGGTTATCTATTTCATTTCCCTCAAACATCAACAGAAAATATCAGTGTAGGAAAACAATGCCTTCTTATTTATACTAATGTTATATGCAAATACTAATTTCAGGTAAATTGTAGATGTAAATAGTAATACATCTTATAGAGGAAAATGAAAAAAGATCTTCAGGACCATGGCAAGGCAAAACAATTTTGAGGCAAGGCGTAAAAATTACTAACCGTAGAAAAAGAACACTGAAAAACTGGGCTACCATACTTTAAAATTAAGAATTCCTGTTGATGAAGACAAATTGAGAGAGGAAAATGCAAGCTGCGTGGTGAAAAAAGATAGTTGTAATGCTACAAAGGCTTCTTATCCAGAATCTAAAAAGAATCCCTACAACTCAACAAGGAAATATCAGATAATACAATAGAAATTGGATGAAAGATTTGAAGAGGCACTTTGCAAAAGATAATATCCAAATGCCTGACATAAAAAGGTGTACAACATTAGTAGTCACCAGAGAAATGTACATGTTAACCAAGTGAAAATTCCTCATATAGCCAACCAGGATGGCTACAATTAAAAAGGTGCAAAACACTAAGTGTTGGTGAGGATGCTGATGAAATAGAATCCTTATACATAATTTTTCAGAGTGTAAAAGGGAAAGCATTTGGCAGTATTGACTGAAACTGAACCTGTGCCCACTCTGTAACAAAACAATTTCACTTGTGGATTTTTATTCCACAGATACATACCCCTAGATGCAGATAAAAGAATGTTTGTATTAGTATTATTATTAATGACCCCAAACTGGAAACAACCCATATTCTAATAGTATAATAAATGAATAAATTATGATCATTTATGATATGCAGCAAAAAATGAACAAACGACTGTTACACAAAACCATATAGGGAAATCTCAAAAAAGATTAAATACAATAAGCCAGACACATAAAAAACAAGCATTTATGTATGACTCAATTTCTATAAAGTTAAAAACAGACTAATTGATGGTGATAGAAGTTAGGATGGTGGTTATTTGTGGGGAAAGGGGTTAGTTACTAGCAAGGGCAAAAGGGGGAGCCTGGTAGTAATTAAGTAAAATGTGTGATGTCTACAATGTTGTGTTGTTTTGAAAATTCGTTGAGCCATACACTTACAACTTGTGCACTTCTCTATAAATATGTTATACCTTGCTATTAAAAATATTAAGGCTATGAGGCCAGGTGTGGTGGCTCACACATGTAATCCCAGAACTTTGGGAGGCTGAGACAAGTGGATCACTTGAGGTCAGGAGTTTGAGACCAGCCTGGCCAACATGGTGTAACTACATTCCACTAAAAATAAAAAAAATTAGCTGGGCATGATGGCATGCGCCTGTAGTCTCAGCTACTCTGGAAGCTAAGGCAGGAGAATCGAATCTGGGAGGCAGAGGTTGCAGTGAGCTGATTGTGCCTCTGCACTCCCGCCTGGGTGATAGAGTTAGACTCCATCTCAAAAAAAAAAAAAAAAAAAAAAAAGAAGGCTCTGAAAGCTAATGAATAAATTTGCCAAGTAACCAATTTAACCCCTCAAGTGTTAGTATTTGGTTATTATCTATTTACATTTAAACTAAACTATGTGTGTGTGTCTGTGTGTGTGTGTACACACACACGTGCCACTAGAAGTTACGGTCTATGAAGACAGGAATTTTTGAAGAGTTTGATTTGCTTACTTCTGTCTCTGGCCACTTCAACAGTGTCTAATATGTAGTAGGCACTCAATAAATATTTGCTGAATGCATAAATGCAAAAATGCCTTGCATTTGACAAATTAAAGGAAAGTTAATTTAATACTGTATTTGTGGGCCAGGAAACTAGAATGGATTTCTTCCCAGGAGGTATAAATATTATGATTGATCTACTTTTATGTTTCCTCCAGCCAGTTTTTCTCAAGCAGTGTTCATAATTGGAGAGAGTGATATATGAGTAGCAATCAACAGTGGGACCCAGTGTGCAAGGCCATGAAACTTAAAGGAAATTAATTTCTGAGCCCACCACGATATCTCAGTATCCATCACTTAACAGAGCACATGCATTCCTGCAAAGACAATTCCAAGGCAATTTCTTTGTAAAAAGAAATCTGTTTTCCTATGGGAACTCTCAAAAGAAGTTGAATGGGGATTTTCACAGGAAAAAGTCTCACAGTAAATGAGAAGTATTAATAAAAATAATAAAAATTAGCATTTCTGTGAGGAAAGACAAAAGATGGTGGTTTATTTCATGACAGACAGTACTAGATATTACAGTACCTTAAACAATAAGAGCAAACTTTCTTGCCATTGTTATTTCCACCTTGTTTATTACTTATTTGCATAAGTTTTTCAACTTCAGCATCTCCTATATTCAATGATGGGACATATTTCTGTGAAATTCTGGCTTCCCTCCCTTTTCCTTAGGCTTAGGCATTTTCTCTATATAATGAAGCCAATGTGTATATTATGTTTCATCTGTATTAATACTGATGCCAAACTCTAGCTTGGAAATTCCTCAAGTTTGAAATCTAAGATCTCGTGAAATCAATTTTTAATTTGATAAATTCAAAATCGGGTAAATCAACCTCTATTTTCCTAATGGATGTATGGATATAATTTGCACACATCACAGATTCTAAAGCAATTAAGTCAGTGTTCCCAAGGGCATCACACATTCAGATCTTAGCATCTTAGGAGAGTGGGTCCTCACACCAGAGTCTGAACCCATGCTCTGTTACTCGTGCTTAGAGCGTGAAGCATGGGCTTCAGTTTCCTCATTTGCTAAAGAGGATGAAAATTCCCAGCTTGGCAGGTTTAATGAGCTAGTGTGTGCACACCACAGAATAGAAGCTCCATAAGTGGTATCATCTTCATCATCATCACATTATCATCATCATCATCATCATCATCACCATTTACATCCAGACAGCCAGAAAATAGCCCAGTGCAGTTATTGCTGGTTATTGTCTGGATGTTATAAAACTTGAATTTAGTTTAGCTCTAACTGAGAAGCAGCCTGCCCTGGTTCATTAATCAACTGGAGAAACCAGCTATTATGGATTCTTCTTCTGACCCTGTCATTGAAGAGCAATTCAACATCTGCTTCATATTTCCGTCTGCAAAATGGGGCTGACACCCACCGCCACTCACACAAGCAATTATTTCAGTACAGACAGTCCTCAAGTGGCTTTACTTATTTTTTTAACTTTATATGTTACAAAACCATTAACATTTTGACACAGCACTTTGAATTTTGATCTTTTCCCAGGCTAGTGATATGTGGTATGTGAGATATTCAATGCTTTATTATAAAATAGGCTTTATGTTAGATGATTTTGTCCAACTCTAAGCTAAGGTAAGTGTTTTAAGCACGTTTAAGGTAGCTAGGCTAAGTGATGATGTTTGGTAGGTAAGGTATGTAGTTAACCATTGAATAACATGGGAGTTAGGGGGGTTGACCCCTCATGCAGCCCCAAATCCACATATGTAACTTTTGACTCCCCCAAAAACTTAGCTACTGATAGCCTACTATTGACCTTACAAATAACATAATTAATACGTTTTGTATATGTATTATATGCTGTATTTGTACAATAACATAAGCTAGAGAAAAAAATGTTATGAAGAAAATCAAAACTCATAAGGAAGAGAAAATGTATTTTACTATTCATTATGTGGAAGTGGATCATCATAAAGGTCTTCCTCCTCATCAACTTCATGTTGAGTGCGCTGAGGAAGAGGAAAAGGGTGAGTTGGTCTTGCTGTTTCAGAGGTGACTGAAGCAGAAGAGGTAGAGGAGGTGGAAGGGGAGGCAGGAGAGGCAGGCACACTTGGTACAACTTATATTTTAAAAACACAGTATAAATGGACTTGGACAGTTCAAACCCATGTTGCTCGAGGGTCATCTATATTAAATGCATTTTTGACTTCTGTTATTTTCCACATATGATGGGTTTATTAGGCCATAACCCTGTGGTAAGTGGAGGAGCATCTGTATGGCCCATCTTGGAAACTGGCTGTGGAAATAAGCAGAACCAGCCAGGCAGTGGGAAGGCAGGGAGGCCGTTGGGTTGCTGGTTGGAAGTTGGGAGCTGGAAACAATTCTCTCTAATCTATTGCCTGGAGAATACCAGGAGCCAGCTGGCCCAAGAAGATAAGAGAATTGCACTTCTCCAGGCTGGGTGGAACCATACCTAATACGTTGTTGGGAAAGATGCTTAGCAAGTGCTACTTTTACTGTGTGCCAAAGTCTGCATGCATTTCAGCTGGATTCCATTTTTTATCCTTTGCCACACTTTAAAAATTATTTTCTGCCTTCCCTGGAGGAAATAACCACAGTGTCTCTAGCTCTCCTCAGACAATTTGTCCTAAGTGTAAAGAATTGAAGTTGGGGGCGACAGTAGACATTGAGTTCACCAAATCCGAAGGTTTAAAGCAAGTGTATATTTTAAAAAGTGACTCCTTACGGAAACAATAGTAGCTTTGCATACATGTTATGTTGCCCCTCACTCCCGTCTTCCTCTGTTTGTCGGTATGCTTGCTCTTCCTGTCACACTCTGCCTTGATACAAAAGCAGAAGCTGGCAAACTGAGAAGAAGAAGGGATAGCAACTGGTCTCTTCTGTTGCAGAAGGGCAGCAGCATAAGAATGAAGTCGAACATTGTGATGGGTAATTTTATGTGTCAACTTGTCTAGGCTATGGTGCACAGTTGTTTGGTCAAGTGCCAATCCAGATGTTCCTATGAAGGTACTTTTTAGATTTGATGAACATTCAAACAAGCATACTTTGAGTAAAACAGATTACCCTCCATAATGCAGGTGGCTTCATCCAATCCGTTGGAAGCATTAAGAGGAGAGACAGATTTATTCTAAGACTGCAACCTAGAAACCCTTTCTGTGTTCCCAGCCTGCTGACCTTCGGATTTCAGACTCAAGACTGCAATAGCAACTCTTACATGAGTCTCCAGCTTTCCAACCTACCATACAGATTTCAGCAGCTAGCCAGCCCCCATGATTATATGAGCCAATTCTTAAAATATTTCTCTCTCTCTGTCTTATTCTCTTTTTGGTTCTGTTTCTCTAAGGAACCCTGGCTAATACAAGCATCTCACTCTTACTGCACAGGGCAGATATGCTGCTCCCTAGGAGGAGTGGTTGGATGGCTGACAAAAGATTGTCCATCCCCAAATATCCCCCCTCCTTTATTTATCCTGCAGTCTACCAGCTAACCTGCACATTTGTTTTGGAAAATCACTAAGAGGACATTACTGAAGTCCACAGAAGCAATCCTGTCCTTGAGGCCATTAGTTTGGCAAATTTCTCTGACTAGTCAGCTGGGCCTTGGATCCTGAAAATAGAGATATAATATCGACTCCTGAAAATGGAGTTTAATTCTGATACTCAGAAGATCTGAGGGGTAACGGCAGATAAGGGTGGTCTAAAAGGTAATGAACAGTAGCTGGAAAAGATGCCTAAGAGGAAGGTGAAAAGATACAAGGAGAACAATTTGTTATGTTTAATATTATTAATAATAATCAGCATTATAGTATTCGTAAACCCCAAACTAGGCATGTAGTCGTTGCAATACAAATCCCAACTCAAGCACATCACATATGCAACAGAGGTGAGCTGAATGCCAAGATCTCGAAATGGGAGCTGCACATTCACAACCATTTCTAGCTGCTGAGTGCAGCAGTAAGCCCAGATACCCTCCCGACCCTGCATAGGCAATACTCAGGGCCTTTCTTTTCCTGATATGGGAAGAGATACTTCAGGGTATTTTGGCTTTAAAAGATCTACCCAATTTCTCCTCTCCCAAATCCCATATCTATGGGAATATAGACTTTGTACTGCCCTGGGTTCTTTTCTTGGCAGTAAATTTTTTTTCTCCCAGTACTCAATCTTTGGTTTCTTAACATTCCTTTTCTTTTAAAATGCAATTACAATTTATTTAATTTCTATTCTCTTATTCTCACTATGGCCCTTTGGAGTAAATATTGCTCCATTTTGCAAATGAGGTAACTGAGGCTGAGTTTGCTCAAGTGTCAGGAGCTAGACTGGAGCCCAGCTTGGTTAAGTGCTGGTATTGTGCTGACCTACGAGGTTTCCAAAAACAACAGCCTAAGAAATGGCACCTTGGCCTAAGAGGGGCTCTGCGGCAGGGCCCCAATACACAAGTGGATATGGGAGTGATTCAAAATGAAAACCAAGGGGCTCTTTAATCCATGAGTTTACATGCAGACATGATATTAATGGCATGATAACCCAAGAATACTAACTCATCGCTCCTAATTAGACTTTGCATGTCTTTACTCTTTGACAGATGCAAAGAATTTCAAAATACAATTAAACTTTCCAATACCCTTGTAAGGAGGTGGCAACATATTCATTTTACAGATGGGTGAACTGAGGCCAACAGAGGACACATCTCTGAAAGTTAACTCATGACTCTTGAGAAAGCATTCAGGAAACCCCAGGGTTCTTTGCTCCTCTGTGCTTCAGCTCCAACCAGCTCAGAGCACTGGTCTAGAATTTTTAAGGAAGGAGTCAAAGCTGAAAACTTTTCACCCATAGTTAACCTCAAGTAAAAGTAAATAAAAGTCAGTTCATATGTGCTTCAAGCTCCCACCTTAGTTGCAGTGGCTTTATCCAGGGGTTCCCCAAACTTTCTTGGTCATAAGATTCCTTTGTGATATTTGTTAATAACACAGATTTGCTGGATTTTCCCCCTGGAGATTCTGATTTTGTATGTAGGGATCATTTCCTAGAAATCTGTATTTTTTACAAGTTTCCGGGTAGCATTTTATACCCAGGCATGTTTGGGAACACTTGATGAAGTATTCTACAAGTACTTCTGGAATGTATTATTTACTCACCTAGCACTGTGTTGGCTTCTTTTGGCTATACTCAGAGTGTAAGAAACCACCTCAGAAGTCCTCTTCCCCTTATTCAATGTAATAGATAATGCAACAAATGTTTATTGCATTCTATCTTGCAATATACCCATTGTATTGATAGCCTTTAGCTCTTTGGCTGAGTACTATGGCAGTCACAAAGATGAAGAAGCAGGGAGAGACAGACTGCTAAACAATCACTGTATTAACATTAGATAATATTGTAATAGAGGTTGGTACAAAGAATTCTGATGAGGGAGATTGGGGAGCAAGTAACTGGCTGAAAGAAAGAGGCTGGGGGACATATAGCAAGAGAGTGACTTATGAGCTGGATTTTGAAGGATGAACAGGAGTTTCTCTACTAGGGCACATTACAGAGAAAACAGCAAGACATGAACAAATAAAATTATAGGTACATGTATGTGTACACATATTTTAATTACAATTCTTTGGAAGAAAGGCAAATGATAAAGCATGATAAGAACATAAATCTGTGATGAGGAGGGGTGATTGCTGATCTGCTGAGGTAGGTTTTCGATGTCTTTGCATATCTTATTAATTAATTCAACAAGTAGATATCAAGTACCTGCTGGGTGCCAGGCAGTATCTTAGGTTCTGAACATTTAAACATTATAAACTCATTTTAAAAAATGCATTTCTTTGTGAGTTTACATTTTACAGGGTGAGAAAATGAACAAGACAAATAAAATATATGGTATGTCAGATGATAATAAATGCAATGTAGGTATGAGACATATACATATGTATAAGATGTTGTGACAGCTAACGATTTTGGAGATATATATCTATATCTATATATCTATGTCTATATGTCTATATCTATCTATATCTATATATCTATATCTATATATCTATATCTATATATCTATATATGGTGAGGGAGGGAGCCATCTGGGGGAAGAATGTTTCAGACAGAGGGAAAAGCCAATGTCAGGGCCCTGAGAGTCTACCTGGTGTGTATGAGAAAGAGAGAGGAGGCCAATATGACTGTAATGAAGTGGGATTGGAGGGGAGGGTGGTAGGAGATGAAGTTAGCAAGGTGACAGGCAGGAAGGAGGGGGGACTGATTGTGATGGGCCTATTTCATGGATTTTGGGCTTTTATTCTGAGTGAGAAGGGAAACCACTAGAGTGTTTTAAGTAGAGGTGTGACATGATCTGATGTTGTTTAAAAATGTGTCACTCTGTCTGCTGTGATGGGATCGTCCTACAAGGGCCAAGGCAGAGGATATGAAAACAAAGAGGAGGCTACTGCAATGATCCAGGCATGAGATGATAGTGATTTGACCAGGGCGGAAGCAGTGGAGGTGGTACAAAATGGTGGAATTCTTGATGTACTTTGGGATAGGTTAAAAGGTTTGACTATGGGCATGAGAGAAAAAGAGAAGATAAAGATCTCGAGCCTTATTCTGGAAACGGTAACAGAATTTTGCAGTGACATTACCTGAACTATGGTTTTGTGAATTCCCTCTAATTTCAGAGTGGAAGATGGAGGGTAGGTAAAAGGCTATGATAACAAAACAGGAAAGAGATAGGGAAGGTTGACCAAGGATGAGTCTGTAAGTTCCAAAAAAAGAATCATGGTGAGAGAAGTATGGAAGAACAAACTGCAGAATTTGGTGACTAATTATATGTTTGGTGTAATCAAGACATGATGGAAAGAGAAGGGGAATGAGATTCATGGTAGGAGAGAGGATGAGTTTGGTTTGGGCTTGTTGAGATGTCTGTGGTCTCTGGATGAGGAGTCATTAAAAGAATGAGCAATTTAACTCTGCCACTTGGGAAGCAGGGTGTAGCTAGGAAGTTGTAGTGACAGCTAACGATTTTGGATATTGCATGCTAATTTTAAAATAAGCTTTCTAGATCTTGCCAAGGATAACGATTTCTGCAATTTATAGTCCTCATATCTCCAAATTTGAGCACCAGGAGAGCTTAGTAAATGCTTAGAGATAAAATAGTCCAGCAGGAATGAACATTGAATATCGAGGATGGGTGGAAGGAATAGTGTGGGATGTGAGAAGTCATCCAGTCTCCTTGAAATGGAAATGGCCATACACTAGAAGCAGATTGCATTATCTGTGAGTTTTTTCTTTGCCTCAATAAGTGTGATAAATACATTCATAAATTATTTTTGCATTCTATTTTTTTTTTTTTTTTTGGAGACAGAATTTCACCCTGTCGCCCAGGCTGGAGTGCAGTGGCGCGATCTCGGCTCACTGCAACCTCTGCCTCCAGGGTTCAAGCGATTCTCCTGCCTCAGCCTCCCAAGTAGCTGGGATTACAGGCACCTGCCACCACACCCAGCTACTTTTTTGTATTTTTAGTAGAGACAGGGTTTCACCATGTTGGCCAGGCTGGTCTCGAGCTCCTGACCTCAGATGATCCACCTGCCTCGGCCTCCCAAACTGCTGGGATTACAGGCGTGAGCCACCATGCCCGGCCTGTCTTTGCATTCTTAAAGCATGTTATGGGGATCCTCAGAAAAATTCTCAAATGTGTTTCAGACTCCCTAGCAAAGCCACATGGCATTTTCCCCCATTATGCTTATAGAATCAGAGGTTATTAATATTATAAATGTTTTCATGATTGAGGTAGGCCAAAGTCAATCCCCTTTTCCAATGTCTATAGATTTGCACTGGAGACAAATGGACGATATATACGTATTCTTTCTTTGAAGTTCCTTTGTTTAGGAAGTTTGTCTCCTTAATTTGCATATACAGATTTGTCCCTTGTTTCCCAATTGAATTGGAAGAAACATCTAATGGAAATTTGCCATGGGCCTTATAGGATTAAAGCATGGGGAGGTTATTAAGAAATTTCATTGTGGGCAGCAATCTCTGCCCCAGGGAGGGTTATTAAAAAACATCAGAACATCCCCTCAGCTTGTGGGAAGAATTCCCCCTTGTCACTCAACAGTGGTGTGACTGTTGGCTGGAGGCAAAAGGCAAATTCCTTTTGTGTCCACCTCATCATTTCGCTACACCAGTTCTGGAGCCCTGATCAGTTCAGAACATCCATGAATGTTACCTGTGTTTGTGAGCTGAAAACTATATATCATATCTAAATATTGAAATTTCCCTCTTAATGCAATTACAAGAATCAACACCACTCTAGCCCAGAAAGCAGTGGCATCCTTAATTTTGGCAACCTTAAAACAGTCATGAGCTTGTACATCTCTTGACCCACATGATCCTTCCAATAGTATAAAGCAGGATTCTAGGTAGAACTGCAATGTCTCTGGTGATCTGAGTTCACTGAGAAGGAAAGGGGAACCCAAACTTTTGCCCGGGGCTCTGTTGCCAGAGGCCACAAGCAAAATAATCTCCCTAGAGTTCTAGAAACAATAATGGCCACTCTATGGTAAGGGGAAAGTGAAAACGTAGATACAAAATAACTTAAAAAAGAATAGAGCCCTTTGATGTTTACTCAAAGGGGAAAAGAGGAAGATTTTACTGGTACGTTTTGGGAGGAGTGGGTAGGAGGGACTAGCTCAAGAATAAGGGGGAGTTTTGTGCACAGAGGAAACACAGATAGGCTTGAAAGGAGAGCAGGCCACATACTCCCTGGCTCATTGTAGCAGGTGGTGTTCTAAAATGTGTCCCAGTGATCCTGCCTCCTGGCCTTCATGCTCTTGTGTGATACTTTCCCCTCGACCGTTGGCTGGATTTGATGATCTGCTTCTAATGAACAGAATATGGCCAAAGTAATGAGATGTCACCTCTGAGATCAGATCATAAAAGACTGTGACTTCCATCTGGCTGAAACTTTCTCATTCTAATGCCCACTTCTGTGAAGCCAGATGCCATGCTGTGAACTGCCCTGTAGAGAGGCTTATGTAGCAAGAAACCGGGGGGTGGCTTGGCCAAGAGCCCAGGAGAAACTGAGGCCTTGAGACCAGCAACCCATGAGAAAATACAGCCCTCTGACAACCACTGAGTGAGCTTGGAGGCAGATCCTGCCCCGGGTGAGCTTCGAGATAATTACAGTCCCTGGAGAGACCTTGATTACAGCCTTGAGAGAGACTGGGGACAGTGGCACCCAGCTCAGCCATGGCCAGATTCCTAACCCATGGAAACTATAAGATAATAAAATGGGTGTCATATTAAGCTGCTAAGATTTGGGGTAATTTCTTTCACAATAGATAACTAATGCACCAATTGACCTGGGATAACTTGGGATGGTTTCACTGGAAAAGAAATAAAGGGTCCTACATGATGAAAATAAGAAGTTGTTAAACATGTGACCCTGACATAGAAGAAAATTTTAAAAAGTAGACTCCAAGAAGCATTGGAGCAGAGGATAGAGAGAAAAGTGTGGAAACAATGACCAACCAAATTTGAAAAGCAAAGGCAATTTATCTGGAGCTTGCTGTGTAGCAAAGGAGCTGGCCACCATCACTGGTGTCTGGCAGAGATTCAAAGGCAGGCAGAGGAGTGGGACAGCTTTATAGCAGGCACAAGGGATGGCTTCAGGTGTGCCCTGGTCAGACAGAGGCCGTTGGCCTGGGGAAGCCAGGGGCGGCCAACTAGGAGTAGGGCAGCCATGTGATTGCTTAGAGGGTGTGTTAGCCCATTTTCATGCTGCTGACAAAGACATACCTGACACTGGGAAATTTAGAAAAGAAAGAGGTTTAATGAACTCACAGTTCCACGTGGCTGGGGAGGCCTCACAATCATGGCAGAAGGTGAAAGGCACATCTCACATGGTGGCAGACAAGAGAAGGGAGCTTGTGCAGGGAAACTCCCCTTTATAAAACCATCAGATCTTGTGAGATCCATTCACTATCATGAGAATAGCAAGGGAAAGACCCGCCCCCATGATTCAACCACCTCCCACTGGGTCCCTCCCACAACACATGGGAATTGTGGGAGCCACAATCCAAGATGAGATTTGAGTGGGGACACAGCCAAACCATATCGGGGGCATATTTGAATTCTTTGGTTGGTCCTAAGTTGGAAGTGGGGACAAAAATCAGGGAAGTGTAGAAGATTAATCATGTCCTGGCCATTTGAAGCTGATCAATATAGGGGCTATCATTCGGTTTCCTGGATCGTTAGTAGAGACAGTGGTCTTTCACACAATTGACTTCCGGACAGTAGGTTGGATTGCTGGCCTGGTTTCCAGAGAGAATGGTTTGGTTTCCTGGACAGATTGCTGCAGGTTGTAGGTCAGAGTTCTATTTTGATATATGGTCTAGCCCTTGTCTGTTCCTATAGTCAGTCTCTCAGAAGAAAGAATAGCTTTGAAGAAATGGGGTCCTGAACTAAATCACGGATAGTCCCACAAATGGATTTAAGAGACCCCAGTCACAGAAGGATTAGGAGAACCTGCTGCTTTTTGCACAGCCTCATAGATAGATCATTGGTGAATATCACAGGATGGTTCAGCCATACTATGTTTCAGAGATTTGGAACTCAGAGATTTGGAACAATGATCAGTCATCAGTTCCATTCAAATTGCTTGTTTTAGCCACACCTGGTTTTCCTTTCATTGTTTGGATCTGGAAGCAGTTTTGTGAAGCCATTTCTACAACACACTTTATAAAGTTTTTCATCTACTTTGCTTTTCTTTCTGTCACGTTTATCTCCACAGCCAGCATTTCAGTGAACTTGTACCACCACAGCCTTCTGTCTAGAATCAGTCCCAGGAGAGTCCTTATCTTCACAATCCTGAGATGCAGTATAACTTTCTTTACTGGATTCCTTTTAATATAACCTTTTCCACAGTCATACTTTGGAGGGTTTTTTTTTTTCCTCTTTGCTTTTTACCTGCTGCTTAACTAGAAAATTACCCGGCACATAGGAAGGTAAATGCCATCTCATCCCGTTGCTAGAATAAAAAATTATCTTTTACTTTTGCTCTGTAGGTCAAACATCTACATCAGATCAACACTCCCTCTTAGCAAGTGGTGACTTTCAGAAAGGGGCCTGGGGCCTGGATAATAACAGCAGGGCTTGTAATCTTCCCCGTGCTAATGAGGGTCACATCCTACCTGACATGCAGGCCTTCTGCAGAGAGAGTTTAAAAAGCTTCTCCTGCTTTAATTAGTAATGGGTGATGGAGCGGAAAGCCTGCACCTTGAAAAGTATCCATCCTAGTGGTTTGAACAATGCAGAGAACAATTACTTGCAGGCCCAATGGCAAAGATGGTTAATTAAAATAGTGATGATGCAATAAGACGAATGACAAACGGGGGGGTCCCTCAGTAATGAGAGTGGTCGCATTCCAGGCTCCCTGCTCCCCTTGCTCATCAGGAAATAGCAGCGCGGAGCCCCCGGGAGACTCCTGCTCAATTAGGCCTTGCAGGCAGTGGAAGCTGCCAAAGGCCCAGCCTGTGAAGAGAAAATTTAACCACCTAATTTAGGAGGGAAGGAGAGGGGGCACAAGCTTTAATGGAATATGCCATTGGCACTTCCAGGTCCACATATGATAGGAAGTGCCACTCAAAGCAGTCCCCAGGAAGGCAGGAGGGTGGCTGCCTAGAGAGTACGGGCTTTGAAGAACACAGGCCAGCATTTAAGCCTCTGGTTTCTCATTGAGAAACATAGAGAAAATGACAATGACCTCAACAAGTGCTGTGTGTGTGTGTGTGTGTGTGTGTGTGTGTGTGTGTGTGTGTGTGAGAGAGAGAGAGAGAGAGAGAGAGAGAGAGGTATAGAGAGAGAGCACATGGTTAAAACTGGCACCTTTCCCCTCCTTCTGTCCCAATAAAATGCCCTGATGGGTGTGATCCCTCTCTGCCATCTCTCATGCAACCTGCCCTTCACGGGGGATAGAGAGTAGGTTAGATTCCTGGCCAGGTCACCAAAGAGAATAGGTTGGTTTCCCTGGGGGCTGCCGCAGGTTGTGAGTCAGCATTCAGTCATCTCTGCTTTGCCCCCACCATTGAAAACGTGTCCATTGAAAGTGTCCTGCACAACTTTCTTGGATTTTTGTGCTATTTCTTATAGGGGCCAGCCTCCTGAGGACAGAAGCCATTCTTTCTCTTTCTTTGTCACCATCCTATCATCAAGCCTCGACAGGTCCCCATTTGTCACATCTAAGTTGGACAGCACTCCCCTTCACTGCCTAGAACAATGGAGGGAAAGGAAGCCCTTGGAGGACTCAGGAGGGAAAGAACCCGAATTCTTGCTCTTTCTGGTTTTCAGAAACTCTCGCTAGTGCTAATACTCTCGCTAGTATATTTGTAAAGCAGAAGCATCTTGTTATCTCATTTTGTTCAATGACCCTGTGAGATTGATAGGCTGGGCAGAGACTCACAAAGTTTAAAAACCTTGGCTAATATCTCCCTTCTAGGAAGAGGCAGAACTAGAAGCCAGGTATTCTGAGCCAAAGTTGGAACGAACTTTTCCATTCTGAAAATAACTAACGCTTGACTCTGTATCATTCAAACAAGGCTGTGGAAATCTCAGCGGCTTAAAGCAACAAAGGTGTATTTCTCCCTCACGCTGTCTGTCTACTGCAGATCAGCTGGGGCTCTCCTCACTAAGTCACCCCTGTAATCATCTGCACTTGGAGAGCCAGGCTGGTGGAGCAGCCACTCCTCTGAGCATCGCTGGCTGCTGGGCAGAGCAAAGTCAAGAATGCTCAAGCACGTGCTTGCTCTTAAAACATCAGCCTAGAAGTGACAACATTTCTCTCCAGTCACATTTCATTGACCCTGCCTGAGTCTGATGGGGCAGGGAAGGGTAAACTATAAACCTCCCCGAGGGAGGCACAGAGACTTCAGTGAACAGTCACACAGTCTACCATCAACCCCATTGTACTTTGTCTCAACTACTCGGTGCTGTAGACATGAGTGGAGTCTGGTGGTGATCTAGTCAGCCTGGGAAGAGATTGTAGATGAAGACGGAGGTGGATAAAGACGGAAATCTGCATCCTTGATTTCTTGCCCTGTGATGGCAGCAGAGACACAGGAAGGATATTCACAATAGTGTTTGCTTTGGAGGAGACTATTTGGAAGGTGATGTTGAGCTTGACCATCAATACCATATGTTTAGATCTTGGACCACAGGTTAAAATATTAGCAAAAGGAGAAGCTATATGAGCTGTGTTCCCACCTCTGTAAACCAATGTTCCAGGTGACAGGATGGTTCAAAGCTACACGCAAAGGCTTATGGTCTTCAATAAAAAGGCATTAAAATGTCCTATATGTGTATGCTTGTGTGTCTGCTGAAAAGAAGAGAGGATCAAATAACTTGATAATGACAAAGGGCCATGTTTTCCCCTAGGAGCAGCAGATATGGCATCTCCATGGTGACAATGGAAGATGGTCAGGGGCCTCAAATAAAGGAACTGACTTCTCCATTTATATTTGCAGTACACTCTGCAACTTCATTCTAGAAAACAAACTTGTTCACAAACCCAAAAGGTATTAATGCAAAGCCTCTTCTTCCAGTTTGTGGAGCCTGTCCAATACAAATATACATCAGATATTTACTTATTTAATTAGACTTCATATTCCCCCTATTGCCAGGAAAATTTGAGGCAGGTTCTGCATGAAATGTACTGTGAAATAGGATGGTTAGATCTGAAACCAGAGCAAGTCAATGTTTCCACATCCCTGAAAATAACCAATGGCTTATGTTGGGCACTGACTTGCCTACAAAGTATCTGAAAGGCCCGAAAGGAACATGTTGACCTCTCTGGGAATCATGCTTCTGACAGACGGCCCATGTGATTATACAGGCGAAGTGTCACCCTAAGGGCTGTCCCCTCCCGCTTTGCCTAAGCCCCCTGCCCACTATGCAGAGGATTAGGAAAGGCTGATTTATTTCTAGGGTAGGTGTGCAACAAAATCTGAAGCAGCAGCCTACTCTGTGACAGTTCACACAGGCTTGCCTCCCCGTTCCAGTGCCTCCTTCCCTCCTAGCCAACCGTCATGGGAAAAGAGTATCTGTTCAGATGTTACCTGAGAAGACCTTAAGACATGACCTCATTCGGGAATTTTCATTCAATTACATTCATCTAATATTTATTTATAGATTACATTTCCAGAGCCTGGAAATACAGAGAAGAAGAGAACAGGGGTTGTGGACATTCATATTTTAATGTGATTCTTAGGGAGTCTCTGCATTTGAATGCCCAAAGGAGTTAATCTCTTTTGACAGAACTTTAGGTACGTCCTATGATTGGCCGAGGAAATTATCACAACTAGACAATCAACTCCCTCTTCCACCTCTCAAGCAGTCTCTGACTAGTGCTTGCCTGCGACATCTGGGCCAGCCATCCTGTCACTTCCTACCAGCATTGAGGCCCAGAGGGGCTGAGCATGAACACCAGCCCTGGGACCCCAGAAACCACAGCCCCCACGGTCTTCCTTCAGCCGTGCACCTCCCTGTGGGGAAAAGAAATGTGGGGCCAGGATAGATGTGTCCCCTGAAGCTTGTGGCCCTCCCCCATTCTATTCCATGTTCCAGGTACTGAGGACCCCAAAATTATCAGCCCCAAACAACCCCTCACAGCCTACAGGACCTGCAAACCTCTTCCCAAGATCCATCCTTGTTGGGGTTCAGTCAGGCTGGTAGGAAAAATATTAGTTAAGATAGCCACAAACCCTCTTGGAAGGCCTGAGAGTTTGCATAACTTTGATAATATATATGGTTGAAGGCAACCTGATCTCTAGCTAAATAAATTAGAGTAATAACAAAGGAATATGGGGAAGTTATCTAGCTAGCTTGTTTACTTATGTGGTCTTAAGACTAATCTTTGATGTACCGTGGGTGCTTAAGTGCTTTCTACTCAGGAAGTCCACAATGTCAATTACCCTCTAGTGGTGTTGACTCAAGCCTTTATCGATTAATCTTTACCAATAAACGCGAGTCTCACTAGCTGGTCAGGGCCACAGTCACAGCTGTTTACAGGACTCTGCTGGAGTCTGTAAGTGGCTTGGACACTCAGCTGGACTGGCAAAGCAGAATATCTGTGTGTCAGTGTACTTCATTCATCCGTCGCTGGGTCAGGGTCTGGGGGTCAGACCCCTGCAGCTGGTGCCCCTGTGTGAGGAACGCTACCACACATCCTGGCCTGGGCTGGGGAGTCCATCCAATGGGTAAGTGTTTGATGGGAGGGTTGGCCACAGCTTGCACCTCTGGCCTGAGGTGTCCACAGACTTAAGATCATCCCCCTTACAGCACGAGATGGAGTGAGGGGTGGGAAAGAGTGGAATGGGCAGCAGGCCAGGGCTTCTGCTGGAATACCTGTTTTTGATCCTGAAAATATGTTGGTGTTTTGTGATGAGGCACTCTAGGAGTTGATGGCAGAGCTGAAGTGAGAGCTGGGCTGATCCCCAGTCTAGAATGGATTTCTTTTTGCCAGCAAGGAGTTAATCTGCCACTGTTACCTGTTTCTGATTGTTTACGGGAAGATGTGATCATGAAAGGCCAATGAGAGTGTTCAGGACTCTGATTCTTCTTGTCTATCTAAATTACCATCTCAGGAGGTAAAGCAAACCAATTTACCTTGAGGTTTTCATCAAAGAAATCCATAGACAGCCCAGGAACCACATGCTAACAAGATAGTGAGTCCTAATGTAGAAAAAGAAACTAAAAGGCCAAACTCAAACTAAAATACATTGCTTCATGATAAGCTCCCACTTATCTAGGCAAAAGAATCAAGAATAGTATTATCAGTGGGAAATATAAACTAAAATCATCTGGTTTACCAAAGGTTAGGTTAGGATTACATGTCCTCGAATAAATAAAAATAGAAATATTAAAATTATACTAAACATAATCAGATCTCTTCTTCGTCACTAACCTCAGTAATTTTGGCAGATGGCTGAAATTTTTTGTTTTTTGTTTTTTTGGGATGACAATACATACTTAGGTTCTCTTTCCAAAGACAGCTATGCAGTAGAACTAGGACAGAATTTCCCCAGTGGGTCCCTCCTTGTTATAACAGGCACACAAAAACTTTTCATTAGAAGAGTCACAGATGTCCTTACAGACATAGTCTCCTGCCTATAGCGTGTGACTTCATTATTGCAATGGTATCTGAATGTCAGATTGCACTATTCTCAGCTATTATGATTCTAGAGTGTATAGCTCGTCAAAGAATTCTCTCTCAATATCCCCTCCTCCTCTCTGCTCTTCCTTCTACACTGGAGGTAGAACCACAGTTGCCTACTCAGCTATCAGAAGCCCACCACCCTGAGGGTTGTCCAGGTCTCTGCTGTCCTTTTTCTTCTTCCCTCATCTTCTTAATCAACTCTACCCTCACTCACCCAATGATCCCCTGAGACATTTTTCTCCCTAGAACATTTGGGGGAATTCTCCAAATATTCTGTGTAACTAGAACATAGGTCAGATTTCAGAGAGAGCTTGATGACACGGTTTGGGGGCAGGGTATGGGTCGATGGGTCCTAATTGCCATGCTGCAGAGCATTTACTTTATCATAAGGTCAACTGTCACCATTAAGAAGGTTGGCCATGGAAGTGACATGACCAGGTCTTTGAAACGGTAAGTTGAGCTGAGAGGAAAGGCTTTGGAGGCTTGAAGAACAATCATTGCCTAGTAGAACTTGGGCTTTAGGTTGAAGCAAAACTGACTTCAAATTCTAATTCCAATATTATCAACTAAGGAACCATTAGGTGGTTATTATTTACTTTCTCTGATACTCAATTTTCTAATTAGAAAGAAAGATAATGCCTTCTGGTATTTCTGTGAAGATTAAAATAAGTCTTAAAAGCTCCTATTGGCAAAAAGGATGCGATAGGATAAAATTCTAAACTGGATTGGTGGTTGTGGGAATGGAGAGTAGGAGAGAGACTTTAGAGACAGTGTTATGAAGATGGGTAAGAGGAGTTAGGGTGAGTAGGGCTTCTACCTTGTGTGACCCCATGAGTTGTACAGGTCATGACTCAATTGGGAGTTATAATGGAATACAAAAGCAAGAATAGATTTCTTTCAATGGCAAAAGAGCAGATAATGAGTTTCATTTTGGTTAAGTTGAATTGGAGGGGTGGGTGAAAGACATTTAGGTGCAAGTGTTCAGAAATTCACTAAAACTAGGGACCTAGAGAACACTGTCTATTTGGGACTCATTAGAATATAGGTCATTAAAGACACTATGGGATTTGCTTAGCTTGCCTAAGAAGACATATTGGATTCATCCTCTCATTGATTCTTTTACCTACTAATTTACTCATCCAATGTATATAGAAAAGGTGTCCAATATGTTCAGCATCACATCATGATGCTGATAATTCCAACATATATATAATATATAATATGTATATAGTTTATATATATATATGTATTTTATATATATATAATATGTATTTTTTATATATATATATATATATGCCATAGTAGATATAGTAGATATACTGTACTGAGAGTACCTACTACGTGCCAGGCTCAGAATTATTGAACAATAGTGAACAGGCAAAAGGTGTCCCTGACTTTAAGGATCTAAAGTCTGGGGTACAGGATCAAAGAGAGTCAAGGATGCCCCTGACCTTTAATCATGGGATATCAGGAATCCAAGCTTGTGCTGAGCTGGATGCCTGGATGTTGAGCTAGGCATGCAGTGAGGTAGAGCTGGGTCTGTGATTGTGGATTATGGCACAAGGACGAGGGAAGACTGTCTAGGCTGAGAGCATCTGGGCACAGAGTAAAATACTGATTTAGAATAAGTTGTGTACAGGGGACAAGAAAGGTGGAGTGTGCAGGTACAGATGGTTGAGGGTGGAGAGTTTCTCTAAGGTTATTGTGAGGGACAAGGAATAATCTTTTCTAGATTGTTCTGACACTTGGTTTGTGAGTGCTAAAGAGATGCTAAAAACAGTGTTTGGGTCAAAACAACCCTATTCTTTTAATTTAGCCTCTAGTTTTGTGTTTGGCTAATAGAAAATGTTTAGTGAAAATTTTTAGAATGGAAAGCAAAAGGTATCATAAAAAGATAGAAAGAGTGAAAAGACTCAAATTATTATCATTCTGGGTTCTAGATTTAGAAAGTTGTGAAGATACTGTAGATTCTCTACTGATGCTCTATCAAGTCATAGAGATCATTATGGGGGAATAAACCTTGGTAGTCTGAGTTTGGGGACTGTTGAAAATTAATGAAAGCTATGACCTTTAGTAAAACTGGTAATTAATAACACCAAGATGTGTAACTTCATGGTGCGATGCTGAATGTATTGAGTAACTTTTCTAAATGTGAGAATCTCATCTAGGGATGGCTTTCTCTCCTAGATAGCAGAGCAAATGAGGCTGTTAGTGGAAGATCATGGCTCATCCGTGGCGACTGGGCTAACATATTGTGTGTGCTTCTGCTTTTACCTTCTCATGAAGAGCAGGATGGGAGTGGCAGGAGATTCATGGCAGCGACTCACAGCTGCACAAGTGAATACTAACCATTAGCAGTGGCTTCTTAGAAGAACAGTAATATATATGCTTCTGCTTATACCTTAACTGGCAGGCTTCCTGGCAGGGCTCCTGGGAGTGATGCCCTAATTTGCAAGGATTTAATGACTGCTTGTAGTCTAACACCTGTAGGGATGGAGACAAGCAGGGGAGAACATTAGCACCTGGCTGTGCCCCAGATAAAATGAGCACCATGGATTTGTGAAGGCACTGTCTTTCCTTTCCAGAAAAAAATGCCTTGTGTTATATTTATTCAGTAACTCTTACTGTAATATTAAAATTGCCAGTGTTCTTACATGGAAATATTTAAAAATTATATTATCAAGCTAAGAAAATATCATGCTCCCTACTACAGAAGGTCACTTCCTTCCTCCTCTCCACTGTGTATGTTATGATGGGCTTAGCTAGTCATAAATTAAACCTGAAAACAGTTGCATTTCTGTAGTCCTGATAAAATTTTCATTCCTTTGTTTTTTTAATCTCTGAACAAACATATTATTCAAGGAACTGATGACATTGTGAAAGCAAGCTGTCCCCATGGCTTTTAAGCACTAATTTGTGAGATTCTAATTTCCTCCTTATCTTCATGCCTTCTTATTTCACATGCAACAACTGTTTGAATAATTTAACTGATCAGATACATGCAAGCATTACCCAGAACTGTGGGGCTTGACTTTGAAAGTGACTCAGTATTTTCAGATCAGGGTGAGAGTTTTCTCTTTGTATAATTTCCCCACGTCTTTTGATATAGTTACCACACTAACTATAATAATAGTATAGCAGCAACAACAGTATGAATCTACAGTCTTATTTCTAACCCAGAGTTTTTATCCAGATAATTAAAACAAATACTTGGAAGTAGGAAAAGGGAAGCATATAAATGTGAACATCTTCAAATTACATAAAGGAAAGTCAAATGAATGTGGTTGCATTTCTAACATTGATTCAAATAAATGATAGCCTATCATAAGAGAAAATAAAACAGAAAAGCATAAATAGTAAAAATCATAAAAGAAGAAAACAACAGAAGTCAGTAATCTATAAATTATAACAATTCTCAAATAAAAAGATTTAGATTATGTGAAGAAAAGTTAAACTACACGTGATCCATAAATGACAAAATGTTAAAATAATACAAAAACAAGAGAATGATTTAAAGCAAAATGTATTAAATGATACAAAAAGGTCATTTTTTCTTTTCTTTTCTCTTTTTTTTTTTTTTTTTGAGATGGAGTCTTGTTCTGTCACCAGGCTGGAGTACTATGGTGTGATCTTGGCTCACTGCAACCTCCACCTCCCGAGTTCCAGTGATTCTCCTGACTCAGTCTCCTGAGTAGCTGGGACTACAGGCGCCAGCCACCACACCCGGCTAATTTTTGTATTTTTACTAGAGATGGGGTTTCACCATGTTGGCCAGGATGGTCTCGATCTCCTGACCTCGTGATCCGATTGCCTTGGCCTCCCAAAGTGCTGGGATTACAGGTGTGAGCCACCGTGCCCGGCCAAAAAAGTCATTTTTATTGAGAATGGTAGCCTCATCAATGAAGGATATGAAAGTCATGAACACTAAATAACAAATCCCCAAAAGCTAAAAACTGTTAGGAATTGATAAAAACACAGTTATAGAAGGAGATTTTTGTACACATTCTGTCTCTGATAAATTAAATATGATTTTATGCATATATATGTGTGTATATAAACAGGAATATATAATTCAAATTATTATATATATAATATATACTTACATATATACTTTATATATATGTCTGTATATATATAGATATAATTTGAAAAGACAATACATATTCATTTTAGGTATCCATGAAATTTTTATAGGAATCGATCACATACGGCCGGGTGCAGTGGCTCATGCCTGTAATCCCAGCACTTTGGGAGGCCAAGGCGGGTGGATCACGAGGTCAGGAGATCGAGACCACGGTGAAACCCCGTCTCTACTAAAAACACAAAAAATTAGCCAGGCTCGGTGGCAGGTGTCTGTAGTCCCAGCTACTTGGAAGGCTGACGCAGGAGAATGGTGTGAACCCGGGAGCGGAGCTTTCAGTGAGCTGAGATCACACTAGCCTCGGTGACAGAGTGAGACTCCGTCTCAAAAAAAAAAAAAAAAAATAGAACACATACAAAACCCCAAAGGAACCTCAATGTAGTTCAAAAAGTAAAAATTTTGTAGGTGAAATTATCTGAGCATTACCTATTAGTTAAAAATAATAGAAATAAACAAGTTTGTTTCAAAAAACGAAAGGAACAGCTACAAACAGCAATGAGAAATTAAAATAAACTTTGATGGAGAAGTGAGTATAAACGATGAATAAAAATGAAAGATAGGCATTAAGAGAGAGACTAAATTGATTGTCTTTTTAAAAAAGATAAAAATTAGACCAATAAAAGAGGTAAAGTAAATTATAGGCACAAATAGGAAACAAAAATACTACTAAAGGGAATGAATGTGAACAGGAAGGTTTATGGAAGAGATGAGCAAACACAGAGAAAAGTTCCCCAAAGTAGAAAACAATGAAAGTTAATCAGGAAAATCTAGAGCCTCAAAATGGAAAGGATGTGATGAAGAGCTAAAAAATGAAAAAAAAAAAAAAAAATAGAAACACGGACTTAAAGGAAAATTTTAAATTTAAGAGCAGACTGATTCCATTAAGTTGAGCAACTGAGCTAACACAGATCCCTCTTTCAGTTTTAAACAGGTAGAAATACTGGAAAAAATAAGCCAAAATAGGTTAAAAAACAGCTGAGCTCAAAAGAGAGGAGGGCAAAACTCCAGGTACTCAGACACGGAAGTAGCTCAGGCAGAAGGCTATGGAGATGAGAACCTGGGGTTCTTTGGCAAGTTCATGGTCTAGTGTCCTGGAAAGCACAGTCTGTGATGGAGATGTCTGTGTGGAAAGTTGATTGGGAACACATTGTGGGGAGCAAAGGAACCAGAGTGGGCAGAGGGAAATGGTGAACTGAGGTGCTTTGAAACAAAGTCCTCAGCTGATCCTACAGGGAGCTTTGGAGCTAAGATGATCTTTCAGAGTCGTCTCTAGTTAAAAGCCCTGGCCTTCATCTCCACAGCAATATCATTAGATGGTCCCAAAGATGGCATGACATTGGTAGAAGTGTCTCTCTCTAACTAAGGGCAAGTCCTTGAGAGAGACTCAGCTGAGAGCTGTCGGTCAGCAGCCAACACTCCCAACATCTTGAAGAATGAACACTTCAGTCCTAGGCCAGGTGGAGTGGTTCTAGAGAGATACATATAATTTTCCTTGATTACGTAGATGAAATTTTTTGTTGACAATTCATTTAGCTGCTTCTAGGCAATTTTGACAATCTTGAATATTTTTTTCTTTCCAGATTTTTGGGATGATACAACAAAGTGGTCCACTGTCCTATCTCAAACAGGCTTACAGAGCCTTCTACATAGTTGCTGCTTAGGTACAAATATATTAATTTCAGTGTTATTTATATTAGTGGAAAAATTGAAAATGACCAAAATGACCAAAGATATGGGAATCCAAAATTACATGTGGCTATTAAAATTGCATTTTAAAAGAATAGTTATTCAGATGTTAATATATGTATTTCTACTGCATAGATTGCATGATTCCAATTTCCTAAAAATATTGGTTATTTAAAATTGTATCATAATTGCTAATGCATAAAAAGTACGGAAAGAGATTGATCAAAATAATCTCGGAGTCTGGCTCTATAATGTATGGATTTTAAACTAGTATTTTCCATGTTATCTAAGATGATGTATTACTTTACAATCATAAAAAATTAACGTTATATGAAATAAAAATATAGGTTGGATTATTTTATACTCCATTAATTTGCAAATTTATATTTTATATGAAAACTGATCTGTGAAAGTAAAACCATATTACACGGAGAGTAGATTTTTAATAATATTTACAACATTTTTTCAATCTTATTTTCAACACTATTTCCAAGGTGAATGGGAAAAGAAGTGAACCTTAGGATTCCTAGGTCCTTCTCTTATCTGAGGTTTTTCTTGCAAGACAAAAGCCCCCTCTTTCACTCTGTGTGTGCACGTGTGTGTGTGTGCATGTGTATTTGTGCCGTGTGTGTGCATGCATGTGTGTGTGTGCCTGTGCGTGCACATGCATGCCATGTTTGTGTGTGTTTGACTTTCACTGTCTTTTGGAGCTTTTCCTGTGGCTACTTCGGTTGTTCTAAAGCCAAGTTCCCTTGCCTATGATTCCCATTAGATAGAGGGACATGGTCAGATTTTTCTAAGGTTACAAATCTCACCCATAAGCAAGAAAGGAATCCACAATTCCCACTTCTACAGAACAAAAAAAATAATGTATTATTCTATTCTCATGCTGCTACTAAAGACATACCCAAGAATGGGTAATTTATGAAGGAAAGAGGTTTAATTGACTCACAGTTCAGCGGAAGGGGAAGCAAACACGTCTTTCTTCATATGGTGGCAGCAAGGAGAAGTGCAGAATGAAGCTGGGGAAAAGCCCCTTATAAAACCATCAGATCTCATGAGAACTAACTCACTATTACGAGAACAGGATGGGGAAAACGGCCCCCATAGTTCAATTATCTCCACCTGGTCTCTCCCACAACACGTGGGGATTATGGAAACTGCAATTCAAGATGAGATTTGGGTGGGGACACAGCCAAACCATATCAAGTAAATTGCATTGTTCAAGAAATTTTTGAATGAAAGAGCTTTTTCCTATACTAGAAATTTCTCCTTTGCTTATATTACAGGAACTGGTTATTTAAAAATAAAATCTCACGTTGGAGAAATACACTTTAACACTGTGGAGAGAGGCCCATGTTAGTGCTTGTGATTTTCTTCTGCTGTTTTTTCTCTTCCCCTTCCCCCTTCCCTCCTTTCCTTCTTTGTCTCTTTCTTTCTTTTAGACTGAATTCCCAGATCCTTTGCTCCAATCCCTGTTTCTCTCCCACTACGGTTTCTCAAATCTGTACCTCATCCCTTCATCTCCAGGAGGCTTTTTCACATTTCACAGTGGATTTCAATGCGCTGGTGTGGGCAGCGAGGGGAAGAGTTACTGAGAACCATGGTTTTAGAAGCTTATGTTTCTGAGAGTTTATAAAATCCTCTCTGGCCTCAGAGGCTCTACATTGTTTCAATCCATATTTTCTTTGTCTTTTATGGCTTTTCATGTTTCACATCCAAAAACCACATTTGCATCCAAAGCATGGATTTCCTGAGTTTGACAAAGCTGATCCTACGGATTCCATTTCCATAAATCCCTTAAAGTGTTTTAGTGACTTTGCTCATTTTGCAAAAATGTCTCTGACAAAAACACAGGGGAAGACAATTGCTCTTGACATCACAACAGTTTAATATTTTAACTTATTCATTAAATTGTGCTTCACATCAATGGAAATCTTCAGTTCTACAAACTATCATTTTTAAATAGCAATAAAGGTTGATAATGTCACAATACAGTCCCCTAGTAACTGAGTTCATACATATTATTGTACAGAAATAAAAGGAAATATCTCTTAAGAGAAATAATTTACTATCTACTGAATAACTATCTACATGTAAAATAGGTCCCCACATAAAGATCCAGATTTTTCTTTCCAACACTGAAATGATACATTAAAAGAGAAATAATGCAATCAAAGCCCCAGAAGTACTTCTGAGAAAGAAAAAAAGGAAAGTGAAAAAAAAATGATCATATGATTAACAAATAAATGTCAAGGAGGTGGAAGACACATGTGACAATTACTGAAGTACACAAAACTTTTGCTCCTCAAAACACTGGTTTTTCTGGCAAGATGTCAATCTGGCCCTTTGATGAGTTCCCATAATGCAGCAGAACATGTAGCTCACACAGGTTCCACTGAGTGTGCCAAAGGATGACAGTTGCAATCCTTTCCACAGACATCTTGGAACACAGGCTCAAGAGACACCTGTCCATCTGCGTTCTCAATCTGGAGTACTGCTAGGTTAGCATGAGTCCTTGCCTAGAAGTTCAAGGGCTTTTGTGTTGCAGATGTTGCTGGTGTTTATAGCTAGGCCAGTCCTCTGGAAATTTCTGCACCTCTGCCAGGCAGGTTGGTTCTTTCACATGCTGTGAAGATGGGTTCATGTGCATTCCATCAATTCATTAGGCTACAAAACACACAGGTTTCAGAACCTGCCCACTTGCTCAGAAGGGCTAATTTGAAGTCTCAAGGAATTAGTTCAGATTTGTCCAGGTGAATGTGGTGAGAAGAGAGCAGGCATTGGCTTATGTCCAGTGGAGATGGCGGAAGGGGAGAAGAAGGAAGGCCGAAAGTGCCTTGGAGAAAGAACCCTCGCATGCTCCTCAGATGGCACAAAATGGGTAGAATCATCAGACCCAGCCAGCCCTAATACCCAGCCTGAAGACATGCAGTTGCTCTGGTGACCAATGGGGTCACAGCAACTATGGGAAAGGAAAACCTTGGAGTCACAGCTGCGATCAGATCAGGGTATTCTTGTGTAAGTCCAACCCAGCTTTCTCTTTGATCTGATCCTTCCAACTCAGCTTTCAGTCCCTACAACCATTCCAATGCTCTGGTCCTGTCTCAAGATCCTCTTCATTCATTTCTTTTAAATAGCTAAAATAATTATAGTCCATATGTTTCCAGGCTGCCCTAGTTCTAGAGGACAGAGACTGTATCTTAGTCATTTTTCTATTTTTTCAGTATTACATGTCATATATTTAATTCATTACCTTTCCACCTTGGAAAGATCTGCCTCCTTTAGGAGCCACAATTTTCTCTAGAGTTACTCCTACTCTCCCTAACCCCCATCTCTAAATGATCCCACTATACAGGACCTCAGATAGAGATCATGGTTGATAAGGAATCAGATAAACTCTCTGTGTGCAGATGTTATCTTAGGACAACTTAAAGCATTTCCTCTCTCCAGTGAGTATGCAAAGGGACTCATTTAACAGCCAATGAAACCTTTAAGAATGAAAGCAGTATGTTGCTGACAAAGTACCAGGAGCCTGGGGAAGAAGACATTAAAAAGGGAGAGTTTTCTTTCTTTTTTTTTTTTTGGTTGGTGGGGGCGGGTTTATATTGATTTCCCTTAATAGGGAGTTGTGAGCACATTCCCTCGGCCTTCATATTGAATAGGTTTTGAGTTGGATGGAGTAGACAACCTGCTAGAAGTGTTTGAATGCCTCCTCTGAGTTTTGGTCTCCCCTGCAGCACCGCCCATCTCTTGGATATTTCATTCCTAATAAGAGGCCCCCTCACTGGAGGTAGGGAGCTGAGAGTAAACTTGACCAGTGTCTTTGGCATTTTCCATGTCAAAAAAGGTAAGGAAGGATATAAATCAATAAAGATTTACATTTCATATTCTTGCAGTTCCCAATCCCAGTACTGATGCTGAGCTGCATAAAGTAGTCGGAAAGACTATGAAGTCAAAAGGCTGGGGCTCTAAGCAACTTTCTTGCTCATAAATTAGAGTCGTTGGGAAATCTTTCAACATATCTGACTCTCCATCCCAAACTAGCAAGTGGTGTAATGAATAGAGGTCCTATTTAGCACACAAGAATGTAATGAGGACCAAATGAGACAGCACATGCAAAAATGTTCTGAAAACCATTAAATGCTACACAAAGTGATGAATTTTAGTCTTATCTTTCGCAAAACATATGATGAAGTAAGTGACATTAAAAAGCACTTAAATATCGTTTGGTTCCCTTTTGTATCAGATACTGATAGTCTTTATCAGTATTAATTTCCACATTATTTCACATTGTTTCTTTAATAACAGAACCTCCTATGCTTATCAAGGCACATGACAATCAATAATAAAGACATTCCCTAGCCTTCTTTGCAGCTAGATGTGGCAAATGTCTAGGTTTTAACCCATGAGATGTGACTGGAAGCAATATGTGCAACTTCCCTCCACTTCCTCTCTACTATCTTAAATGTAAATGTGATGGCAGGAGCTGTGGCAGCCATCTTGGTCCATGAGGTGGATGCAGCACATTAGGATGACAGAGCAACAGGAGAGGGCCTAGGCGTCTGGTAACATCACACACCAGAGCTGTAAAACCAGTTTGCCTTTAAGTAAGAGAGAAATAGCTTCCATGTTAAGTCACTATTTTGAATTTCTGTGTTAAAACAGCTGAATGGGAATTCTATCCAATCCATTTATATTTATTTTTTAATGATCTATTCTTATCTCCTTGCTAGGTCTATCCTGGGGACCTTCTTGCCAATATTAGTACTATCTCTACTCAGATTTTTTTTAAAAATTACCTTAAAGGCATAACAAGGAGTCCTCATACTTCAAACTTTTAATCAAACTAATTATCACAAAGTTACCTCCTTTAGATGAGAAGAAACACATCTTTATCATTTTTAATAAAAACACATGATATGCCTCACTGTTGTCTAACACTGATTGTTAATGTTACCAATTACTATTATTAGCATTCTAATAATTCTCAGGGCAGTTTCCTCCAGTTTCCAAGAGTAGGCTGCCTAAAAGCTAGAAGGAGACAGAATAGATAAGTGTGTATCTTAGTCCTTAATAAAACACACACACACCACACACGTGCACATATACACAAAGTTGTCTCATCCTAATCTCCAATCTGGGTACTGGAGCTTCCATTGCCAAGAGAAGGGAAAGAACTGTAGGAGTCAATAGGGTCATAGAACCCCTGGGGATTGTTTTTTTCTTTTTTGTCTTTTCTTGGGCTTTTGACACTGATATATCTGGAGTTGATTTGGTTTGGGATTTAATGCTCCTGACTTCCATGGATCCTTAGGCCCAGACGCCTTCTGCGGGCATCACTTCCCTGAGCATCACTCAGCATGGAAGTGGGCAGTCCATTTTTGGAGAATAAACTGTATCCCTACCTCTCCATTTCTATCAACATAGGACCCCATGGGTATGACAAGCTTGCTGCTTTAGAATGAAATGATATGAGGGAGGAAGCCCATGTCGGTCTTTTTAATTTGCTTAGTACTGGCCTGGGGCCAACATAAAGAGCTGGCTCCCTCTGAACATCCTGATACCTGGTCTCAAGTGGAGCCGCATACATCATGCCTTCAGCAGAAGGCAGTGGAAGCCTTTGATACCAATCCCGAGGTGCCTAAGGAACAGCGTGAAGTGAGCAGGGGCTGCCTCCAAGTCTCAGTTATGCATGAATTCCTTGCCAAAATTTTAAAGTGAGTTTAAAAGAAACAATCTGAATGCTTTCTAACTTGTTTTGATTTTCCACATGACAAAACACTGGATTGTTTGTGTGTGTGTGTGTGTGTGTGTGTGTGTGTCACAGGGGCAGGCAGAAGGATAATTTGCAGTCCTGCTATTCTAGGCAGAACATTAGATCCTAACAATGAGATGAGAAGCTAGAGAGAGAGAGAGAGAGAGACGAACATTAATCCCAGCTGCAATCCTCCTTCCCTTCTACCTTAGGAACAAATCACTGGAAATGGAGAAATATTTTGTGAGCCTAATCTCTACCAAATAACAAGCAACATTTACTTGGCCCCTTTTAACTTACTCTTGTATATGGCTTAAAAAACACAGCTGCCTAAAAAGTCATTGATCTCTCAGCTCATTGATGGCTCAGTGATGTGGAGGGGGCTGGACTGACCCAAGGCAGTATGGCTCTGGGTCACTGTTAGCGTGGTGCTGTCATGGTCGGGCTACCCACATGGGTTAGAGACAAATGCTTCTGGGAAATTGCAGCTGGCTTCTTGCATTATTGGCAGGAAGCTTTAGGTAGGACGAGCCCTTATTCCATATGGATATGGTGACGGAGTAAAGAGAACTTGACCTTTGCAGTCAGCTAGACCTAGCTTACAACCTGTGGAGGAGCTACTTATTTTCTGTGGGCTTCACTATTTTCATCTATGAAATGGAGACTAACAATACCCATTTGTTGTGCAGAATATATTTAAGGTATGAAAAGGGCCTCGTTCAGTTCCTGGAGCAAGGGAGCCACCCGATAATGCCTTCCCTTGCACCCCAGATGAAGCCAAGCACAGTGAGAGAAGCATCTCCAGATCTCTATCTGGTGGAGCTGCTGGACTTCCCTCGGGGCAGGTAAGCACTCTGTGAATGCTTGTGGGCTGACTGACTCACAACCCCAGAGAGAGTATTCTGGAGGCTGAGAAGTGGCTTAGGTAAAGCTAGCTTAAACATCAAACATGTTGGATATCAATGAAATAGGCTTTTCAATCTGATTTAGGGGTTTTACACATTTTGCCTTCAGCTCCTTGAAGGGATTGATCAGATCAATCCGTTGTGAAACTTCCCACTCACTCTGATCCTCCTAATAAATGCTAGACAAAGGCTTTCTCTTCCTTCTTCCATACATATTCCCTTATTAGTCAATAAAATTCTTGTTATTGTAGTTGGGATTATGAAAAGGTGAAAATAAGAACTCGGCAATGCAGCACATTTCTTGTCCAGTTTGAGACACTCTGGCCTGATTTACTGGCTGTGGCCACAGTCTAACAACAGGTAAAGATCATGTAGGAAGAAAACAGTGAACAGGCTGGAGATATTCAAGATGCTGGGAGGCAGAGTCTTTCTAAACTCCTGTGATAACCATCCCATGAATGGTATTCCATGTCTCCTGGCCTAATTCCGAGTTTTTATTCATTTAGTAACCTCAAATATATTTTGTATACATGCTAGCTAAGTTCCTATTCTTTGGGCCAAGCTTTTAAAAACATCTTTCTTTCTGTGGTGGCAAAATTTCAAGACTGGTAGTACCCGATTAAAGAACATAACTTCTCCAAAAAGATTAAACTCTGAAATATTCCTTTAAAAATCTAAGGTTATGTGGCCAGTTTAGAAATGTTAGGCATATATTGACCTTCCTGATATTTTTTTCTCTTAATTTATCATTCATTCCTCACATTGAAAGTAACAATTGGTAAAGTGAGACCCCTTTAGGCATTAGCAAATAAGCAAGTTTTCTCTTAAATGCTCCTACCAATGTTCATTTCTCAGGGGTTACAACCTCCCCTGTCCTGGATCCACTCCCCGTTCCCTAAAAGATGGAAGGAAAGGCATGGCTTAAGGTTATGGTGTCAGGATTTTGTAGGATGTGGGTCTCTAGCAATGGTCAATAATAGGATAATTTTGTTTCAAAACAACTGCAACAACAAAACACGTTACTTGTGATTTAAGTCACATTCAAATAGAGTTCAAGATGACAGCCAACAGCCAAGTGGGGGTTGGTGTAAGACCTCATCTAAGGGCTGAAATGTTTTTCTCTTTCTCTCTCTTTATACCAACTGATATTCTCATAACAGGAGACAGTATGACATAGACCAGTTTCAGCAGAACATCCAAGCCATAATTTGGCTTTTCATGTGTGCCTCTGTGGGTTCCTGGTACCCAAACTATTCTATGCTCCTGCAAAGGAGATCACAGGAACTGTCTCCTTTTTCGGTGTGGCTCTCCTTGGCCTTCTAAAATGGCCTATATGGGATGCACTCCTACCCTACTTAATATCACCAATTGCAAAATGTCAAGAAAAAAAAGAACAAGACGGATAATCTCCAGCTGGATAAAAATGAAGACAAAGAAGGAAGAAGATGTCCAAATCAAGCACACACAGCCAGATGTCCTCAGAATGGCTCAGCTTCTCCAAGGTACCTCAACAGAAAGTCAATGTGCCTGCTCACCCTCCCCCTCCTGAGAGAGGAGAGGGCAGGAGGTCACCATCTCACCACCTGGCTGTTGTAGTCCTCGGTGACAGTCCCTTCTGCAGCCCCATCTTCTTTGGGCCACTGGTGGTCCCTGTGCTCTCGCTGCAGCCTCCGCTCCTCCCGCCGCTTCTGGCGGTCCCTCTGGTGCTCTAGCTGCTTGGTGTGGTGGTAGCGCTGCTGGAAGAGATCTTTTGCATACTCGTAAAGCTGCATGTCCAGGAAGTTTAGATCCTCAATGCGTTGGCGGGCACCCTCGTTGATCTCCACGTTAGAAGCCCGCGTGATGTTGAACTGTGTGAAGGGGGAGATGAACTTGAGGTTGAATGTTCTCTCAAAGAGAAACTGTGTCTTCCTCTGGAACTCAGTGAGCCCAAAGAAGGCCATGTTCTTCAGGTTGTTCTTTGCACTCTGCAACAGGATGGTGTTTCTTTCACTCTCGTTCATGAAAGTCAAGTTATAGCAGCCCACCAGGCTGAGGTCAGCCAGCATGCGCACCTGGCGATTGTTAGCCAGGTTGTAGGTGCAATCCATAAACTCCCGCAAGCTGACCCCAGACCAGTCATCCCCAGGGTAGCAGGTAGGCAGCTCATCTGGGGTGGGGCTTCTTCCATCACACATATGAAGAGAGGTTTTCCAAGTGGCCCCTCTCTGGACATGTTTCCACTCGCTCAGGTAACGTGACACTGGATCCCGTAACATTGTGATGTAATAGAAATTCCTAGAAGAAATTAGAGGAAGAGCATCAGTAGTTGACAACTCTAACAGGAGGTATCTAAATTTTTATAATTTTACATCGGCATTGAGTCAAGGGACTCTTTGCCAAATGTTCATGTGAGAGTATTCGCCTGCATTTGTGTCTATTGATGCATGTGCATATGTTTCCATAAAGACGTATGTACCAATTTTCAATACTGAGTTTGTTGGGCTTTTCCTCCTTGCTCCAGTGTGGGGAAGCATGGGGTGGAAAGAATAGATAGTTCATTCATTCATTCGTTCAGCAATTATTCACTGATAAATTACTGCTGGCAATAACAATACCTTACATTTAGAGAAAACACCATGATTTTTAAGTTATTACCCATCTGCTGTTTCATTTGATCCTTACAGCAAACCTTTTTGGTAGATGGGGTTCTATACGATAGGGTTACATGAAGGAGGTGAAGTGATTTATCCAAGGACATGGGACTAGAAAGAACAAAGTTGAACATGTATTCTCCTTAATCTCTGTTTTTTTTTTTTTTTTTTTTTTTTTTGAGAGGGAGTCTTGCTCTGTCACCCAGGCTGGAGTGCAGTGGCACAATCTCAGCTCACCGCAACCTCTGCCTCCCGGGTTCAAGCGATTCTCCTGCCTCAGCCTCCTGAATAGCTGGGATTACAGGCACCTGCCACCATACCCAGCTCATTTTTGTATTTTTAATAGAGATGGGGTTTCATCATGTTGGCCAGGCTAGTCTTGAACTCCTGACCTCAACTGATCCACCTGCCTTGGCCTCCCAAAGTGCTGGGATTACAGGCATGAGCCAGCGTGCCTGCTGGCCTCCTTAATCTCTTTATACTGCTACTTGGGATTATGAGGTAGGTTGGTTGAGGAAGGATGCGTTGGGTGTGGAGACTAGGATTTACTGGGTGCCTACAATGTGTTAGGAACTGTGCTACATGCTTTATGGATGCTTTGCACAGATGATCCTCAAGACAACTTTGTAAAATGGGTTTTATTGTTACTTTTTAAAATAAAAGCTGAAGCCACAGAGGTTCAGAAAAGTGACACTGGAGCAAGTTAATACCTGACCTGCAGTCTAAGTTAGGCCTATTTGATTTCAAAGCTCCCATGCTTTCCTGTACATCATATTGGTATTTACATTGTAATTTCTATGTATTGACCACCTATTAATTTTCAGGTTCTGTGGTTATTACAGTCACAGATCTTATCTAATTCCACCTAATGGATTACTGAAAATAAACCCATTATTAAATGGTTATCTTTAGAAGAATCACATAGAGATCAGGACATCTGTGGTTTAAAAGGACAAGGGGAGTGTTAAGAGGCAGGAAGGGAGATGGAGAAGTTGAGAAATGAAAGAGAAACAGCAGGCATTAGAGGAAAGTAAATACTGGTTTAAAATAAGGACAATCCTTTCCATGATTTGAGAAGCCTACCAATGGAATGGGCTGCCCACCCCAACCCCATCTTTCCAGCAGAGTCTGGAAGTCCATTTGTCAGGGAAGCCATAGAAAGGACCCCATTGCGGAGCAGGCCCGCAAGCTGTCTTCCAACTCTCACATCCCACTGCAGCCTTTTGTCCTTTAGCACAAGCCAGTCTGATTCCAATTCAATTTTAGTTCAGTCCTTGGCTCGTTGAGGGGGGCCAGCTCCAGAAATATAGGGTAGATCATAGTAACTCAGAGCTCCCCTAGGGAGAAAAAATTAGCCCCTCAATATTCTGAAAAGAACACCAGGCCTGCCCTAACACCTGTACAAATGTCTTGGTGCAATAGAGAGCCCAGGAACCAAGGCTGGTGCTGCCAGGTAGGCTTCAATGTGACCTAGCATGTACTCAGTGGAAAACAGTTATTACCCAGCATGCCTGTCCTCAACCTGGCGTCCAGAGGGCTGGAACAAAACCAGGTCATTTTTCTTGATTCAACTCAGTGTCTGCTCTTCAAAGAAACTTGATGATAAAATAAATACATGTATATAGATACACAGATATATAAGATAGATAGACAGTAGGAGTCTATTGAGGAATGACTTTTGATTACCACTGCATTGTCATAGTTTTTCAAATATCTGTGTTAGCAAAGAAGGGAGCAGTTGTAGATATTCCTCCCCTGTATCATTCCTGTATGTTGTTAGGGCATGCATTTGTACTTAAAGATAAATGGTGGTGTGCCTGACTATAGATACTCTTTGAGTTATGATGGGGTTACATTTCAATAAACCCACTGTAATTCGAAAACACCCTAAGTTGAAAGTGCATTGAGTACACTTAATCTACCAAACATCATAGCTTAGCCTAGCCAAACTTAAACGTGCTTGGAATACTTGTATTAGTCAACAATTGGGCATATTTATCTAACATAAAGCCCATTTTATAAAAAAGTGTTGAATATCTCATATGTTTATTAAATATCTTAATGAAAATGAAAAAAAAAACAGAATGGTTGTATGGGTACTCAAAGTATGGTTTCTACTGAATGCCTATGGTATTCTCATTATTGTAAAGTTTAAAAATAGCAAGCCAAGCCCTCATAAATCAGAGACTTCCTGTATATTTAAATCAAAGGATGTCTGATTCCTCAAAGACCTAAAGACAGAACTATCATTTGATCCATCAATCTCATTATCGGTTATAAAGCCAAATGAATATAAATTGTTCTATTATATAGACACATGCACATGTATGTTCTTTGCAACACTATTCGTGATAGCAAAGACATGGAATCAACCTAAATGCTCATCAATGATGATCATCATCAATGATAGACTGGATAAAGAAAATGTGGTATATATACACAATGGAATACTATGCATCCATAAAAAAGAATGAGATCATGTCCTTTGCTTGGACATGGATAGAGTTGGAGGCCATTATCCTTAGCAAGTTAACATGACACAGAAAACCAAATACTGCATGTTCTCACTTATAAGTAGGAGCTAAATGATGAGAACACATGGACACATAGACGGGAACAACAGACACTGGGGCCTATCAGAAGTTGGGGGGTGCGAGGAGGGAGAGGATCAGGAAAAATTACTAATGGGTACTAGGCTTAATACCTGGGTGATGAAATAATCTGTACAACAAACACCCATGATACAAGTTTACCTGTGTAACAAACCTGCACATGTACTGCTGAACTTAAAATAAAATTAAAAAAAAAAGAAAAATTGAAAAAAAAAAGTTGGAGCAGTTGGGAAGTTGCTCTTACCCCCTTCTTCTCAAAACATTCATTTCCACTTCTTAAAGGTTGATGTTATCACATCAGGACAGGTTTGAAGCAGAAGAGAACTGCTTTGCCACCACACTCTGAAAATTGGCTTTGGTAAGAAAATTTAACATTGATTTCAAAGGAATGGTTAAGAGAGAAAAGGAAAAAGAAAATGATGCAATATTTTGAGTGTTTCTGGGAACTAAGAGTCAACAGAGAGAATAAGAAGCTCAGTAGAGAAGCTAAATCAATGGAAAAGAACACATTCCTAATTCCCAAGAAAGGAAACTCAGCCTCTAGTGATGCCTAATAATTTTAGAGGCAAAGAATAAATTATTGCAGACTTAGATTTAAAGGAGATACTTTATTCATTCAAGACTAACTGATCACTTCCTATACCATTTAGAAAAAAATACTTTTTTCAAGATCTTGGGGCAGAAATTTTCTAATTTTGTTTTAAATTGTAACAGCAAATTTTTTATTTAGATAAACTCACTGAAACACTTGGATGTCAAATGCTTTACCTATAGTCTGGTGCCCAAGACCCTTGGTGTAGCAAACTTGTGAAGTGCCAGGCATGGCACTAAGTAAGAGTCTAACCCATTCCAGAATCCTATGAGATGTGTGCATATTTTGATTTATTTTTATTTAACTTAACGTTGAATAAACTAAGGATTTGGGGAGATAAAATAAGCTGCCCAAGATTATCTTGGTAGTAAGTTATAGAACTTGGATTAATCTGGTCAGATTTACTTAAAAAATAGTCACTATATTATAAGAAAGAAAACCTCCTATTTTGTAGGAAAAACTCAACCTAGTATGTGTTTAACTTGTCCAAGCTAAACTGAATTAAAAAAAAATACACACCAACTTAAAGCAACATTCTAAAAAATGAGAAATGTAAGGGTACAATGTTATTCTACTTGTCAAAAGGAATTGATCAGCTGCAATATTTAAAACTATACATTTTCTATATTCTGTTATCTTGACTGTCTAGCCTTACCACTAGGTAAGCCAGGCAGTTTTGAAATGTGCTAAAGAAACTTCAAAATCTTTAAGTAACATTCATTTTCCTTTAAATCAGGAGGTGAAATTTATTGAAACTGCCAAGGACAGAACAGTCTGAGCTCTTGCTTTTGCCAATCACCATTTTCCATGACTGTTGTCTTTCACTGTGACAGAATGACAATTCCATCAGTGTCAGAAAATTTCCCAAAAGGTCAGCAGGGAAAGCAGAAAGTGACTGACACAGCTTCTGGGCTCCAAGAGGAAGTACTGATGATAAAGTTGTGTGCAGAGTGGATATTACTGTAGTTGAATATCATATGGCATGCCATTATTAATCCTGCTTTAGTCCTATTTTGGGACTTGTTCATGTTTCAGGCTTTTGTCTCAGTTGAGAAAATTGGCCATGGACCTTCCAGTACCATCATTCCACTGGAAATCTTCATTCCACATAATCTTAAAGCTGACTGAAACTGGTTTAGGCTTAAAATGGTTTTGGTTCCAAATTTAACTTTATTCAGTTTAACACTGCATCAAACATTGACTAGCCAAATTGTAGGATGATATTTACATGAGTAAAATAAGTCCTAAATTATGTCTTGGAGTTCTATCAGCCAAGGGGGTACAACTTGAAACTACCTCTGCTCTGACATCAAAACATAGAAATGTCCTAGTGGAATATATTTATTGATGAAGTATAAAGTCATCCTATCTTATGGTTCTGAATCTGAGTGGCTAAAAGCATCTGGAAATCACTTTAGACAGACATATTCTCATGTACATTTTGTTTGTTTCAATCCTGCAAAGCAGACTAAATAGAAAGTTAGAAGTAATAATAAACCAATAGGGTTGAAGAACCTTCTGTTCCGTTTAATTCCATCTCATATGCATAGACAGTATCACTTCTTTGTATATTTTCCGTTACAGTTAACCTAAGCTCTTCCCACATAGTGAAACAATAAATAAGCAAACTCCTATGCCCCCACCTTCAATCTGTCTGTTCATTCATTTTTTAATTCTCCAAACTTTAATTAAGCCCCATCTATTTGCCAAACACTGGGACTAGGCAACAGGGACTCAAAGACTAATATTCCATGTCCTCAAGGAGATCTTAGGCACCCCGTGATTTTGGTAAAGTGAAAGAAATGCTAACTACCAACTTAAGAGAATGTTACACCAATCTCCCTGGGCCAGAACAGTCCCTCAGACAGATAGCTTTTTGTTTGCCATGGTGACAGCATCCTGTCAGCAGATCTTCCATTTGTCACCTACTTCATTGAGGGCTTGGGTGAATTCATTTAAGAATGTCTGTAAAGCAATTGGAGCTCTTTAGAACTGCTGTTCTGTGGCCATGAGGGTTATGATGGCAAACACTTGTGTACTGAGAAAGATTAGGGAATGAGGTTAAGTCAATAATCATTTTAACTGATAATTATAATATAGGCCATCAAGGCTTACTTGAAGTTACACCAAATGGAATACACACATTTCCATAACTGGTTTCAAACCACTTTTAGTATCTTGTTCTGCTGTAAGGCGATCACGTTAAAAAATCCTAAATACAACACAAAGGTATGATTGCCTTCTCTCACGTTGAAAGCCTTTCCCTTTCTTTGCTCTTTGGTATCCTGCATATCTTCCCTGGACCAGCTCAAGGCTCACATCCATCTTCCTTGACTTTCCAGCCTATAGAGTTTACTGCATCACTTACTGCACTTTTAACTTAAATGTAACAGTCTTGGTCATGTCTGCCCTCCAAAGTCCTTTTTGATAACCTTACCTTAGGCCTCAGATCCCTAGCAAAAGTCCCAGCACCTACTACAGAGGCCTACTCACAGCAGATATTAAAAAAAAATTGCTATGTAAAAGAACATTATCACTACATGAAATAAGTATATTTTAATAACTAAGTCTAATATTGCCTTTGATAAATATGCCTTTCTTTCCTCTCCTAAAACTAAACTGATACCTTTTAAAATGCCTAAAATGTGTGCAAGGAGTAAAAAATATATAATCTTCTAATGCACTTGTCATTTGATTGTGATGGTAGGTGATATGGAGTGAAATAGTCAACACAGACTCACTGCAAAAAGGAGAATATTTTATACAACAAGTAATTAGTAACAATGAGGTTTATTTATTTATTTTTAAAATTAAACTTACTGGTTTTCTTCCCTACTGTTTCAAGAACCTATGTTTCACTGAGCAGTTTATTGTATAATTTGTTCTCTTCTTTAATTAGCAAGTCATTTAATTAACACATGCTTATTGAGGGTTCGCTATGTGTAAGGCACTGCTTCAGGAAATGTTGAGAACATAAAAAAAGAAGAAAATGCCCTCAAGTCTTACTGCACAGGTGTGGTAGAGTAGAAAAATGCATTCATTAGCAAGTTACAGAGGTCAGGAGTGGACAAAGAATATTTAAGAGAGCTCTTCAAGAATGTTCCTAGCAGAGTACTGAGACTTGACCAGGAAGCTCATGTTGTGTGTTTCACTAAACGTTCATTTAATGAGTCAATGAATGGAAGGAGGGCATAGACTGGAGCAGGATGTTGAGACCCAATTGCCGTAGGCTCTGAATGTGATTGTGAATTGCTGAAATTGAAAGTGTTAATTTAGAAAGACTCATTCAGCAACAGTATTAAAGTATTAAACAGTATTAAAGATCTCTACCTAAAGTAGGTAGAGATCACAGGAGACATTCAGCAGCCATGGTAAGAGACCAGCAGAGACAACCCCAGAACTGTGGGTGTTGAGGAGAAAGAATCCAGGACAGATTCAGGAAATGCCATGCACCCGCCTGCCACTGCTCTCCCCGGCTTTCTGTTGTCAGCTTTCTCTATGCTACTTTTTCCTCTTTTCTGTTTCTTTCTTTCCTTCTAGCAAATCCTTCCTTTTCAATACTGCAGTAGATAAAAGGCAGAGCTAGTATCTTCATCCAAATGGTAGAATGAAGAGTATAAGTTCCTGGAATCACTTTGCTGGTGGTGATTAAAACAAACTCATGTTTATGAGGCTATGACTTGCCTATCCAAAGAGAATACACTTGAAAGAACTTCATAATGCTAGGTTCACAACAGTTTATTAAATAGATTCCTTCCACCACCAGCTTAACCCTCATAAAGCAAAGCAGCAAAATTAATAGCTCCACACTCCACAGTTTTATGCATTCATAAAAACCAGATCAGGTAGGAACTCCTCCACCCAGCCTGCTCTCACGTCCTCCGTGGAAGGGATTTCTCCCCCATTGCCCCACAAAACCAGAGATCCCCTCATGCACTATCTTTATTCTAGCGACCAGTCTGACTTATACAGGCTTTACACAACTTGAGAGGGGGAACCTTGCCTGACTCACCTTTGATTCCCCAGGATGTATAATGCATGACCTTATACATCATGGATGTTCAGTTGTTCAATGTTTGTGGAGTGAATAAATATATAGCATTTATCAGCCACTCTTTCAGAGATTCTTAGATCTTGTGAGGATCTTGATCCTCTCCATGGAGCATGGACAGGCGACCACCACATCTTAAACATAAGCTGATGTGTGCATTTTAAAAAAGTGAAGCTTAGCTCCCTCTGCCCTGCTCTGCTGTGTGCAGGAGTCAGTTTCCAAATGTTCAGAATGGAATTAATTTCTTGGCTTTCTTTGTTGCTGCACACTCATCATGAGCTACTCATTCTTCATTATCTCACTAGAGTATTGTCTGCCCTGCACAGTATTTGATAGGGGTATTGCGGCAGTTAAGGCTTAGCAATCAGACTGCCCTTTGACACAGCTACGAAAAGGCCTTTGATTCAAGTCTTGAGAACAAATTAAGGAAGTTAAGAATGATGTTCTAAGCCAGTGGGAAGTTGGAGACTAGAATTGCGAAGTATCATAATAAAGAGCTTTAGGAAGCTGACAGTGGTGTGTGTCACAGCGATTGGTTCCGAGGGTGTCCGCAACATGAGGAGGAGGAAATGGAGATGCGTGCATGTGGTTCTCTTACCTCACACAGAAGCCATGTGCGTCGCACGGCACCAAGCTGCCATTACCTTCTCCCTCATGCTGACTTAGAAGGCAGTCAGACCCTTTGGGCTCAGGCATTTTTATTTTGCTTACTACCCATGTATCTTGACTCTCTTCAATAGGTAAGATGAGGGGATAGAAGTGCCCACAGGGCTTCCCTCAAGAGGGGAGAGGCTCGGGTGGCTTTCCTCACATATGCATCTGATAACTTTAAAGGAAGAATAGTTTAGATTTAGTTGTTCTTGCTTTTTTAAAAATTATTATTTCCCCCACTTGGATACGCAATAATGTATTACCATTATGGAAAATGTGGGAACTGCAGAACAGTAAAAAAGAAGAAAATAGACTGGGTGCTGTGGCTTGCACCTGTAATCCCAGCACTTTGGGAGACTGAGGCAGGAGGATCACTTGAGGTCAGTTCAAAACCAGTCTGGCCAACATGGCGAAACCCTATCTCTACTAAAAATACAAAAAGTAGCCTGGCATGGTGGCATGCGACTGTAATCCCAGCTACTTGGGAGGCTGAGGTAGGAGAATTGCTTGAACATGGGAGGCGGAGGTTGCAGTGAGCCGAGATTGCACCACTGCACTCCAGCCTGGACACCAGAGTGAGACTCCATCTCAAAGAAAAAAAAAGAAGAAAATAAAAATTACCTATAATCACTTTATTCATACATAGGCACAGTTAAATATATATATATTTGATTATTATTTAAAGTTATAAATATGTTTACATTTTGAATTCATAATGCACAACATATTTATAACATGTTTTTAACTTAAAAAGACGGTGAATGTTTTTCCATTTTATTTAATATTCTTTCATAAGAATACAATGTTCTTCCAGAAGAGCATAATATTCCATTTATGGATGTGTCATAATTTGTATGGCCAATCTCCAGTTTGGGACAACTAGGGACATTCTATTTTGGTGGTGTATTTTAAACAAGAATCTGATGAACATTCTAAGCCATGAATATCTGTGCAGAGAATAAATTCCTAGGAGTAGAATTCCTAAGTCAAGAGAATCCCTCCTGTTTCATTGTCAAAATGACTCAATATGGTTTTTGCCAATAGTATCCAGGCACAGTCAAAGCCAGAGAGGACTTGACTATTCCATGAGGCCTGACATCATGGGGCACAGAGAGCATGGCTGCCTGGGAGCCAAGAGGGTGCTGGAGACAGGTGCTGCTCCCTCCTGGCTGGAAGAGGAAGGTGCTCTGAGTGAAACCTTGGTCTGAGACTGCCATTCCAGGACAGTCTGGTTAGAGCTTGTGACATGATGTTAGGGAAACAACTTTCCAAAGAGATTGTTTATTTTCCACTTAATGAACAGCTGGAATGTCAAATTAGACTAAACATTTGTGGAATCAAATCCCACTCATCAGCACTGCAGCTATATTAAAGCCAACATCTGGATCAGAAAGATGGAGGTCCCTCACCCGATTATATTCATTGGCAGTCCTCAAAGAAACAACCTCTTGAGATGTAGTTTGTATGCAATGGCTGGGTGTCAGCTAACTTTAATTATGGGAAGACACATATTATACAAAACAAACCAAACAAAAGCATCAAAGAAGAGGCTTCTCGATCATACAGGTCATTCCTTAATGATGATCAGTCAACCCCCTGCTTCCCTAGAGGGAGAGATGGTATTTATCAATAAGAGGAAATTTCAAATCTTGTCACGTCGCTGCCTTATATTGACAGGAAACCTGTGAGCATCGAACTCACTAAAATGCCATGATTTTCGGGTGGTTGTCACATTTGCTTTCACTTTCCCCCAAGTGGCTGCTGCAAGAATAAATTTCAGGGAATGCATGTTCTAGGGGCTAGTTTTTGCTATCTTGCTGAGTACAGTTCCTCCCAGTACAGTTTCAAATGTGCCAGGGAGGGTCCTGCTCTCATTCATTATTCAGGGACTTCCGTGATTATTTGGTTCAGAGGCGCCCTGCTTTGCGCTGCATCACTGGGATTTGGGCATGAGGATGTCTCAAGGCTCTCTGCAAAGCTGTGGTTTATGCATGCGGGTATCCACCTGAAGCCTGGAGCCGCCTTGGAGTGAGATAAGGCCCAATTCAGTCTCACTGGCAGCTCTAATCCCAGCCGGGCAAAGCAGAACACCAGATAGTACACTCAGATTGTGTTATCAGGCCCTCCGTGCTCAGCCATGCTCTCGTCTTAGCTAATTTCTCAGGCACTGCTTTTAGGGAATGTGAGAATTACACAGGTAGAAACCATGAGGTGTCTCCGTTGTAATTGCTCAGTGCCAGCCAATTTGGACAGGAAAAGAAGTAAATCAGAATATTTAAGAGCAAGGCATGTGTGCCAATATTTAGAATCTATATTTGACAGCTCTGATGCATATTTTCCAAAAACATCACAAGAATATATATTTTTTTAATCCCCTCTGTCTAGGTTTTGCCATTCTGTTATATGAAGGATACTTCTGTTTTAGGATTTTTTGTTCACTCTGCTATCAGGACTGGGTAACCATTTTGGCATATTAAACAAAAATACTTGTGAGATTCCAATCTGATTCCATTCCTTCCCAAGTCTCAAACAAAGATTGTCTCTGAGGTCATCTCCTCAATAATGATTAAGAGGAATGCTAACTCAAAATATGGAATGTTCCATGTGCAGTGAAAAACTGATATGAATAACAATAATAGTGGCCAACATTTATTGAATCCATACTATGTCCAAGTACATTTCTAAGTGCTGTGTCTGTGTTCACCAACTTAGTCATCAAAACAACCCTTTGAGTCACGTACTACTTTTAGATGATGTTTGTAATTCACAGAGTGATAATAGTTTTGGCAGTTTCTTCCATCATCTTGTAAAAATCAGGCTGTCTTGGAAATTCAGTTTATGACTTAATGATGCAGTGGCCCAGGCTTTGTTGAACTCAAAGCTCTAGATGCAAAATGAACATCACAGGGTGAGGGATTTGTTTCTACCTGCAGGGAGACAGCAGGAGATGAGAGAGAAGCAGCATCTTGCAAGGCCAGGGATGGACAGGAAGCAGAAGGAACACAGGGCCTCTGTTCTACTTTAGCACAGGAGTGCATGGATCCAGAGGATGCTCTGAATATATACAGCTTAGAAGAAGCTATAGAAACAGTTTTCCTGAGCCCAGCACACCCACAAAGCTGTAACAAATTTACACTTGAGGAAGGGGCATTAGAGACAAGGGAGAATTATTGCAGTTGCATTCATTTTTAACACACCTAAAGAATCTAGAAGCCAAAAGCTGTAGTAATGTCAGAACAATAAAGGCTGAAAATAGCTATGCAAGAGAATTGAAATAAAGCCAAAGCTCATTCCATGCCATAATGCTCTTTTCAGCCTTAAAACAGATCTTGAATACAATGCTATGAAGACTCAGAAAAGTGTTCAGAGAAGGTTGCTGAATCCTGAAGTTGGCTGTCCCAAAGCCTGTATTCAGGAAGAGATTTAAGAAAAGTACAAGTCAAACTGTGCTCATTTGGACAAAGCATGAGTGCATAATTTCAAGAATGTTGGGAACTTCACTTTATATGGAGTGAAAAGAAAATAGGTTTGAAGTCAGACAGATTCGAGTTCCAACGTTAAACCCACCTCGCTTTCAGCGTGACTTGGTTAGCTTATTTGACCTCTGGGAGCCTTAGTTTCCTCACCTAAACAGCTGAAGTATCAGTACTTACTTCATAGGGTTGTGGGAATTATTGAATAAGAAGTGAATATAAAGGGCCCGGCAGTAGCTGATACCTAGCAGATCCTCACCATTTATATACACACTCCGCACTTCAACGTTCTCCCTTCTCCATGATTATTAGAGCCTCATAAACTCCAAGATTATTAGAGCCTCACCATTTATATACACACTCCGCACTTCAGCGTTCTCCCTTCTCCATGATTATTAGAGCCTCATAAACTGTCCAAATAGAGTGAAATTTCAAATATTAAACAAGATGTATTAATGAATATTTAAAAAACAACCTAAAGCAAATTTTTATTTGTCTAACTTTTTTAAGTTTTCAAACTACTTTCTTCATCCATTATTTCATTTGATCCTTCTTGATCCTCTGATATAACAAGATTATATCAGAGACAGCAAAGGAAAGATTCTTCGTCCACTTTTACAGATGAGAAAACTGATGCTCAGAGATATCCAAGCATTTTTCTTTTTTTTTTTTATTTTTTGAGACAGAGTCTCACTCTATTGCCCAGGCTGGAGTGCAGTGGCACGATCTCGGCTCACAGCAAACTCTGCCTCCCAGGTTCAAATGATTCACCTGTCTCAGCCTCCCAAGTACCTGGGATTACAGGCGTCTGCCACCATGCCTGGCTAATTTTTGTATTTTTAGTAGAGATGGGGGTTTCACCATGTGACTGACTGGTCTGTCACCATGTGACAGACTGGTCTCAAACTCCTGACCTCAGGTGATCCACCGACCTCAGCCTCCCAAAGTGCTGGGGTTACAGGTGTGAACCACTGTGCCTGGCCATATACAAGGATTTTCTTAAGGTCAACAAGTAAAAAGTAGTAGAGCTGGGACTTCTTTTTTTCTTACTTCAACTCCTGTGCTCATTTAGTTTGCTTGTTTAAATACACGTGTTGGTTCTGTGTCTCATGAGAAACACTATGCGAGGTGCTTATGATATAATGGTACACTGCGTGGCCTGACCTTAAGGTGCTGAGTCATCAATTGACTACCCAACACCGTCTTATTTTGCTCATAGTTAAGAATTAGAAAGAAAACACAAAATTAACGCTTTATTCTACAAGTTGGGAGGTTTCACTGATATTAGCTCATTTTTTTCTTTGAAATCAACTGAAAAAGGAGACCCAGGAGAATGAGCCAGAAATGCCAGAATATGGATATGCCTTCTGGTATGTTTTTTGATTATGGAAGAATCATTCTTAAATAATACACTCATTTCTAAGTAGGTAGTGTTCCAGACTTCAGTCTGGAGGTAAATAAAGTCTGGGGTCTCTTTTTTTCTGATGGCAGTGGCCACTGATGTTCATCCAGAAGGGGGTTGCAAAATGGTGAAAGTCTTATTCTGTCATTTCTTTTTTCATTTATTAGCTGGAATGCCTCTATAAAAAGAAACTTTCCCTTATCAACTATTTGGCATCCTGAGGTAGAGTTCACATAGGAAAGGCAAATGAATGTTTGATTCATTTTACTTACTAGTTTTCAAAATAGTGGGTTGCTTTCTTACAGTCTCCCCCAAAGGGGATTTTTATTGCTGTTTGTTTGTTTTAGTATCCCATAAGCTCATGAATCTAAATATACTTAAGAAGTTTCAACACACTGTAGTCATGATCCTTATTGATCCTCAATTTATCCAATTTTTGGCTAGTGGGAGTTTATTCAATATGGATGTGGAGTTCTTTTGATACAACCCTTGTAGACTTTTATGAATATTCTGAAAGGAACTTGCACATTGCAAAAGCTCTATATCAAGAAAAGACCAAGAAGGATAGTGTGGGAGCTTGGAATTTTCCACAGCTTCTAAAGAGTAAAGTGGTTGCTGCTCAACACTTCACCTTGGCTAGCATTACCTGTGCACTAGTCTCCTCTCTCACTCCCAACCAAGTGTTGTAACTAAGATTTTTGCTAATTGCGCCTGTGCATTGAAGACAAAATAGGAAACAGATACCATCTTTAACTTTCATGTATTTTATCCAGGCCCAAACACCAAGGCTTTTGTCTTTCATTTTTGCTTCTCTTTTTGTTCTTCAGCTCCCACCCACGATATTTTTCTCCATGCTAGGAACAACAAGCAGGGCTAGTAACTCATTTGTGACTAGAGGCCAGTGTCAGTCCATAAACTAATCTAGGGAAAACCAAATTATGCTGGAAATAATGCAGAGCCCTAATCAGGTTCTCTTCAAAATCCACTTATTGACGATAATTAGCATGAGTTTCTTCCAGAAGCCCAGCTTAGCACATGGACATTCAATGGGATCTTTCAGCTGCAGTGGCTCCGAAGCTGCAATTCTGCCTAATTAATAAAGCAACGACAGACATTTAGAAAAATATATGCATGATAATTTAAGTCTCCCAGAAAAAAATCAATTCGTTCTGTTTAAACTTTGCCTTGGGTGTTCTCTTCATCAATTCAAGTGTGGAGCACTGACCTTAAGTTGCAAATATTTTTCTTCAGGCATGATTGAAGCTTCCAGAGGTAATAGCTTTCAACATTCATTTCTTAGAGATTTTAAAACACTCAAATGGGGACACTATCCCACTTTTCATGGCTATATGTAAATCTGATAAAATAATCTTTAAGACTTTCAAAGTAAATGTAGCTTAGGGCTACAAGAGGTGGCTTTTTCATTTGTGCAATCAATACATGATTAAAATGGTGTGTTGGGAGGGGGCGCATCCCTTAAGCAACAGAATAACACAACTGTAATTTCCCTTCTTAGTGAACTTCCCTAAACATGCCCCTTTGTGTTGATTATTTCTCTTGGTGATAAGCAGAAAAAAAGGTCACCTGTTGCTGACATCTGCTGCTATCTCTGTGTGTTTTCTTGAAATGACGTGTTATATTGGAGCTAATCTAAATGAAAAACAATTCAAAGCATACACATAAAGCAAGCAAACAACTGCAACCAAAAGAAAAAGGTGGGGAGGGGAAGACCCATCAACAAAAATCCAACAAAAAACCAGCTAAAAGCTTTTCATTGATTTTCAGTTAAGGAAGATTATAGCCACAAGGGGGCTCTCGAATCTTCCCAAACACTAGTTAAGTGCTGAGAACTATTTTTCTAGTAATTAATTTCCACAAATCAATATTACCTATTAATGTATATTACAGAGACAAGCTACAGACTTCTGACACGTTACATTCAAGCTAAAGAGAGAATTTCATATAAAAATTCAAGGGGCCCACAGTGATTGTAAGTCAAAGCTGAAATTAGTTGCACCTGTGATTTCCTGCGTCCACTCTAGCATAAAAAATCCCAACACTGCAAATTTCACCAAAGGTTAAAACTGAATGTGAAGCACTGTGTATATAATGGAATACATTGACCTCCGATGGATTTTAAAGGCTGTCTGCCTCCTTCTCCTACATCGTGCACCCCCCAAACAGCCATGGAGGGTGACACAGCAGTTAAAATGCAATGACCCTTTCTGGGGGCAGCGGGAAGTTGCGACAGCCATTAGTTCTGGAGGTATTTAACTCATGCTGAGAGCCTGATGGTGCTGATGGTGTTTACAGCCTGAACCACAAAAGGCACTTGGAATTCAAGAGGGCGTTTTAATTTTCTGTTCAACCCAGTAGATAGGGGTAGAATCTCGTACCACACCTGGGCAGAATAAGGACAGACGGGAATCGCATCTCCAGCAGAAGAGAGAACACGACCTAGCACCCTTATCAAAGGGAAAATGGAGGAACAGAAATGCCCCAAAAACATTATATCAGAGTAGTTCAAATACCCAAATAATCTTTGCACAAACTCAGAAAGCCTCTTGGAGCGCTGATGTGAAATGGCTTTTTGACAACTGCCTTTTCTCTAATCTAATGAGAAAATCATCCCAAGGAAAGTTGAGCATAGGTCTGCCACTGGGCAGGAGCACTTTTGTGGCATGTGGGGGATGTGATACCTTTCCCCTGGACAGCTGGCTCTCCTGAAGAGGGGTCAGGGAGAACAGGGCAGCACGATTGTCCCTCATAATCAGGGTCTTCACGCATCATGCTTCCACATTCATTTTGGTTGTTGAAATTATGAATCACTGTTGTTAAACAAATCCCTGGCTCAGGAAGGCCAGTGTTCTCACTCAGGCTCCCAAGAGACATGTTCTGGGACAGCAAATTCTTCTGTTGTGAAATCCTACTTTGCTTGGCAAATGCCCCCCAGTACAACGTGAACCAAACGTTGATGTAAACTGCATAGACTTTTGGCTTAGGACTTTTAGAGTCACTGGTACCCTCAAGTTTCATTCCCAGTTTACAGAGCAGTAGCCCCTCTTAATTTGCCTCAGTCATTTCTCTTTAGAATTTCCAAAGGTGACTTCTGGAATTCTAGTAACAGCCCTGTTTTGTTGTTTTCAGGTCTGGCCTTCCATTGAACCCTTCCATTGAAAACCTTCCTTTTAATCACATTGCAAGTCACCTTTGTGCTTTCCAGCATCTATCTAGAGTGTTGCTGTCATTCAAGCACCATCAGGATATGTGAGGCCTTCCTTGTTAGAACATTGCAGCCACGATCTGGGGATTTAAATTTAGTCTAGGGCTAGTATGTACAGACAAGGACCTTCTGCTCAATTCCCATTCAGAGCCCTGCCCCTTCTAAGGGCAGCTAGGACTTAGGCAGACCCCTGAAGGAGATGGACAGGCATTCCACAGGTAGAAACCTCCAGATTCTTAGCGGCTCATGGGGGATTGTGGCTTTGAACACAGCATATCTAGTCAAGTTTAAGTACATTTCTTTAAAATACATTTTGACCTTAAAAAACTTAAATAACTTAAAGTTATAAAGAGAAGGAATTCCTCTCCTTTAAGCAGAAGGCAAAGGTTGGTGTTTTAAAGAGAATAAGTGGACCCCTCCTGTACCATCCTTCCCCTTTCGTAGTGCATCTGGTCACAATAGTATTTTATCAGACAACTGCTCTCTAAAGAAATTGAGTGATTAAATGATCTGCTATGATGGGTGGGGTTAGTTAGGGGTGAGGCTTCAGAAGACTAGTCTTTCTCAATGAAGTACTGACCAGCCCAACTGCTGATTTTTACCAATCAACACAAAATCCATCATTGTTCTCCCACTGAGAGATGTTACGGGTTGAATTGTGTCCGTTCCGAAAAAAAGATGTTGAAGTTCTAACCACCACCCCACTGCCCCATACCTGGGAATATGACCTTTCTTGGAAATAGGGTCTTTGCAGAAAATCAGGTTAAGGTGAGGTCATTAGAGTGGGCCCTGATCCAATATGACTGGTGTCCTCATAAAGAGGGGAAATGTGGACATAGAGACAAATATATGTGGAGTGAAGACAATGTGAAGATACAGAGAACCCCATCTACAAGGCAAAAAACAGCTGAGACTTCCAGACGAAAGAGAAGAGGCCTGGCACGGTGTCTCCCACCCTCAGAGGAAACCAACCCTGCTGACATCTTGATCTTGGACTTCCAGATTCCAGAACTATGAGAGAATAAACTGCTGTTGAAGCCACCCAGTTAGTGGTACTTTTGTCACTGTGGCCATAAGAAATGAAAACAAGGTATATCTTTATTGGAGAGACAGATGAATGTAATGAAAGAAGGGACCGGCACTAGCTGCACACATTAATAAACTGAGTCTTTTCAATAAATATAAATGGACTGTCAAGAATACTAAATATTTGAGAAACACAAGACAACTTTAAAAATATTATTATGATTATCCTGATGACTATCCATTATGTGATCTATTAAACCACAACAGAACAGGAGAAAAAAAGTAGAAGTTCTTAGAAACTAATTTATACTCATATATGACAAGCCTGAAAATAAACCAATAGGTAAGACAAATAGTGGGGACCCGGCAACTTGTCAGATATGAAAGGGAAGGGGAAAGACATGCAAAATATGAGAAATTAATGTAAGAGACAAGGAGATGGAATCTGTATGTCCAATATCCATCTTGAAAAAAATCCCCAATAGAGAGCAAAGAGAAACGAAACCAAAAGAGAAGAAATAATAAAAGTAAAATTAGACTATTTCCTAAGTCTAAAAAACTGTGCATTGAAATTGAAAAGGCCTAAATGAATTTAAGGGGTCTGAATGAAATGTTAAAACCCCAAAGATAAAGACAAGATCCAAATGCTTCCAGAGAGGAAGAACCTGAAAAGAGATTAGATATATGGAATAAAAATCAACTCGCCACGATTTTCTCATCAGAACTCTGAAGACTAGAAATAATGAATCAGTAGCTTCAAATTTTTGAGGGAAAATTATTTTAAACATTGAATTTTATACCTAGCCAAATTATCAATTAAGTGTATAAGTAAAATAAAAAATAGTAATACAATCAGAGTATTTGCTTTCTTTGCACTCTGTGGAAAAAAGGACTGTATTTGAAAAAGCATTCTAATATAAATAAGAAGGAATCCATAAAAAAGAGATGGGATCTAAGACCCTGGAATTAACACAGTCTGCAAGGAAAAGATTTACAAGGATGACAATTCAGATATTTTTAAGGAAACATACAGGAGAGCAAATTTTTCACCTTTCAATAGATACCAGAATTCACGGATTGAATATTTTAAATAATAATAATGAAAGAGTCATAGAATTATTCTCTCCATAAGATAAAAGACAATTAGCAACTCCTAGAAGAAACAAAAAGCTGAAAGAGAAAGTTACAACCATCTGTGATGCAAACTAAAATGTGGCATTATTTTAAGGACTAGAAATGTAAGAGAGTAGAATCCGTTTGACCTTGGCATGGGTTAGAGGAACCTGTGTCTATTCTTTTGTTTGTGAGTTCAATCACATCATTTGTGAGTATTTACAGGGTCACATTATGTATGTTGTTTATTGGCTTTTTGATTTTTAGAGTCATCCTAGACAACAAGTTCAAAAGTCTATGCTACATTGAAGGCCAGATGTGAATGTTCAAAAGCCTTACAGAGTGAAGATAAGGCCAGTAGACGCTGGGCATAGAGTGAGCTGAGGGGTTGTCAAGGGAAGTAAAGACGCAAGAATTTCCTCATTTTCCACAGTGGAGAGTCAATATATTGCTGCGTGATAGAGAAAGACATAAAGCTTTTATTCACTGAGTAACAAATACATGTTGGGCTCCTACATATCAGAGGCAGGAGTAGAGTGGAACCCCAGTGGGGAGGCTGTGCCCCAGGGTCTCATTCCTTGTTCAGTGACAATGTTAGTGGTGGGGTACGCAGATGGCGTTTATCCTTCTCAGGAAGAAGAGCTGCATGTTGAGGCCCTTTGATACCCTTCCATTCAGTCCAAGTAACATTTTGTGGGGCAGATTCTCCTAAAATTGAATACAGAGTTTATACCAGACTATTTTTCTGTGTTTTTAACATTTTCTGTCCTATTTTTGCTTTTACTCCTTTTTGTCAGATTCTAAGATATCTGTGGGCTTTGTAAACCTCTACTTAGGCTGCTATCCTTCTGAAAGTAAATTGCAAAATTGATCTTGATACCCAACTGTCTCAAAAGCAAGCGCTTTAAATACAGTTCCTCTGCCAGATGAGAGATAGGATTAGAGGGCAGAGAGTGCTGATCCCACAGGTACTGTGATCAGACGAGAGCATAGCAGGAAGCAGGCCCTGCCATCCCAAGTCTCTGTCCTCAGACGCTCTCATGATAGGAAGCTGATAATCCTACAACAGACTTCCCCAGGCTCAAATAACCAAGAGTCACTGAAAACATGGAGCTTTTCAGCAAATCCTAAGCTGGGTATCAAAGATATGTTCCCAGTTACCAAAGATAGGCCCAACACCAAAGCCTAAGGGGTGTGTGTGTGTGTGTGTGTTGATTTTTAAATACAAAAATAATTCCTCATATCTAAAACAGGAAAAGATGCCATAATGGGTTGACAACTTTATAATGGGAACAGTTTCACTTAGGAGGTGGAGTAACAAAGATCTCAAAGCTTGAAGAAGAAAATGTAACTGCTAGCAAGCTAATAATTGTTAGGCAAACTGCCGTTCTGTGCAGATAGATCATCATTGTCTTTTTGTGCTAGTGAGGAGGAAAAAAGTGTTGGAAGGTTATTTTAAGAGTCAACTTTAGAGCTCTTTTCAGGAGGGCTGGTTTTGCTCGGTAACATGTCTACATTGGTGTGTTTTTATATAGAAGATGCTCCATTCTTAGCATGGAGGGGTTGGAGCTGGATTAAAGCAAGGGCTCAAATATTTTCTAGAAGAAGCTAACTTGAATTTGGAGTAAGAGGAAGTAAAAAGGAAAAAAAGGCTTCAAGAAAGAGAAAGGCAAAGGCATATGGGGAAATATTGGACCGCAAGAAGCTTTTGGTGGTGGAGTTGTTGAAACATTTGAAGAACAGGGATGACTAGTATTAATTTTTAAATAGATTTCCATGTGATTCTGCCACCCCAAGCCATCTGTAAAGTTTTCTATACAAACAAACATCTTGTGTGGGTGGCAGATTGAGGCAATGGAGGAAAAGGGGCTGAGTTCTTTAACTAGTGCAAGGTTGGGATGCCACTCTACTCAGAATGTCAGAGTCAAAGGTGACCTTGAATAGGAATGAAGTCTTCAGTTCATAGAAAGTGTAGTGAAGAATACATCCCACCCCAACCCCCCGGCATCCCTCAGGCTCTGATTCTAACGTTACCACCCCTGCCTCACACCCTAAGCACATCCATTCTTTGGTCAAGATTTCCCCATTGCCTGAGTCTGATCTAAGCATATTCTTCCTAATCTAATAGAAATTGAGTTTGGTAGCTTAGCCGAGACTTGAGCTTGAGACTCAGATATTGCTAATTCTCTCATGCTTTCATCTTTGAATTTTAGCCTTAATGTTCTTCACATATTAAACAATGCTTTCCTTTGGTGATAAAAGACTAAATTTCAATAGTAGGTACAAATGGTTATTTATTATATGTGCTCAACTTTCTAATTTGTTTTTAATGAGGTCTCCTATTTACATGTTTTTTATTTATTAATTCATTCAACAGATAACTTAAATACTACTATGTTGCAGCCACTGGATGCTCTATTCTGTGAAATAATTCTGCCTTTTTACACTTTGTAATAAATGCATTTGCTTCCCAATATAGCAAAAATGGAATAATATTAAGTTCTTCTTTGATATTCTTTTCTCAAATAACTGCACTTTTCCTATTTACATAGAGCTCAAGACATTCATTGAACATTCTCCAAAGATTCTTTAACATTCCAGCCAAGTAGGTGAAAAAGAATTGCTATTCTGATTCAAAGATGATTTAGGAACAGGGCCCAAATCATATCAGAAGTCGAAAAGCCCTTTAAAAATAGGACCATTTCTTCCTGGTCCTCTCTGCCAAGGCGAGGTGGCACGGGCTCCTAATGGTGCCTTATCACTTCTTAGCTAACATGCGAAGTGGATATTTCCTTTGCAGCCCCGAGGTAAGTAACAAGAATGGCTTTTCATTTCTGATGTTGGTTTTACATCAGTAAAAATGTTCATTTTACTTCATTAACAAGAAAAAGATTCACCTGTCTAGGGGCTTGCTGCTGCTTCATGCAGAACATTGTTTCCTTATCACTTGTCCTAAACAGACCCATTGGAGTTGGGGGGAGGGGGGATCTCTAGAGAATTTGTTTTTGGATGGTCTCTATTGTTAGTATTTGGAATATTGTTCACAGCTCAGAGGCCTATAATTAAGACTACAGGAAAACTTGAACTGTAATTTCTTATTTTTGACTAACACAAGTAAAAGAAAAATTGCCTAAAGTCTTGGGCTTCATTTGTTTTGTTCATCTTGTGTTTTGTGGATAGCCTGCCATTCTGCAAAGGCAAAGTAGATCCCCTCACCCCTTAACACACATGCAAGCTCTCAGTTGGCAGCAAAGACCCCACACTCAGGGCAAATCATGCTTTCCCTCTATTTTCTACTTAACTAGAAATCCATTTTTAACATCATCCTAAGACTCGTTCATTAGACAGAAGCCAAGCTTTGACACCACTTACTTGAACAAATTATTTAACCTTTCTGGAACTTTACTTCCTTTACGTCTAAATGGTGATAAAAATAGTACCAACCTCCAGGGTTTTCCTGTGAGGATTCACTGAGACACAACATGGAGAATTTGCACAGAGTCTATCATAGAATAAGCATTAAGTAAAGGTCAGCGGTTCTCAACATTCACAGAGTTTTATGGTCATAATAGTACATAATCACAGCCCAACAGATGCCATTTATGGAACACTTCCAATGTGCCTGGTTGGGGGTGGGGAAGGTCTGCTTCCTTCTTCTCTCTTCTACCCCTTCATCTCCCTCCCTTTCTGAAGGAAAGATAAGAAACTTCTAAGAACGTTGGTTAAAGTCCAGGACAAATGGAGCAAGGTTTCCTGATAGGAAAGGTCACTAACCCTTCAAAACAAGTCATCATGGTAGGATTACCCTGTACTTAGTTCTGTCAGGCTGCCCGGGAGGCTGGGGTGCCTCACAGCGGCCTCTGGGTCTAAACCACATTCTCTAGATCACTTTTTACCTGGCTTCAGCATCAGAGGGTACTGGATGCTGTTTCAGCCCTTAATCAAGCAGAACTTTGATTCCTATTTGGCACTTTTTTCCTTAGTCCTGTACCCTGGTGCTAGCATTCTTGAGTACCAGCTATCTCACTGTCGTACCAGTACCAGTAATTCACTCCAAATCCCAGGCCCCAGGCCCTGTGCCAAGCTCTATGGAAACATAACCTCATGTGAGCCCCATAAGCCTCAGGGAGGAAGGTGTCATTATCTTCACCTTTCAAGGGACCAAAGAGGTTAAAGCTCTTGTCACAGAGCTAGTAAGTTACAGCCAGCATGGAAATCCAGGTCTGTCTGGCTGACTGCAAAGCAGCCTTATGCAGTTCTGCCTCCTATGCAGAGGAATTAAGCGCCTGGGGTACCAAGATAAATAAAACACACCTCTGCCTGCCCAGAGCTCATGGCCGAGTCTGGGAGCTCAGAGTCATTGCAGTGACCCTCCAGGTGTGGTCTGCTGCTCCTCTGTACAGCAACACCTGAACTACTTCTTCATGTGAAAGCTCCTGGCCCTCTTCCACCAGCCTTGCTGAATCAGAATCCCTCTTCAGTGGACCTGAGGGCTCTGTGTTTGTTAATATGTCGCCTGGCCATTCTTAAATAAATTAAACATTGAAAACCATTAGTTCCAAATCTAAAAGCAAAAAACAAGACAGGATACAAAATCGCATATTTTTAGGAAATGCCCCTATAACATTCATCCATAAGAATGTTCTTTTCACCAAACTTGTCTTTCTAAATTCCTAGCCTGAATCTTTTCTGGGGTTGCTTAAATCTGCCAAACATAATTCTCAGTTAGGGAGAGTCATGTTAGCATTGGATTATAATAAAGATTTTATTACTAGTCTTCACTTTTAAAAAAAAGAATACATTATTACAGGGCTAACAAGAACCATAACTCAAACATGATGAACTTCAGTGAAATCCAAGGACCCAGAGCTTTTTCCTTGAATCTAAAATATTAAGCCAATAGCTCAAATGGTTAGAAGTGAATCTATAAATCCTCCCCCAGAGTGGCATGTATTTTGTTTTGCTTTGTTTGCTGGTTTGATGGAGGGTAATGCCATCATTTCAGGAAAACTTCTTGTCTCTTCACTTTCCATCTGCATCCTGCTGTAGCCTGGCTGGGCTCTTTTCATCCCTGTCCTCCTCTTTAATTCCCAAGGATGATTTCCTTCCTATTAAGCATCAAGTTAACTTCTCTCATCTAACCTTTCCTCAAAACCAGTAATAGCCTCCTGTAAAAAGTTCCCGCTTCTTAATCTGACATGTGAAATTCTCTGCAATCTGGGCTCCCTCATCTCTTTTTCAGAACCTACTTCTTTTTTGAAATTATGCTTTCCAAAGAATTTACCTACTTGTGGCTTCTGCATTCCCAAATCCATGCTTTCACTTCTGCATTTTCTCAAGTGCTGGATCGGTCAGAAGAGGTTGGGTTATCTTCAGTAACTAAACAGCCCCTAACTCTCCATGACTAAAAACAACAAAGACTTATTTTACGTTCAAGTCACGTGTCTATCCAAAGCAAGCATGGGGCTAGCTAGCCTCATCTTCCATGCTACAGAGTTAAACAATAAAACAGCCAATTCGAACCATGCTACAGAGTTAAGCAATGAAACAGTCAATTCGAACGTTGCTGGCTGCCATACCAGAGGATAAAGGGAACTGTGGAGAGACTCACACTGGCCATTAAATGCTTTGATCTGGAAGTGATACCTACCACTTTCACTCTCCTGAAACTAGTCACATGGTCCCACCCAGCCACAATGGGGTCAGGATGTGCAATCCTACTAGTGGCTGGAAGAGACAAAAAATATTGGTGAACAGCACTCATGACTGACAAAAGTACTTTTTCATATCTTATCCATACTAAAGGCTGGGCTCAAATACATTCTCTACTGTTTTTCCGACCAAGGCTCCTCTGTATGGCAGTGGTCTCTTTTTTCTTTGTCTTAGGACTCTTACTTTCTATTCCATTATTTTTGGCACCGTCCAGTCAAAACAAATTCCAAGTTATTTTAGGTATGTACATCTGATGTCCCCTGAGACAAGAAATTCTTTTTGGAAGTCAGTCATCTGATCTACCAGTTAAGAGTGTGTAATAGGTATTTAATAGTATATCTAGGCATTGCTTACCTTTTTAAATTACAGTTAAAGTCTCACATCTATAATGCTACACTTTTTTTTTTTTTTTTGAGTTGGAGTCTCACTCTGTAACCCAGGCTGGAGTGCAGTGGCACCATCTCGGCTCACTGCAAGCTCCACCTCCCGGGTTCCCACCATTCTCCTGCCTCAGCCTCCCGAGTAGCTGGGACTACAGGCGTCCACCACCACGCCCAGCTAATTTTTTGTATTTTTCATTTCTGTGCCACTGATACAGATGCTCACTTCACACTACAGCTTTGATCTCCTTGTTTATTCAGTTAAATTCTTATGACAATCATCTCAAATACTCTTTCCTTAGTTGTTTGTTTCATAAAGGCCTCCCTCCTAACTTCTGGCATTTTGCTGGCAATCGTTGGTGTTTCTTGGCTTGTAGTTGCATCTTCCCAATCTCTGCCTTCGTTTCATATGGCATTCTCCCTGTGTGCTTGTCTGTGTCCACATTTCCCCCTTTCATAAAGGCACCAGTTATACTGGAGTAGGGGGCACACCCTACTCTGGTATAACCTTAATTTATCTAATTACCTACAACAATTGTATTTCCAAATAAGACCACATTTTGAGGTACTGGAGGTTAGAAATTCAAGATATGAATTTTTAGGGGACAGCATTTAACCCGTAACAGGAGGACAGTGACTCAATTAGGCATTCAGGAGGAAAGATGGGGGAAGACAGAGTTTGGTTTGTGATGTAATTGTCACAACAGCAACCAGCATCTTTCTGGGCATTTGCACAGGCATGGTGTTCATTGCTTCAGGGCTTCAGCTCCCGTATTCTTCAGAAGTGATTCTCACCAGGTGATTAAAATTGTCATTTCCACTTTCCAGAGGCTTAGAAATAAGCCACAGAGAATTTAAGTCACTTGGCCAAGGTCTCACAGCTAATTAGGAGCAGAGGAAAACTTTGAACCCAGAATATTTCTGATCCAGAAGCCTTGCTCTTATCTTCTATGACGTGTCTTCCCGGGGGGAAGGCCATAAAAGAGGAGATCTAACAGGCAGTTGTCCCAGGTGAAGATACAGACTTGGCATATATCAGCTTATAAAAAGCTTGGACATTCCAGAATCTGTCAAAATCTGAGAATATATGAATCTCACCTGCAATTGAATAGTCAACATTAAACTGATTCATAGTTAATTTGCTCTAGATGTGCGTCAACCCTTTCAGTTAACTAAGGCTTCACTTTACAAAGCAACTAACAGAAATACTGAAGAGTCAGTGGGTGCTTTACTGGTGCTGATTTGATTATTTTTACTAGTGATCCAGGTAAATATTTTGTAGTATTTGCATTAATATGCTTTTCTCCCAAGCAGATTATTGTGACAATAACTTGACTAGATCCTAATATTATTCCTTCTAATTTGTACTTAAATGACATTTTCTTAGGAAAGCCTTTTCTCACCTGTTGCCACAAGGAAGGAGACACATTTCCACATGTTCCCAGAGGCCAAAAAGCTATCCTATCATGGTTCTACTGTGCTTTATTTTAATCATTTATTTAATTATCAGTATCTATTACTAGGTCATATGTTCAGTGATGACAAGGGCTGGGTCCGTTGTCCCTTTAATACCTGGCACATGCCCAATAAAATTTCTATGAGAGCATGAATATATGCATTAATCGATCTTTGATTATACATTATTCTGGGGCTTTGAAACAATTCAGGAATGTTTTGGACCTGCCCAAGGATATTCTCTGGGTGAATTTACAATGACCTGTTTGCTTATTTGTCCTGGTTAGTTTCCACCACATTGATAAGATAGAATCAATCCCACCTCTAGCTATGTGCTATACTTGACAAGTGATATTGACACCTGCAATTCCAGGATTTGTTAGGGTGCATAAATACTTAATAAAAACCCTGAAATAGAATTTGAGGAAGATTCCTTGGAGAACAGCACTATCCACGCCTCCAGATACCCTAAAATACGTCTTTGGGTTAAGCCAGAGCATTAGAGTCCTGCATTCATGAAACAAAGCTGTGTAGTTTCTGATAGGTTTTTTGGTAACTGAACTTCACTTGGATATCAATGTAAAGTAACAACTTTATGCATTTCTAATGCTGTCTAACTCAGTTTCACCATAAAAATATTTTGGGGGATATTGGTCACTAAATTGCATTGTGACCTCCGTTGGTGATTCCTGGAGAAATATCAAGCTCCATATTCTATTTCCTTTGAAAAATCTGTTTATGTTAATTGCATGGTCAAGTCTTGGTTTCTTTACTTGAAAGATGGAAATAATAAAGTACCTAGCTCATAGGGTTTAAGATGGGATATCATGGGTTAACACCAACAATATGCTTACTTAGCACAGTGCTTGGCACATAGTAAATAATAAATATTGGCTATTTGTCTCATCATGACTGTCATTGTCGTCATCATCATTGTAATCACTGTATTAGTCCATTATAAAGAACTACCTGAGACTGGGTAATTTATAAAGAAGAGAGGTTTAATTGACTCACAGTTCCACATTGCTGGGGAGACCTCAGGAAACTTAAAATCATGGTAGAAGGGGAAGGAGAAGCAGGGTACATCTTACACGGTGGAAGGAGAGAGAGAGAATGAGCAAAGGGGGAAGTGCCACATACTTTCAAACAACCAGATCTTGTGGCAACTCACTATCACAAGAACAGCAAGGGGGAAGTCCATCTCCATGACTCAATCACCTCCCACCAGGCCCTTCCCCCGACACATGGGGATTGCAATTCAAGATGAGATTTGGGTGGGGACATAGAGCCAAACCATATTACCCTCTTGGCAGCTATCAGTGGAAAGCTCCAAAGCACATTCATGGCCACTTCTACCAAGTGAAATTACTTTATGTATGTCCAAAATAACCTTAGCTTCATTTTATTTTTTTGACCAATTTTCTCATTTACGTATTTCTGAGGTCATTTTTGTCACACTTTCAGATATAGGTTTACAACCTTTGTGAAACAAGGTGAGTTATTAATACATAAATACATATATATGTTCATTTTCAAAGGAGAAAGATGGATTACAGAGATTTGAAATGACTTGTACTGAAAGTAGCAAAGCAGGAACAATTCCTGTGTTCTAAATTGTAGCTCTCAGCCTTTTTTGTATAGAAGTCCACTGAAGCTTCTCTTTCACTGAATTTTTACGCAGTCCCGTCAAAGAGTCTGATGTGGTTTCTCCCGCATTCCATGCTACTTATTGTTGAAATGAAAGCTTTCCTTCTGATTTGGCACAGAAACTGCACTGAAGGAAGGAAGGACCCTGGGAACACATCACAATCGCTAAAAAAAAAAATGATTCTTTGCAGGTTTTGTAGGTAACCTAAGTATCGCATGGTGAACCTATATAAGCAGGAATTTTAATATTACTTTTAAAGAAAGAAAAAGTCAATTTCTCTTTATTCCCAATAGTAACTGTGATTAATCTGTCGGGTAAGAAAAGGCAGCAGCCAGACACAGAGCCCTTAAGGATTTATGGCTCTGCATGTGTAATCAGAATAACTTTATAAATGTGTTGGTAAGCTCCCGGCCACACCCTTAACCATTCCAGGCACCTCCCTCCTCCTCTTTATACCACATGGCCTCAGAAGCCACGTAAAGGACATTTGGGGCTGCCATCTGCACCACATTTCTCTATAGAGATTCGCTTTTCTCTGTTCCGACAAGTTTAGCTGCACATCCTTCCATCACTACCACTAGCCGTTCCCAATTCTGGCCTTCCAGGATTTGGTAACTTGACTCCATGCCTTTTTCTTTTTTTTTTTTTGGCAAAACAGGGCTGAAAACCCCATGTAGAATGCTAACACAAGTGACTGCTCCACTGCCTTGGTGTACAAGTTTATAAGCTCATGTTTTAGATGCTACCCCCAGATCCCTGTCCAAGTCCAACCAGAGTCAGAAGGAGAGATGGGACCGAAAGGCTTTTCCTTCAGATAAGCTGCAGGCTGTTGAGGGCAGGACCCACACCTTACTTCCACAGTCTGTCTGGTTCTGCAGAGCACAAATTGTGTTAGAAATGTCTTTTTTGCATAATCCCTCCCCTCCCCAACACACACCCATCTAGATGTATATTCCACATTACTAAGTGTTTATTTAAGTACATTATGGAATAGAAACAAAATCACAATTTTCCTTGCCTGCTGTCAAAGACTCCAGATGCTAGAATTACCCATGCCCCAACACGAAACCTTTTGCCTCCCCACTCTCAGTATTGGATCTAAAACTATCAACAGGCAAACAAATAAATTCTGGCAAGATTTCAAATTTGAATATAGGGCTGTTTGCCAGGATATACTGAGTTCCAACAGTGGTTTTAACTCAGAGTCTCTTTTTGGTCTTAAAAGAGAAAAACAAAACAAAACATATTTTCTCATCAATTTGTGCAAAGTCATTCTCACCTGCCCCTCTGGGTACGGTGAGGATTAATGGTTTCTATTTCCTAACAATACCCTAGTCCCTTCCTGGTAGTAAGTTAGGAATATGGGCCCATTAGCTGCAAATGTTGCTCTAGTGGCCTTAAAGGATTAATATACCTCCCAAAGCCCTTAACTTACTGGTACAAATCTGGCTAAATGAGTTAATGGGCTAATTAGTTAACTGTCAACTCTGCAAAGATGAGAAGTGTTGTTATTTTGTACTTTATTATATTCTCAAAAATTAACAACTATAGGCAGTAGATGGTAAGAGGACTTGAAATAGGCTGAACAATTTTGACATGCAACACTGGCATCAACAAACACTTGTCCAGCCTCCACTGGGGGAATGAGGTAATGGTGCTATTAATTGTATCCCATGGGTAACTCCGACAACCAGAGCAGTTGGGAAAAGATTGGAATTCATCATTTGAAAGTCCTTTGGTTGTGACAGTGTTTGTCATAAAGTAAAATGAAGAGTCAGGGTAGAATAATTATCTGTTTCCACGTTATTGGGGATGAGGGAGGTTATGTACTGATGTGTGAGCTTGGACAAGATGTGATCTGCAGCACAACTGAATATGCAGATTGATAAGGTACTTTTACGGTAAGACTTTAAAATGCCACTTGAAAATATGGTTTATTTTAGAGCCATAGGAAAGAGTATGGGAAAAGTATCTGAAAATGTGAATCTACAAATAAGAGTAAAGTGAGACCAGCACAGGGCATCTGGGTCACGGGGAATCCAAGGGGAATTTACTGAAAGATGTTCAACTTGTTGGTTACGATCAGAGATTATATAGCTTGGGCAACTTGTTTCCAAGGAGAAAACTTTATAATTGCCCAAGTTCCTGAATGGTTTGGGAATGTGTGCTTAATCCCTGAGCATCTCAGTACATCTTGAAGAATTGGACGCTTTACACAGAGCAGTCACAGACCAAATGACGGATAATTAAGCATTCTTGGTACCACAGGATGCATGTTTAAGGCTTTTGCCAACATAGTAGCTAATGAGATTGTTGGAAAAAGAGTATGTATGAAGAGCAGCTGAAAAGCTTTTCCTCACAAAGTGAGTTTTTGTTAAAAGAGAAAAAAGCTTTAAAATGAAGCACACACAAACACAAATGTACAGACAGAGATATTCTGCCTGAATTATTCCTTGAGAGATGGAGTAGACCCTCTTGGTTTTCTATACAACAGTCACTTTTCTTTCTTTCATTCTGACCCAGCCCTGATTTTCTTCTGGTTTCCAGCTTTCCATGAATCACGTAAATCCTGATAGGTCTAGGCCGTTAACAATGGGTCCATTGCTGTAAAGGACCGGTTTACAGGTGTATAGGTAGCCAGTTTTGTCAATGAGATGTCAGAGAATGTTGACTGGGGGGTTTCTGTGAGTTTTCCTCCCTGATAATTTTCTTAAGTCAGAACTCCTTCCTCTTCCATTGCTGGATAATGTATTTTGGAGTGCTTCTGTAATTACTTCAACCATCTGGCAATGATGGGGAGAATTGGCCATTAGAGGAAGCCAACACACAGGACAGCAAAACAGAACCTGAGTCCTTACATTCCTGAGCTATTGATCTTCCTGTGACATCCCTCTAGAGTTCTGTTCATGTGAGATGATAAATCCCATTATGATTTATTCCAGTTCAACTGAGTTCTCTGTTGTTTCCTGCCAAGACATTCTCACAAATCCAAAAGAAATGGTCATGTCCTTCCCAGTCCCAGTTTGCTCCAGAAATGTGAAATATAAGATTGCACGTTTATGTAGAGCACCAGCAAGAGGGACAGGCGTGGAGATGGATCCTGACTCTGTCGTGGACTGTCTGAGCTTGAATAATACACTTCAACTCTTTAAGCCTCAAGTTTCTGTCCCTCAAGGGACAACAGCCACTATCTCATAAGGACAGTTCATGAGATTATGTAAGAGAATGTTTTCAAAGTGTAGACTCTCAGTGATAATATCTAAAATACAAACACACACACACATATATAAAGGCAACCCTGACAGCTGTTTTCAACAGGAAAACAAATCAAGTGAGAAAATTAACACCATTCAAGCAGAAGGGTAAATAAACCTAGAAAGACATACGGTATATTGGACAGCATCTGTGTATAGGACTTAAAGCCTTTTTAAAATACCTAATCCAGAATTAAGAGCAAAAATAAGAGTATTTTTATCTGATCTCTTAGGAACATGAAATCTGAGGGAAGATACTTTTGGAACCTTGAATCTGAAAGGAACTCAATGTTTTGCATCCTTGGGATTGCCAGAGATTGGCAGAGGAGAGTCAAACAAGGACACAGAGATGGAGCAGCCTTGATGTAAGTGGGAAAAGAACACACTGAATGTGCTGACCGAAAAGCCAAGAGAAGAAGCATTCATGGAGGATGGAGGGAGTGGACAACTGCGTCAAATGCTGCTAAAAGACCAAATGACATAAGAACAAGGAAGAGAACCTACGGATTTCTAGGGAGCCATGAGATGAAAACATGATTGGATTGGGTTGAGAATTAAAGGATGGCTGAGAAATTGGGGACAATGGCACTTTTTATGTCTTACTAGGACAGGATAAATACAAATAGGGCAGTAACTAGAGGGCCACCAAAGGTGTTTTTCTTTTTCTTTTTTTGAGATAACAGACGATGAAACATGTCTATATACTAATGTGAATGATGCACAAAAGAGGGAGAAATTGATGGAGCAGAGAGAAGGGAAGTGATGGTGGGAGTAAAGTTCTTGAGAAGGGGGAGCTAGTGGTGAGATATCTGGCATTCGTAGGATCTCGGGGACTTTATTCACTATAACAAGATAACCAGTAAGGAGGGTGGAGACAGATGCAGATACGTGGGTGGATTTGGTGATGGGAGAAGTAGATTTGTATTTATTGGTTTCCATCCTGAACAAAGATAAAGAATTTCCCAGAAATGGAAAAGTCTTATATATTTTTTACCTTGCCCCAGATTTCAAAGTTTTGACCTTGGGATACAAGCACAGAATTCTGCGAAAGGAGAGTGGAATTTGTCTCTGATCGGAGAATACTCTAATTGTTCAGATACTGCACTGCTCCGATGAACAACTTCTTTGGAATAGGTGTAGTATAAATGCTTTGGGACAGGATAGTCATGAATTTAACAGGAAAATCAATTCTCTAATCGTTGTACAAATACTTGGTGGCAGCACAATGTGCTAAAAAAAAAAACACTGAGGGACAGAAGAAATGAAGTGAAATTGCAGCTTTATAACTGACACATAACACATAATATTGAGCAAGCATTTTGCTTTCTCTGCATTTTTTCCCTACCTATATATAAAATTACTGTAATAATATTTTGCATCTTATATATTTGATCTGAAAATCAAATTATATGAGAACAACAACAATAATAATAATGCCCAAGAGTAACAAGGGCTATTATTTGTGGATCTCTACTAGGCGGCTGTAATTCTGAACTATTCTCTTTCTCTCTTCCATATATATATATACATATATATATATATACATATATATATATATACATATATATATATATACACATATATATATATATATATACACACACATATATGTATTCAAAAGGATACCACTTTGAAGAGTCCAGGGTTTTGGGAGTTGTATTGTATACTAGGAGACTGGGATGAAGACCAAAACCAGCTTATAACTGGGATGAAGACCACAATTCAGCCCATAAATATGTTCACAGTTTTTTTTTTTTATTATTATACTTTAAGTTTTAGGGTACATGTGCACAATGTGCAGGTTAGTTACATATGTATACATGTGCCATGCTGGTGCGCTGCACCCACTAACTCATCATCTAGCAATAGGTATATCTCCCAATGCTATCCCTCCCCCCTCCCTCCACCCCACAACAGTCCCCAGTGTGTGATGTTCCCCTTCCTGTGTCCATGTGTTCTCATTGTTCAATTCCCACCTATGAGTGAGAATATGCGGTGTTTGGTTTTTTGTTCTTGCGATAGTTTACTGAGAATGATGATTTCCAATTTCATCCATGTCCCTACAAAGGACATGAACTCATCATGTTTTATGGCTGCATAGTATTCCATGGTGTATGTGTGCCACATTTTCTTAATCCAGTCTATCATTGTTGGACATTTGGGTTGGTTCCTCACCATCACTGGCCATCAGAGAAATGCAAATCAAAACCACAATGAGATACCATCTCACACCAGTTAGAATGGCAATCATTAAAAAGTCAGGAAACAACAGGTGCTGGAGAGGATGTGGAGAAACAGGAACACTTTTACACTGTTGGTGGGACTGTAAACTAGTTCAACCATTGTGGAAGTCAGTGTGGCAATTCCTCAGGGATCTAGAACTAGAAATACCATTTGATCAAACACAGTTTTAAAAGATTCATAAGTCGAAGCCCTAATACCCAGTAATTCAGAATGTGACTGTATTTAGATATGGAGATAGGGCCTTTAAAGAAGCGATTAAGCTAAAATAAGGATGTTAGGGTGGGCTCTCATCTAATTTGACTTGTATTCTTATTAGAAGGCAATCTGGACACAAAGGGACACTGGGGTACATATGTACAGAAAAAAGACCATGTGAAGACACAGTGAGAAAGTGGTCATTTGCAAGCAAAGAAGAGGTCTCAGAAGAATGCAAACCTGCTGACACCTTGATCTCAGAATTCTAGCCTCCAGAATGGTAAGAAAATAAATTTCTGTTGTTTAGCTCATATAGTCTGTGGTATTTTGTTATGGCAACCCTAGCAGATTACACACACATGGAGACACACAAGCACACACATAGATGCGTATATAATCTTTTATCCTTACCCTAACTCTATAAGGTAAGCATTATTATCCTTATTTTATAGATGAGGACATTGAGGCGCAGAGAAATTAAGTGACCTTCCTCAGAGTCACATATGACAGCTAAATGGTTACAAAGTCCATAGTAACTATAGGATCCCTGTGATGTTGTGAAATATCTATTTGGTCTTCATCCCAGTCTCCTAGCGCACAACTCCTAAAATCCCTGGACTCTTCAAAGTGGTAAGTGTCTTTCTGAACACTGATGACTTGACTGTTGGCTGGAAGCCCTTAGGTAGCTTCAAGATGGGAGCTGGTCACCCAAAAGACAAAGGTAGGATCAGAGGGTTGGGACTTTCAGCCCATTCCCCAGTCTCCAAGGAGAAAAGAGGTTGAGTTTATTGGTTTCATCAATTGGGCCCATGTAATGTAGCCTCCATAAAGCCTCCCAAAGACAGTGTTTGGGGAGCTTCGGGATAGCTGAAGACGAGGTTCCTGGAGGGTGGTGCACCTGGGGAAGGGATGGTAACTCCATGCCCCTTCCCATATGCCTTGCATCTCTTCGTCTGTATCCTTTTGTTTATATCCGTCATAATAAGCCAGTAAGGGTAAGTTTCTCTGAGGTCTGTGAGCTGCTCTAAGAAATTAATTGAACCCAAAGAAGGGGTTGTGGGAACTCTTATTTATAGTCAGTCAGAAGCACAGGTAAACCAACCTGTGGGCTTGTGAATTGCATCAGAAGTGTGGTGTAGGAGCTTGTGAATTGCATCAGAAGTGTGGTGTAGTGGGTAGTCTTGGGGACTGAGCCCTCAACCCGTGGGATCTGATGCTATCTTCAGGTAGATGGTGTCAGGAGTGAATTGAATTGAAGGACACTCAGCTAGAGTCTACTGCAGAATTGATGGCTTTCTTGCTGATAGGGAGAATCCCCACACACTGCTTGGTGACTACAGGGCACATAAGTCTTCTGTGTTGATTGCTGTGGGGTGAAAGTGGAGGAAAAGTTTGTTTTTTTCTACATAATCCCGTTGAAAGGTAATTGTAAAATAATTGAAGTCACAGAAACAGATTTTTAAAAAAGAACCATTAATTTCTCTGTTTCCCATAACCTCATTCTCAAATAGATTTCCAGTCAATGTGCTACGATTTCATAGCTTTGCCATTGTTGTTGTTTTCAGAGCTCCAAGACCACTATTTCTTCAAGATTTTTTAGAATTTTTAAACATCCTTCTCATTGCACCTTTTAGTGGTCCCTTATTGCAATTCTATCATTCAAACTCAATTAACCAAATTGTTTATTCTTTCTGCCTTTGTTTTCATCTCAGCTGGAGCTACTCCAGGGGTTTACAGCTTGCCAGTTTTGCAATGAAGTGCTTAGATCAGAACTCTGAGCAGGACCCCGTTTACTGGGACAGTCTGGCCATCAGATGGTGCCTGTATCAGTGTAGCCCCAGATCTCATGGCTTTGCAAACATCTGTGCTCTCTGCTTTACCCTGCAGCATTTCACTTCCATTAAAAGTGCAGCCTAAAATCTCCCTTGTGCATCCTTGTCTGGGAACTGGGTGACTTCCAGTTGAAGGGTCAATAAATATAATTAAAAGGATCATCCAACTGGATCTCTTTCTCTGAGTGTCTTCCCTTGGAGGGACAACCCTCTCCATCTCATAAATGGATTTTTTCGAACATGAGGACTTTGAAAGGTGGCAGATGTCCTCAGCCTATTGATTTGTGTAGTTTGATGCCTGGCAAGTGGTAGTCAGAGTCCTCAGATTCATAAGGACACCCCCTCATATGCAGAGGATTCACAGATGATATTCACTGTATTATGGCCTGATCGATAGTCCCCTACCAAATAAATGCTCATCTACTCTATCACCTCTCCTCATAGACAAGTAATAACACCATGACTTATTAGGAAATACAATGAGCGTAAAACAGTAGTAGCCAGCTTCCTGAATAACTGTTACATAACACGGCATTTCTTGGTACTTTCACGTACCCTAATCCTATTTTTGACAATAAACCTGCAAGCTGCTAGTTTTTACTTCTGTATGATTATTAAGGAAACCAAAACTTCGTGAATTTAAATGTGTTCAAGGTCTCATAATTATAAAGCATCTAAAATTATTTCTCCATCACCAAAGCCCATGTCTTTTCACTGTATTAAATTTTCTCTCAGCCAATCATCACAGACATTCCAAAAATATGAGTTTTCTTTAAAAAGTTAACCTTGAAAACTTCATTAAGTTGAACAGTGCTTCCTCCTACCACTAGTCTGAGCTGCTCTCTTGCTTTAGAAGTCTACATGTTCAGTGAAGTGATCCTTTGAATTATTGTTTTATTTGCCATATCATTCAAAAGAAATGACAGTATGGTTCATTTTAAAAATTTCCTTTGTGTCAGGTATTGCCAAGATCTGTTTATCGCTGTCATGTGGAAAAGGAAAATATGATGAGGCTTGAAATGTTCAAATGTGAAGTTTCCCTTTTCCCATTCAAATAAGGGCCAGCAACACATCAAAAGGCAAGATTTCATTTTCAGTGATTGATTTAGACAAACTAAAGCCTGCATAAATGCTGCATAAATTAGATACTGCTTAAAACCCGTGAATCATAATGCTTCTGAAAGGTAACAGACATATTGGAAACAGATCTTCTATCAATACTAATGGTGACATCAAGGACTATGATGATGGCAGTTTGGGCTTTCATAGCCTTTTTCCTTCCAGAGATCTCCAAAAATCTGTTTCCTGTCAACAGATATATCAGGAAACCAAGGCCACATCTGGCATTCACAGTGATTGTCATTGTGCTGGGCCACTCGGCTTCATCTCAAACCAGCAGCAGCCCCTCTAGGAAGTTCAGTTCCTTGCCACTTGGCAGAAATTGCAAAGGAGAATTCAGACAGATGCTTGTTGCTATGGGGATAAAAGTAGGGAAGAAAGCTCTTTAATGGAAACTGGTCTCCCAACATAAAACCCATCACTTTAGATAGGATTCTCTTTGGGCCCTCTGGGCGTCAGCCTGGAAGTAATTTGCAAAAAGTTGGAAATTGGAATGAGTAAGAGAACAATCTTTCAACATAATTTTACAGTTATATTCCTGTTGCATTTTTGTTTGAAAAATGTAAGACAGCTATTAATGACTAATAGAATCACCAATGTAATAGAATGTTGATAGCTTAGCATTTAAGAGAATGAGGTTGGGATTCAAAAGGACTGGCTTTCAAATCCTGCTTCCGCCACTGATGAGCTACATGGCCTTGGGAAAGTTATATAACCTCTTTTGTCTTTAGTCCTCTCATCCATATGATGAAAATAATCATGTTAAACTCAGAGACTTGTCAGAGAAATTAATAATAGTAATAAATATCAAGCATATTTCAAGCACCTGGCACAAAGACAAGATTAAAAATAGAAGGTTTTAATATTAAAATTGATTATTAATATTATTATAGTATTGTGATAATAAGACTGGGTAATAATGTTACCAGTCACTTATAAAGGTAGGTGTATAAATGTGTACTTTGAAAGACAGTAAAGAAGATTTAAAAAAAAGAGTGAAAGGTTTGAGATATTAAAACGGCTGTGCTGGAATGACTTTGACATAAGTAAATTTTTTAGGCAGTGAGCTATTTTTTTAAAACTAAGCTGAACATATTTTTAAACCAGACAGTAGGGTACTAAGGTAGAAGTCACAGATGAAAATCAATATGCTTTGCCAAAAATATAAATAAGAAAACTCATCAGCTGGAAAAAGCATTGCTACAATGTGCATGTTGCTTCCATCTGGAAGAAAAATGCTAGAAAGAAACTTAATATTCATGACTGACACATTTTCTTTGTGCTGTCAGTCAGCTGGAACAGAAATACACAGCTGGTTAGAAAGCCCATCTCTACTTCATGTTTCATCTGATGACCTTATACATCAAATCAAGAATTGTGGGCTGAAACAACATGCTTTATCCTGGTTTATTTTTTCAGAGGATGGTATAGTGATCCAAACCTGACACAATGTAACCTGTTTCCTTTCTTCATCTTTCAAGTTCATATCAGAAATCAACACTAGAATTCAAGAATATAAGTCCAATTATCAGCCCAAAAAATGAGGGAGGAAAAAAATACACACTTGGCCAAATATCTTATTTGCAGGTAGAGTAATTTGTCAAATAGAAGATTTACTTTTGTTTCCAGAGCACTGAAATTATGTAGATACATTTTAAAATCCATATTTTAAAAACTTGGCCACAAATATTCAGGAAATCTAAATATTGAAAAGAATCTTCATTGTTAACATATGTCTATTTTTTAAAGACTGTAAATTTCTCAAGTCAGATCCTATCTTTTATTACATAGTTTCCTAAAATTCTAACCTGCACAGAGGAATACTTATCAGATGTGTTTTGCATATACTTATAAGTTAAGAGTTTTAGATTTTCACATAGAAGGTGAGTGTCTTAAAGTTTTACTGTTTAATCAGTGATCAGGGATTGAAAAATGAATTGACACATGAAGGATGATATTAAAGCATCTGGATTTTTCAGAAAAAGAAAACCAGTGCTCCCTTGGCATTTGAGAACACAAAAGTTCTCACAAATGGAAAATCAGTAGAAACAAAAGTAGTCAGGTATATACATGCCAAAATCTTGCTCCATGATTCCATTCTTCCTTAGCATGTCACAGTAGTCAATCAATAAGAACATACTGGGTGATGATGACAAAACTAAAATAAAATGCATTATTATCTTTAAACAATATTTTGTAAGGGAGATAATTCTTAGAATCATACCCTTATTTCCTCCTGAGGGATTACTTAAAACTAGCATATAGGTCCCAGAGCATTGGCGTGGAAATAAATCCCAAGCTCTGTAGACTTCTGAGAATTGATTGTATACATTTTTGTTTTCCAGGATGTAGCAGACTCTAAAGATCCCAGGATGACAATATGTGGTTGTGATCCTGTGGTATAAGAGATTTAATTAGACATCAAATGTGCATCGTCTAATGATGGTTGTTTAAATTATCAGGTCACACACTGCAGTCCTCCGACCAGAAAGCTGGCAGGAAACATTGAGGTAAAAATACAGTAAATCTCCTTTTGACATAATGGGATGCAGAGAAATAACGTGCTACCATGGGCAGGCCCACCACTCACCAACCCTCCTTCTCTAATAGGCTGGGCTGTTTTGTATTTCACAGATGATTTCTGCTTATTCTCTGCCTCCCACCTACCAGGTCTGCTTGCCATCACATTTATCAATTTAATACCTTGGCTAATTTCACTCCAGAATAATGTTTCTGTTTATAGACGTCTAGCCTCTGTGGCAAGCAAAAGGTACCCGGGGGTTTCCAGGAAGCAATGGTAATGGATGCTGGAATGGTGAGGAGAACCTCTCCAATCAAAAAACAGCACCCACTTCTATTGCCTTGTCAGTCCTAGCCCTTGCAAAGTGGTGATTAGAATCCTTCTGTGTGCAGCTGTTCTTCTCAGTACAGCCTGTCGGAGTGAGAGGATACAAAGAGGGCACCTCATTACCAGGACTTTGAGACTGTAAGGGAAAGAATAACGTGAAATGAATCCTCTCAACTAAAAGGTCAAGGGCTATGAGGGTATGCTGGCGAGACGCAAGGTCACTCACTCCTCATGGCTAAGCAATTTGTTTCATTTTCCCCCATACTTCTAACTTACAAAGCATGGACCACACATGACCAAAGAGAAGCAACTGTTAGTCATCTCAACAAATTGGCGTGGTGCCGAGAGGGAAGGCAAAAGTTGCTGATTAGAGAAAGATTGATGACTGCGAATGTTTCCCAGGTATAAACCATCTGGGCAGGTATCTTTTAACTAAGATTAATAAACATATGCCACCACAAGTTTCTCATTACAAGAGGCATGATAATGCAGAATCAAAATTTTCTAGTCAAACTGCCAGGCTGCCACATTGCAAAATCTCTCCAGATAAGTGAAGCTCTGTGCTCACTCAGATAGGAAAACTTCCCCTACTGCACTTGAAATATTTTATCCTCAAGGTCAATAGTCCTCCTTCTTTCTGGAAAAGTGAACATGGACCAGAGGCCTCTCTGTCCAGGTCAAAACACAGGTTCTAAAATGTCCTCCCAACTGGCAATCTGTATCCATATGGACTAAAGGCAATGTCCTGGCCTTTAGGTTAATGCCTGAAGCCAAGTAAAAGACTATTTTACAGGCTCTTATAAGCAATAGATGGCCAGGGAGCTTGGAGATCAGCAATTTCCAAGGGCAACCACAGAGAAGTTGAAGACTATGGTGAGAAAAATAGGACGTGTTCTGATAAGCACCAGAGGGGGCGTCACAATGTCAACTCAAAATTTAGTTTTTTTCAAAATGTCAAGATGTGCTAGGGCTGTGAGCTCCCAAGAAGCCATCAGAACCGTCATTTCCAATTCAGAATGAAAGTATATTTCCATTATTCAGCTCAAGTGTGTAACTCCACCACTGAACATTAGTTTCAATCTTGCTGTGAAACCATGGGCAATCTCTTTTCACAAAGACTGCAAAGTGCTCAGAAAACAATCTCCTTGTCCAGAAAAGATGATTTTTACTTTTTCCATTTCTTTTAACTTGTAGTGAAATGACAATTATTTTTCATTTTAGACCTAGAGTAATATGTGTGTATGTGTTTAATATATACACTCACGTATATATGTATATAAAAGTATATGTATATATGCATGAACACATTCATATATAATGCAATGTATATGTTACCTATATATGGTATGGCACATTTGTGTGTATACTATTTATATATAAAATACATAAAGACACCAGTAAATAATAACCATATTAGTTTGCCTCATAAAACTATTACATTAATCAAAAGTAAACAGGCAAACCCTTAGCAAAGACTTACAGGAAGTCATCATTAATTGAAAACAGTTATCAGGGACAGAATGTTAAAGATCTAAAACACACGGCATTACTATGGGACAGCACAAACTGAAATCCAAGTAGATAAATGAGAAGGGCAAACAAAGGAAGAGGTGAACAGTGTTGTATTTTCAAGGTAAAGGTATCCTTTCTTGTTCTATAATACCTGGCCATACTTATAAAGGTTTCTCACATGAGAATGACAATGGGGGTATTATTTTTCCAAATAACACACATTACTTTTTATAGCCTGGTATATTTATGGTAAATAAACTTCATCCCATATGTCAAGTTTGATGGTTTTTTGTGGGTGCCTGGCCCCCTGTGTTTAGGAGGATTCTGAGGCTACATCTGGGCTCAGAGGGACCAGGGACAACCAACAAATAATATCTGCTGTGGCCACAAGACAGGAAGATGGAGATCACACAACTTGTACTTTCCATGTCTCACCCTATACCTAATAGGTACTTATATTAATCGTTTAATATTGACCATGAAGAACGGAAAATTAGCATGCAAACACTAAAAGATCCAAGGGTCAGAACTTAGAGGATGGTGAAAATTAGCACAGCAAATAGAAGCTTCCCAATGTAATAGAGGTTCGTCAAGATTCAATAGTTTGGAAAAATTATTCGCTGCTGTATGAGGGAGTCATCTCTCAACCTCAGTAGAATATATTTCATGTTGCAAAACTTGAGGATGTCGTCCTAGAAATAGTCACTAAGGGCTAAAGGAAAAAGAAGATTCCCCCAAACTGTATCTAATATCAGTGGGGGTTGGAGGGAGAAAAAGATCTCTAGAAACACTAATTCAGGACTAACAACTTAGAAAATCAAAGCACATATGTTCTCTTGTAACACTAAAGAATTTTATTACACATATAGGAGGTGGTACATCCAAGGGAAATGTTTAAATGTTTAGGTAAACATTTATCAGAATTTTGTGAGGGAATTAATTCATGAGGCAGCCAAAGTCACTCTGAATCAAGGCTGGGCATTTGAATCTTAGAATCACCTGTGAAGGTGACTGCTATCGAGACATATTATGCAAACCTTCCTGCACAGGATCCGAGAATGTGTATTTCATCATGGCCTCAAAAAAGTCTTATTTTTTAACAGAATGTCTTCTGAAGTTCTATTTGGACAGGCAAGATTTTGAAATAAATAAATAGATGGAAAATCATATTTGTGTGAATACTTGGCATAGTACTTAACATGCAGTAGAAACTTAAAAAATATTGGTTGACTCTGAATCTTAAGTTAGAATATTTTTGGACTTCCTAATGTTCAGTTTTTCTCTCATTTTCAACAGTCTATATATTTCATACAGCATGTTACTTAACATGAAGTAGAGACTCCACAAATATTTGAAACTCGAGTTAGTTTTTATGACTTCCTAATTTTACGTGTTATCCCCATTGAGTGAGTTCTTGGGACTTCATAAGTTTTTGATCATTTCCAACAATGACTATAAGTGCTGTATATAGTACATAAGAGGAGTGTGTGTGTGTGTGTGTGTGTGTGTGTGTGTGTGTGTACATGTGTGTTTTATCAGCAGATTGGGAGAAAAAGTTTGAAAAAATATAACAACCTAAGAAAATAAAATTCACTTGATGGACTCAATAGCAGAGCGCAGATGGCAAAATGAAGTTAGTAAACTTACATGTAGATCAATAATAAGTATGCAATCTAAGAAAAAATGGAGAAATTGAGAAATGCAACCAGTGCCTTGTGGACTCACAGGAAAATACCAACAAGTATTTGAGTTATTAGAATCCCAAAATGAAAGGAAAAAGCTTGGTGCAGAAAAATTACTTGAAGAAATAATGACCCAAAACATCTTGAATTTCATAGGAAACAAACTTACAGATTTAAGAAGCTCATAAATCCCAAGCAAGATAAACTTAAAAAAATTCCAACCCAGACACATCATAATCAAACTGCTAAAAACTAAGAGCAAAGAAAAAAATCTTAAAATCAACCTGATAAAAGTATTGTATTACATACATAAAGAAGAATGATTGAAATGGCTGGGTTTTTTTTTAAATCTAAACCACAGAGGCCAGGAGGCAATGCAACAACATTTTTTAAATGTTGAAAGAAAAGAACCCTCAATCTAGAAGTCTACATCAGCAAAAATATACATCAGGAATAAAGGTGAAATAAAGACATTCTCAGAAGAATGGAACCTAAGAGAATATATTATCAGCAAACCTGCTGTAAAATAAAAAAGTTATTTAAATAAAAACAAAATGATATGAGTGGGAAACCTGGAACTTCAGGAATGAAGGAAGAGCAACAGAAATGGCAGATAACCTGGTTAATATGATGGACTATTTTTCTCATGTTATTCTTTAAATATGAACGATTGAGCCATCAACCATTGGATCTAATATCCATTTCAATGATAACTGAAAGCAAAAATTGTAACATTGTCAGACTGGGGTTTCAATGTATGTAGATGTAATACATATGAAGACAACAAAATAAAGGGAGAAGGGCCAAAGGACCTCTATATTGATAAAATTCCCATATTCCACTTAAAGTAATAAAATATTAAGTCTAAATAGACTATAAAAAGTTAAGTATCTATATTATAATCCCTAGACAAACACTAAAAATCAATACAAAGAGAAATATTTAAAAACTGATAGAGAAACTTAAATGGAGTAACAAAAAATATTCAAGTAATCTAGCAGAGAGCAGATATGAAGAAAGAAAAGAATTAAAACAAACGGAACAAGCAAGAAAAAAACAAATAAAAATGGTAGGCCTAAAACCAAGCATACCAGTAATGAAATGTAAATAGTCTACACACCAATTAGAAGAAAAAGATTGACAGAATACAAGATCCAATTATATGCTACCTATAAAAAAACTACTTTAAATATAATGGCATAAGTAATTTAAAAGTAAAAGGATAAAAAATGTTACTCATGCAAACACTAATCAAAAGAAAGCTGGAGTTGTTATATTAATTTCAGGCAAAGTAGACTTCTAGACCAAGAAAATTACTGTGGATAAAAAAGGAAATTACATGATAATAAGAGGGTCAATTCACCAAGGACTCATAATAATCCTAAATGTGTATGCACCTAACAATAGAACTTCAAAAAACATGAAGCAGAAATGGATATAACTGAAAGGAAAAACAGGCAAGTCACAATTCAATATGTTCCCCTCATTTACCACTGTAACAAGTGAACAAAAATAAGCAGGGATGTAGAATTGAAAACACCATCAACCAATGGATCTAATTCCCATTTGTAGAACACTCCATAAAGAGTTGCAAAACTGCATACTAAAAATTACAGGCTGATGAAAGCAATCAAAGAATTAATAAGTGGCCTGATAGATCATGTTCATAGATAGATGACCATGATATATCAATATATTTCACTGCAGGTAAGATACAGTTAAGATATAGTTAAGATACCAATATAGTTAAGATACCAATTCAATATAGTGAATATACCAATTCTCCCCAAGTTGATCTATGAATTTAGTGAAATACCAATCAAAATCTCAGGAGGATGTCTCATAGATATAGGTAAGTTGCCACTAAAATTTAACTAGAGAGGCAAAAAAGCACAGCAAAACCAATTTGGAAAGAGATGTATGTTGGAGGACTCACACTATCTGATTTTAAGGCTTACTATAAGCTATAGTAACCAAGTCTATGTGGTTCTGGCAAAGGGATAGAAATGAAACATAACATAGAACCCAGAAATAGATCTGCACAAGTATGTTCAACTGATTTTTGACAAAGGTGAAAAAACAATTAAATGGAGGAATGATAGTGTCTTCAACAAATGGTGTTGGAGTAATTGGACATTCATGGGTCAAAAAATAAACCTTGACCTAAACCTGACTCCTTATATAAAAATTAACTAAAAAATGGATCAGCAAGCTAAATATAAAATGTAAAACTAGAAATTTACAGAATAAAACCAGTGAAAACCTTCCTGACTTTGAGTTAGGCTGAGAGTCCTTACAAAAGCATAAGAAAATCATAATAAAAATATTGATATATTTGACCTTATCAAAATGGAACATTTTGCTCTGAGAACAACACTATCAAGAGGAAGAACTGACAAGCTACAGTCTGGGAGAAAATATTTGCAAATCACATATCATTCAAAGAGGTGATTACAAAATACATAAAGAACTCTTAAAATGCAATGACAACTTAATTAGAAATGTGCAAAATATTTGAACAGACATTTCAGTAAAGAAGATATATAGATGAAAATAAGCATATAACATATCTCAACATTATTACTCATTAAGGAAATGCAAATTGAAACCACAATAGTATACTATCATACATCTATTAGAATGGCTAAAGTAAATACATATATACATACATATATAAACATACATACATGCATGCATAAAAGATAATGACAAATGCTGGGAAGGATGGGAAACAACTGTAATTTTCATATATTGCTGATAGGAATAAAAACTGCCACTCTGAAAAATACTTTGGCATTTTCTTAATAAGCTAAACATATATTTATCACTCCTGTGGTAGGAATGACATGACCCAGTCATCCTACTCCTCGGTATTTACCCCAGAGAAATGAAAACTTATGTTCACACTGAAACTTGTTCACAAATGTTTATAGTTACTCAGCCCATAATTGTTAAAAACTGGAAACAATCCAAATCTCCCCCAACAGGTGAATAGATAAACAAACTGTGGGGCATCCATACAATGGAATGTTGCTCATTAATAACACAGAACAATTAAGATACACAGACAACTGAATGGACCTCAAGGGAAATATGCTATGTGAAAAAAGGTCATTTCAAATGGATTCATATTATGTGATTCCAAATTTAGGACATTCTGAAAAGACAAACTATAGTAATGGAGAACAGATCAGTGGTTACCTAGAATTGGCATGATGCAAAGGTTTGATTAAAAAGGGTAGCATGAGGGAGATTTTGGGAATTATGGAACTGTTCTGCATCTCAGTGGTGGAGGTTGCTGCAAGAATCCATACATGTGCTAAAACTCATAGAATTGTACACCACAAAAGGTCAATTTGACTATATAAAAATTTAAAAATAATTTAAAAATTAAGTCTTTTACAATCATATGTATAATTATCCTAAATTTGTAATGCCTTCCCATGCAAGTATGTAACTTTTATTCAAGCAAATGCGTTTTGCCTATACAGATAACTGTTGATCTGTGTAACCACCAATAGGAGATCCTTATAATTTAGTGGAAGAAATACATGATTTAGGGGCAAGCCTGAATTTAAATTTTTGCCCCAAAACATATCCATTTATTAGTTAATATTTACGGTACACCTACCACGTGCCAGGTGTATGCCAGGGTCTGGGGAAAGATAAATAAAGCAGATGGTTTGACATTAAGGAATTTACAAACTCATGAGGGAAACAGACACAAAGCAGATAGCACTAGAGTAGATAAATAAATGTAATTATAGACCATGGTAAGTGCTACCAAGAACTGAACAGGGAGATGAACATGGAACTGGAGCAGAATGGGGTAGGTGCTGCTTTAGTTAGAGGGTCTGAGAAGAATGGGACATTTGAGATCTGAAGGATGACAATGAACCATTCACGCAAAGGGCTGGCGAAAGAGTGTTCTGTTGCAGAGAGCAGCAAGGGGAAGGGAACGGAGTAAGAAAGGGTCCAGTGTGTTCCAGGAACAAAAGAAGAGGCAATGTGGCTGCAGTGCTGTAAGGGGTGGAAAGGAGAGAGGTGAAGTAGTCACACCCTGTAGAGCCCCCTAGGTTATGGCACAAAGTTTAGTTGATTTTAAGGGCAATGGAAAGCCATAGGTTTTTGTTGTTATTATTGTTTCTTTAAGCAAAGGAGCAGCCATGATCTGGTTTATATTACCAATGTCATCTTTAGAAAGTGCTTTTAACTCTGAATTTCAGGTTCTGCATATGCGAAGTGAAGACACTACTTACAGAGCAATATTTCTGTGAGAATTTTATGTATATGTGTATGTCCAGAATTGTGCAGGTTCCATAGTAGGTGCTCAATAAAATATGGGCTTCCTTTCTTTCATGTATCTCTTTGCCTCTTTTTGTGTGTGTATGCATGTCTCTTGTTGCTTTCCTGTTTGCATGAGTCCCTCAGTTTGGTGTTGTTGTTGTTGTTGTTGTTCCAGCCCATGCTGCGCTTATCTGTCTGACCTTGGAAGGAGAATCTCGGCAGGTACTCAAGCACAAGGCACAATGAAAGCCTTTGGTTTCTGCTATCTTTTGCCCACTTGCAACAGTGGACCAGGAGACAGGCAGCTCAGATTCTATTTGGTTGAACCACGTGAAATGGCTATTTTGGGAGATCATGACCAGTAGAATCAGGTTGAACCAATTTCACATAGTTCAGTTTTGTAGCACTCTAAAGTGTGATTTTGACTGATCTGAGTTATTTCTTCATTTGCCAAAGATTTCATTATTTTTGAGACCCATTTACTGCTCTACATTCTGATTCTAATCAAGCCATGTTCATCAAAGGCACACCCTTTCTCACTAGCATAGGTTAGCATCCATCTCTCTAGCAGACTGCCTCTGTCACTAACAAATTGCCAGGAGGCTCTTTTTGGAGTCACATCATCAAAATTCAAAAGAGAAACTTTTTTTTTTTTAGACAGGGTCTCACTCTGTCGCCCAGGCTGGAGTGCAGTGGCGTGATCTCAGTTCACTACAACCTCTGCCTCCCAGGTTCAAGGGATTCTCCCACCTCAGTCTCTCTAGTAGCTGGGATTATAGGTGTGTGCCACCATGCTCATCTAATTTTTTGTATTTTTCGTAGAGACAGGTTTTCACCCTGTTGGCCAGGCTGGTCTTGAACTCCTGACCTCAAGCGATCTGCCTGCCTTGGCCTTCCAAAGTGCTGGGATCGCAGGAGTGAGCCACTGTGCCCAGCCTAAGAAACTTTTTTGAATACTGATTTTTACATTAAAAGCATTTAATCCCTGTTATATTTTTATGAGGAACATTTTAGGGTTTCATTTCATGGAACACTGTTTCTATTACTTCATTGAGGAAGGGCTTGGCAGAAGGTACAAAAGAATTAGAGAGTCAAGTCTAACTAATACAGTGAGTTGATATGGGTCTTGTTTGCATGTTCAATTTGAGGCACCTAATTTATAGTTCCTTGAGGATAATATATAAGAGCCATAAAATGCATTTTGAACAATATTTTCAGCTGACTAATTAGTTGTTTGAAATAGAAATCTATTCTCCACTAATTTCTAAGCAAATCCAACTCATTTTATCTGCTCACAAAAAATAATGATGACATTATCATGCTCTTGTTGAACACTATTCTAAAATTGTCCCACAACATCCTATGTGTGTGTGCTTGGGTATAATAATATATATTAGCATATGTTACTTTATCCAGTTCTCTACCTCTCAGCTAAGAAAAATAAAAATATGAAAATAAAAAAAGTTATAAAGCTCAAGGACCCAATTCCTGATGAGCAGGCTGCAATTCTTTCTCCTTCCTCCCTTCATTGCTACATCTGCCAACCCCACTTCTGGAGGCAGTCTTTCAGCCAGATAGGTCAGTCAAGTAGGTCATTTATTTCTCAAGGGGTTTTGTTACTGTCATTAATCTCTTCTCAGATTCTCACAAGGAGATAAAGCAGATATTGATACAAATAAACACGCAACTTATTTATTTATATCAAAGTTCCTTTTTTTTTTTTTTCTCAGCAAGAAGTGAATTTCAGCCTCAGCCACCAATCTCCCAATAGTGATGAATCAAAGAGCTACAGCTGGGAGAGCTCAAAAATATGAAGATCAAGAGAGGCCTCCAGGACCTCATGTCCTCTGCTCTTTCTTCTGAATATTTCTTTCTTCAGGGTATTGTTATTAAACTGATTGAGAAGTGCTGGGGTGCAGCACCGTGAGAGTTTCTGAAGATCAATGACACACCAAATATAATGGTTTTAAGGCACTCTCTTTTCAAACTAATCAATAACAGCTTTCATGTGATCTTACGATGCAAGATCACATCACTTCCGGGCTCTGTTGAATCACATCTTATCTTCCTATCTAAGAGTCCTCATGGCTGAAAATTGCATTGCTCAGCCCCCAGTAAAAGGAAATGGTTTATATTGTCTCAAATTGCCTAACAAACCTGAAGTGGCTCCATCCTGTCCATAAATGAGGGTGTCAATGACCAAGCCCCTGGAAGACATTTTCCTCCTTACATAAGGCAGAAAAAAAAAAAAAAGCTTTATTTTTCTAATGCCCCATAGTTGAGGAGGGGAGAGGACCACAGTAATCAGTTGTAGGATTCACAATTTCTTAAGAGAAAAACAAAAACTGTTTTGAATATGAAACTTAAAGCAGTAACAAAAATCAAGACAAGGTAAGGAAGTAGCAGAGATTTCTGCGGTTATGAAACACTAAAACACTGGATAAAAATAAAAAAAATTCAGCCAGCCTCCTGATGTTTAGTTTGTAGGCTGTCAAATGCCCTAATAGATTGAGAAGTAAGAAAAGCAGTCATAACGCAATATAGGGACAAATCAGCCCAGTTCAGGAGCTCAAAGATTAGTCATAGCTGTTGTATTCCTAAGAAAGAAATGGCCCTAACATACATCCTTAGTGCATTGAGACAGTCAGGGTTCAGCCAGTTCCATAATTCTGTTTTTATATTTTTGTGTCATGTTCATGAATCTTCCTAAGATGCTTGGTTCCTAAGACTCTTTGTTCCTTGAACAAACAATGTGCTCTATTTTGCCCTCATTTAATCACATTGTTCAAAATAATTTACTCAACTTATTTGTGAATTATTTCAGGTCCAGTGCCTCTGCTTGTTCTTATAGATGAGAATTTCTGGCCTCTCAGAGTTTATCTTTCTTGCCACAGATAACGGCTGCTCATTTTCTTTCCCTCCCATGATAATACAGATCCAGAATTTCCCACTTGAGGTATTTCTGGGAGGAGGAGGCTTTTCCTCTTTCTACTCAGAATGAGTGATTTTAAGTGAATGTCAGATGAGCCTTAAAATGGGCCTGCTGGGTGGGCAGAAAGGTTCTCCTCCCTCTCTGCTCACCATTGGAGTTAAAGGACTATGTAAAATCAAACTTTTCCTTGTACAGGCAACCTACAATCTTAGTATGGATAATTTTATCTCAGGGCAAGGATAAGCAATGAAAAAGCCAGGCACGGGGAACTTAAGGGCAAAATAAATGGGACAGCACTAAGATCATGAAAGAGCATCACATTTGCCAACTGAACCCGCCAGCTCCATTTCCCTGTATCACAACTTGTCCATTTCTAGTCCAAATCCTTGTTTAATAAAGCCTCCCAAATTCCAAATCCCCCTTAGTATTTTCACAATCTCAGAGCTGGCAAGTGACCACCTAGCAGCCCACAAGCCACACCCATATGCAAGGAAAGAGTCCAAACCAAACCCGATTAGGAACAAAGAAAAGTTATCTTACTTAGCACTGGTCTGATGTGTTCATGGCGACTGTTTTGGAGAACAAGGAGAAAATCGGTAATCCTTAACTCTGGGATGATTTTTGCCTCCTTCAGTTTCTTAAATAATTCAGCAGCCTTCTTTGCTTTAAGATTAACGTATATAAACAGAGGAAATGGGGGGCAGCCTCTGGGCTAGATTGGTAAATTGATTGTGTTCTCTGAAGAAAACCATCAGACTCTGGAAAAACACCAGTGCAGCTGATACAAACATGAAAGTTCACAATAATTTCAGATGCAAATATATCACAAAATATGCCTTATCATTTCTATGTGTTTTCCTAACAGATCTCGGAGTTTATATTAAGGCTAAGTGGATGTCAGGCATGATATAATTTGGGGGGAACATATTTATGAAAATAAGATTACTCTTTCAGGGTTTCAGTCCCTGATTTTTCCTTCAAGGTTTGACAACCGACTAATAACAATGCCAATAAACACCAACAATAACGTATTTGTCATTCCTCTGTAATAGCTAAGTGGAAGCAATTTTAGCTAAACATGATCATCTCTTGGAAACAAGATTTGGATTTACAAGAAATGAAAAAAAGGTTCACGTTTTCCTTAATAATGGGAAAGAGATTATTTTTGAGGCCCAAAGACAACATAAGTTGTTTTGAATTGGGCTTCATCTCATTATTGATATATTTTCATTTGCTGAACTGCAGCAGAGTTATGATCTGCCCTGGTTTCCTGTTGAGAGTTTTATCTTTCCATTTTTATAGTACATGCCTTTTCAAAAGAGTAAACTTCCAGAGCAATTTGTTTAAGAAGATACAGCTACTGAATATCAAGATCAGTGAGGAACTGTCATGAATACACTACAGCTTTTCCTGAGAACAAAGCTTCGTTGTTGGCTCTTCAGCTGTGATAGCATTTTGAAGAATTTGGCTCAAGCCTGCTATGTAGAGTTGGGCAGGTTGTTCACTTCACAAGGGCATCTGGCCAAAGGGGGCGAGGGGACTGAAAGCCAGCTCATGCTTTGCTCACCCAACTACGTGCCCTGGCTTAGGGCTGTGTTCACTTGGAAGACGTGTAGTGCCTTTCCCTAATTCACACAGAGGCACTTTATGGGCCAGTGGCAGCCCTATTTAGCTTGGCAGCTAACATGGAATAGGAAAATTCCAAAATGTGAAGATTAATTTTTGCTCTGTAAAGGGCAGGAAGAAGAGAGTATCTCCACAAGGAAAATGGGGGAATTGGAGAGATGGAAGAATGAGCGTCTTCATAGTTAGACAGACACAGCTATCTGCCTCTGGATGCATTAAAATGGACTGTTCTAGGCTCAGTTTCCACATCAGTAAATTGGGTGTAATAATGTTTATGCAGTAAGGTAAAGTATATAATCTAGTTGCTGGCTCTTAATAGGCCTGAGATGCTTGGCAGCTGTCATTGGTGTTGCTGCTGCTGCTGCTGTTTGATTGGGCTGCAAATTTATCCTTCCTCACACTTCCCAGTAAGAATGTCCTTCTGCCAGACCAGCTTGTCCATAGACACATGTGCAGCTAGGAATACTCAAGAGGTGAGGACACTAGCTCAATTCCACTCTATCTTCTGCCTGCTATACACATATAAGAAGGAGGCAGAGGCTTTAACTTGCCCTCCTCAACAGCAGCTAGAAGGTGCTCCAGAGAGAGCTGACTTCTTATCCTGTACTAGTGTTCTCAGCCAGAGGTCTGAGAGAAGTCTGTGAACCCATATAATTATAGGAAATATTTGAGGGTACATGAGTCTTTGCAGTTGTCTGGAGAGTGGATCTCTAGCATTCACTCAATTCTCAAAATGCCCCCAATCCAAAGTTTAAGAACTATAAGAACTATAGCACTAGATTAAGGGAGGAAATAGGGAAAATGTTAGGGAAATTACTTCTTCCCTACCCCAGGATATGGAGGTCTTATCTGGAGTGAATATGTCAAGAACTGCCTTGTCCAGCTCCTTGCCTCCTATTTATCTCTTTTTATAAGACTTGGGCTGGCCAACTAAGGCTGCTGGTTCCTATTAATACACGAAAACTACGACTAACCTAAGCTGACGCAAACACTTGGCATAACACCAAAAGTGCTTACTACTGCTTTCTATAGGTGCCATCAGTCTCTCTGCATGGATCCTTCAGCTCTACTCTCCATCTTCCCTCACAGCTTCTGAGTCTCTGATACCTGTTCACTTTTTTCTTTGGTACTTCCCCTCTCTCCCAGTTCTGTTTACAAATCCAGTTCTGAGCCTTGCCTTAGGAACTGTGTTCCAGGTCTGCCACTGAGATCCATCTCCTCCATGCCCTCTGCTCACTCTGCTTTCTAATTACCTTGTCCTAGTTCTTTGCTCTACTCACACTGACAGGATCAAGCCAAGGCTTTTAAAAATAATCATGCCATTCAGCAATACATTCCACTAACAGCATTCCAATCTGGTCATAGGTTATGACCTATCTTGACTTCTTTCCAGTCTCTCAACTTGAAATGTGATCTTTGTGAGGTAGTCACACAGATGCAAATGCCTCCAAATATAAGCATTATAAATAAGAACAATGTTTTTTTTTTTTTTTTTAAGTAAATATACATGCTTAATCTTGGGACAAGCCCCAAAGCCAAAGAGCCATGAGTTGTCTCACCATGTTCACTGGTCTGACCTCATTTTCACTTTTGCACAGCATGTGAAGGACTCCTCCACTCTACGTTTCCACCTTGAATCTCTTTTTAGACTCTGAATTTCCAACAACTGTCACATCATCTTGGCACGTATGTCCTGCTCGCTACTCATCCACAAAATGTCCAGATCCCTCAATTCATGGTCTTCCCTCCACATGACCTCCAAACTCAAATGTATTTTTTGCACTATATTCACAAGGATCCTTCTCAAATGTAGCTCTCATATAGTTGTTGAGCATCTCAAAACATTTCAATAACAGCCCATTCCCATAGGACAAATTCCTATGGAAAAAATTCTGGTTCCATTCCCACAGAAGGAATTATTATTATTATTATTATTATTATTATTATTGATACTTTAAGTTCTGGAATACATGTGCAGAACTTGCAGGTTTGTTACATAGGTATACATGTGCCATGGTAGTTTGTTGCACCCATCAACCCGTCATCTACATTAGGTATTTCTACTAATTCTATCCCTCCCCTAGCCCCCCACTCATCAATAGGCCCCAGTGTGTGATGTTCCCCTCCCTGTGTCCATGTGTTCTCATCACTCAACTCCCACTTATGAGTGAGAACATGCAGTGTTTGGTTTTCTTTTTCTCTGTTAGTTTGCTGAGAATGATGGTTTCCAGCTTCATCCACGTCCCTGCAAAGGACATGAACTCATCCTTTTTTAAGGCTGCATAGTATTCCATGGTGTATATGTGCCACATTTTCTTTATCCAGTCTATCATTGATGGGCATTTGGGTTGGTTTCAAGTCTTTGCTATTGTGAACAGTGCTGCAATAAACATATGTGTGCATGTGTCTTTAGAGTACAATGATTTATAATCCTTTGGGTAGATACCCAGTAATAGGATTGCTGGGTCAAATGCTATTTCTGGTTCTAGATCCTTGACAAATCGCCACACTTCTTCCACAATGGTTGAACTAATTTACTCTCCCACCAACAGTGTAAAAGGGTTCCAGTTTCTCCACATCCTCTCCGCCGTCTGTTGTTTCCTGACTTTTTAATGATCACCATTCTAACTGGTGTGAGATGGTATGCCATTGCGGTTTTGATTTGCATTTTTCTAATGACCAGTGATGATGATTTTTTTTCAAATGTTTGTTGGCCACATAAATGTCTTCTTTTGAGAAGTGTCTATTCATATCCTTCATCCACTTTTTGATGGGGTTGTTTTTTTCTTGTAAATTTGTTTAAGTTCATTGTAGATTCCAGATATTAACCCTTTGTCAGGTGGATAGATTGCAAAAATTTTCTTCCATTGTGTAGGTTGCCTGTTCACTCTGATGATAGTTTCTTTTGCTGTGCAGAAGCTCTTTAGTTTAATTAGATCCCATTTGTCAATTTTGGCTTTTGTTGCCATTGCCTTTGGTGTTTTAATCATGAAGTCTTTGTCCAGTCCTATGTCCTGAATGGTATTGCCTAGGTTTTCTTCTAGGGTTTTTATGGTTTTAGGTCTTACGTTTAAGTCTTTAATCCGTCTTGAGTCAATTTTTGAATAATGTGTAAGGAAGGGGTCGAATTTCAGTTTTCTGCATATGGCTGTCCAGTTTTCCCAACACCATTTATTAAACAGGGAATCCTTTCCCCATTGTTTGTTTTTGTCAGGTTTGTCAAAGATCAGATGGTTGTAGATGTGTGGCATTATTTCTGAGGCCTCTGTTCTGTTCCATTGGTCTATATATCTGTTTTGGTATCAGTACCATGCTGTTTTGGTTACTGTCGCCTTGTAGTATAGTTTGAAGTCAGGTAGCATGATGCCTCCAGCTTTGTTCTTTTTGCTTAGGATTGTCTTGGCTATACGAGCTCTTTTTTTGTTCCAAATGAAATTTAAAGTAGTCTTTTCCAATAATGTGAAGAAAGTCAGTGGTAACTTGATGGGGATAGCATTGAATCTATAAACTACCTTGGGCAGTATCGCCATTTTCATGATATTGATTCTTCCTATCCATGAACATGGAATGTTTTTCCATTTGTTTGTGTCCTTCCTTATTTCCTTGAGCAGTGGTTTGTAGTTTTCCTAGAAGAGGTCCTTCACATCCCCGTAAGTTGTATTCCTAGGTATTTTATTCGCTTTGTAGCAATTGTGAATGGGAGTTCACTCATGATTTGGCTCTCTGTTCGTTATTGGTGTATAGGAATGCTTGTGATTTTTGTACATTGATTTTGTATCCTGAGACTTTGCTGAAGTTGCTTATCAGCTTAAGGAGATTTTGGGCTGAGATGATGCAGTTTTCTACATATACAATCAAGTCATCTGCAAACAGAGACAATTTGACTTCCTCTCTTCCTATTTGAATACGCTTTATTTCTTTCTCTGGCCAAAGCTTCCAAAACTATGTTGAATAGGAGTGGTGAGAGAGGGCATCCTTGTCTTGTGCCAGTTTTCAGAGGGAATGCTTCCAGCTTTTGCCCCTTCAGTATGCTATTGGCTATGGCTTTGTCATGAATAGCCCTTATTGTTTTGAGATACGTTCCATCAGTACCTAGTTTATTGAGTGTTTTTAGCATGAAGGGGTGTTGAATTTTATTGAAGGCCTTTTCTGCATCTATTGAGATAATCATGTGGTTTTTGTCATTGGTTCTGTTTATGTGATGGATTACATTTATTGATTTGCATATGTTAAACCAGCCTTGCATCCCAGGGATGAAGCCAACTTAATCGTGGTGGATAAGCTTTTTGATGTGCTGCTGGATTTGGTTTGCCAGTATTTTACTGAGGATTTTTGCATCAATGTTCATAAGGGATATTGGCCTGTAATTTTCTTTTTTTGTTGTGACTCTGCCAGGTTTTTCTATCAGGATGATGCTGGTCTCACAAAATGAGTTAGGGAGGAGTCTGTCTGTTTCTATTGTTTGGAATAGTTTCAGAAGGAATGGTACCAGCTCCTCTTTGTACATCTGGTAGAATTTGGCTGTGAATCCATCTGGTCCTGGGCTTTTTTTGTTGTTAGGCTATTAATTATTGCCTCAATTTCAGAACTTGTTATTGCTCTATTCAGGGATTCGACTTCTTCCTGGTTTAGTCTTGCGAGGGTCTATGTGTCCAGGAATTCATCAATTTCTTCTACATGTTGTAGTTTATTTATGTAGAGGTGTTTATAGTATTCTCTGATGGTAGTTCGTATTTCTGTGGGATCAGTGGTGATATCCCCTTTATCATTTTTTATTGTGTCTATTTGACTCGTCTCTCTTTCCTTTTTTTGTTAGCCTGGCTAGCAGTCTACCTATTTTGTTAATCTTTTCAAAAAACCAGCTCCTGGATTCACTGATTTTTGGAAGGTTTTTTCATGTCTCTATCTCCTTTGTTTCTGCTCTGATCTTAGTTATTTTTTGTATTCTGCTAGCTTTTGAATTTGTTTGCCTTTGCTTCTCTAGATTCTTTTCATTGTGATGTTAGGGTGTTGATTTTAGATCTTTCTGCTTTCTCCTGTGGACATTTAGTGCCGTAAAATTCCCTCTAAACACTACTTTAGCTGCATCCCAGAGATTCTGGTATGTTGTGTCTTTGTTCTCGTTGGTTTCAAAGAACTTATTTATTTCTGCCTTCATTTCGTTATTTACCCCATAGTCATTCAGGAGCAGGTTGTTCAGTTTCCATGTAGTTGTGCAGTTTTGAGTAAATTTCTTAATCCTGAGTTCTAATTTGATTGCACTGTGGTCCAAGAGACTATTTGTTATGATTTCCATTCTTTTGCACTTGCTGAGGAGTATTTTACTTCCAATTATGTGGTCAATTTTAGAATCATTGCGATGTGGTGCTGAGAAGAATGTATACTCATTTGATTTTGGGGTGAAGAGTTCTGTAAATGTCTATTAGGTCCACTTGGTCCAGAGCTGAGTTCAAGTCCTGAATATCCTTGTTAATTTTATGTCTCGTTGATCTGTCTAATATTGACAGTGGGGTGTTAAGTTCTCCCACTATTATTGTGTGGGAGTCTAAGTCTCTTTGTAGGTACGTAAGAACTTGCTTTATTAATCTGGGTGCTTCTGTATTGGGTGGATATATATTTAGGATAGTCCTTCTTGTTGTATTGATCCCTTACCATTATGTCATGTCTTTATTTGTCTTTTTTGATCTTTGTTGGTTTAAAGTCTGTTTTATCAGAGACTAGGATTGCAACCCCTGCTTTTTTTTTTTTTCTTTTTTGCCTTCCATGTGCTTGGTAAATCTTCCTCCATCCCTTTATTTTGAGCCTATGTGTGTCTTTGCACGTGAGATGCATCTCCTGAATACAGACACCGATGGATCTTGACTCGTTATCCAATTTGCCAGTCTGTATCTTTTACTTGAGGCATTTAACCTGTTTACATTTAAGGTCAATATTGTTATGTGGGCATTCAATTGTGTCATTATGATGTTAGCCAGTTACTTTATCCATTAGTTGATGCAGTTCCTTCATAGTCTCGATGGTCTTTACAATTTGGTAAGTTTTTGCAGTGGCTGGTACTTGTTTTTCCTTTCCATGTTTAGTGCTTACTTCAGGAGCTCTTATAAGGCATGCCTGGTAGTGACAAAATCTCTCAGCATTTGCTTGTCTGTAAAGGATTTTATTTCTCCTTCGCTTATGAAGCTTAGTTTGGCAGGATATGAAACTCTGGGTTGAAAATTCTTTTCTTTAAGAATGTTGAATATTGGCCCCCACTCTCTTCTGGCATGTAGGGTTTCTGCAGAGAGATCCACTGTTAGTCTGGTGGGCTTCCCTTGGTGGGTAACCCAACCTTTCTCTCTGGCTGCCCTTAACATTTTTTCCTGCATTTCAACCTTGGTGAATCTGACAATTATGTGTCTTGGGGTTGCTCTTCTTGAGGAGTATCTTTTTAGTGTTCCCTGTATTTCCTGAATTTGAATGTCGGCCTGTCTTTCTAGGTTGGGGAAGTTCTCCTGGATAATATCCTGAAGAGTGTTTTCAAACTTGGTTGCATTCTCCCCGTCACTTTCAGGTACCCCAATCAAACGTAGGTTTGATCTTTTCACATAATCCCATATTTCTTGGAGGCTTTGTTCATTCCTTTTCATTATTTTTTCTCTAATCTTGTCTTCATGCTTGATTTCATTAAGTTGATCTTCAATCTCTGATATCCTTTCTTCTGCCTGATCAATTCAGTTATTGATACTTGTGTATGCTTCACGAAGTTCTCGTGCTGTGTTTTTCAGCTCCATCAAGTCATTTATGTTCTTCTCTAAACTGGTTATTCTAGTTAGCAATTCCTCTAACCTTTTTTCAAGGTTCTTAATTTCCTTGCATTGGGTTAACACATGCTCTTTTAGCTTGGAGGAGTTTGTTATTACCCACCTTCTGAAGCCTACTTCTGTCAATTTGTCAAATTCATTCCCTGTCCAGTTTTGTTCTCTTTCTGGCAAGGAGTTGTGATCCTTTGGAGGAGAAGAGGCATTTTGGTTTTTGGAATTTTCAGACTTTTTGAGCTGGTTTTTCCTCATCTTCATGGATTTATCTACCTTTGGTCTTTGATGTTGGTGACCTTTGAATGGGGTTTTTGTGTGGACGTCCTTTTTAATGATGTTGATGCTATTCCTTTCTATTTGTTAGTTTTCCTTCTAACAGTCAGGCCCCTTTTCTGCATATTGGCTGGAGTTTGCCGGAGGTCCACTCCAGACCTTGTTTGCCTGGGTATCACCAGAGGAAGCTGCAGAACAGCAAAGATTGCTGCCTGTTCCTTCTTCTGGAAGCTTCATCCCAGAAGGGCATCCGCCAGATGCCAGCCAGAGCTATCCTGTATGAGGTGTCTGTCAACCCCTGCTGGGAGGTGTCTCCCAGTCAGGAGACACAGGGGTCAGGGACCCACTTGAGGAGGCAGTCTGTCCCTTAGCAGAGCTCGAACACTGTGCTGGAAGATCCTCTGCTCTCTTCAGAGCTGGCAGGCAGGAATGTTTAAGTCTGCTGAAGCTGCGCCCACAGCTGCCCCTTCCCCCAGGTGCTCTGTCCCAGGGAGGTGGGAGTTTTATCTATAAGCCCCTGACTGGGGATGCTGCCTTTCTTTCAGAGATACCCTGCCCAGAGAGGAGAAATCTAGAGAGGCAGTCTGGCTACAGCAGCTTTGAGGCGCTGCTGTGGGTTCTGCCCCGTTGGAACTTTCCAGTGGCCTTGTTTACACTGTGAGGGGAAAATTGCTTACTCAAGCCTCAGTAATGGTGGATGCCTCTCCCCGGACCAAGCTCGAGTGTCCCAGGTCGACTTCAGAATGCTGTGCTGGCAGCGAGAATTTCAAGCCAGTGGATTTTAGCTTGCAGGGCTCCATAGGGGGCTCCATAGGGGGCCCACTGAGCTAGACCACTTGGCTCCCTGGCTTCAGCCCCCTTTCCAGTGGAGTGAACGGTTCTGTCTCACTGGCATTCCAGGCGCTACTGGGGTATGAAAAAAATAAACTCCTGCAGCTAGCTTGGTGTCTGCCCAACAAGCCACCCAGTTTTGTTCTTGAAACCCAGGGCCCTGGTGGCATAAGCACCCAAAGGAATCTCCTGGTCTGCAGGGTGCAAAGACCATGGTAAAAGCATAGTTTCTGGGCCTGAATGCACCATTCCTCATGGCACAGTCCCTCAGGGCTTCCCTTGGCTAGGGGAGGGAGTTCCCCCACCTCTTGCACTTCCTGGGTGAGGTGACACACCCCTCCCCCACTTCAGCTCACCCTCTGTGGACCCACTGTCTAACCAGTCCCAGTGAGATGACCTGGGTACCTCAGTGGGAAATGCAGAAATCACCCACCTTCTGTGTTGATCTCGCTGGGAGCTGCAGACTGGAGCTGTTCCTATTCGGCTATCTTGCCAGGAATTTCAACAAAGAAAATTTCAAACTTCTTCCATTCCCAAAAAAGAAAATCAAAACTTCTCAAGATGGCAATCAATACTGTAATCTACATGAGAGGAAGGACCATGTTTTGGCCAATATTACAATAACTTGCAGAAATGTTCTTCTTATTGAAGGCTTATTATATACCCATTCATGAACACTGATGTACTTATATAACTTCGGTGGATTTCTTAACATCCCTTAGTCATTGTTCAAAGAATGCTTCTAGCCCCATTGCTCACAGAAGGTGCTTAATAAATATCAGTTTATTTCCTCATACCGTTGCCCTTAGAACAAGTTTTTCAATAGATAAGTCCAACATGATCTTTGATTTATTGCTATTTATTGTAAATATATTCATATTAAAATATTCTGAGTATTAGATAATCAAGGCCCAACAAAAACATGGCTTTTTTATTCTGGGGCCCATCTTCTGCCTTTGCTCAATATAACCTTGCTCTCTTTGCTCTTCTTTAATTGAGTTTGCTTATAGAATAGCACTGGAATCTATAATTCCTGGTCTTGGGATGCAGTGGAATGAGGCATATTAAAACCTCTATTAAAATAAGGCAAGCCCCTTTGACTCTCAAAGATGCATCTCCAGACTGGGAATGGGCAGGAGGCCCGAGGCAGCTGGTGTAAGTAGCCCCAACTCTGATAGCTCTGCAAGTTTCACTTCCTCTTTATGCATGTATCACTTTGATTTCCAAGGCCCACACCAACGTCTCAGCTGCCAGATGCATTCTATTTCCCATATAAAACCCTGGCCCCATCACAAACCCAGATAGCTTCCTTTGCTATCCCTTAGCAAAGCTGAAATGCTGTGGAATTAAAAAATAAAGACCAAATATGAAAGAACAAAGATACAAAACAGTACCAGAAACATAAACTCTGTCATGATTATACCACATCAACCTGTATTTCATAGTATTTCATCATCCCTGCTCATCCTTGTTAAGGAAATGGGGGAAGATGACCTCCTTGGCAAAACATATCTTATCTTTTACATCTTTTATCTTTTTTTTGTACCTCCTAGAAGTCTGTCTTCAGGTTGATGCCTAATGTATTCAGGAGTTTTTTCCATCAGGTTGTGATTATGAGTATCAAAAGCAGTCATGTCAGGATCTGCTCTAACTGCCTAGGAGAGAATGGAATGCCTGCTGTGTCACAGGACAAAGCTGCCAAAATCTTGGAAGGCTTGGCACCTTGAAAGAGGAAATAACGCACATTTGTTTATTACAACGCTCCTAAATGTACATCTGCTTTCTCCATTCTGAGCTGGAATCATTAGGTTTCTCCTCCTGTACCCCCTCAGCCATTTTCGGTCGGCTTATTTTATACTTCTGTGAACAGTAGAGTGATTACATGATTAGAATGCTTATCTGGTTTCCCTGTATTCTTTTATTTTTTTACTTTTTAATTTTTTTTAATTATACTTTAAGTTCTAGGGTACATGTGCACAACGTGCAGGTTTGTTACATATGTATACATGTGCCATGTTGGTGTGCTGCACCCATTAACTCGTCATTTACATTAGGTATATCTCCTAATGCTATCCCTCCTCCCTCCCCCCACCCCACAACAGGCCCCGGTGTGTGACGTTCCCCTTCCTGTGTCCAAGTGTTCTCATTGTTCAATTCCCACCTATGAGTGAGAACATGCGGTGTTGGTTTTTTTGGCCTTGCGATAGTTTGCTAACTAGAAATACCAGTTGACCTAGCAATCCCATTACTGGGTATATACTCAAAGGAATATAAATCATGCTGCTATAAAGACACATGCACACATATGTTTATTGTGGCACTACTCACAATAGCAAAGACTTGGAACCAACCCAAATGTCCAACAATGATAGACTGGATTAAGAAAATGTGACACATATATACCCTGTGTTCTTTTAAAAGAGGCCTCCTGCTTTCCATACATTGCTGATCCAAGAAAGCCATTGTGCCAATGGACTAACTACCTTACAACGGTGACAGCCTCCTTTCAGAGACAATAGCTGATTATGCATGTGCAACCTCATTAAAACTACCCTCGATGGGGCAACCTGCACAGCAGCAGAAAAGGCCCACAAAGGGTGGCCACAGATCTTAGATTCCAACTCAAGCTTGATGAAAGTGAGCACTGTTTGAAATGCTTCTATTGAATTCTGGTGGTTACTATCCAATAATTAGTCAATCTCTAATTCAATACCCATTTATTGAATGCCCACTGTGCCATAGAATCTACTAGTTTTTTTTCCCCAATATCCTTCTATTTCCTCTCCACTGAGAAAATCAAGCACACTTTGTTTTGCATTATCATTTACCATATATTGCTGTAAGCAAAATTTGTCTTATAAAACCACTATTCATGTCAAGTAAATATAATATCCAATTAAGAATCACTTGGTTCCAAAAAGCAGGCATGTAAGAAGAACATGAAAGTGTTAGTTCTGATATATATTTAAGTTTCTAGTCATTTAAAAAAATCAGAATATGCCAGCATTAAAATTATGCTCAAGAGAAACTGAGAATAGGTAAATGGCAGAAAACATAATCAGCATCCATTTTCAATTAATAAATTCATCCATAGGAGCTCCAGACTGGCTTCTACAAATAACTAGACTGCATTGAGCAGGAAAGCCAACATTCAGAACCAATAACTGCACACACATAGTTCTGGACAATTTATTATTCTGTACAGTAAATGGCTGGCCCATAATTTACAAGCTGAGAGTTAATGAGAATATCTGTCCCTAATAGCCATAACAAAGATAAGGACTGGTATAATGTTGTTTATCCAGTACTTCTGAGCGTTTCAAGGGCAAGAGTGAAAGCCACTGACAGCAAAATGCAGAAAGAAATATTGCACTGACCTACAGACTTCTTGCTCTCCCATCAAACCAGTCCATGTGTAGAGGCATTAAGGAGCAATTCATTCTGAATAACTATTCCCAAATAACTAGATTATTTTAAATTGCTGGCATGATTAACTTAATGATGTAATTGTATGGCTCCAAAATAAGAACAGAGTAGAGTATGGGTATTAATTTACTTCCTCCTCATAGCAAAACTAGAATACATATGTGCGCACACACACACACACACACACACACACACACACACACACAGAGCTAGGAATGAGAAACAAATTAAACAGGGGAAAAGTCCCCCAAAAGAGTAATTGTTTATCAGTTTATCTGCTTTTATTACCAACCTTTAAAAAGTAAATATATGTTGAGGGTTTCATCAGAGCAGTAATAAATATTAATAATTACCAATTGATTAGAGGTTTTAAATGGTCCTAAAACAATGTGTCAGCAATACTCTTTTCCTAGCAGGCATAGAATGTATGTCTGCATTAACAGCTTCTCCTTTGTTTGGGGTTTTAAAGTCAGGAATGTGGGGGGGTGGGGGGAGGGGGGAGGGATAGCATTGGGAGATATACCTAATGCTAGATGACGAGTTAGTGGGTGCAACACACCAGCATGGCACATGTATACATATGTAACCAACCTGCACAATGTGCACATGTACCCTAAAACTTAAAGTATAATAAAAAAATAAATAAATAAAGTCAGGAATGTTCTCAACAGTCTATCCTAATGGCTCTCTAACTCTCCCTGCTATTTCCTTAAAGGCAGCTGAGATGTCTTGTAAAGAAGATAAGTGTTACTGCCCTGTTGAAATGAACCTACCAAATCCCCTGCCTTAAATAAAAGCAGATTGTGTGTGTGTTTGGTGGGGAGGTGGGGCACGTGCGTGCACATGTGCGTTGTTTTAGGTACCTGGTTGTGGGGGATTTCAATGTGGGCCATTCAGCAAGGGGCAGTGTCCCCCAAATGGCTCATGGACCAGCAACATCAGAATCCTCCCAGAGTTTGTTAGAGCTGGAACAATGATCGGGTCTTTCCTGTTGTCAACCTGCTACATTCTGGGGTCTAGCCCAGGAATCTTTGTTTACAAACTGTGCAGGAGATGTTTTCTCCTTGGTAAAGTTTCTGAAGTATGGGTTTAGAGTTTTTCTTGACTCAAGGGGCCACCTAGATATTGTGCTGTGAATAAAGTGGTATAAGCAAGCAGACTAAACGGCATGAACATGGCCTTTTAGATTCCATCTAAATGACTCACGGGATCGATGGCATCATTTGCATGCTAACTGAAGAGTTTGGATATTGCTTTCTATGAAGGGCACGCTCATGGGATCCGAACAAGCAAAGTGGTGTGAAGAGTCTGTTTCTCCTCCTGCATTGCAGTTTACGTGGCAGGAAGGAATGCATTCTATTCTAAGTTTAATCACACTCCAGTTAGAGCACAAGAAATGGAGTTTGAGTATTCATGTTAAAATTCTATACCCTAACAACTGTGTCTGAGGAGAAAGGAAGAAAAACCTAGATAAGAATACAAAAGTGACAGAGTCAGAGTTTGTGATCATTTGCTAAGAAAGGCTTATACGTGTACTTAAATGTACTGCCTGCAAAATGCAGGCCCCAAATCACTGTCGGCAATTACTTTTCTGCACGGTCAACTAGCTGAGGGAATGACGCTAAGCATTCTCCCTTTTGCATATATAATATCCATTTCCTTTTTCCTTAATCTGTTGCTTCAAAGGCAGTTAAAAGTGGTGTCTGCATGCTAAGCAAGTGTGACCTACCTTCCAAGCATCATCAAGGTAAACAAAGAGAGGAGGAGGTTGGAGCTAGTGATCGGAAAAATAATGAAAGCATTCTTCTTTTCAGGCCCTTGAAAAGAGCTTGAGTCTTAAGACTCTACTGTGTCTGCCTGAATGAGAAGACAGAAAAGAAAACAAGGTGGTATGACCTTAGGGATGCTTTTCTTTCCAGTTCCTGACCCATTTCTAGCTTACATGGGAGAGCAAAAGTATAACGGCTTCCAAAGGAGGCAGAACAAGGAAGTTACCTGATTGTAATATTAGCTCCTTCCAAAGACCCAGGTTCTTAGCTAGGCTTGATTGAGGAGGATCTATTTGACAGAGTTGTCTCGACACCTGTCTTTTTCACTTTCAGCTCTGAGTACAATTTCTTACCCACTTAATAATTAATTTCTGGGCTGATGCACATTTGGACTACATATGTACTATGCAGGCTTTGCACCACAGTCCGCATTCTTCAGTCCCCAGTCTAATTTCTTCATCCTTATCCCTTCCACATGGCATCAGCTACTATTTATCACCAAACAATGCTCAGGCCTCCAATGAACAGAAATGTTGTCAAATTCTGTATTTGCCACAGCATCCACAAACCAGTTTTATTTCAGGGTTGCAATTCAAGAGTTTATGAAATTACCATGGAAGCTGTGTACAAGATGTATAACAGGTTACAAATGAGGAAGATTTTTTATGCTTTTGCAATTCTCACTACCCTACACAACACATACATACCAAAGCCATTTTTTCATAACTTCAATATCACACACTTTTCCAAACCAGTGGTAATGAGAACAAGGTAGGAGAGCTTTGATTGAGACATAGATGACCTTCCTTTTCTTAAACCTGAAGGGTGGGGTGCATGTGTATATGTGGGTGTATGTACACATATGTGCTTGTGTATTGGTGTATAATTCCACAGTGACTAAGTTAGTCACATTGTGTTATAGATAGAAGGTATTTGGTGAATGTTTGTTTAATGAATTATTGAAAATAGTTGTTGAATACTTGCTATGTTACTAGTATTGTCCTGTCGTAGATATAAAACACAAAGATCACGGATAGGATTTTGATGTGGAGCTGGGATTCCAGGCACGATGTAGTCACTGTAGTCTGACAGTTAACAGTTATTCATTAACCATAACTTATTAAACTATCTCAAAGCCTTTGATGAATAGGCTGAAAATACAGAGTAATAATTATACTTTGCATAAAAATACACTAAAGTTGAACATGCTTAAGGCAATTTACTCATAAATTAGCTCTGTTCAAAAGCAAACTACCCTCAGAATGAGCCTGTTTGTTAATTTTATCAATTCTTTTAGATCAGTGGGGTTCTAACGGGACAAAGTTAGTACTGTCTATAATTTCCTGCATGCCACCAGAAGAGGTCCCAAATAATCTTGTTGAAGGGCAAACATCATGGCTGGGGATGGCCTGGTAGCTATAAATTGTATTTTGGTGACAAAGAGCGTATTATTTTCATCAGAAAATAAAAAGACGGAAGCTGGTGCAAGGTTGCCTCAGAAATATTTCTCTGTGACACCCCAAAGGAAGCTTATCCTCAGAGAAAACTGCAATTCTTTTGATGGATTACAAGTGAAAGGATTCCCCTTAAAGATGTTAGAGACTTTCCAAGTCCCACAAACAATTAGCTGCAATCATGTAATCAGTCATCTCCAAATGTTATCCCACCTAGACTCACAAAACGTCTACTTAATGATTTTGTCAGGCAAGTCATCCTAAGGGAATTTCTGCCTGAAGAAAATAGGGGGAAAATAGACACAGCTAAGAATCTTCCTAGCTAAGGAACTGAAATAACAAGCAAAAGACAATTAGCACACACAATCAGTGCTTTGGAAATCTGCCGCAGTCAGGGTTTTAAAATTTCCCTTTTTAAGATGATTAACACCACACTGTCACATTTACTTTTCAAGGTATCAACAGCAATTCTGCATTACAGGATTTTAAAAATCATTTGTTCTAGTTTGTAAACTAAGCTTTACAAATGTTTCTCATGGGATAATTAATTGCTGCCCTTTCATGTAAGTAATGGTAAAGACAAGGTAAATTCTACTCTCTACAATTTTAACAGCTATTTTTCTTATGCTTTTTTTCTTACAACCCAGGGCTACAAAAGGGAATGGAGCTTAGACCAACTTAGTAGCTCTGACTGATTGACAATAGGTTGTACTGCCAGTTTATGCTCAAAATTTGTACATGAAAATTTGGAAGAATTTGCCTCAAACAATCAAATAAAAATCAACTGCTATCCTGATTTCATTAACTGTAATGGCATTTATTACAGTGTCATTTCTACATCTCAGGTAAAGCTTTTATCTCAAAATAGAACATGTCCTCATCTCTTTCTGAGACCTGTTTCATAGTAAAACACCTGCCAACACTCCTAAAAGAAAAAAAAAATGCTCTTTAAAACTCAGTCTATATTTAGTACACAAAGCTTTTGTTGAATACATTACCATATTCTTTGTCAAGCACTTGGTTCCAACATACAAGGTGAATATAAGAGAGGTACACTATGTTGGATGGAGAGAGACAGAGACAGAAACAGAGAGAGAGAGAGAGAGAGAGAGAGAGAGAGAGAGAGAGAAAGAGAGAGAGCGCATACATCTCTGTTCACAGAAACTTTCAAGAACTGCACTCAAGGTAGTAGTCCAAACCCAAGAAAAGTCCCTGGAAAAATCACAAAATGGTAGTTCCAGAGAAATCTTACATTGATCTAATCCAATTCTTCCCCTCCAGGGAGAGGAGGCTAAAGGTGACACAGACAATGTGTGGCTACTGAGTGCTTGAAATATGGCAAGTGTGGCCGGGTGCGGTGGTTCACGCCTGTAATCCCAGCACTTTGGGAGGCCAAGGAGGGCAGATCAGGAGGTCAGGAGATCGAGACCACCCTGGCTAACATGGTGAAACCCCGTCACTACTAAAAATACAAAAAATTAGCCAGGCGCGGTGGCGGCTGCCTTAGTCCCAGCTACTCCGGAGGCTGAGGCAGGAGAATGGCGTGAACCCAGAAGGCGGAGCTTGCAGTGAGCCGAGATTGCGCCACTGCAGTCCGCAGTCCGGCGTGGGCGACAGAGCGAGACTCCGTCTCAAAAAAAAAAAAAAAAAAAAAAAAGAAAGAAACAAAGAAAGAAATATGGCAAGTGCAACTGAATTTTAAATTCTAGTTACTTTCCATTTCAATTTCAATAGGCTTCCATGGCTAATGGGTAACTAGGCTTAACGACATGGCCAATGAATTAAACTCAAGATAATTAAGAAGACAAAAGTCATTCACAATTAATGAAATCCACAAAGCCTTCTGAAACCAACCACAAATGCAACAGGCATTCCAAGGGGAAAGTGATCAATAGAACAAAGACCCATAAAAAGCAAAAACACCCCTGTGGAATTAAATTCTTCCCAGAGAGTTGAAAATATGAGAAAGAGCCAAAGTGGCACAAAAAGATCGCCGGGGAACAGATATGTCATTCTCACCTCTCAGCAAGCAAGGATCCTGCCTGCACAGAAAGTGTGAAGGAAAGGTTTCCTCCGCACAATCAATGATTAATAAAAAGGGGCCACTGAGCAAGATGGCATGGCTGGAAAGACTTCGAAGACCATCCTGCCCATCTACCTTCTGTATCTAATCGATGCTGAGAGAATGAGTGGGCAACGACACTAATCAAGTATATTGGATTTTTATCGCTATGTTAGCAAGTTACAGTGTGACCTTGAGAAGCACGCTTAACTCACTATCTCACTTGCTTCATCTATTTAAAGAAATGATAATGAGGCTTGGTTTCAGGTGCTTTGGGAAGCCTAAGATGAAAGTGTAAGATATAATCATCACCTTGTCCCTTTTTTTCCTTTTCCATCAGACCATGCTTCCCTCTCTAGTTAATAAGACCAATCACTTTCAAACTACAGTCTAGTTTCTTGTTACAGAATTGTTCTTTGAAAACAGTCCAGCATAACACTTTTTAAAGCTTCTTTGGAAATACAACAATTGGAGCTAAAATTAGCATTGTTCATGTACTCAATAGAAAAGGCTTTATTTAAAGGAGAAGCATGACTATGTAAAGAAATCCTTAGAATCTAAAGACGTGAATGTGAGTAAACGTTAAATTAAGAACACTATGAACCATTTTAAATTAAGCTACAAATGACTGTGATTTGGTGGGTATAATAGAAAGCCATTGTAGTATTTTCATTTCTACTATTTTTCTGCACACCACATTTTCCTTTGAAAATCTGCTTAGTTTCTAACTTCACACTTACCCAAGAGTAATTATGCTTGAAAAACAGATTGTTGCAATATGATTTGTATCTTACATTCTTGTCCAATTTTTTTCCTGTGTACTTATTTTTTATTTTATCTAGTTAGGATGTTTCATATAGGACTTATTATATATTCAGCAATCTTCTTAGCACTTTACACAAATTAACTCATTTAATCAGCAACATTATGAGGTAGGCACCATTACAATTTATATATGAGGAAACTAAAGCAAAAGGAGCTAAGAATCTTCTCCAAGCCATTGAGCTCCTAATAGTGAAGCCAGGATTTGAACTCGATGCAGTTAGGTAATGCTGCCTCATTTTATAAATAAATAAATTTACTATATTAAGTATATCTTGTATATTATTAAATACATAAAATTCATTAAATCAGTTACACAAATATATATTATATAATTTTTTTTGAGACAGAGTCTTACTCTGTTGCCCAGGCTGGAGTGCAGTGGCACCATCTTGGCTCCCTGCAACCTCTGCCTCCCAGGTTCAAGTGATTCTCGTGCTTCAGCCTCCTGAGTAGCTGGGATTAGAGGTGTGTGCCATGACTCCCTGCTAGTTATATAAATATATTCATATTAAACCTATTATACTAATACATTTATTATTTATATTACATAGAAATATATTAAATATATAAATTTTTCTATTAAACATATTTCTATTAAATATTCATATATATACTTATGTCTGATGTTTAAAAAACCTTTGTAAAATTAACTGGCCTGAAAACTTTTTAGTAGTCCACATTTTTCTTTCTCAGAGTTGCTTCCTCACACCCTCTTCCTGACTCAGATTTTATCTCCAAAGAATCTAAACAAGAAACATGCCACATCATCTCATATATGTGAATCATGTTTCTCAAGAAGAACTAAATCACCTTTTGAACAAGGACCATATTGGGATGGAAACTTGATTCTAGTCTCTCTTTTTCATGTTATTGTATTGCTCCTGAAATTTAAGGAATAAAAATGGAGAGAAGACAGACTAAAAGAACAGAAAGAGGAGAGGAGACCAATGAAGGAGAGAAAGGTCAGTGGACGAGATAAGGACATGTAGGGAAGACCTGTCAGCCTCAAGATAAATTTAGTAACTGCTAATTATCTAAAGTCAGTGACTTGAGTGGTTAAAGAATAGGCTGAACATCAAATAAATATACCTTATTCTCCCATAAAGAAGCAGTCTTGATAAGAGCCCTTGAGCCAATGAACAACCGTTTGTTAATTTTATTCACAGTGTGGCAAGGACACCTGAAGATCAGAGAATAAGACTCCAGCTGGAGCCTACACAGAACCAACCCACGAGAGAGATTAGTACAACTGAAGCCATCACCTTCCACTGCTGAGGAGATGCAGTAGGAAATGTTTACAGTTTGTGTCCCAACACACTCAATATTTAGAGCATTTTTTGTTTTGTTTTTTGAGATGGAGTCTCACTCTGTCACCTAGGCTGGAGTGCAGTGGCACTGTATCGGCTCACTGCAACCTCCATCTCCTGGGTTCCAGCAATTCTCTTGCCTCAGCCTCCCAGGTAGCTGGGATTACAGGCACCCACCACCATGCCCAGCTAATTTTTTTATATTTTTAGTAGAGATGGGGTTTCACTATGTTGGCCAGGCTGGTCTCAAACTCCTGACCTCAGGTGATCTGCCTGCCTTGGCATCCCAAAATGCTGGGATTACAGGCATGAGCCACCATGCGCAGCCAATATTTATAGCATTTTTAAAGAACTCCCCAACTTTGGCTTGATGGTAGGTATCTAAATATTTACAGATTTTAATTGCAAGCAATGTAAGTTCTAATCTCATTAGTTTACACATATACGTATATGTGTATATATATATATAAAAACATAAAAATAACTTAAATGTAGTAAATATATAGCTGTGTGTATATATGTGTCTATATAACAATGTGTGTATATACCATAATATTATACTCATTCATTTCATGTTTAAACAATTCTTATTTTTTAAATTTATTATTTATTAGGCTCAGAGTGCAAAACAGAGCACTGTGCAAACACTGTACATCTTTTTCCTCTCAAGGTCAGAATAAAATGGCCTAAAATGAATGCAGTAAATATGTGTATGTGTGTGTGTCAATAGATGGAACTGCGTAAAAACAAGCAATTTGAAAAATTATGTGTGTTCCATTCACAATATAATACTTATGTAAATGAATATTCTCAAAACAATACTACATATTGTTTATGGGAATGTATGAAATAAAATTGTGAAGATATGAACTAGATGGATGTAAACCTAATTTACATGAGTGATGACGGCCTCTGGAGAGGAGGAAGATTAGATTGGGAAGGGCACACACCAGGCTTCAACTTCATCTATTTTATTAAAAAAAGTAATCACCTGAAATAAATTAAAACAGTTGCTCATTCTGGGTGGTAGATGCCTAGATGTTTATATATTTACTTACTTGAAAAAATATGGAATAATATTAATGAAAAAAATCAAAGGTAGGAGATACGTAACCCAACAACGAAGATAAGAACTGTCTCACCGAAAGGAGCCACCAAAACCCAATGAAATTATAAAATTACAAATCAAAAAAGAGGAATAGGAGTGGACTGGAGGGAAAATCATCACGATAGTTAATTATATAACTGCTGATGAAACAGCTGGACCATTGGACCCCAACTATGCTCCTTGATAAAAAAATTGCCAGCACTTCACAGGGAGCTCCAGCCTGCAGTGAGCCGAGATTGTGTCAGTACACTCCAGCCTGGGCAACACAGTGAGGACCTGTCTCAAAAAAAAAAAAAGTGAAAAAAAATTCAACACGTCATATATACAGAGAAAATGCTAAAAGTTTCCAGAGACGGAACTAGGTGGCTTAGAAAGAAAGATGAGAAGATTAACATTAGTCTTTTTAGCAAGAGCATTGGATGCTGAAAGATAACATAGTCATGGTTTCCAAGAGCACAGAAAAAATAAATTTTAATATAAAATTATCTGCCCGTCCAATCTATAAATGGAATGTGGGTACAAAGAAAATACACCCTTTTAGAAGCACAAAAACTCGCTAATTTTACTACCAATGCTTCCTATGCTAATAAAAAAAGCAGAAAAAACCTCTTGATAAGAAATGCAAAAAATAAAATAATTGAACAATATGGAATTTAAACTTATAAAATAAAAACAGAATATCCATTAGTCTGAGATGTTTGGATGATTCTCCTTCTAGCAATTTATTGATATGTGATACATGATTTAATGATGTAAAGATATATGATTATATTATCTATTTTCACTATCAGTTCAAATACTTCTTGGTACTACAGTGAATAAAATTTGCTATGTAAGCCTAACACCTACATTCGCTAATACTGTAAATGCAGATTTTAAAATAATATTTAAATTTTAAAAATTACCTTTATACAAAGCATTTTTTTTTTTACAGAACAACGTAAATGTTATAAGGTTGGACAATGCACAATCATGTGCCTAAGTTGGTAGGCAGAAGTAAAATGGAGCAAAAATATGAGTGGTAAGTTTCTCAACTCTCATAGCAGGGAGTCAATAATTCCATATGAAGTCAATAAATCAAGAACTGTAAGTAAAGGTATATAAATAAAAATCATAATTATAATCAAAAGAAGATAAAAATTCTATACATGCTTGTATCTGAAGATTGAGGAAGGGAGTCTTTTATTTCTAACTTTAGATCCTTATAATTTAAAAATGTTCCCATGGTAGTGCAATATAAAACAAAAAAATTTAAAGAGTTTAAAGAAGATAGAGAATTTTCCTTCTAGATATACAATAGACTAAATAATCTGAAGGCTCCCATTACATTACAATTGGATTGCAGATATGTCATACAACCATTGTTGAATTTTTAAGAAAACAAGGTGAATCTTTAAATGATAAACAACAACAGCAAAAAAAAACATGTCCTAAGTACTGAAAGGTGGGCTGAAGGCAAACACTAAAGCTGGAGTTGCTTGGGGCTCTAATAATAGAACTGAAATCAGGAGATTATATTATGGAATAAGGAGTAATTGAAGCTAAGAATCAATTATTAGGATAGACCCTTCACATCCATGGTTGGTAACACTCAGTAGCTCTTAGAAATGCATTCAGATCTTCTCTGAAGGAAAGTGTTACAAATTTGCACTCTAAGAATTCTCAAACATTAAATTCAATCAAATATGAGCTAACAACCACAAATTACCAAACAGTTCATTTCTTTAAAAAGCCACTTACAGTTAAAAATTATATACTTATAATTTATAAATTATAGCATTATATTGTGGTTAACAACATATGTAGATTTAAAATATATCACAACAATAACACAAAGAATAGGGGTATGAATTGTGTTGTGGTACATTCTCATGTTTTATATGAAGTAGTGAAACTGACTCTAAGTAGATCATAATAAGTTTATTGTACATATTATAATCCCTAGTGTAAACATAATATATACATAAAACACACAAAAGGTATACATAAAAAGCCATTAGATAAAACTAAAATTTTAAAAATGTTCTTTTAATCCAAAAGAAAGCAAGAAAGGAGAAACAGAAAACTGATGGGATGAATCAACTACAAAATGGTGGACTAAAACCTGATAAAATAATAATTATGTTAAAAATAAATGGACTAAACACTACAATTAAAAGGCAGCAATTTTCCAACTGGGTAAAAATGTAGGGCCCAACTATATGTTAGCTTATATGAGAGACAAAATTTAATAAGTATAAGTCGCAGATGGATTAAAAAGAGGGAAAGTGATTTACCATGTAAAACGTAAATATAAGAAAGGTAGTAATATATCAATGTAAGACAAAGTAAACTCCAAGACAAGAAATAGAGTCATGTTATAATAAAAAGGTTGATTCTTTAGGAATACATAACAATAAAAATGTGTGAAATCTGATAATATAGATTCAAAATATAAGCAAGAACTGAGAAATCTAAAGGGAAAAATAGAGAAATTCAGGATAATAGAAAATTGTAACATATTTTTCTCAGTAATTGATTAAACAACTAGAGAGAAAAAGGGCAAAACAAAATGATATTTATAGAATGCTACATCCAACAACAGCAGTTGGAATGCACATTTGTTTCAAATGCAAAATGAAAAGTTCACCAAGATTGATATGTTGTATCATAAGTCTCAATAAATTAAGAAAAATGGAAATTTTATAGAATAGCTGTCACCACAGAGGAATTAGAAGTCAATGACAATAAGACATCTCAAAAATCCCCAAGTATCTGGAAATTAAACTTTGCTGATCTCAATAATTCATGAGTCAAGAAAAATACAAAGAAAGTTAGATAATATTTCTAACTGAATAATAATAAAAACATCAAAATTTGTGGGATAAAGCTAAAAGTTTTTAGAGGGAAATGTATACTAATATTTAATAACAATGATATGTTTCCACCTAAAGTGAATAGAAAAAGAAAAACAAAATAAGCTGAAAGAAGAAGGAAAAAATAATAAAGGCCAGAACTCAGCAAAATAGAAACAAGATCAACAGATGGAATTAAGTAAGCTAAAATTTGGTTCTTTGAAATACGTTTGTTAAAAAATCATAAACCTCTAGCAGCATCAATCATGGAAAAAGAGAGAAAGCACAAATTATAAATGATAGACTAAATAAATAAATAGATTCAGTATGGAGAAGATTTTAAAAGGAACAACTTTATTGCAAAATAATTGACAACTTAGATGAAATAGACAACCTTCTTAAAAATCCACCTTTTCAAAATTGGCACAAGAAAAATAGAAAAAAATGAATAGCTAAAATATACATATATTAAAGGAATTAAATTCATAATAAAAAACATCTCCATAAAGAAAACTTCTGTCTCAGGTAGATTAACTGGTCATTCTATAATTTAAGGCAGAAACGCCAATTTATATGTTTAGAAAATAGAGAAAATATGTACACCTCTACATATGAGACCAGCATAGCTTTATGACCAAAATCTTACAGACATTTCAAAAAAGAAAAATTCAAATTAATATTTTTCAAGAACCTCAATGCACACAAAATATTTGCACACTAAATTCATAATGTGTAAAAAAGATAATGCATCATGAAGAAATGTGGTTTGTCCAGGCAATGGAAGATTGGTTTAATAGTTGAAAATCAATCAATGTAATTCACTATATTCATTAAAAAAAGGAGAAAAATTACATGAGCATCTCAATAAATGCAAGAAAAAATGACAAAATTGAATACTCTGTCATCATTTAAAAACTCTCAGCGAACTTACAATAGAAAGAAACATCAATCGGATAATGCGTATCTACAAAAACCTTACCGTTACCAGCATATTTGGTGATAGAATATTGAAATCTTTTACCCTAAGATCGAGACAAATCATAGCAATTTTATTCAATATTTTACTAGAGGTACAAGCCAATACAACAATGTAAGTAAAAGTATATTTAAAAAAAACCTCAGATATTGAAAAGGGAGAAGTAAAATCATCTGTATTTTCAGACAACCTGCCAAAGTGATCTACAGACCTCTACTAGAAATAATATATGTGTGGTAGACAGACTTTGAGTGGCACTTATGATTTGTACCTCCTGGTGTTCACATCCTTATGTAATTCACTATTGCTATGGGCCAACTCACTGGCTTGCCTCTAGCTAATAGAATATGTCAAATATTTGGGATGCCACCCTTGATTACATTACATTATATGACTGGTGAAGGGTGCCATTTCCGTGATTACATTATGTTGTATAGACTCACTGTGGAGTGTTTCTTTTCATTGCTGGATTTAAAGAAGCAAGATTATATGAATTCTATAGCCAAAAAGAAAGGAATGCCACCATCAACCCTGAAAACAGAGGAGCAGATCCTTCCCTAGGTATGCCTCTAGATGAGAGCACAGTTCCAGTCAAGACCTTGTCACCTTGGGAGACACTAAGCAGAAGCCCTAGCTAACCTTTGCATGGACTCCAACCCATATAAACTGTAAGAAAAGAAATGTGTATTGTTTTAAGCCACTGAATTGCAGTGATTTTTTATGCAGCATAGAAAACGAATACAATGTACACTTAGCAATGTCTCAGTAGATAGGACAATTTGCAAATTTCAGTTGGATTGACAGATAGATAGATATGCAGCAAGCAAGTGCAAAATGAAATTTACAACTATTTCACAATAACATTAAACAAAATAAAATGTTTAGCAATAAACTTAACCAAATGTATGGAAACCTTCCATAATAAAAAAATACAACTATACTGGGACAAATTTTAAATATTATACACTATGCTTATGCATTGAAAGACTTTCTTTTGTTAAGATCCAGTATGTTCAAATGGATCCACAGATTAAATAAAATCCCAATCAAAATACCAGCAAGGTTTTTTTGGTAGAAATTAACAAGCTGATTCTAACATGCATAAGGGATACATCAAACTAAAACTGTACTGTATCTAGAAGAAAGTGTAGGAGAATATTCCCACAACCCTAATTATGCAAAAATTTCTTAGATCATATTCAAGAGACACTAAGTATAAAAGAAAATAAGTTCAATTTCATCTAAATTAAAATTTTCTGCTCACCAAAATGAAGCCTTAAGAAGATGAAAATGCAAGCCACAGATTGGGAGAAAATATTCACAATTCATATATTTGACAAAGGATTTGTATGCAGAATATATAAACAACTTTTCTAAATCCTTAACAAAAAAGAAAACAATTAATATTGTTTTCCCAATTAATAATGGGGGAAAGATTTGAACAGACACGTCACAAAAGAAGATACTCAATCGGCCAAGAAGAGAAGATATATACACATGGCTAATAAGAATAAAAATGTGTTCAACATCACTCAAAAACAGGGAAGTGTAAGCTAAAACTAAAGTGAGTTAACATTTCACACTTACTACAATGGCTACAACTAAAGACTAATAACCCCCAGGGTGGCAAGAATGTGAAGCAAATGGTACGCACACAGTTGGGAGTGTGAACTGGTACAACTACTTAAGAAAACTGGTGATTTCTTATCAAGTTGAATACTCACCTACTGTATGACACTGCAGTTCCACTCCTAGGTATTAGCCAATGGGAAATGAAAATATATGTCAAAAATTACATACATCAATGTTCAGAGCAGCTTTATTCATAATAGCAAAGAAATGGTAAAAACCCAAAAGTCTATTAGTAGGAAAATGGATTTTTAAAAGCTGGCTTACATTCATACAAAGCAATACTCCTCAGCAGCATAAAAAACTGAACTATTAGCTGGGTGTGGTGGCTCAGGCCTGTAATCCCAGCACTTTGGGAGGCCAAAGCAGGTGGATCACAAGGTCAGGAGTTCAAGACCAGCCTGGCCAACGTGGTGAAACCCTGTCTCTACTAAAAATACAAAAATTAGCCAGGCATGGTGGCTGGCACCTGTAATCTCAGCTGCTCGGGAAGCTGAGGCAGGAGAATCGCTTGAACACAGAAAGCGGAGGTTGCAGTGAGCTGAGACCATGCCATTGCACTCCAGCCTGGGCGATAGAGTGAGACTCTGTCTCAAAAAAAACAAAAACAAAAACAAAAACAAAAAAACAAAAAAACTGAACTACTGATACATGCAGCTGCATGAATGAGTCTCAGAAGACATATTTATGAAAAAACAAGGCAAACACAAAAGTGTGTAGACAATCTAATTTGATTTAGATTATATTCATGAATAGATAAAACTAATTTATGGCGATCAAAATCAAGACAATGGCTTATCTACAGGTGGGGAAATTGACCAGAAATGAGTACAAAAAAAAACTTTCTGGGGTGAAGAAAATGTATATATTAAGTTGGAGGTCAGTTCACAGATACGTAACTTTATCAAAGATTGACAAATTATATACTTAAGATCTGTGCATCTCACAGTCCTAACATTAGTGTAATTTAAAAAAAAATTAAGAAAGTAAGAAGGAAATATACCAACATAAGATAAAATGATCAGGAAAAACAAATTACAGATTTAGACATGGAGATTGCCTGTTATTATTATATATGATATATATGTACGTTACACCTATAATGTAATATGTAATATTGATATTATATGAAGAGAACTATAAATGTAAAGAAATCCATACTTAGACTACTTTATTGAAATTAAACAATCTCAAAGAAAGGAGAAGATATCAAAAAGAAAAAGAATGCACAGATCTTCTACAAGGTAAAACAATTAGACTGAGAGTCACCAAGTTTCTTTGAAACACTGGAAGCCAGAAGAATATAGAATAATATCTTCAATGTGCTGAGAATTAAAAACTCTCAACCTAGAGCTATAGACCCACTGAACTGTTCTCTCATCAACTTTTCTTTTAAATAAAGACATTTTCAGGTAAACAAAAGTGGGATAGAAAAAGAGGGATGTCACCCGTATTCATTCATGTAGTTATACCCTTGGTACTCAAGTATACAAGTCCGTGTAAGAAAGGATAATTAGCGTGTGAGCTCTTCCAAGGGCACTGAATATCCTAAACAAAATATCAGTAAATATAATCTGTAATGTTTGAAAGAGATATGACCACAATAGCATTATGTATGATCAAACCTAGTTTATGCCATAATTACAAAATGGATTTGGTAGAAGATATCTTTAAATACAATTCACCATGTTAATAGATTAGAGGAGAAAAAATAATAAATCTTCTCGATTGATGAAGAAAGGCCAATAATAAAATTAATTTACTCATGATACATATCACTAGAAAGGTAGAAATAAAAAGGGGATGTTTTGAGTTCAGTAAAGGAATGCTCCAAAAACTTGGATCAAAAAAACATTTTTGCCGGGTGCAGTGGCTCACGCCTGTAATCCCAGCACTTTGGGAGGCCGAAGCAGGTGGATCACTTGAGGTCAGGAGTTCGAGATCAGCCTGGCCAACATGGTGAAACCCTGTCTCTACTAAAAATACAAAAATTAGCTGGGCGTGGTAGTGGGCGCCTGTAATCCCAGTAATCGAGAGGCTGAGGCAGGAGAATCGCTTGAACCCAGGAGGCGCAGGTTGCAGTGAGGCAAGATCATGCCACTGCACTCCAGCATGGGCAACAGAGCGAGACTCAGTCTTAAAAAAAAAAAATTCTAACAGTACAATGTAATCCCTAAAAGTAAGGTTAATCACTTTAAAGTCAGAGGCAAGACAAGTATGTCCACTATCTGCTTCTATTGGAGTTGCATTAGAGGTCCTTGCTTGTGCAGTTACATGCAGACAATAAATTTAAAAATACAAACACTGGAACAGAAAAAACAACCAAAGAGTCATTTTCTACAGAAGATATAATTATCTATAAAGAAAACCCAAAATAATTAACAGAGATATTATTAGAATTAATAAGAGAGTTTAGCAATTTGGCTAAAAATAAGATCAAACATTTACATTTTACACCAATAACAATAAAGAAAGTATAGTTAACAAATAGATAACATTTAAAATAACAACAGAAATATACAGTATCTAAAAATTTAATAAAAGATGTAGATCATTGTGGATATAATTTTACAACTTTACTGAATAACATCAAAGAAGTCATAACTATGTGAAGAGATGTACCATGTTCAGGGGTAGGAAGGTTCACTATCCTAAAAGGTATAATTCTTTCCAAATGTAATAAAAGATTCCAATTTCATGAGGGTTGTTTTGTTTTGAAAAATCTTGCCCAAATAATTCTAAAATGTATATAAAAAGGCAACAAGGCAAATACTACTGAAAAAGATTAATAGTTTGTGAGAACTTGCCTTATAATAACAATTTAATGCCACAGCAATTAAAACATTGTTGTATTATTACAAGGATAGATAAAAACACCAATGAACTTGAACAGAGAGGCCAGACAGTTGGTTTATGATGTGGCTGGCAACACAAATCTCTGGGAAAAGAGATCCTCTTCAAAAACATGCTCTAGGACAACTGTTCAGCGATATGTGGGGGAAACAATATTTGAACCCTACCTCACACCATTCACAAAAAAGAAATTCTGTATGTGTTAAATATGAAAGGCAATTTTAAAGCTTTTAAAAATATAGGGGAAATATCTTTATATCTTAAGAATTTGGAAAGAATTTTTAAAAGACACAAACAAACCATAAAAGAATTAATAGATACATTTCATCACATTAAAATATAAACTTTTATCATCAAGAAATATAAAGAGTGGAAGACAAGCTCCAAACTAGGGGAAAATATTTACAACATATGTAACTGACAAGGTATCTAGAATGTGTCCAGAAATCCTAAACGTCAAAAGAAAAAAGACAAATGATTGTGTAGAAAAATGAACAGAAGACATGAATAGGTCTTTCACATAGTGGGATATTAAAATGCTCTAAAAACACATTTTACAGCATTCAACTCAGCTAGTAATTAGGGAAATGCAAAGCAAGATCACAATGACATTCTATTTTATATTCACTAGATAGGCAAAATAAAAACGTCTTTCACCATGAAGTTTTGGAGAGAATATGGAGCAACAGAAAGTGTTCCAACACTGCTGGTGGGTGTGTTAAAACTTTGCAAAGCAATTTGACGTTACCTTGTACACCTGAACATGTGCACACCCCGAGAATGTGCAAGCCCATTACACGGTGATGCATGCTCAAGCATGATTGTAAACGGCAAGTACTAGCAATGCTACAAATATCTCTAGTATCCATCAACAGAAAAACAGATACACAAACGAATGTAGCACAGGGACAAATGTTAGAAACCTTTGTTGAATGATACCAGCATATCTGAAATGACTACACGGATTGTGATACCGTTATATAAACTTGAAAAAAAAGCAGTATAGTACTTCAGGAAACATATGCATTTTTAAAACTTTTATAAAACAAGAAATGATTTTTAAAAGTTATAGTAGTTACATTGGAAGGATATACAGGAGCACGTGGGAGACCATACAAGGAGCTTCATCAGTATTAGTAATAATCCCATTCTTAACTTTAGTGAACAGTTTGTGAGTCTTAGCTTTTAAATTATTTGTATAACTTTCATATGATTTTATATATATAGTTTATATATATATAAACTTTTTTAAAGAAGAAGGCTATGTTATGCAGTATAAATATACTATATGTGTGTACATATGTGTATATATATATACACATACACACATATGTATATATGTATATGTACACATATATATACACACACACATACACACAAGCCACTGAAAATAGAGCCTTTTTTTCCTTAAACAGAATATCGAAGAGAAACATTGCATTAACTATAATTAGTTACATGCCTGCCTTCTTGGAACACATTAGGAGTCCAGGCTTTATTTAAAAATGTATTCATTTATATAAATTCCTGTCTGTCTATATTGGTTTTCTAGGACTGCCATAACAAATTACTGCAAACTTGGTGGCTTAAAACAACAGAAATTTATTCCCTCCCAGTTCTGAAGGCCAGAAGTCTGAAGTAAAGATGGTATTGAGTTTGCGCTCCCTCCAAAGGCTCTAAGTGAGATTCTGTCCCTCCCTTTCCAGTTTCTGGTGGCTCTCAGGATTCCTGGGCTTATGGCTGCATCACTCCAATCTCTGCCTCCATCTTCACCCCACCCTCTTCTCTGGGTCTCTCTAGTTTCTTTCTGCCTTTATCCTATAATGACAAAATTGGATTTACAGGGCTCATCCAGATAGTCTGGAATGATCTCATTTCAATGTCTTTAACTTAATTACCTCTGAAATGACCCTATTTCCAAATAAGGTCATAGTTACAAGTTCCAAGTGGACATATTCTGGGAGGAGGAGCACCCTTCAAGCCACATCAGTAAGCATATCTCTATATGTTTTATTTTAAATACTGTTTCAATAAATATTCAAAACATATGATGAGGGTAAAAAAAAGTGTGATTCTCTTAATGCAAATATGTAGATAAAATAAACATAGATAGATGCCTGAAAAGAGTATTAGCCAGATATTGATTCTCTGTGTATGGAAGAAAATAAGCAATTTTAATTCTATATTCTCTATAGTGTATGAAAATGTTTCAATGAGACTGTAATTTTTATAAGCAAAAAATTAAGCTCTTTTCATGTTGAAACTAAAATGCTATTGACATGTTTCTTTTTTATGTTTTGAAATCTTCACTTACATTTTAACTTAGGTCAACAGAATTTTCAAGGGAAGCTAATGATATTTCAGTTTGATACATCATGGCTCGTCTCCTACCTATTGGACAAAGTTTCCAGTCTTTCTTGAATGTCTACATGGTTAATTGTTTCCCCTCAACAGAAGGCATAGGGGTCAGACTTATATATGAGTCTAAGGACCTTGCAGCATTTCTTCATTTGAAACAGATTTTATTTTGGCCAAAAGGCACATACATATACACATAAATACACATATACAAAGCATTTAAAACAATTGTCTCATTCACAGTAACATTCCTCCCGTTTGATTAATGAAAGAGTTATCAGGAGGTATATGGCTTATGCCTTTATCTTCGCTTCACTACAAATACAGAGGCATGCTGAAGAAAGGATGTGGCCTGTCTCCTTCACCCAGTGAGGAAGGAGTGGTCTGGGACAGGACCAAGGTCATGACCACCAGTTCAGTGTCACGGAAGGTTGCCACATGTAATATCACGTTTCTTACAATCCCTGGTCTTCCCTGGGGCTTGTGCAAACCTAAGCAGCCTATCCAAAGGATAGTAGTTTTTCCTGGGCCATGTAACTAACACTTTATGAGTTTTTTTACCAAATGCCAGCCTGGCAATGCTTGGTAACTGCTACCATATCTCTTGTATGGTGCCAGAGTAACTTAAATATGTAAATAAGGGGATTTGGAACTTTTGATTATTTCACTTGTCTTCTTGTTAAACTGATAACATTGATAAATGGAAATGTGTGTTCAAGATCTCTGTGGTTACTAAACTCTTTACACAAAACTATATCTTCTTCAATTTAATTATCAAATAGTACACTGACAGCCAAGAATTTTAAGTGTGATTTATTCTTATGCCCATGGATTAGGTAATTGATGAATCAGATAGAAATATAAATAATAATATTAGAAAAGTAATATTATATACATACAGACATGACTTGAATAAGTGTAAGAATACTATGCATAATCTTATACAAATACATTTAAAGATATGCAGGAAAGGACAATTTTCAATGACACTACAAATTATACAAATTGACTCAAAAAGATTTAAAATACTTCAGCAGATGAGTGACCATAGAAGAAATTAAAATTTGTTGAATCTTTAGCTCTAATTTAGACTACCAACCCACATAATTTTATAAGTCAACACCAAAAAAACAAGGCAATAAAATGTATTTATCTGACTTAAATTCTTCTGGAGATTAGAAAAAAATAGAAGGTTTTATACTCATTCTACAATGCTGATATAACATTGGCTCCAAAGTTGGGCTAGGTGAACACTCATGAACGTACACATACAATCCAAAAATTACTCTCTTTTATGAATTAAATGCAAGAATCCTAAATAAAATATTAGCAAAATTAATCTACATGTTTACTGACAAATTGAGTATATATGTATAATCCAAACTATATACATGCATATAGAGAGATATGTGTAATTAAATACATAATGATACATAAATAACAAGACAGATGGTACATATTATGCTTTTTTCACTTAAAATGTGAAAAATATCTTGACTTATCCTTAATGATAGTATTTTATTAGGCACAAAGTATTCTGTTGAAATTATCACTTTATGGCAAAATAAAAAAAAATGTAGTTGTGCTGAAGACAGAGCATATTTGCAGTGATACTGGGGGAAATACTCAAGTACCTGAAAGTTGCTCATTTTAGATAGTTTTAATAACTCCTCAAATAACTGTGGAATCAACGGTTAATTTTAGTTTTGTGAGAAATTAACAGAGCAGAGAAAAAATGGAAGGACGGCAGTGAGGGTAAATCTGACGAGCTAAAAGTATTTAACTGAGACATTTATTTCCTAAACTGAAGTATAATAGGAAGGGCAGGGGTTAGGAGAGACCAGAAATTTGTAGGATGTTATCAAGTGCCAACTCAAATGAAGGCAATGAAAATGGCAAGAATTTGTACCGATACAGAGCATTTAGTGACAACCAGACTCTTCTAGTTGCACTATAAAAGAAGGAAGGAGTATAATTATTATTATTTACTTCACAAACATTTTTGAGGGTCTACTACAAGCCAGGCAGAAGAGCAGGCAAGTCACTCATTTAGGGACTCAAGTGACTTCAAGCACTCAAGTGACACTTCATTGAGGCATAGTCACTCAATGAAGCTTGAACATTTACATTGTAGTGGGTGAGACCAGGCAAAACATTTATGGAAAAGTATACAAGGAGGGTAACAAAGATTGCATGTGAGATATTTGCAAACCAGCACAGTTCTGACTAGCTAAATACTGTACAACTGAATAAGTTAGACTGTTCCTGTGTAAGATTAGCCACGGTTAACTCATTAGCCAGGACCAAAAACTTTCCTCCATATTAACTTAGGACTTTTGCTCCTGGCTTGTGGTCTTCCTCCTCAACTGTTTTAGAAGGTTTTCCCCCTGATTCCTACCCTTTTCATAACACTCCACATCCTGGATTACAGGGGTAGACAAGCCTGACCTAAGCCTTGTCTAGCAAGCATAGGAGCTCTGTTTCTCCAACCAGTGATTGGTCCAGGGGAGGGCACAGGATCCAAGCAGAGGTACAGAGAATCTTATCCTGGGAGTTGTACGTGCGCTTTGAAAGACACAAGTCCTCTTTATACTCTGATGACCTGGATGGCAGAAATCTGGGATGCCATGAGTTTCTTCCATGCCATATGGGGAGTATTTGTTTTGTAACAACAAAGAATGAAGTAAACACAAAAGTGAAAGAGACAAGCCAATAGGAGAGATGGATCAAGAAAAATGTCCTACATCACATGTGAAGTGAGACAGACCTACAGCCTTCTCACTTATAAAAGCCAAAGAACTTAATTTTTGCATTAATTAGAATTCCTGACACTTGCAATAAAATGCCTCCTGAATATATCTTCCTAATAGCTACCCCAATCCTGAGAGACTTTCATATGGGAATGCATTCCCATATGGAACACCCTAGCATCATCATTTTTTGAGCACACTGTCTCTAGTTCCCCTGAACCTCAGTCTGCTTCAACCACTCATTTCCATGGCCACAGTGAGATCCTTCTCATTAACCAGAACTGCCTCACTACAAAATGGTTTCTCCCAATAATATCCTCACTTTTATTAGTTATATATATGTGTGTATATATATATTAGTAGCTAGATTATGAAAAATCAACAGCCACACACTGCATAATATAATGGGATATAAAGTTTATTATTAGTTGTAAAGTTACAAAGAAAATCACATTAATTATACAGATAAAACTAGCCATAAAGTATTTAAAAGATTCTTATTTGGGATAGTAATACTTTTAAAATCTCAAGTTTTCTACACAATCTCTAGCTAAGCATATGGCACATAAAAGAAAAGATCTTGTAATGATTTTCATAGCACCTATTTTAAAACACATGGTCTTTTTATATATTGATCAGTCTTTAACCAAAATAGATAAAAAGGAAAACCATATCATTCCAATCCCGCCAAAAGCTAAATATAATTGATCTTTTTTCTTCATATTTCTTTCAGCCTTATGCTGCATTTGTTAGGAAGCATATAGAATTAACTGAATTTGATGAGCAACTGAAGTGTTCTGAGATGGCAATGGGATAATAGAGAGGTAAAGAGCTGGGCCACTGTTAATCATAACAACATCCCACTTAAAAGCTGGAATGCATCAGCAATCTGCTGTTGCCATATTGATTTCACTTAGCCCTTCTGGATGGAATATCTGGGAGACTTTCCAATGTAGAATCAAGACAGATGGTAGGGAGGTTGGGAAAAAAAAATAGTCTCGCAGTATAATGGAAGTCAAAGCAAAGCTTTTTGAAAAATATTATTATAATTCCCTGACAAACAACTGACATCAAACCAAAAATATCTATTAGTACCATGGCAAGAATCAATGGCATAAGAACCTTCCAGCTTTAAGTGATGTTCTCTAGCAATTTACTTTTTATCAATGAGGTTAGATTTTTCAGGGCTATTGATGACTCCCATATAGGTCTATTCCTAAAATCACTTTAGAAATCAAAAGATATAATACCATTAATTAGATTAGAGTTCCAGGGGATATCTTGATGTAAAAATAGAATTTTCAAAATAACAATTACAGAGGAAGTGTTCAAATGTTATATCTTTAACTTAAAAATGATTATTAATATTCATGACTCAAACATTTATAATTATGCTTCATGATTTCATGTGGGACCAATATAGAAGTCAAAATCATGTTATTCTTAAAATGCAAAAAATGGACTTCCTATCTCATATGGGAAGCACCTACACTTCTCTTTATTCTACCCAAAGCATTGAACTAGCTAATCTAAACTAGCTAACAATATGGTTAGCACATTCTATATTCCTTGTTTATATCTTTCAATTACTATCCTTCTTTACACCTTTAGAATTTGGGGAGAAATGAATATAACTGTTATTTTATGTACTTGTTAAAGGAGATAGCAGGTAAAAGTAATAGAATTTAGGGGGCAGCTGTTTTAATCCAATTCTCCCATATATCAAGTCTATGACCTTGGATAAGTTACTTAACCTTTTTAAGCTTTCAATTCCTCAATGCAAAACTGGAATTATATTAAAAATGTTAAAGGTTATTAAGAAGGTTAGATACATAACTATATAAAAGTGCCTGGATTTAGTCCCTTACTTTTCCTTAATCCTGGCAAGAAAATACACTCTTTTTAAATTGGGAGTTGGGCTGGACAAGTTTCAAGTGGAAGTTTTTGTACTTACAACAAATCAAATGCATTTCTTGGGTGTAGTCCTGATATTTCTGGGGTATCCTTTTTTTTAAAACTAGACAACTTATGCCCATTAGAAAAACCAATCAGAAACTGCTACTATACATGCTACAACACACTGCCTGGGCTTTGTATTTCTGCAGCGATGGGAAAGCCTGAAGATGAAAGGAAGGTTCCAGGAACAATGTCAAGAAGATAGAAGCGGGTTCAAGAGGAAGTTTGTTTGCAGGGCATGGCCAGTGGGAAGTTGGCTATAAGAGTAATGTTGGAATCAAAGCAGAAAGCTCTAGGAGTGCATATCAAACCACCTCCAGTGTGAGTCAAGCCAGAGACCTAACTAATCTAATGCACTGAAATGAATTCTGAGGTATTGAATTTGCATTAACTGTAATTGACCCATCCTGGAAATTCTTCGCCCTTTACAAAAAGGTCTGGTTTTATCCTTTTCCTCCATGACCAAACCAATTTCAATGGGGGCATGGTGACTCTCTCGAGGTTACTCTCGGGACTTCTGGTACATTGCTGAAATGTAAATGGCTCCAGCTATGCTTTCACACATAGCTTCTGAAGATCTGATTAATCTCTTTTAAACGGACATGGAATTGTATTTGTCTACACCAGATGAGAGAGGTCATCACTTTTACAACCATATGGCTGGGCACTGCCTTAAATCCTAACACCTTTTGTCACTACCGTTGTTTTGCACTTTATCTGTTCTCTTTTGCCTTTTGATTTCCACCTAATTCCTCCATAGTTTGGGAAATAGGTTCAAATTGAGGATAGCTTAAAATAATTGAGGCTATAATGTTTGATCTAGAAGGTGCATTAGAAAATATTTATGTAAGTTTTCTCATTTTTGCAAAGGTCAAGAGGTTAGGTGGCTGCATGGATGGCAGGAGCAGTGGTAGAGATTGGAGCAGAACTCAGCTGTCTTGGGTGATCTTTGCACTTAAGAGGCCATGTATCTTCTTGGATATGAATCATACAATTTCTGGACATTTAGTAGGCCTTCAGAAGGAAATGTTGGGTTAGTAGTTGTTCAACATGGAATTGCTATGTAAGATATTTGATCAGTAAGAAACTAGATTCCTCTGTGAAACTGACAAAAAGTAGAAAGCAATCTGATTTATAGGTCACCATTTTCCCTTTGTTCCTTTGGACTTGAGAATTGTGAAACACAGCCCAAGTATGTAGAAAGAACCCAGGTAAAAATGGGCTCTTTGCCCATTTTAAAATTTGCCCATGCAAATACACAAGCGATAGATTTGATTTTGATGGGAAAATCTGGTCACATTTCCCCTTTCATCTTGGCTACCCTGCCACCGCAGAAAGCTCTGCCCTCATGACTGCAGTGCATTTGCTTATGCAAAGTTGGTATTAAAAATCTGGTTCATCAAAAGAGGAAAAAGATGATTGTCACAAGGGGAAGGCTTCTCAGAACTGAAGACAAGCTGCTCCTTTCCAACTGAAAATGTCAAACAGTTATTCATACGGTTCTTACCAGACTTGATTTATGTGAGCAACTGCCAATCCTTAACCTCCCCCTCATGCAAGTGCAAATGGAAAGCCTGTTCGTTCAGCCATTAATATCGTGTTAGTTTTGTTTGATATCCTGAATAGAAAATCATTTCTTCCCTCTATGTAGGAGTTATTGATTTACCCTGATGTTCACTTTAAAATCTCTTAGTTTCTAAATATGCTTGTTGTTTACCTGCAGTGTTGTAAAAAATATGATTATTTTCTTTATGGTTTTCTAGAAGTTTGGCTTTAAAAAATAAACATTGCATGCAAACTGACTTGTAATTTGAATTCATATTTTCCAAGCCCAGTGAAAATTACACTCCTTATGGAAAGAGAAAAAAAATTAAAATAAGACAAAATTTCATTTATAACATGTTTTCCAGTAATAATGTAGCTTATATCTTGGAGTCTATGCATTTTATGAAAAACTCACATTTTACATGTTTAACTTCTTGCATTTACTAGATGAGATGTGACTTATAGAAATATTCTTTAAATGAGAATTAAAATAAAAAAATCACATGCATAGGTTTGGGGCAGATTGAAACAAGGCTTTCAGTGAAAATTCAAAAAGAGAAGAAAAAGAAAAAAGCACGAGCTTGGCCCTACAGAATGAGTCACTTATTTCAGAAAAAGAAAGGGGAGTCAAAAAGCATGATTTGTAGTACCATGCTCCAATAAATCATAGCCAGGAAAAAAGAGTTGTAAGGTACAAAACATTTCCTGTGATATGCCTCTTCAAGCACCAGATTGATAAATCTTCAAAAATTAGACCCTACCCCAAATGTATATTACAAGAGAGCCCTCTTGAAATCTCACAATTCACAACACCCTCATTGTCAATCTAAGAAAGAAAAGACCACAAGCTGTGTTTTGGTTTTATTTCACACACCACAAGGACTCAGAGCTTCAGAAAGACTAGAAAGAAACATGCCCCCATTTCCTCACTTCAAAAACTAATAGAAAGACCAGTTATTCACTAAGTAACATTTCTACTGTCATTATGGGATTTCACTCACAGTATGCAGCGCTCCTAGAAGAGAAGAATAGAGGAAGCTTAATGACCATGTTCTCCAGGGAAAGCTGGGTCATCTTAGAGGCTTTCCTTCCCAACACAAATGAGCAGTTCAAGGACTGCCTATGAGGCCACAGCAAGTCAATATTGGGATTGCCCGAGTGACTGTTCAATATCCTTCACATTCTTTTAGCACAAATTTGGACCCCTCAATGTTTTTCAAACTCAATTTTCCACATTGAATGACTTTCTTTTAAGAAACTCCTGATGAATAACACAGAGCAAAGAATGATCTGAAACAGCATAAATTAATCACTGGTTCAAACATAAAGAACCCTACACCTTCCCTGGTATTAATAAAAACGGAACCTGATCATCCAAGGTTGGAGATGGAGCATGATCTTCTTGGAGAGCTCATATTCCTTACTGTTGCTACATGAAAAATAAGTACTAACATTACAAAAAATCAGCCACGTTTTTCTTTTATCCTAGGAGGACAGGAAAAAGGTTAGAGTGGACACTCTCCTCTTCCAGAGAAGATTCTCTCCACTCCAACACTGACAATCTGAACTGGGTTTTATTAAGGAAGTTGTTAGTTCTCAATATTCCCTACATTCAGATTTTTTACTGGACTTAGATTGTAGCATCATGATATTCACATTCATGAGCTATAGCGAAAACTGATAGGATGCAATTTCATACTGAAACTTGTTTCATATAAAATGTGTCTTCATCTGCAGCATTTTAATACAAAAATGAAATTAATATCCCTAATCATAAAAATAAGACTCTATTTTATAGAAATAAACTTAGAAATTGGCATTTTGCTAGGAAAAAATGATCTCAGAATTTAAAACAAGTCTGAATATGCAGTTGAAATATCACGTACCTGAAATTGTGATATTTAATTGTGTGCTCTTGTTCTTTTAAGATGTGCATGAGTTGGAAATTTTACAGCAACAGGTAGCAAATAACTTCACTGTAGTGGCCTCAACCACAAGTACATTTATTGTTAACATTTGCCTGGTATATCTTTTTTCATCCTTTCACTTTCAATCGTCTGTGTCTGTATGTTTTAGGGGTGTCATTTCATGTGTATCACTTAGAATATAGCTGAATTTTAATTTTCTTGTATTCAAAAGAATATCTCTGTATTAAAGCTACAGTTTGGCCATGTATCCATTGAGATTATGGATATATTTGGAATTACTTCTAATCATCTTATTTTATTGTTCCTATTTTTTCTGCTTTTATCTATTTTTTCCTCCTTTTCTGCCGTATTTTTGTATTCAAATTTTAAAATTGTACTCCCCTGCCTCTTGCCACTGGCTTGGGTGTGACATACACTGTTTTCTTTCTTTAGTTTATTTCATAGCCACTTATATTATGTAGGATTCATTCAAAGTAAGTGAAGCACTTTGTACATTTTTACAATTGTCATAGCTACCGCTTTCACACACTCTCTCTCAACGGGATGTTCATATAACTTTAAAGATGACAAAGCCTAATCTGGCTTGCAGAGACAGGGGATGTTTTGTTAACCTTGGGAAACCAATGAATCACATAGAAGGCAGTCAGAGTAGCATGAATGGGAAGAGGGGATGGAGCAGTGTGGTCATCAGACCCCCGTATTCAGTCTGTGCTGAATTCATCCATCTATCCATCCATGTGTTCAATGAGCAGAGTTTTGTGAAGTGCTCATGCTATTGACATATTTGCTTGTTATTAAAACCAAACTGCTTCATTTGTAAGGAATGTGTTAGCTGATGACATTGTATATTTCAAAGGAACTAATACATTTTCTTCTATTTATTTTCCAATTCTCAAACCTTAGGGTGTATTAAAGTCACAGGGTAAAGCTTGTCAGTCAGTGGGGAGATCTTGGGATTTGTATTTTTATCAAGCAACCTCCCTTAGATGAAGACTAAGCATGATTACCTTTGGATGGTCTGTCCTGGCAACTCTGCACACAGTGGTGCTTTATAAATGTTTGCCACATTGGAGTAGGTAGCTGCACTAGAACAAAGGGATATAGAATTCTACAAGGAAGCTATAAACTAGAAGTTTAGGTATTAGTTGACAAGGTCTTGGAAGTGCAGTGTGCAGAATAGAAAAGCTAATCAAAATAATAATAACCATGATTACATTTGATCTTTATATTAGTCTGACACATTTAATCCTATGAAGTTGTACCAAGAAGCTGATTCTTTTGAAATTGTCTCTGGCTGAGAAGCTTTTGAAATAGATTAGGCTAGGTAAAATAGCAAGGGAATCTTCGGGATTGTGAAAATGTTGCTCAGTGGCAAGAACAAAAAGAATGCACATTATGAGAATTTCCAGACTTTAATAATGCCACATAATGTCAAATGGCAGCCAATTATACACTTTTCTAAAAGAAGACATTTCTGGTGGCAGTAAATTGTTTTCCAGACAGAAAGTTACTTTTAGAAATAATAAAGAATGGATTGTTTCTCCTCGTGGGTTTATATTTCAGTTGAAGTGGAAAATGCTTAATGCTAACAAAGTGCCTTTGCTTAGCAGTATCATAACTGCTACTTCTAACTTCCCACAGTTACGTGCTGCTATCTGGCACTTGTTTAATCAAGTATTGTTTCTGCCTCAGCCTTGTTGCCAGAGACTCTGAGTTGGTCCATTTGTGAGCAGTTATCCATCTGACAGCCTCAGGCTGACTTCTGTCTCCCCCTTAGAAGAGGAGAGGAAATCTTGTTCTTGTGGCTGAAGCACTAATTTGACTTTGATCTGAGGAGCACTACCTTCCTCAACACGACTTTCATGAATTCTCTTAAAAAGTAAAGCAATGGCATGAGAGAAAATAAACCAGTGATGGAGAATATCACCAATTCTCCCCTTACTGACATATTAAATTACCATATCACTAGCAGAAAACCCTGTCCATAGCAAAGAGAGTGATTAACAAACCCAAATAGGCATGGAAGGCTTCATACTCTTGGTTCAAAAGCTATTACTCCATCCCAACTTATAGTTGAGATTTTAGCCTTTCCCTCATATTTTACATTTGTTTGTAAATAATTGAATTTGATTGTTTTAAATATATAACACAAGCATACAATTCAAAGATTAAAAATGTATAAAATAAATGGTATGTTTCCCTTCCTCATTTGTCCCCCAGAAATCCAGTTCCTCTCCAGAGAGGAGCCTTTGTGTTCATTCTCTCATGAATCCTTCCAGAACTATGCCATGCACATATGAGGAACCAACAGCCTTTTCAACAAGTATTTACTGAGCACTCTATATGTGTCAGGCATTGAATTCGGGGCATATGAGAGTGAACGAGAGTCAGTATCACGTACCTTGAAGGAGTGTACATTCTGGTGTGGGGAGACAGGCAATGAATAAGATAAATATGCTATTTTATAATCTATTAGGAGATGATTGTTACTATGGAGAAAAAATCAAACAGAGACTGTAGGTAGGGAGTCTTGAGAGGCTGAAGAAATAGGTGGCAAAATTTTACAGTGGTCAGAAAGTGTCTCATGGACACAGTGACATTTGCACAGACTTGAAGGGGAAGTATAAGTGAGCACTGTGGTTATTGGGAAATAGCATCCAGAAACAGTGGCAGCAAAAAGTGGGAAATGAGGTCAAGGTCCACAGTGGATCACATCAGGCTGGGATTTGTCATGGTGATGAAGTTGGCTTTCATTCTGAAAAAAATATATAGGAAGTAATTGAAGGGTTTTGAGCAAGGAGTGACATGATCTAACTTACATTCTGGTGGGCTGCGCTGGATGCTTTGTTGAGAATAGCCTGAAGAGGAGTGGCGTGACCATTAAAAAGAGCATTGCAATTATATGGTCAAAAGATGAAGATTGGTGTAGAATAATCATGGTGAGAAATGGTCCGATTCTGGATGTACTGGACAGGCAGTGTCACAAGAACAGACCATGGCTTGGATGTGGGCTGTGAGATGAAGGAGTCAAGAGTGACTCTAACGATTTTAGCCAGAACAACTAAAAGAAGTGGCCATTCCCTGTGAAGGGAAAGACTGGAGTAGATATTTTGGGGGAAAGTGAGCAGTTCAGTCTCTGATATCCTAAGATTGGGAGGCTTGTAGATATCAAGTTGGAAATGCTGAGTAGGCAGTTGGATACACCAGTATAAAGTTAGGGAATGGATTTAAGCTGAAGATAAACACTCGAGAGTCAAAGGCAAAGAGGTGATATTTGAGGCTGTGAAATTGGAGGAGAATCCCCCACTCCAACACACACACACACACACACACACACACACACACACACACACACACACACACACACACAAGCAAATGTCGATAGAGAACAGAAGGGGTATGAAAAATGGAGCCCTGGGATTCTCTAACACTTGGTAGTAAAAGGGATAGGAGGAAAAAGCAAAGAGACTAAGAAGGAGTAGAAAGGGGAAGAAAAAAAAAATGTGTGCGGTGTCCTGAAAGCCAAAGGAAGAAAAACATTGCAAGAAGGCATGACAGTTGCGTTTAATGCTGCTAAATGATTTATCAAGATCAAGGTCATTGGTTATATTGACGAGAAGAGTTTTAGTGGAACAACAACAAACGAGAATGGATTTAGGTATAGAAAGCACAGGAGAAACTAGAGAAGTTAAATATGGACTAATTCTTTTGAGGTGTTTTGCTGTAAAAGAGAGTCAAGAAAAAGAGTAATAAGGGGTGAAATATGATCAAGAGATTTTTCTGCATGAGAGAAATAAAAAGCTAGTTTGAAGGCTGATAGTAATGATCTCATTAAGAGGAAAATGTAACTGGGTTTAAATATATTTATTTTGTTGCACATATGATACATTGCTACACACTAAACTCAACTTTTTTCACTTAATTTCAGTATTTCGTCACATTTACATTCTCAATGACCACAAGACACAGCATTACTGTTTTGCCACTACAAAAGGAAAAAATGTTCTGCTATTTAAACAATAATAGGGCATTATTTGAAATATACATCCTGATTTCAGAGATGCTAAAATGCTTAAAAATTTTTAAAAAGTTCCTCTCATAAACAATGAAACATGATCTGCATCCTGGAGATTTTTTCCATTTGAATACAAACAGAACAGCATCATCGATGGCAGTATATTCCATTTTATCAGAATTTCTTTAACCAGCTCAAAGAATGGACATTCTTTGATGTTACTGCAGTCAATAACCTTGTACATACAATCATCCTTAGCATGTGTGGGTGCAGGTGAAAGAGAAATTCCCAAAAGTGCAATTGTTATCTTATGGACAATCCAAATGGCCATGCAGAAAGCTTACATCAGCCTTCGGTAACGTCTGAGAATGCCTATTGATCCACATCTTTGGTGAACATAGGGTGTGATCAAATAAATATATTAATAAAGATAATAATCTTTGGTAATATAGTGTAGGAGGCAGAATAATGGCCTCCCAAAGCTGCTCACATCCTAATCCACAGAACCTGTGACTATATTACCTTACAGGGCCAAAAGGACTTTGTGAATAATGTAACGATCTTAAAATGGGGATATTATCCTGGACTACGTGGGTAAACCTAATGTAATCACAAGGTTCTTATACATGAAGAAGGGAGGCAAGAGAGAAAGAGAAGGAGATGAAAAGAGAAGAATGTCAGAAAGCCAGGTCAGAACAATGTGACTGCTGGCTTGAAGATGGGAGGGGGGTCAGAGCCAAAAGTGAAGGCCTCTAGAACCTGGAAAGGCAAGAAAATAAATTCTCACCTAGAGATGATAGCTTTATTAAAATAACATATAAACCTTCTTAGTTTTTACATAATCTGAAACAGTTTGAACAGCATGAGAGTTTTCTGTGATTTAACATTCCAATAGCCCGTGGTTTGAAAATAATCTCTTTTTTTTTTTTTTTTTTTTTTTTTTGAGACGGAGTCTCGCTCTGTCGCCCAGGCCGGACTGCGGACTGCAGTGGCGCAATCTCGGCTCACTGCAAGCTCCGCTTCCCGGGTTCACGCCATTCTCCTGCCTCAGCCTCCCGAGTAGCTGGGACTACAGGCACCCGCCACCGCGCCCGGCTAATTTTTTGTATTTTTAGTAGAGACGGGGTTTCACCTTGTTAGCCAGGATGGTCTCGATCTCCTGACCTCATGATCCACCCGCCTCGGCCTCCCAAAGTGCTGGGATTACAGGCGTGAACCACCGCGCCCGGCCAAAATAATCTCTTTTATAGAAATATGTCTGCATAGATTTTCTATATTCTATGTTTCTTTACAAATTCATCCTCTTCATTCATTCATGTTCTTTATTATGTTTGTATAAAACTGAGCAAAATAGTCTCTTATGATTCTTTTAATTTCCACTGCATTTGTACTTACTGTCAATTTTTATAAATTCTTCTTTCTCTCTTTCTCTGTTTAAACTAGCTAATAATTTGCCCTTTTCCTGTTAATCAGTTTTTGGGTTTACTGATTAGCTGTATAATTTTTCTATTTTCTAATAATTAAAATCTGTTTTTATCCTCATAATTATTATTTTGTTTTTCTTAGTTAGAAGTTTAATTTTTTTTGTTAGTGAATCAGTTAGTGCTATGATTTCGAGCCTGACTTCAGATCTATGTTATAGGTTCTGACATATCATGCTTTCATCAGTCTCTTCTGAATGTATTACAGTTTGGGTTTTGATTTTCTTATTGTCTCCATGTTTGTTTAAAAGAAATTTTGAAAATTTCCACATAGCTGTGCTTTTCACTGTTTCCAAATAATTATATTTTGCAATTTCTATTTTCATTGAATTTGATCAAAGAATGTTTTTGGTTCTATTTTAGCCTTGGTGAATTTGCTGAAGTTTTATGTATGGCCAGTATATTAATTTTTGCAAATGTTCTTATTCTCTTGGGGGTAAAGAGTCTGATATATCTATATCTATCTGTATCCATATACACACACTTACATGAATTAAATCTACCTTGTTAATTCTGCTATTTAGGTTTTCTATACACTTAGTTATGTTTGGTACATTGGGTGTATTGATGACTATAATAAATAGCTTAAAGTCTCTATATTGCCTTGTATTTATGATGATGTTTATAATGAATTTTGATACTACATTATTTGATGATTAGATACTTCCACTGTTAGAACTGCACTCTTATCCTTATAAACTGCCATTCTTTGTCTAAATTTGCCTTGGAATCAAATTCATCTGATATCAACAATGTTGCCAATACTTTATTAATATTTGCATTTGCCTTTGCTTGGGGTGTCTTTGCCCATCCTGTGACTTCTTCTCTTTGTTGGTCACTTGTTTGTTTGTTTTTTTAACTTCTTTTTTAAGTTCAGGGGTACACGTGCAGGATGTGTGGGTATGTTACATAGGTAAACACGTGTCATGGGGGTTTGTTGTACAGATTATTTCATCACCCAGGTATTAAGCCTAGTATCCATTAGTTATTTTTCCTGATTCTCTTCCTCCTTCCACTTTCCACCTTCTGATGGGCCCCAGTGTGTGCTGTTCCCCTCTGTGTGTTGATGTGTTCTCATCATTTAGCTCCTATTTATAAGTGAGAACATGCCATATTTGGTTTTCTGTTCCTATGTTAGTTTCCTGAGGATAATGGCCTCCAGCTCCATCCATTTCCCTGCAAAGGATGTGATCTCATTCCTTTTTTATGACTGCATAGTATTCCACAGTGTATACATACCACTTGGTTTCAAGAGTCTTCCTTTTCTACAGCATACGGTGAGTTTTGTGTTGCCTGAGAATCTTTGCCTTAGGTGAGTTTAAACAGCTTAAACTTTTTTACATGATAGATACATTTAGTCTTAGCTCCACTTGTACTGATTTTACTCATTTTTAATTGCTTAGTATATGATACAAAAGAGCACAGTTTCCATTGGTTTAGCGCAAAGAACTCAGGAAATACGAGGAAAGGTAGACAGGGCCAACTCTTGAATTGCAGGAATGAGGATCTTGGGTCTCTTCATTGTTTGTTCCTTAGGATATGGCACTCTGTTTTCTGATCCAATATACCAATATCCTTCCTATGTTTTTAACAAGTTTTAATGCTTAATATCCTCCCTTATATATGTCAAGATTTCCTTTACAGTGAATACTTAGATTGATAAAATATATAGGTAACTTATGATTGATATTATTGACAAGTTTCCATTCTGATAACTTTCCATTGTGATTCCCAGTATTTCTGAACATGCATCATTCTTTCTCATATCCCCCTCCCAGAATCCCCATGCAAAACACATAAACTCTTCTTAGGTTTATAAAATAAAAATAATTTTGCCCTTGGAAATTTTGTACGTTCTTTTTTTTTTTCTTTAGATGATTTCCATCATATATCATCCCAGAATCTTTTTTAAAAATGTGCAGGTAAATAGCACATTAGACTATTTTGGTTAATGCACTCAGCTGAGCAGTCTACTGCATTGTTCAGCTGAAAGCCTGATGACTTTACTTTCTTTGTCAACTTAATATACTATGTTCTTAATTTGAATGAGTATAAATGTCAAAATCCAGCATCCAAAATAGCTCTGCAGCATCTCAACCATCAGCTTTTGGGGAGAATGCCAGAGTTTGTTCTAGAAGATGCTTCTTAACTGCTAATGATTAGCACCTCAAAGCTTAAAGGTACTCATGACTCCTCAACTGAAAAAAAAAATACCCATTAGTAGAAGCTACACTGGTGGGTGTGAATGAAGGAAAGCAAATTTCTCCAGACACTGATCTGGCGAAGAGAATCAAATGGTTGGTGCGCTGTCACTTGATCACTCTGCGTTAATGCTGCTTCAGGCATTGCTCATTTCAGTTTTGCATTAGCAAATAATCTTATTAAAGAGATGGCCACGATAACACTGATTGATGGAGAGGAAGCATGCCTGGTTTAAAAGACTCAATTTATAATCAACTGTGCTTTAACAATGTAAAAATGTCATTTAAAATGCTGTGTATATTTAATCTATTTCTGAGGGAGCAATTACATCTATATGAAATTCTAATGATTGGAATGTAATGTTCATCAAAGGATTCTCCATTTTAATTTCAGTTCCCTCCTCTCTAACAAATAGTTACTTTAATCTATAAGAACTGCATTCTTGAATACTCAATGATTATTAAATGTCAAAGTCTGGATAACAAAGGTGGGACTAATGTAAGAGAAATCATAGTTTCACCATACCTCACTGCTAGACATCTTTAAACAATTTATTTCAAAATACTGACCTAGGAAGAAAGTCTATGACCAAGCTAGGAGCAAATGATTTTTCTTTATTCCTTGTAGCAATGGTGTAGAGTATTTCCTTTGTGCAGCACTTACTTGTGAGTACTTCCTAGGTGTCAGGCAATTTGCTGCACACTGCCAGCATGCACTGAAATGACAGATCTGGTTCGTGTCCTCATGGAGCTTGGGGTCTGAGTGAAGTGGCCAGCTTATAAGTAAATAAGAGATTGGATTTTATTTCAAGGGCAGTTAGAAATCCCAGCAAGGTATAAGCAATGAAATGGCCAGGATCTGATGTGCATGTTTAAAAAGCTAAATCTGGCTGCTCTAGGCAGTGAACTGGAGGTAGGCTGAATTGAAACAGAAAAATTTAAAGTCTGTAGCAGTGGTCTAGGTGCAAGGCTGTGGTGGCAGTGGGAGGAATTGAGGTATTCTGGAGAAAGGGGCAATGGGACTAGATACTGATTAGATGTGGAGGAGAGAGACAGGAAGCCAATCAAAGGTCTCTCTTAAACAATGGGACAGAACTACCTTCTGTGACTGGGGAAATGGGGCAGGAGTAAGTCCAGAGCTCACGGTATGCCAAGAGTTTCCCCAGCTCATTACATTATCTATGACATTCACAAAACCTCAGAGTTTATTATTATACCCATTTCATTGGTGAAGGAATCTCCTTAGGAATTAAGGTAGGGTTACAAAGACATTTTTAAAATTGACAAATATCAAAATTGTTATAGAATATATATCATGTTTACGTGTCTTGATTGCTTTTATTATCTATAACACTACCTGGAATAAGATAGCATATAAACTATCAAAAGAAATGTACAATCCTTAAGTACTTAAAATGACTGGAGAACATGGCTAAACATTGTTTTTAGAAGTCTGTAACATGTGATACAGCACAATAGCACAATGAAAAACAAAACTTATATAATCATTTTAATAGATATAGAAAAAGCATTTGGCAAACTTCAACATTCTTTTATGGTATAAACTCTCAACAAATTACATATTGAAGGAATGTACCTCAACACAACAAAGTCGATAGATGACAAACCATGACTAACATCATACTCAATGGGGAAAACTTGAAAGCTTTTTCTCTATGATCCAGAATAAGCCCAGAATGCCCACTCTCACCACTCCTATCCAACATAGTACTGGAAGTTCTAGCCAGAGCAGTAGCCAAGGGAAATAAATAAAAGGCATCCAAATTGGAAAGAAAGAAGTTAAACTGTCCCTGTTTGCAGGTAACACATCTTATATAGGAAACCCTAAAGGTTCCACCAAAATGCTGTTAGAAATAATAAACAAATTTAGTAAAGTTGCAGGATATAAAATCAACATACAAAATTAATAGTATTTCTATACACTAACAGCAAACTATCTGAAAAAGAAATGAAGAAAACAAGCCCATTTACAATAGTTACAAAAAATACTTCGGAATAAATTTAACAAACAAGGTGAAAGATCTCTACATTGAAAACTATAAAACGTTGATGGAAGTCACAAATAAATGGAAAGATATCCCATGCTCATGGATTGTAAAAGATACTATTGTTAAAATGTCCATTCTACTCAAATCAATTTATAGATTAAATGCAAAATTTGATAACTATCAAAATGCCAGTTACATTTTTCACAGAAATGGAAAAAACAGTTCTAAAAGTTGTATGAAACCAAAAAATACCCTGAATAGCCAACTGATCTTGAGCAAAATGAACAAAGCTGAAGGCATCACACTACCATACTTCAAAATATACTGCAAAGCTATAGGAACCCAAACAGGGTGGTACTGTCATTAAAAAAAGACACACAGACTAATGGAACAGAATAGAGAGCCCAGAAACTGTTTTCGACAAAGGCACCAAGAACGCACAACGGGGAAAAAACAGACTTCAATAAATGGTGTTAAGGAAACTAGATATTCACATGCAGAATAATAAATTTGGACCCTTATATCACACCATATACAAAAATCAACTCAAAAATGGCTGAAGACTTAAATGTCAGACTTGAAACTACTAGAAGAAAACATAAACAACTCAAACAACTCAATAGCAAGGAAATAACCTGATTTAAAAATTTTAAAAAGGCCTGAATAGACATTTCTCAAAAGAAGACATACAAATGGCCAAAAGGTATATGAAAAAGTGTTCAGTTTCATGAATCATCAGGGAAATGCAAATCAAAAGCACAAGGAGATATCGCACTCCAGTTAGAATGGATATTTTCAAAAAGATAAAAGATAACAAGTATTAGCAAGGATGTGCGTAAAGAGAGGCCTTGCACACTGTTTGTGGGAATGTAAAATAATATGGCCATTATGAAAAGCAGTATGGAAGTTTTTCAAAAAACTAAAAATAGGCTCTGTGTGGTAGATTATGCCTGTAATCCCAGCACTTTGGGAGATGGAGCCAGGAGGATTGCTTGAGCCCAGGAGTTCAAGACAAGCTTGGGCAACATAGCGAGACCCTGTCTCTAAAAAAATAAAAACATTTAGCTGGGTGTGGTGGTGCATGCCTGTAGTCCCAGCTACCAGGGAGTCAGAGGCAAGAGGATTGCCTGAGCCAGGGGGAAGGCTGCGGTGATCAGTGATCACACTACTGCACTCCAGCCTGGGAGACAGAGCAAGACCCCATCTCAAAACAAAAAAAAAACAAAACAAACTAAAAATTGAACTACCATATGATCCAGCAACTGTACTACTGGGCATATATATTTACAAAGGAAATGAAATCAATATATCAAAGAGACATCTGGACCCCTATGTTTACTGCAGCACTATTCACAAGAGCCAAGATACAGAATCAACCTAAGTATCTATGAAAAGATAAATGGATAAAGAAAACATGGCATATATACACAATGGGATACTATACAGCCATAAAAAGAAGGAAATCCCGTCATTTGCGACAACATGGATGAACCTGAAGGACATCAGGTTAACTGAATAACAAAAATAAACCAGGCACAGAAAGACAAATACCACATGACTTCATTTATATGGAATATGAAAAAGTTGATCTCATGGAAATAGTTGAATGGTGGTTACCCGAGACTGGGATCATTAGAGGAAGAGGAGACTTTGAGGAGATGCTGGTTAAACTATATTTATAGTTAGAAAGAAGGAATAAGTTCAAGAGATCTATTGTACAACATAGTGACTATAGTTAATGATGGTATATTGTATTCTTGAAAAATGCTAACAGAGTGGATGTTAAGTGTTCTCATCACAAAAATGATAACTATGCGAGGTAATGTTTATGTTAACTGACTTAATTTAACCATTCCACAGTGTATATACTTCAAAACATCATGTTGCACTTCGGGAGGCTGAGTCAGGAGGATCGCTTGAGCCCAGGAGTTTGAGACCAGCTTGGGCAACACAGTGTGACCTCATCTCTACAAAAATTTAAAAAATTCTCTGAGTCTGGTGGTGTGTTCCTGTCACCCTAGCTACAGGAAGCTGAGGTGGGAGGATTGCTTGAGCCTGGGAGGCCAAGGCTGCAGTGAACCATGATAGTGCCCCTTCACTCCAGCCTGGACCACAGAGTGAAACCGCATCTCTACAAAAATTTAAAAAATTCGCTAAGTTTGGTGGCCTGTGTCTGTGGTCCTAGCTACTTGGGAGGCTGAGTTGGAAGGTTTGCTTGAGCCTGGGAGGTCAAGGCTGCAGGGAGCAATGATCGTGCCACTGTACTCCAGCCTAGGCAACAGGGTGAGACCCTGTCTCAAAAAAAAATATCACATTGTACATGATAAATACACACACTTTTATCTGTCAAAAAAAGTGTGTCACACACGAAAAGATTTTTGTGGGGGAGGGTAGGAATGAGAGAGGCAAATACAACTGAATAAAGCCAATGGCTGACCTGGTGATCCAATTAACTCTACTAGTGTTTATCTAGTGCTTTTTACTTGCAAGGCACTCTATGAGATTCTGAAACACCAATCACAAAATTTATTTAAAATGGCTAGACATTTAGAAATATTTGGAGGATTTAAAAGTGGCTGGCAAAAAAAAATTTAAAAAAAACCTATAATGAAGGGCAACATGTTGAGCTGCAAGAAGATGACCAGAAGGGAGCCATGGGAATAAATGTCAGATTCAGTTTGAGCCACAACTTTATTAATGATCTGGAAAAAGACCTGCGTGAATGAAATTTCCAAATGACACTAAATGGGGAATTGTCAAGCTCACCAGTGAAAACAGAGAGATAATATTATATGCAAAGGCTAACAATAGCAAGAAATGAAGGTTATGCATACAGAAAAGATACAATTGCATGAAATCTCATGTTAAAAACCATTGTTTTCTACATAAAGGATAAAAATCCTTTAATTGGATTGAGCATGTCTCAGAGGTGAGAGAAGTCAGTAAAACAATAAAATCCAAAGAGAGCAAAGTGTTACATACATAGAAAATGAAGAGGTAACTGGAAAGCCAATTGCTATCCAAATGAACTAATAATATTTTGTGGTGTTTTGAGTATAGAAAGTGTAAGTTATTTTTAAAAGCCTCAAACAAATACTAAAACAGAAGTTGATATTGGGGCCGGGCGTGGTTGCTCACGCCTGTAATCTCAGTACTTTGGGAAGCCAAAGTCGGGTATCACTTGAGGCCAGGAGTTTGAGACCAGCCTGGCCAACATGGTGAAACTTTGGCTCTACTAAAAAAAAAAAATACAAAAAATATTAGCTGGGCATGGTGGCATGGGCCTGTAATCCCAGGTACTTGGGAGGCTGAGGCAGAAGAATCGCTTGAACCTAGGAGGCAGAGGCTGCAGTGAGCCACGATCGGGCCACTGCACTCCAGCTTGGGCAATGGCATGAGACTACATCTCAAAATAAATAAATAAATAAAGTCACTATTGGAAGAGATTACTGAATTAAGTAATCTCATGGCACCCAGGTTTTGCTCCATCATCCTGCTTTTAGTTCAGGGTATAGGATGGCCCATGCTTTCTCTCTGATCCTTTGAAGGTAGACTCTTTGCATTCACATCAAGGCTGGGATGATGCAAGGACAGCACTACTTTTTGAAGTAAGTCTGTGAAGGTTCTGTGCTTAGAGTGCAGAGGTTGGATTCCAGCACAGAGTGGCCGTTCTATTTAATACCCTAAAGGAAAAACACCCTTCCCCACACTCCCACCCCACTAATGGGCACCGTTATTGCCCATTGCAACTAGAACCCTATTCTTTTTTTGTTCTCTGTCAAAAATACTATATTTGTTATCTAAGTTTGTTCCTGGATTAGACAACGAAAGAAAGCTTCAGTTCTTACTCCTCTAGCATTCCCTATGCATTCTTACATGAGGCATTCACAGTGCTTGGTTGGGCACATATCACTCACCTAAAGATGAAAACTCACAATTTGATATGAAGCAAACTTCTGGCTCTTCCACTCTCTCTCTTTCCAACCTACACTGAATGAAGGAGGAAGGTAACTTCCATCATCACAAACACTCTGTCTTTTATTTGGTTGGAAATTGAATGGTAGAAAGCACTTCCTTTAATGCAGCTCAGGAAAAAAAACAATTGTGGCTCTCCCTTGAACATGATTATGTTTCATGTGTCAGAACAGGGATGATTGATTAAAATCATGATTATGGGAAGGTGCCACATTGACTGGGTTCCAAGATAATGCCTTTCTACATTTGAGCTTGTCATACTATGAGAATGTGACAAAAAAGAATGCTAGATCATTGATATTATAATTCTGAAAATGACTCACTATTCTATTCATATTTTGCACAATGCAACATCTAGAAAATTACTCAAACAGTGAGTGGGTAGAAGACAATGTTCGGGAATAGACGTCATTAAATGTTAGAAAAAACATTTCTTATAAATATTTAAGGTGTCCCCTGAATTATGTTTAATCTCAACTGTAGAGTATCTCTCTCTCATCCATATTTTAGGGAGACAGAATGATACCATGGAAACTGCCCTAATCTATAAGACCTGAATCCTGAATTCTACATATGAGTCTAACATAAGTTAGGTGAATGAATATAATATTGGGCTTCTTTATTTATTCATTAAACATTTTTAGAGTATTACCAACTGGAACTAATCCCACTTACCTCTGAACATATACAATAAAAAAGTGTACTTTACTTATTTATTTTGTATTTATTTTCAGTACTTATGTACTTGTTCTTCCTACTTTATTTACTTATTTATCCAACAAGTATTTATTGAGAAGGTACATTTTGCCAAGCAGTGGGGTAGGTGGGCATTGTTCTTGCCTTCAAAAAGTTTAAAACCAGTGGAATAGATAGATAAGAAAAGAGAGAATTACAATCAGCCTAACCAGAGCTACGATGAGGACTAAAAGGGTTGTATAAAATTTATCAAACAATGCCTAAACTAGACTTAGGCAGTTGGGGATATTCCTGGGGAAATGGCAGTGGAAATAAAATTTGAAAGTTGTATGGAAATTAGCCAGATGAATAATGCAGATGATGCAGGTGTTCCAGAAAGAAATAGCATGGGAAGAGGCTGAGAGGTGAAAGAAAGCATAACTCTTTGGGAAAAGAGAAGTACAAAGTAATTTATTAAGATTGAATAATTGACTGTGATTGAATGGAACTGGGGTGAGAAAATGTTGCCAAACCATGAGGTATGTGGTAAAGGAGACAAAGAACAGATTACCAAGTAGTTTTTAAGCTAATGTGTTATTCTGGCTCCTTCCTGAGAGTTTTTATATTTTTTATTTTATTTTTTATTCGGGCAGTTAAAAGAGCACAAGCTGAGAACAATATGATTACAATCTTTATTTTACAATAAGCACTTTTGGCTTTGGAGCAGAGAACAGATTGTAGGAGAAAAGGGATGCAAAGCCACTGTAACAATCTAAATGAGAAGCGATGGTGAGTTGACCTAATGTAGTGGAGTTTGAAATGTTAATGATAATGATAATAATAGTGATCATCATAAGAACTAATGCATATTGAGTATCAGAAGAATAAATGCATGTTGAGCATTTCTACATGCCAGGTACTACGATGAATATTTTTCATGTCTATGAAACTTTATTATTCACAGCAAGCCCATAATATAGGCACCTTTATTATCCCCACTTTACAGATGAAAAAACCAGGGTCTCCTCAAGATCTTTTATGCTTGAAGGTAAGTGTATCTAACTCCATTTATTAAGTTCACATACTTTTTCTGACAGATAATATTAGGTGCTGAGTAAAGAGTATTAAACCAGACAGAAAATGATCCTTTTCCTTTCAAACTGATAGAAAGATAGACTTTAATCAAAGAAGTGGGTATAAAACTTAAGTAGATGACAAAAGGGATCTAAGAATAGTTAGATAACTTGCCTAATATCACACAGAGTAGCAAAGAAAGCACATGAATCCAGACCTATCTACTATATAGCTGTGGACTGAAAACAGAGCCCTGAGCAGCACAAGCATATGAATTACTGCTGACATGAAACATACAGAGGGAAAAGAGAAGGATAACAGCAGATTTCTCACTGGAAATAATGTAAATGAGAAGACAATGGAGCAACAAGCTTAAAGTACTGAAAGAAAAAAAAAGTGGCTACAACCAAGAAAAATATCTTCCAAAAATCTTAAAGGAAGGCATATGGAAAATTATAGTAGAGGGCAATATGGTTTGCCATACAGGAAAGAAGAAATAAAGTTGTTTTTCCCCACAGATAACATTATTGTCTATGCACAAAGTCCAATGAATTATACAAGAAAAGCTACAAGAATAACTTAGTTTAGTAAGGTTATATAATAAAGACCAATATTTAAAAACTCATTACTAACCATATATTAGCAACAAAAAGTAGGAATTTGAAATGTAAAAGCAGACTAATTTACAATATCAAAAATATGAAATACTTGGGCATCAATCCTATGAAAGACATATAAGTCCTGTACACTGAAAATAACAAAACACTCATGAGAAAAACTAAATGGGAAATTATACCATATCCATAGACAGGAAGAATCAATCTTATTATAATTTCAATTCTCCACAAATTATTTATAGATTTAATACTATTCCAATCAAAATCCCAGCAGGAACTTCTGTAGAAGTTGTAAAGATGTTCTAAAATTCATATGGAAATGCTATAGATCTAAAACAGCCAGACCTACCTTAGATAAAAACATCAAAATCAACAGATTAATATATCTGAATTAAAAACATATCATAGGCCGGGCACGGTGGCTCACACCTGTAATCCCAGCACTTTGGGAGGCCGAGGAGGGTGGATCGTAAGGTCAGGAGTTAGAGACTAGCCTGGCCAAGATGGCGAAACCCGGTCTCTACCTAAAATACAAAAACTAGCCAGCAGCGGTGGCGGGCGCCTGTAATCGCAGCTACTCAGGAGGCTGAAGCCGGAGAATCACTTGAACCCTGGGAGGTGCAGGTTGCAGTGAGCTGAGATCGCGCCACTGCACTCCAGCCTGGGTGACAGAGCAAGACTCTGTCTAAAAAAATAAAAACAAATAAAATAAATTAAAAAAAAGACATATCATAAAGCACGAAGACAAGACAATGAGGTGTTTGCAAAGATGGAAAAATATATTAAGAGAACAGAATAGAGTCCTGACATTCTCTCTTCTTTTCTCAATAGATAGATAGATTCACACAATCACACACACACACACACACACATGCAATTCAGTGAAAAACTGTGTTCTCAACAAAAGATGCCAGAACAATTGGATATCCCTATGCAAAAATAAATAAATACTACATAAATAAGTAAATAAATGAACTTCTATCTACATTTTGTACTTACACAAAAATTAACTTGGAATGGAACATAATGCTAAAAAGTAAAAGCTAAAACTCAAAACGTAGAAAAAAAGCACAGGAGAAAATCTTTGTGTCCTTGGGTTAGGTGATGATTTCATAGATATGACACCAAAATTACAATCCATAAAAGAAAAATATGATTAACTTCACTTACTCAAAATTTAAAAATTCTTCTCTTCAAGACGCTGCTAAGAGAATTAAATGGCAAGCCAAATATTATGGAAAAAATGTTAGCAAATCACATATCTGACCAAAGATTTGTGTCTAAAATATGTAAAAAACTCTCAAAACTGAATAATTAAAAATGAAAAACAATAAAAATAGACAAAACATTTGAAGAGATACACTACTAAAGAGATGTGAAGAGCAAATAAGTTCATAAAAATACTCTACATTAGTAGTCATTAGGAAAATTCAAATTAAAAGCACTATCAGATACTGCTAAACTTCTCTTAGATAGTTCACATCCCCTATACTAAGTGTCCGGGACAATGCGGAGTAATTGTAGTAATTACTCTGCAATGGAACTCTCATATGCTGCTGGTTGGAATATAAAATGTTACAGCCACTTTGGAAGACCATTTGGCAATTTCTGAAAAAGTTAAACATATGCCTACTATATGATCCAGTCATTCCATCCCTAGGTATTTATTCAAGAGAAATAAAATGTATGTTCATGCAGGGCTTGGATAGAAATGTTCTTAGCCACTTTATTTATAATATCGCAAGATTGAGAACAACCAAATTATCTACCAGTAGGTGAATAAACAAATAATGGCATCTCTATACAATGAACTACTACTCTGCAATAAAAATGAACTATTGATGTACACAAAATATAGATGAATCTCAAACTATGCTGAGGGAAAGAAGCTAGAGCAAAAAAAACCCTCAAGAGTATATATTTTATAATTTCATTTCTATAACAGTCTCCAAAATGAAAACTAATCTATAGTCACAGAAAGCAGATGAGTGTTTGCTAGATAGGGATGGGAGTGGGGAGCCAACAGAAGAAATCACAAAAGGGCACAAAGAGAGGTTCCGGGCTGATGGATGGATCTGTTCAGTATCTTGATTGTAATGATGACTTCATGATGCACACATATGTTAATATTTATGAAATTGTACATTTTAAAAATGCCTTGTTATTGTGTGTCAATTATACCTTAAGAACACTGCTTAAAAAGTTAGAGCTATAACTAAAGAATCCCTACCTTACCCAGTTCACTCCTTGTCTCCACATATGTAATTACCACTAAAGCTGATCTCTATCTGCTCAGTGCATTTTTTAAGTTTTTTCTACATTTTAGCGTACCCATACAATACATACTACTGTTTTGTGTGTTTTAAGTGTTCATAAATGTTAATATAATGTGCACATTACTTTTTATTGGCTTTAATCTCTCCAGAGTGTTGTGAAAGATACATGAGCTTCACTTCTGAAGCTGAGGAGCCTGCTGGGACGAAGAATATGATCCCAAGAGGGAAATAAAGCAATAAAGAGAAAACTTTTTGTAAAATGAAAAAGGAGACTAAAGAAAAAAATAACAAGAAAGAAAAGATAGGATGAAGAAGTTGGAAGAGAGGAAGCTAAAAGGAAGCTTGGTAAAGTATTTCACAATGAAACATCAAAAGAGTTCTATAATCATAAAATAGGAATTAAAGGAATTTAAGATGAGACCATTAAAAAGATCTTTAAGAGCCTGCAGGAAATAAAAGTGGGATAAAACAGAAATGTCATGTAAAATGCCTTACATTACAAACTGCTGGTTAAACCAAAATCATGTTGAAGGGTAGAGAAAGAGAAGGCACTTGCCAGGGGAGAGGACTGGGAGGTTATCCATGGGTGGGCTGTGAATGCAACACAGGAATTACCCAGTAAACCCAGACTGGAAGGTTCAGAAGAACTGCAAAGAGAGTTTAAAGGTACTAATGAAAAGCAGATTATGAGAAGCGAGAAACATTTACTGCAAGTTTTATCAGTTACAATTAGGTTCAGCTGTAGGCACCGGACACCTCTAAATAACAGCGGCTTAACAAGATGGACTTTTGTTTCTCTCTCATATGCAAGAAACTGGGCATAGGCAGTGCAGGGCTGGGAGGTCAGCTCTGTAGAGTCATCAGGAGCCACCCAAGTTTATTCTGCTCATCACTACATCATGCGTAGGGCGAGGTTCTTCATCACAGTCCAGGGGTTTCTGCTGGAGAACCTTATGGGGATCGCAGGGTAGAGGAAGGAAAAACAGAAATAACAAAAAGAACATGCCCACTGTTTCCTAAGGTCTCCTGGATGGTGTCACCCAGAACTTCTGCTTTCATTTCATTGGCCATAATTTCGTATCATGACCATACCCAGCTGCAAGGAAGGCTGGGAGATGTCGCCATGCACCAGCTAAAATTAAGGTTCTGCCATCAAGAGAGAAGAGGATAACAGAGACATTGGGTATACAATGAGCAATCTCTGCTACCAATTCCTTTAGGCTAAGCACTGTTGTATCTTGTACACACACACACACACACACACACACACACACACACGTATATTTTTTTGAGACAGGGTCTTGCTCTATTGACCAGGCTGGAGTGCAGTGGCACGATCATGGCACACTGCAGCCTCAACCTCTCGGGCTCAAGCAATCTTCCCACCTCCGCTTCCCGTGTAGCTGGGACTACAGGCGCACGCCACCATGCCCAGCTAATTTTTGTATTTTTTGTAGAGGCGGGATTTTGCCATGTTGCTGAGACTAGTCTTGAACTCCTGAGATCAAGCAATCTGCCTGCCTCAGCCTCCCAAAGTTCTGGGATTACAGGTGTGACCCACCACACCCAGCCAACATATATATTTTAACATTCACATAAAAACTACAAGATAGATATTATTATTCCCATTGTAGAGGAGAATAAAATAAGGTTCCCAGAGTTCAAGTAAGTTACTGAAAGCCTCAGTGGGATTAAAATCTAGATCTGTCTGGATCCAAAGCGAACACCCATGTGTTCTTTCTACAGTTGAAAATAGAAAATATAAGAGTCACGACCCCGGGGGAAAGTTTCTTGAGAAAAGCATAAATGTGAATTCAAAAAAGAAGCAGGAGACTCAAGTGGAATGATTAAAGACTTTATAAAAAACAGGACAGTGCATTGACAAATTTGTGAGACTATTTTTATAACAAGAAATTGAGATGCAATATCCTATGGAATATTTTTGGCTTTGCCAGTGAAAACCTGGGATTTTTAACATGTATTTCTTTCTTTCTTTTTTTTTTAGACGGAATCTCGCTCTGTTTCCCAGGCTGGAGTGCAGTGGCACAATGTTGGCTCACTGAAACCTCTGCCTCCCAGATTCAAGTGATGATCCTGTCTCAGTTGCCAAGTAGCTGCAATTACAGGCACCCACCAGCACGCCTGGCTAGTTTTTGTATTTTTAGTAGAGACGAGGTTTCACCATGTTGGCCAGGCTGGTCTCAAACTCCTGACCTCAGGTGATCCGCCCATCCAACCTCCCAAAGTGTTGGGATTACAGGCATGAGCCACTGCACCCGGCCACATGTATTTCATACAGGGTAACCATCTCTTACTTAAATGTTAAATCCCCAATCTCTGAAAACCCCGCCTTTTTTTCCCTAAATCATTGATTGTCAAAACCTGATTTAAAGTGAAATAAGACCCTTTATATTTATTACTTAAATTATTTTGTTTAGCTATTCATAAGTTTCACTGCAGTAATTTTAATGAGCTTGGCTCCAGGAACTGCCAGACAAGCCCTGGGTGTCATGTAATATACGGCCAATGCACAATGCTATCTTAAACAGTCTGAAACTTTTGTTTAAGAAACATATCTGGCCCTATGTGTTTAGATAAGGTAATGTAGATTGTATAACAATCTTTCTACTATTGAAAATCAAATAAGGTAATATCTATGAAAGCATTGGGGATGACTTGAGAAATCTGTAAGTATAGAATATATTATTATTATTAGTCCATGGCCAGATTGGCTCGTTTGACATTAGCTCAGTAAAGTCAATACCTGAGGTGCATTTTCTTCCATGAAAATGATGTGTCTGTAAATATTCCTTGAATATAAACTTCTCAGTATTATTATTAGAGAAATATTATTATTTATGCAAACATTCTAATTAACCCAGTTCAATTTGGTCATAGAAAAATCTCCCTCAGAGACAACACTGTACCTGTGGTAAATCCCTGAAGACTCCTAAGTGAAACACAAATCACTGGCTTACCAGAGGAGAGACAAATATGAGGTCATTAAGTAGATAAAGATATAAAAATGCTGTGTCTTGTTCTAAAATTATATATCTAAGCACCTCATGCTCAGGTGATATGCACCATAAAAACACATGAACACCTTGCTCTTCAATAACAAGAGGAATTATCATTAGGCTCAGTAGAGAGACAATCAGCAGGAGAGGGTTTCGAAGAATTTAAAACTTTGCCACAGAGGCTGCTTGTTAATTCACAGTTTCTAGGTCCCCGCTATCTGCTCACGTAAGTCTTTCTATAAATTTTATGATTTTTCTTCAGTTTCTTGCAGGGTTTATCATTATATAGTATTTCATTGAGTTCTTATAAAGATATGCAAGGAAGAGAGAACAGGATGATATGCTAATGTGAATTGTTCTTTTAATGACACCCTTAAACATGCTATAGGAAAGACATAAAACACGACTTCCTAAGTGAGCAGCCAACTTCAAAATACTGCAAAACATATCTATGTCATCATCTTAGGAGCCAGAGGCCTATCAAGATACAAGGATTATAACCAGAAGAGGAAAATCTTATTTCCATATTGCTTTGCATCAATAGAAGAAATTTCCTTTCGCAGTACATGTTGCGTCTATTTTGAGATGAGGATAAAAGCAAAGGATGGTGAAATAGCAACAAAATGCGTTATCAGGAGCCTACTCAGTGATGATAACTATAGCTAACCAGATATGCTGGCTCACTTAAAAATAAGCTAGAGAGAAAATAGAAGACCACAAGCATGTCACTGAAAGACTCTCTCTTCATTTTTTTTTCCGACCCCCATAAGCCTCAAAAGCAAAATAAAGCTAGTGCAAAACCCAAGGATGGTGGGAGAATGAATATGAATCTCAGGTTTTCTTCCTTCTTTGGGGCTTTAAGGGGCTAATTCAGACTAGAGAAGAGGCATCCTGTAGGTTTAGTCTCTCCCTTCTGTACTTAATTACTACCTACTATATCCAAGTTACTATGAGTAAGACAAAAGAAGAAGATGGTCATGGTCTTGTAGAGCTTATAATCTATTTTGTAAGATAAAACTACACAAACAAACCAAATTCTTTAGAAGGCAGTGCATGATGAGTGATAACCAGGTCTTAGAGCCTATATACATTGCAGGCATTTATAGGAGGCAGAGTGACGTGTTTAATTACTGTCTTCAGTGTCTAGGGAAGTAAAAAAGAAGGCAAGAGAGAGGAGGAGTGGGGAAACAAAGATGAGACATAACTGATGCTTTGGTGTCTGGAGCCCCATGATATATGCACCCTGCAATTTGTTAGCCCCTTGTCTGTGAGAATGAGACAGCACCCCCTTTAACCCAAGGAGAAATGCAGCTTCCTGTGAAGGCGTGAGCCCTTCAGCGGACAGGAGAGAAAGAAGAGACAGGAAGAAATGAACACATTAGGGAGACAGGGCTCTCAAGGCAGTCAAGAGTGTGTGTGGGTATTTTTATTCTGGGCTTAACTCAAAGAAGCTCCAGGCCAATTTAGCAAAAGGGAGATTCACAGTTACAGGTAACGGTAGAGGTGCTAAATTATTTAACTAGATTTTCTTTAGTCCTGTGAGCAACAGCATCATAAACCTGTGGAAAGACATCTGATTCACCGAAAAAGCTGAGTGCAGATCACATAATGTAAAACAGTAATTATGCTGGCAATTACTCATTTTAAAGTCTAAGCAAGCTGGCTTTAATAAAGCACAAACCACATATCACCAATACTCTCCTTTTTATTACAATAAAATAGCACTTTCAAGCTTGTAATTGCTTTATAGACCTAGAAAAAGAATGCTGATGAGATTATTTTCACAGGGTTCAAATATTTATGAAAACCTTAATAATTTTAAAAGTCAAAACACAAACATTACAGGAAAAAAAAAGCATGAAATCAAACAGGCTCTCTTGCTCTTTCTGCTGTCTTTTAAACCAAGAATAAACACTGGTCTCACAGTTTTCTGGCTTCTTGAAGTAGGAAATTCTTTTTTTGGTTTTTTTTTTTTTGAGACATAGTCTTGCTCTGTCACCCAGGCTTGAGTGCAGTGGCATGATCTCGGCTCACTGCAACCTCCGTCTCCCGGGTTCAAGCAATTCTCCTGCCTCAGTCTCCCGACTAGCTGGGACTACAGGCGCCCGCCACCATACCCTGCTAATTTTTTGTATTTTTAGTCGAGATGGGGTTTAACCGTGTTAGCCAGGATGGTCTCGATCTCCTGACCTTGTGATCTGCCTGTCTTGGCCTCCCAAAGTGCTGGGATTACAGGCGTCAGCCACCATGACCGGATGAAATAGAAACTTCTTAGGTGCTATTTCAAAGATTGTGTAAAGAAATTTGAGTGGTATATGCCTAGACTCTCTAAAGGAACAAGCATCTTTATAAAGGTACACCTTTACTAAAGCTTTTTACTACAAAGTGAAAGGATGCACAGAGATAGCTGATGAATAAAGTGGAAAATAGTAGTCACAATGGCTAATGCAGGCATTTACCAGATATAAGCATTCATTCATTCTTTAAATTCATTCTGTCATTTAACGCATTTTAATGAGGGCCTCTTCTGTGCCCAGTAGTATTTTTTGGGAGTTGTATTAGTCATTATTCAATTATTCATGACCTCTCACTTTATATAAAACTTACTAAAGTGGTATTTTATGAAACTAGGTGTAGGTCATAAGTTCAATTTTATAACCTTTATTTTTTATAGTCAATCACCAAACAATATGGCTATTTTGGTGGATCCCTAAATTAGAAATTGGTAGTTACAGAGGTCAGCATCCAATTTCTTTTTTGCCCTTTTTGTTGTTGGCTCCATCCCATAGAAAAAATATCTTGATTCATACTGAAAAGGAGTCACAGTTGGTAACAGTTCCTTAACAGCATGACAGCATGTCCTATAATCTCAAGATACTCTTCAATTAAAAAGAGATGGAAGGAAAGCTTTGATCTGAGGCCTGCACAAAAATGATTTAACCTGGCATTTATTTATAGATTTAATAGGTCACCACTAGAAATATGTGGTGAGAAACTGCTTGCTACCCTCATGGAATTTAAATCTTGTGGGGGAGATAGACATAAACAAAATTAATTCACAGATGATTATTTAATAATCACTGCAATAAGTACTACAGAGTGCTTTGCAAATGTTAGGTGGGATGCTGACCCAGACTGGGGCATTCAGGACATCTCCACGATTGTAGGATCCATTGGCTGTGGAAGGCTGGGAAAGAGGGAGGTGTCAAGGATTATGGAGTGAAGTCTAAGACAGGGAGACTGGGGTAAAGCAAGTTTGTGACAATTTTATTTTGCAAGTCAGGGAAAGTCAAATGTAATGGTCCTCAGTGCGCGAAAATCTGGGATATCACATCTCTGAGTATATTTTATTTTAGATATATAGACAAGTGATGCATTAAAAATGAAATTTCCCCACACATATGTGCAACTGCTAAAGCACCTGATGGGATCCTTGTGCGGAATTCCCTTCCATGAGGTAAGCTCTGGGGAACACACACCAGGCTTAAGTTCACATTCACCATTTCCAGCTTGACACCAGGAGAGGTCTGTCTCATTTCTGAGATTTGATTTCTTCATTGTAAAATTAAGGAAATAAGGCCTCCCTCATGGAGTTGTGAGGAATAAATAAAATTAAATAGGAATGGTACCTGACACAGTACTTAGTAACGAATAGCTATGCTGTATTTTCATTTACTTATTTCTTTCTTCTTTACCTCTCTGCAAATAAAAATAAGGAAACACGCTTGCAGGGTTAGCATGAGGATTCAGTGCAGTCCTTTATGTGAAAGTATGTAGAGTGTGATATATTCTCAAAAAGTATTTGGAAGACAATGAACTGGAAAAAGACAGTAAATATGGCATTTCACATTTGCTTGGGGCCAGACACTTTTATTCTTCTCAGAACCCATTCCCTCTAAGAGTATAATTTATCAATTCTAGAAGAGCCAATGGGCCACCCATCTGCCTACCTAAACACTCACCCACTGGAATGCATTGTAGGAGATTTACTTCATGCAAGTGGACAGCAGAATCATATGATCTGCCACACAAGTGTCCCTACTCTATAAAACTATACTTTCTCTCTCTTTCTTGACTACATCCCTTTCAGATTTATGGGTTCAAAAACTGAGCAATGTTCTCTGCTCACAAATTACTCCTGGATGTTTACTAACATCCCAGACACAAAGGGCTAGATGTTCTTGTGCTGCCCTGTTTCTGTGCATTTTCCCCTCTGAGCTCCACATTTCACAGGTCTCGTTAGCTAATGGACCCGATTGTCAGTCCCTCCTGAATGAAGGAAAATACTAGGAGTTCTTCCATTACAGCCTGGTGTTACTTCATTACCTTCCTAGCTCATGCTTGATCTTACACTTGGCCCACTTACCTACACTAATGGAGGAGTCAAGAGAATTTGCTATCTTTATCATTGTTCTTGTTTTCTTTTTCACTTTACGGTTACTGTATGCTATCTTTTAAAAGTCTGAAAACCACTTTGTGTGCTTTATGGAACAAGAACAGAAATAAAACAGCTAGAGATAGGCATATATTTAGATAGATAGATATCTAGATTATATAGATGGATGGATAGATAGATAATAGAGAAATGACAGATGATAGATGATGATTGATTAAATGATAGGTAGATGATAGATGATTGATAGATCATAGATAATAGATCATAAATGATAGGTAAATAGATGATAGACAAATATTGCAGTGAGCATTTTTCATTAATTATCATATTAGAGAGTTGCAATTACTTAGTGACATGTCATTATTTGATGGTGAGTCTAGATCAAATATACTCTCCTGGTTATTCCTAGAGATGGAATTTAAGTTGCACTCTTGGTTGTTATTCCTTCAAGAAATAACTGTTTAATATAAAGCCAAAGATTAAAAAATTCTTTGCTATTTAACAATGATGGGTTATGCTTTTCAGTAGTTTATTTCTTCTAGGCTTTAGACATCTAGTAAGTGATTTCAGTTATCTGTTTGGATTAATTTCTACTTTACAAAAATCTTTCGTAATCATTTTAGCCCCTCAATGGAATGCTTGATATTATGGGACATCTGAAAATTTTGAGATAATGGTAGGTAATTAAAGAAATAAGAGTGATTAAAATTTCCAGGAATCATAAAAACAAATATGAGAAAAAGAATAAAACTATAATTTGCTGCTTGAATGTGTTTTAAATCACTTAAAATAATCACAATACTACAAATAGTCTTTATTAATTTTGATTTTTAGTATACCACAGAGAAAAGGCACAGAAGATTATACGATGATTATGGAATAGAATGTAGATATTATCAATCTGATGTAAAATTATAAAAGAAAAAGTCTCAGAGATGGAAGGGAAGGAAAACAGTAAAGTGTCTCCAGGAGAGCAGCAATAAATACTATCTATAATTCATGGAATTAGAAATTAAGATTTAGATATAACATGTTTCTTAAAACTGTATATGAACCAATAAAGGAACTAAAAATCTTGATATAACTATGCTTAAAAATTGCTGAGGGAAGGTAGAAAGTGGTGTATTTGAGCACAATTAACAACTTTCATTATCGGAAATAGATAATGTTTCAATTAGTGGAATATTCAGCTTAACTAGAGATAGGGGAGAAACTGCTAGAAGAAACCTAAGGGTGGTTAATAATGGTTGCCTCTGGGAAGTGGTACAAAAAATGAAAGAAAGTCTAAGGAGACTACTTTAAATTTTTTTAAATTTTAAATCAGAAATATTTTAAGAATTCAAAAAAGTAAAGTATAGATAACATAATAAATATCCAAGTACATCCCAAGTTTATCAAATTTAGGTATTTTGCCATATTTGTTCTAGTTTTTCTTATTTACAAAGTTTTTAGAGCTCTTTTTAAGCTAAAAAAAGTAAAACATAATTAAAGAACCAAATGTACTTCTCTAATCCATCATCTACCCACCTTTCCCAGGGTTAATGACTAGCTAGACATTGGTTCTTCATTCATTTGAATGTTTTTTTTTCTTCATAGGCATAAATCCATAAAATACATAGTATTTCTTTTTTACTTTAAGTAACTAGTTTGCCAATTTTTCCTTCAATATTATTTGTTTAAGATTTTTCCATCGTGATATATGTAGCCCTACTTCTTCATTCAGGATTTTTGTTTTTGTTATTTAATATAGTATTTGTGATTACAATGTATTTATTAATCCTTCCATTAATGCACAGTTGGGCTGTTTGCAAATCTTCACTATTATAAATAATCATAAATATCCTAGGGCCAGGTGTGGTCACTTACACCTGTAATTCCAGTGCTGTTACGAGGCCACAATGGGAAGATTGCTTGAGACCAGGAGTTTAAGACCAGCCTGGGCAAAATAGCAAGACCCTGTCTCTACAACAAAAGAAAAAAAAATTAAATTAACTGGGCATGGCGGTGTGCAGCTGTAGTCCCATCTACTTAGGAGGTTAGAGCAGGAGGATCACTTGAGCCCAGGAGTTCAGGGCTGCAGTGAGCTATGATCTCACCACTGCACTCCAGTCTGGATGACATAGCAAGACCCTTTTTTAAAAAACAATTTTAAAAAGAATATATATCTACTTATGTATCAATATACATATGCAAGCATTGTTCTAGGCTATGTAGCTAGCAGTAAGTTGCTAGAGAGTAGGGAATGCACATCTTCAACTTTAGTATATCATGCCAAATCAATCTCTAAACTACTGATACCAATTAAAATTCCTACCAGCAACACTTGAGTGTTCCTCTTGCTTCAAATCTTTCCAACTCTTGGCATCCTAAAACTTTAATTTTGGAAACTTGAGAAGGTAAAACCGGCATTGCTTTGCTTCATTCTCCCTTTACTTGATCATTAGTAAGGTAGAGCATCTTTTCATATGTTTATCAGACATTTGCCCTTCCTCTCTTATGCTTATCCTACTCTTTACCCTTGGCCCATTTTTCAATTGTGTTTTTTTTTGTAATAAATATGTAGAAGTTATCCGTATCATACTAATCTGTTGTGACATACATTACAAATGTTTTCTAGGTTATCTTTCTACTTTGTATATGTTTTATATAGACGTTATACTTTTTAATATACTCAAATTTATCAATGTTTTCTTTTAAGGTTTGGAGGTTTTGTACCTTTAGAAATCTCTCCCTACCCTAAGGTCATAAAACATTCTGATATTTTCTTCTAAAAATGTTAAACTTTTTCATTTTCACATTTAATTGTTTAAACCACATGGGAGCTATTTTGGACATAGTATAAGGTAAGGGTCTTATTTTAACCTTATGGATAACCAATTATCTCAGCAACATTTATTGAACAGCCAATTTTTCCTCTACTGGTTTATATGCTACTCCTGTCATACCAAATTTCCATAAATGTGAAGGAGATTGCTAGGCTCTTTGTTCTGCTCCAGTAATTATTTATTTTTTATTATCAGGTCTTCTGAAATATTGATTTTAACCATATATATGTATTTACATATAAAAACTAATAAAAATGGAAAATCTTGTAATTTTTCACTCTAAAGATAAAGAACTTATTTCTCTTTTGAGGCTTTATGTGAAAAAAAAATGCTTTAGTAAAACCATGTCTGGCTGCTTCTACCAAAGCCCTACTCAAAGCAAATTACTTTTACAAATAGTCACAAAATTGTTGAATGCACATGCCTTGAAAATATATTTTATTTAAAACACTGGGTAAATTACTCAGTAGCATAATCTCCTCCACTGGTCTAAAATAAAATTCATATATGAGAGGTGTTCAGAATCTATTCTTGGAGAAGAGTTAAAAATGGGCTTTAATGCATTTTTTGGAGCCATTAAGCCTTGCCAGGTAAATAATGTGTGTTTTAAACATCTCTGAATCTATATTTACAGTCATATGATAAATGGTAATGGTTCCAAAGAGAAATGTTAAGATCTAATGGACATTTAAAACAGCCCCTCAATATGTATTTATGCAAAGGATCCAAAGAGCCTCAAAAGCAGTTTAGTTCTCTTTGATCAATGGCAATCAATGGTTTTGAAAGATGTAGAATATTTAGAGTCCATATTTAAAACTCCTGTAACTAGCAGTCCTACAAACTTATGGCTATAAATGCTTCTTTGTAGCTTGGGACAGATGTGGAATTTCGAAAATATCCCGTTAACATCAACACCCAAAAAAGGCCAAGAAAATTTAGCACAGAAAAAGATGACATTTCACAATAGTAAAGTTGTGGTACCAAACAAGGAAAGCTGGTGCATCCTTTTTATATCCTCAAATGGATTTTCATTTTATGTTACTCAGTAGGAGTCATTTTGAAGACAATTTCTTCTGAAAATAAGCTTTGAAGCTTTACCATTTTTAAAAATCCCATTTGATTCAGTTTGCACAGGCCTTGGTTTCTATTTCTGTTCTTTTCTCCCTTTAGAACCACTTACATTTCCACTGCATTGTTTGAATGAAAGAATAAAATCACACCTACTGAGTCCTTTAAATGAACTGGGTGTGTAGGGAGGGAGCCGTAGACCAGAATTTGCATCAGATTCTTGGAAAGCCTTTCTGGGCTGAAGAGTGTCAGGAAACTGTAGTGGACCTTCGGAAGCCATCTGACAGTTGCCTATCGACATATGAAATTGAGTCACCTTGATCGATTTGGATGGCAGGCCAACTCTTCTTGCCCAGGAGAAACTGCTATTTGGCGCTCCCAAAGCATTAAAGTGCAGTGCTGGTGGCGAGTTTATTATCTTGTTATTTGGCCACACAATACCTTTGAACCCCCACCCTGGAATAATAGAGACCCTATGCTTTTGCTTCAGTGAGCCTCAGATCTCACTGTGTTCATACAAAATTCCAATCTAACAAATTCTATCACCATGAAACTCATTCCATAGCTCCAAGACATCAACTGATGTCTCTTCTCTCCTTTACCGGTATTCCAAATTCTTACAAGCATTAGGAAGTATCTATAGAGATCTGGATATCAAGAGAGATGAATTTATGTCTCTTACGTTGCTGTTCATGTCCTAATTACCTCTGCCATTCACCTCCATTTGATTCAACCATTCTTCATGAACCTAGGCAGCCTTCACATAATCCCTAATCCACAGGTCACTGAGTGAAGTGAAGAAAAATCAGGACTGGTTCATTCAATAGATAAGAAATGAAATCAAACCACACTTGGCTTATGAATCACTGACAAATACACCATATTAGAGAAAAGCATCTGTTATCCCAGGAAAATGGAGTTCAACACAATACATATATTTTATATTCCACTGGGGCAGAGAATCATTATAAGAAATCCTAACTTCAAAGTAGAATACTAACTGATCTACTCAACTTATTGCAACCATATTCAATGTCATTCTTTATGCAGAACATACCAGCAATAATAAATTAATTCAGGTTGGTCACAATCTGGATTATAAAGCCGCAATGTAGAAACAAAAACAAACATGGACCCATAAAGAATAACCCACAGGGAGAGTGTGACACAAAATGTACTGGGAAACACGTGGAAAGTCCGAAATGAGACACACAATGATATAAATAGAAAATATGTGGGAAGGCAGCCCCTGAAAAAGTCCTATGGATATGCAGATGCTTAATTGATGCTTTGGATGGTGGTTTGATAAAGAGACATCCTTAGAAGCTAGGAGAAAAAAATACATGAATGCAAAGAGGAAACTAAGAGGTTCATAGAAGGACAGGAAGTGACAAAAGTAAAAGGGAGTGAAGACAGACAAAGACGTGGGTCATTGTATCACAATCGCCTATATGCTATTTTCACACAGAGAATTACTTAGTAAATTTATATATTTCCCAATAAAAATGCATCTAGATGTTAAAATGTTACTTATTCCTTCTTATTATTTTATTACTACAGTATTACTTTATAAATAAATTATGAATATATTTAGGAAGTTATACGTTACATATCATTAGAGCACTTAGTTCAGTTCCTTTATTTTCTCCAAATAGTTCTATGACTGCTGGGTGTTCTGGCTGGCCAGGTTCTGAGAAATTGAGAGGTTGGGTTATTCATTTTGGGCAGGTCAGAGGTTATAGGCTGAGGTGTGGCCAACCAAGGGGGAGACAAGCCAGGCTGAGGTTACTGCCTGGTGCAGGTGCAGGGCTAAGAAAGATGCAAGAGCGGAGGAAGAAACACAGGTTGCTTGCCTCATTTTGGACGAGGCAGGTGACACATAAGACAGGTTCAGATGTAGTACAAAAGGGACAAAAGAAGACGTAGGACAAAGGGTGCTTTTTGTTTGAAGACCAGTTGAGGCACGGAATCATCAAGAAGTCTGAGAGAAATGTGCTATTCTAATATCAACATGATTAATCCAGTTCCAACTTGCTATGTCCATTCTGAGATAGCTCCCATTTCTTGTTAAAGAACAGGGACAGTTAATTTAGGCCTGTCTTCCCAGGGCAGAGGTAGATGGATCTCCCATCCAGAATCCTCACCTCTCTGCTCACAGAAACTTCCTGGTCACCAGGCCAAGAGCAACAATGTGCCTGTGCAGGGGCATCTTGGCTTGAATTTGTGAGGGGCAGGAGGTGGCCTAGGAGGCAACACCTGTTCAGTGGGTGGAAGTGATGACTCGGGTCCTCCCGCAGTATCCAGGCCTGTGCACTGGGGGACCCAAGACAGTGCAATCAGCCTGCTTCTCTTCATGCTGAGAGATGGCTGAAGTAGGTATTTAACAAACATTTATTGAATAACGAAAAGAATGTGCTATCTGCCTATCATGTGTATTTACTTGCAGAGAAAATCTACTGTTACTTGTGTTCACCTGAGAAAGGCCAAGGCTTGATGTAGCCTAGTTTTTTCACTTTAGTCTCTGGGCCCTGAAGCAGTCAGCTCTGGATGGTCTGTGCTCAGGAAGCCTCCCTGTTGGGTGTGGGATGCAGGCATGACCCAGCACCAGCTGCCTGCAGGCAGAGCTCTGCTGAGTCAGGCCCCCAAATGAGTGTGGCCAGTGCAGCCTAGGTCCTGCTTTATCTTTCATTTCTAAATTTATTTTCAGATGACACTGCTTACTACTTCATCCTATTTTCTTTGGCTGTCTTTTTTGGCCATTTTCAAAATCCTGAGTTACACATTTAGTAGCCTAATGATATATAGTAGGGAAATTAGAATAATAGTAACCACAGCAGTAATACAACCAAGTGATTATTCACTGTGCAGCAGCAGTTTTTCATCTACCTTACCTACCTTTCCTCCCCAGGTGACTGAGAAACAGCACAGAGTTGCAGTTAAGGACATGGACTGAGGATGCAGATTCAAATACGGCTCTGCCACTTAGAGCCCTTGTTTGAATTGTGCATGGGTTTCTTTACATCTTCTCCAAGCTACCAAAAGGTAATCATAAGAAAGATGGAATTTTCTGTTTCAATTTACCACTTCCTATGGATATTCAAATTAAAAAGTATATCTTAAAATGCTTGACCTTGAGCAATCTATTTGACATTTACTGATTGTTCATTGTTGTAGTCAGCTTAGGCTGCTGTAACAAACTACCACAGCCTGGGGGGCTGAAGCAACAACATTTATTTCTCATAGTTATAAAGGCTACAAGTCTAGGATCAGGGCACCAGCATGGTTGGGTTCTTGGTGCGAGGCCTCCTTCCGATTTATAGACAGCCACCTTCTTGCTATATCCTCACATGGAGGAGAGAGAAATCATCTCTCTCTTGTTTCTTCCTACAAGGGTGTTTATCCCATTCATGAAGACTCCACTTTCACGGCCTAAGTCCTCCAAAAGCCCTCACCTCCAAATACCATCACAATAGGGGTTAAACATAAGAGTTCTGGGAGGACACAAAAATTCAAACCATAGCATTTACTATTGGGCAAGCCTCCAGGACGCAAAGATGAATAAGACACATTTCCTAAACTCAAAGAAATTGTAGTCGTGTGTTTGTGTTTACATGTTGTATTTGTCTGCTTTGACACTGCTATAAAGAAATGCCTGAGACTGGGTAATTTATAAACAAAAGAGGTGTAATTGACTCACAGTTCTACATGGCTGAGGAGGCCTCAGGTAACTTACAGTCATGGCAGAAAGTGAAAGGGAAGCAGGCACCTTCTTCACAAGGAGGCAGGAGAGAGCATGAGTGAAGAGAGAAGAGCCACTTATAAAACCATCAGATCTTGTGAGAACTCACTCACTATCACAAGACAGCGTGGGAGAAACTGCCCCCATGAGCCAATCACCTCCTACCAGGTTTCTCCCTCAACACATGGGGATTATGGGGATTATAATTTGAGATGAGATTTGGCTGGGGACACAGAGCCAAATCATATCACATGTTGAGGGTCAGAAAGAAAGTTAAACAGAGATAGAGGAAAAGAAGAGACAACGTTTAGGAACGGGGCAGGGACAGGGGTATCCAACCTTTATTTTTTCTCCTATCCTTTCTTCCATCCATTAACAACTGAAGAGCATCTATGTTATAATATCGCCTTTCCATTCCTTTGTCCTTCATTGATAGGCCTTCTCCATAATTTGCCATGCCAGAGAACTAACTGCTCCCCAGATGAGTTGAAAAGAACTGAATCTCCCAGTTCAGTTGGTGTGGCCTGGCCAGGATCCTTGGGAGATTTTTCCTCTGTGGATTCACATTTCCCTGGAGTGAATTAGGTTTCAGGCTGTGCATGAAAGCTACCTAGTTGTGTATATGCCTGGCCAATATGTATGGAGAGGACAGAGGCTCTATGAGGAGGGAAGGAGAGAGGACAGTAGTACAGGTGACAAGAAAATAAGTGTAGGATGTGCTAAGCAAATTGAATATTATTGATTTTATGCATCAATATTTTTCCGACCTCCCTCTGTAAGACGATTGGCCTGCCAGAGGTCAGAGAAAGAGATTGGGGTATTCTCAAGTTGGACATGCTTTGGAAGAACAGAAAGTTAATATTAAGAATTCCATCTTATATGCTCTAGATAGAAGGTCCAGATTTTCATATGATCTCATGTTTTTCAGAAACCCTAATGCAAAGTCATTAACTGTACTCAAATAATTATGGAAAAGGGTAAAGTGGCTTCTAAGTGCATTGTTTATTCATTTTCCACAAACACACTATGAAGTTGCGAACATGTAAACCAGAGTCCCATAATGATTTCTGGCAGCTGTTTTCTTGAACTCATGACACCAGCACTTAGTGCTTTTCTGCAGAATGGCTGAAAGGTTCACAAATCCAATATCCTTAGAAGTTATTTTACTAGATTTCCTAACTTTAAAGCCTATCTGGAATGTCCTTATTCCTTTGCAACTCTTACTGACTGATGCTGATTATGCCATCAGCAAACCTCACTAACTCCAGTTCTTCACTTAGATCATTAATGGTCAATAGAGGGCCTGAAGTGGTTCACTATTAACTTCTCATTCAGAGGACTGGTATTGAATACTTTTCCTTTGTTTTACACTGCATGCTAAGCCTGGCTCTCTATGGAAAAAGGAATAGGAGAGTGAAATAAACTAATCCCAGATTCATCTTCCATTCTTTCTACATGTACATGAGAACTAGGATTGTCAGGGCATCTTTATATGAGCTGAGCACACAGACTGCAAAGGAGAAAATGTCAAAGGTGCCTGACTCCCAGTGCACATATACAGAAGCCAGAAGGAAGCACACTCAATATGCACACTGCCACAGTGTTTGCCTCAGTGCTTCTCCCATGTAGGTTCTTGGAGTCAGGCCTGGCTAAATGTATCACAATGAAATGGGTAGGCTTTAAAATTCAGATTGATGGGCATCGCCTCTAGAGATACTGATACAGAGATACTGATACATTTCTAGAGATACTGATAGAGATTACTGATTGCTCACTGTTCTAGTCAGCTTAGGCTGCTGTAACAAACTACCATAGCCTGGGTGGCTGAAGCAACAACATTTATTTCTCATAGTTAGGAAGGCTACAAGTCTGAGATCAGGGTGCCAGCATGGTCGGGTTCTTGGTGTGAGGCCTCTTTCCAATTTACAGACAGCCGCTTTCTTGCCATATTCTCACATGGAGGAGAGATAAATCATCTCTCTCTTGTTTCTTCTTATAAGGGCATTTATCCCACTAATAAAGACTCCACTTTTGTGGCCTAAGTCCTCCAAAAACCCTCACCTCCAAATACCATCACAGTAGGGGTTAGAGTTTAAACATATGAGTTCTGGGAGGACAAAAAAATTCAACCCATAGCCAATCCAAGCCTCCAGGATGCAAAGATGAATAAGACACATTTCCTAAACTCAAAGAAATTGTAGTCATGTGTGTTTGCATGTTGTATTAGTCTGATTTCACATTGGAAAGAAACATATATATTTCCTTTTTTTGAAAGCTACTCAGATTATTCTAATGCAAAGTCAGGTTTGAGTACTGCTGTTAAGGCAAGATCTCAACCTCTCCCCATGCTTAAAAATGGCAAGGGTTGGAATGAGAAAGAATCTTATCTATTGGTACAATCAGAACTAGACTCAGTCACGTGAGCCTCCTAAGCAGGTTAATAACTTGTCACTCCTCTACTGTAGCTGTCTTTAAATATTGTTTTTTAAAAAAATGTCTACGTGGAAGAGGCAGAATGTTGCAGAAGGGAAAGCAGGGGACGATGGATTGTTGGGGGCAATGGTCAGTTTTACTTTTCTTGTCCTGAGAAACTCCGCTCTCTCAAACTCATAGGTACCCTCTCAACAAAACAAAAGCCCTGCAATTAAAACGACCCACGGTCTTCAGAAGATATTTACTTGACCATTGGTTGTTGTAAAAGCCCACCTCCTGAGAGCCTCAATATCACACCTAGTAACTCATCACTTATTCATCTTAAACCAAACGCTACTTTCCCTGATTATATATATATATATATATATATATATAAAATATATTCTATTATATTTTATATATATAATTTTTCTTGCTGTTACATTTCCAGTAATGTTTTAGTTTCTAGAGATTTTGTTTGTTGATTTTGAGACTCAGGCTACTAACAACACTGCCTCCTTCTTGGTCCATCTCTGGGTGTAACACAGAATCTCAAACACAGCATCCGGGAACTAATGTTCATTTGTTAGGGGCATATGGTCCTAGGGGAAGAGGAACATGCACATTTCCTTTCTGCTCTTTGGGGACAGATGTATCTTAAAAAATAAGAGAAACAGTTGTAAGTGGTTTCCTTTCTTACGAAGAATAAAAAGACAACTTAAGATTATGTTTTGTGGCAAGTGTGGTGAGGAAAGAAACCAATGGATTATTCCAAAAGGAAGGATTCTCAGATAAGCCTAGACTTGAAAAATCCTCTACTAAAAGTGGAGAATACTTAGATATCTAAAAGGAAAAGAAGATGAGAGCCAGTGAGAGTTGTTTGTCCCTGTTACCTTCCCTTGGGTAAAATCAGCAAAAGTTTAGTGATGGAACCCACAGCTGGAGACTCGATGAGACTAGAGTCACCTGTGCCTGTGCCCAGAGGCCAGTGGGGTGGGTGGACGGAGACTGAGCATGCTGCCTTGGAGACACCGGCTCCTGCTCTGGTGAGCCTGATGGGAGAGGATGCTGTTTGCTTGCCTGTGAGGTTCCTCCCATGCCACGAACAAGGACTTGCTTTGGGAAGGAATGCACAAAGCAGCCCTTTGAGGATGAGAAATAGGGAGAGGATGGTGAAGCTTGAGCTGGAAGTAACCCACCTTCAAGTTTCCCCTATGGGCCCATAGAAGGACCATCAGCATCTGAGTGCAAGGGAGGAAGAGGGACACTGAGAGGCTGGGATGGTCCCCTAAGGCTCAGTATCTTTTTGCAGCACCCATATGTAATTTCTGATTTCCAGTGCTCCCAGGAAGAGAAATATGCCAAAATACACAGTATCCCATGAATATTATCACCTGGAGAATTTGAGTAAAAATCACATTGACAGAAGAGTTAACCTGACTCTTGTCATTTTACCCTTCTCAAAGTTATCCTTATTTTTGTCCATATGCAGTTTTAAAAGTCCCAAGAGATTGGAGAGGAGGGAGAAATGAATAGGCAGAACAAAGAGAATTTTTAGGTAGTGAAACTATGATGGATGATACAATAATGGTGGATGCCAATCATTATACATTTGTCCAAACCCATAGAATGTACAACACCAAGAGGGAGCCTGAATGTAAATGATGGACTTTGGGTGATAACAATGTGTCAGTGTAGGCTCATCAGCTGTAGCAAATGCACCACTGTGATGGGAGATGTCAATAGTGAGGGAGGCTATACATACACAGGAGGGCAGGAGTATATGGAAACTCTCTGCACTTTCTGTTCAGTTTTGCTGTGAACCTAAAACTGCTCTAAAGAATAAAGTTTATTTTTAAAATATCATAGTAAAGTCTCTTAACAAAATGATATTGCTTAAATAGTTTCTGAAAAGAGGCCAGATAGCACCCCTATGGAATCCCAGGCAACTTGGACCCTTAACAGCTGCCTCCCCATCCCTGATAGAAACCTCAAGTTACCTACGTATTATAGTTGTGCGCTCAGACATTTAGGAATTTGGGGGAATTTCTTTCTCTTGCAGTCCTCTGAGTCAGTCTCCCTGCCACCTGGCGTTCCAGTTTTTATAGTTTTCATCCCATTCCCTCATACCTGGCTTCCTCTCTGCTAAGCCCCATGAGATCAACTCTTCAGAGGACCTGCATCTGGCTTCTTCCTCAGGCTTCTCTTCAGCCCATGCCTCAGGGTACCCAACTCAAGAGCAACACCTTAATTCTATATTGAATTTTTAGACATACTGCTTCTATGTACATTCAACCATCTTGATTTCTGATCTTTGTTCCTCATCAAATCATAATTTATTAATCTACAATTACCTTCCTACTTGAGGCATCCACATCAATTTGACTGATCTTACTACTAATATTTTCTCTTGACAAGGGTGTTTATGGCAGAATAGCTCAGAAATAAGTCCTGTATGCTATCCAGACCAGTTCCATATTGTATGTGGAGAACCAAAAACTTCCAGGTTGGGACTTATTCTAGAAACAGGAGACAGACACTATAGGAATATCACGTGCAGAATTCCATCTGATCTCCTTAAAGTTAGCCAGAGACACAGTCCACTCTGTGCTGATATTATGACCCATTGATTTCTATTTGCTTTGGCGCAAATTATGGAACTATCTGAGATATTTGGAGTTAATTAGGAAGTGCTTACTTGGGACTATGTATTAGTTCATTTTCACACGTCTATAAAGAACTGCCTGAGGACAGACAATTTATAACGAAAGAGGTTTAATTGACTCACAGTTCTACATGGCTGGGGAGGCCTCAGGAAACTTAGAATCATGGTGGAAGGCAAAGGGGAAGCAAGGCATGTCTTACATGGCAGCTTGTGGGGGTGGGGAGAGGGAAAGCCAAACACTTTTAAATCATCAGAACTTGTGAGAACTCACTGACTAGCATGAGAACAGCATGGGGAAAACTGCCCCCATGATCCAATTACCTCCTACCAGGTCCCTCCCTTGATAAACGGGGATTACAATTTGAGATGAAATTTGAAAGGGGACACAGAGCCAAACCATGTCAGACTATTTTGAGGGTAAGGACTAATATCAACATGCTTAAGCCAAGCTCCTTTAAAACAGAAAATATCTAGAATCCTTTGTAAAATGCCCCAGCAGTGAAATAAATAATCCCAACAAATCCAGCAAATAGAACATAATGGAGCAATTGTAGTAAGTAGTGGTAACATTGATGCTGGTGAATTTATTGCATTTTCTTTGTTATCCCCACTTTAGACATATGAAAATATTTGCAGCAATTTTATGCTGCACAAAAACCAAGCGCCCAATCAGGCTAAGTGCCTCTGATGAGAGCACAACATTATTTTCATTCTCCATTTTTAATTAGGATGCACCAGTAAATTACAGGTTGCTTCCTCTTCTCACAACCTTAACAAATGCAGATGAGCAGAGCTGCTTCTCAGGTTAACACTAAAAATTCTCAGTGCCATTTGTTAAATACAGTTCTTAAGCAAGCTGTGTAAAAGCATCAATGATGGGCAATGCCGACGTCAATAGATCATTTAGAGAAGTTAGTCTTCAGTGGAAGCTACCTCATAGATACACAGGGTTTGCTACTTGGGAGCCAATGCTCTTACTGATAACAGTTTTCTTCTGCCTAGTATTAGGATTTGATTTTGAAATTAATGTAAGGAATTCATGGAGTAAATATATCTAATATACATAAATATTTTAGACCTGCAAGAAGCCTGGCCTTGGAGATTCTATAATTCCATCACTTTATAAGGCAAAGAAAGAAGTCTTAGAGTAGTTGAATGGGCTAGCCCAAAGTTATAGAGCATAAAATAACAACAATAACAACACTGTATGCTGTGTAACTTCTATGTTTATAAACACTTCCAAGTATATCATTCCTGCTTCGGAAATTGAGGCTTAATTTATTTTCCCAGGTCACCTACCCTCTTCATCTCTCACCCCTTTTACTCGTGTCCAGCTAATATGCCTTGTGAACTTACATACTAAGATTATTTTATGTGAGATATTTAAGAGCTCCTTAAAGAGGTTTAAATCCAGTGGGCTTAGTTTTGTTTTTCTTGGATGCTTTCTGAAATTAAAAGAGTATACCCTCCAAAGTTTCATTTTTTCTGTACCTGCAAGCAATTCACTTTGTAGGTTTGCAATAGAGAAGCAGTCAGCAGGCTTCATACAAGCTGTGCTGATACCCAAGGTAGTGCCAACAAGAAAAAAGTAGATGATCCGCACTGTACTCTGGAAGGTTCAAGATTAGACTTTGAAAGCATGGCAGGAATATGTGTTATCAGCTAATGTTATTGATTTGGCTCACTTACACACTAACTGACAGTATTTTCTTTTAAAAAATGCCAACTGTACTACATAGAAAGATTGTCCCCAAAGGGCCAGCCAGTCTGGACATTGAACTGCCAGAATGGTTTGCGTGAAAGGCCCCAGAGACTATAAATAAAGACAGGGAAATCTCTAAAGAAAAAGCAGACTCCTTTTGGATTGTCTTACTGGGAGGGCTGCAGAAAGCTTTTGATATAAGGGGAGTGGACTACATCCTCTTTAATCCTCTCCTACATCTGTGATTTTTTTCCCACAACTAAAATGAAACCATAACCCAATGTTGCCTCTAATTGACTTCACCAAGATATGTAACTCCATCGATACGGTCCATCTTACCATCTCCCTTTTCACATCATCTCTCAGCCCATCTTCCTGTGGATTCCAGTGCTCATCTCTATGCAGCCTCTGTCCTTACATCTGTTGTATATGCTATATCATGTTTCCCTCAGATCCCTTTGTTCATAGGCCATTTCTTTGTGAGTTTTGGTCTCACTCTGTCATCTAGGCTGCAGTGCAGTGGCATGATGTCAGCTCACTGCAGCCTCCACCTCCTGGGTTTGAGTGATCCTCCCACCTCAGCCTCCTGAGTAGCTGGGTCCACAGATTCACGCCTCCATGCCTGGCTAATTTTTGTATTTTTTTTGTAGAGATGGGATGTCATCATGTTGCCCAGGCTGGTCCCAAACTCCTTAGCTCAAGAAATCCGCTTGCCTCAGCCTACCAAAGTGCTGGGACTACAGGCGTGAGACACCGTGCCTGGTTGTTCTTATAGGTCAGTTACTGCATCTTTCTCATCTCCCTCATTAAATTATAAACAATTTTGTCATGGGAACTCCTTTTTAAGACCATGAAGTGCCAAGTATACAGGAAAGTGCTCTAAGTATTAAATTTTGACTGACTTTCCTTCCCAGCTTTGTGAACTCCACAGTGTTGAATTTTATTTCTACATCTGAGAAAAAAAATGAAGGCAAGTTAAGTGTGTATATTTAACCACTCCCAATAGTTATTTAAAACCCAGCCTCTTCTAATTTTATTCTTAAATACCATAATTAGGATTTGTCTATACATAATGTGGAATCTCAGTGAGCTACCACATTATTCCATTAGTCATTCTCTACATCATCAGACCAGTAATTAACATTTCACCTGTCTCAAATTGCACGTAGTATCTTAGATGAAGTGAAAACAAAGTGAAAGGCGGGTTTTAATCATACACTGCACCAGTCGTCATGATAGAAATGTTGTGACTTTGGTAAGTATAGTACTTCTTTTGTTAGATGGTAATTTTGATTGACAGATCAATCCAACTATTTAAAACCACTGATGATTATCCAACGTGTTTTTTTCTCCCAAAATCAGCTAAAAAATTGTTCTGCTTAATATGCTGATCGAAACAAGTCTGTGAATAAACTCTTCACCCTTAAATTGTGACCTTTATTCTATGAGGTGAATCTTCACTAACTGGGATGTTGCTTCCGGTGAAGTAAATGAGACCTGGATGTCCCAATGCCCTTGCCTGACATGAGTAAGGAGTTTATACTCATTAAGTCATTTTCCAGCCTAAGGATTAAATCCAAAGAGATAAGAGTGAATCATTCACTCTAGAGGAAGTGTGCCATCTATTTTAGGCCAGAAGGAAACAATTTTGCAAATGACCTTTTCCAGTGTGATAAGCAGTCTCTTTGGAGCCAGAAGGAATTAAATTCTATTTCTCCTTACAGTGGATAATTTTTCCTCCTTTCCTACACAGACCCAGACACAGTGTGACAAGCAAAGGACTCAACTTATTTTAGCATGAAGACTCACAGATACATTAGTATAGGTTTCTTATATGAGATAAAAATCATCCACAAAAATTTCAACAACATACATGATGGTTGTTCAAATAAAAAGAATGTAAAAGGAATAATGTAAAGTTTTTGACATAACTACAAACAAGTAAACAGGAAAGAAATGCTCAGGTCCTGAGCAAGGGAGATGATATGGTTTGGCTGTGTCCCCACCCAAATCTCATCTTGAATTGTAGCTCCCATAATTCCTATGTGTTGTGGGAGGGACCTGGTGGGAGATAATTGGATCATGGGGGCGGTTTCCCCCATGCTGTTCTCGTGGTAGTGAATAAGTCTCACGAGATGTGATAGTTTTATAAGGGGTTTCCCTTTTCACTTGGTTCTCATTCTCTCTTGCCTGCTGCCACGTAAGATTTGCCTTTTGCCTTCCGCCATGATTGTGGGGCCTCCCCAGCTACATGGAACTGTGAGTCTATTAAATCTCTTTTTCTTTGTAAACTGCCCAGTCTCAGGTTTGTCTTCATCAGCAGTGTGAAAATGGACTAATACAGGAGAGCTGTCTAAGGTATACACTGATGAAAAATAGTTTAGGGGTCCAGACTGTCAATAAATTCATTAGGATTCAGGAAAGCTATTGTCACCAAGAAGGCTAATACAATCTCAGTTCATCACTCAGTAGAAATGAAATATTTTAAAGGTGTTGTGTAATAAAGCAGCACTATTTAGCACTGATTCAGCAATATGTGGTATTTTGTATTTTGTGTTTGCTTCTGCATATCACACTTTTAAAATTATAAAAACATTTGTGTTGAATTCCAAGTCTTTGCTATTGTGAATAGTGCCGCAATAAACATATGTGTGCATGTGTCTTTATAGCAGCATGTTTTATAATCCTTTGGGTATATACCCAGTAATGGGATGGCTGGGTCAAATGGTATTTCTAATTCTAGATCCCTGAGGAATCGCCACACTGACTTCCACAATGGTTGAACTAGTTTACAGACCCACCAACAGTGTAAAAGTGTTCCTATTTCTCCACATCCTCTCCAGCACCTGTTGTTTCCTTTTTAATGATCGCCCTTCTAACTGGTGTGAGATGGTATCTCATTGTGGTTTTGATTTGCATTTCTCTGATGGCCAGTGATGATGAGCATTTTTTCATGTGTCCGTTGGCTGCATAAATGTCTTCTTTTGAGAAGTGTCTGTTCATATCCTTCACCCACTTGTTGATGGGGTTGTTTTTTTCTTGTAAATTTGTTTGAGTTCATTGTAGATTCTGGATATTAGTCCTTTATCAGATGAGTAGGTTGCAAAAATTTTCTCCCATTCTGTAGGTTGCTTGTGAATTCTGATGGTAGTTTCTTTTGCTGTGCAGAAGCTCTTTAGTTTAGTTAGATCCCATTTGTCAATTTTGGCTTTTGTTACCATTGCTTTTGGTGTTTTAGACATGAAGTCCTTGCCCATACCTATGTCCTGAATGGTATTGCCTAGGTTTTCTTCTAGGGTTTTTATGGTTTTAGGTCTAACATATAAGTCTTTAATCCAGCTTGAATTAATTTTTGTATAAAGTGTAAGGAAGGGATCCACTTTCAGCTTTCTACATATGGCTAGCCAGTTTTCCCAGCAGCATTTATTAAATAGGGAATCCTTTCCCCATTTCTTGTTTTTGTCAGGTTTGTCAAAGATCAGATAGTTGTAGATATGCAGCATTATTTCTGAGGGCTCTGTTCTGTTCCATTGGTCTATATCTCTGTTTCGGCACCAGTACCATGCTGTTTTGGTTACTGTAGCCTTGTAGTATAGTTTGAAGTCAGGTAGCGTGATGCCTCCAGCTTTGTTCTTTTGGCTTAGGATTGACTTGGCAATGTGGGCTCTTTTTTGGTTCCATATGAACTAGTTTTTTCCAATTCTGTGAAGAAAGTTGTTGGTAGCTTGATGGGGATGGCATCAAATCTATAAATTACCTTGGGCAGTATGGCCATTTTCACGATATTGATTCTTCCTATCCATGAGCATGGAATGTTCTTCCATTTGTTTGTATCCTCTCATTTTATTGATCAATGGTTTGCAGTTCTCCTTGAAGAGGTCCTTCATGTCTCTTGCAAGTTGGATTCCTAGGTATTTTATTCTCTTTGAAGCAATTGTGAATGGGAGTTCACTCATGATTTGGCTCTCTGTTTGTGTGTTATTGGAAATGTCCAACAATGATAGACTGGATTAAGAAAATGTGGCACATACACACCATGGAATACTATGCAGTCATAAAAAATGATGAGTTCATGTCCTTTGTAGGGACATGGATGAAGCTGGAAACCATCATTCTCAGCAAACTATCACAAGGACAAAAAAACAAACACCACATGCTCTCACTCGTAGGTGGGAATTGAACAATGAGAACACATGGACACAGGAAGGGCAACATCACACACCGGGGCCTGTTGTGGGGTGGGGGGAGCAGGGAGGGACAGCATTGGGAGATATACCTAATGTTAAATAATGAGTTAATGGGTGCAGCACACCAACATGGCACATGTATACATATGTAACAAACCTGCACGTTGTGCACATGTACCCTAAAACTTAAAAACTATAATTAAAAATAAATAAATAAATAAAAATAAAAGTATAAAAACATATTACATCCTTCTCTGGAAAATAGCAGAGAATAATATGAAAACACTTCAAAGACAAATGAAATAAGTAGTCACTTTGCCACCGAAAGATAACCATTAACCACTAGAAAACAATTTTCCCTTATACTTTTAGTTTAAAGGCATTGTACCGTTGTCTTCAAAAAGGCATTGTACCATTGTACCACATCTTGAAGGCCTAATTGAGCTGGATGGGCCATTAAGATATACAGGGTTTAACTTATAACTTAACTTTGGCAAAGTTAGGAAATAATTTTACTAATATCTTATCGAAAAAGTCATAGAGGTTATCAGATTGGCTTGAAACCAGTTTTTGATATAGTGTTGCTGATTATGACCTCCTTCAAAGGTGAGCTGCACTTCTGTTAACATTTTCTATCTGGACATTTTTAGGATTTTTAAAAAATTTCTGGTGGTCTGAAATTTTGCTATATCTAGCTATAGGTGTTTTCTTATTCATTATATGTGTTTATAGGTGTTTTCTTATTCAGCACTTCATAGAAATTTTTAATTGGAAAGATCTTGTCCTCTTCAGTTCTAAAAAGTTTATTGCATTATCTCTTTTCTATTTTCTCCTTCTATATTTTCTCTTTCCTTTTGGTGAAACTTTTACTTGCCATATGTTAGAGTACATGGATTGGTCCTAATATCTAACATTTTATCTCATATTTTCCAATTGTTAGATTTTTACTATTTTTGGAATATATTTTCCTCTTTGTCCACCCAATCTGCTCATTTAAAAAGATTCACACACACACATTTATATATTTTATATGTGAACATACAAATATACATAACATATACATATATACACACACACACACACATCTATACATTTTATATATATATATAAAATCTCCATGGGTACTTTTTTGTCTCTCTTGTTCATGGCATCTTGTTTTATGAATGTATTATCTTCTCAAATCTCCCTGAATATAATAGTTATAGTTATTATAAGTGATCTGTTTCCCGAATTTTCTGGGATATTTATTCTACTGTGCTTTTTTTTAGTGCTGCATTCTTCCTCAAATGTCTGAAGATTCTGATTGCCCATTTATATTTAAGAATGAGAAAACAGACTGCCTGAGAGGCATGTCTGTACGTGTGGACTACATTCATTCATTATTTTTTGGTTTGGTGAGAGCAGGTCTTGAGTTCCCTGTCAGGCTCCGGACCCCTTCTAAATGCCAAATGAGGCAGGCTTTACTCTTGTCTGTCAAAACCCATGTTGGCTGTCCTAATTCTTTCCAGGTGGTAGTTCTTCTCTCTTAGAGAAAAATTTTCCATGTTTTTGCTCAAGTATAAAGGTCATTTGTGTGCTGTTGTGCAAGAATGCAAGAAAGAAATATGTTAGGAGACCAACAGACCTCCCGGAAACACACTTTTCAGTCTGACTTCCCAGTCCTGCCTGAACACTGTTCCTGGGGATCGGCCAGGCCGGTCAGCCCCTTCCTCTGCTGTTGTTGGTCAGTGTATTACATATGTTGGGACTTCTTTCTCTCCAGTTCATCAGAGCACATACTTCCATCCATTTTATATTTTGAAGTGCGATGGTCAGTCTTAAGTGTCAACTTGGCCAGGCCACAGTTCCCAGTTATTCAATCAATACTAATTTAGCAGTTGCTGTGAAGGTATTTTGTAGATAAGATTAAAGCCTGTAGTTAGTGACTTTAAATAAGGGAGACTATCCTAGATAATCCGGGTGTGCCTCACTCAGCTGCAAGACCACAGGGCAGAGCCAAGACACCCTTGAGAAAGAAGACATCTACCTGGGGACTGCAACTGCAGCCCATGCCAGAAAGTTCCAGCCGGCCCTTCTGACAGCCTGGCCTATGGATTTCATATTTGTCTAGCCAGCCCCACGGTCAAGTAAGCCAATTCCTTAAAATACATTTCTTAATACATATCTCCTACAATTTCTCTGGTAGGACCCTCATTGATACATCTAGAAATTTATTGAACTCTCTCATCCACTGAGAGACTCTTCTCCCTATGTAGTGTTCTTTACTGCTTATGGATTTATACTATTAAATTTTAACAAGTTATTACAAAGGAAGAAGTTATGAATATATATTCTTAGTTTAACATTTGGATTCAGAAGGCCTGATTCTTTAACCCCTTATTTTTGGATATTTTTCCCCAAATTTTCATTACTGCTGTTAATATGGTTAATGTTGGGTTGAACATCATGAACCTTATACTTCTCAACATTTTTATACTAAATTTTTGTAAGAGAAATTGCTATATCAAAGGGTACATACTGGCTGGGTATGGTGGCTCACACCTATAATCCTAGCACTTTGGGAGGCTGAGGTGGGAGGATCACTTGAGGCCAGGAGTTCAAGACCAGCCTGGGGATCATAGTGAGACTCCATCTGTAAAAGAAAAAAAAAAAAAAAACAGCTGAGGGTGGTGGTATGTGCCTGTAGTCTCAGCTACTCAGGAGCCTGAGGTGGGAGGATTGCTTGATCCCAGGAATTCGAGCTGCAGTGAACTATGGTCATGATTATGCCACTGCACTCCAGTCTGGGAGAAACAGCGAGACAAAAACAATAAAAAGGGTAAGTACTTTCTAAAATCTTTCGTTATATATTGCCAAACTTCTCCAGGAATTGTATGCCTATTTCTCATGGCCACCTGTAAGATGTGAGAATGGCTATCAGACATTCAGAAGGGCAATGGCAACTGCAACACCTTCAAAGGAGACTGTCCATCACAAAGGGTAGAATTAGAAGATGTCTTATGTTCAGTGGGATGATTGATTTAGAGAAGAAATCAGAGGTTACATGAAAGCCACCTTCAATATTTTGCCTCAAAGAAGTAAACTAGGACCAATGAGCAGAATCTAAAGAGATAGCTGGCTTTTTTTTCTGACCAACATAAGGAAGGACATTAAATAAAAAATAATTTTTTTAAAAAACTACAAAAGTATTCCTACATGAAATGGGCTTTCTCATCACTAGGCATGTTCAAACACTTAGCTGATATGCTAGCAAGCATCAAACAGCTGGGACTTTTGACCAAAAGTTTTTTAAAGACAGTTTTGACCGAGTTTCTAGTTGTCTATGTCGCTGTAAAAATCAGTGTGAGTATGCACATGCATATATATCAAGTTTGTGTTGTTTTTTTCCCTCATAAAATTTAAAACTATGACTTCAAAAGAAGACATATACACGGCCAAAAAGCATATGAAAAAAAGCTCAACATCACTGATCATTAGAGAAATGCAAATCAAAGCCACAATGAGATACCATTTCATGCCAATCAGAATGGCTATTATTAAAAAGTCAAAAAATAACAGGTGTTGGTGAATTTATGGAGAAATAGGAACACTTATACACTTGTTGGGAGTGTAAATGAGTTCAACCATGGTGGAAAACAGTGTGGCAGTTCTTCAAAGACCTAAAAACAGAACTACTATTTGAACCAGCAATCCCATTACTGGGTATATACCCAAAGGAATAGAAATCATTCTATCTATATAAATATATAAATCAACCTATCATAAAGACACATGCATTCATATATTCATTTCAGCACTCTTTACAATAGCAAAGACATGGAATCAACATAAATGCCCATCAATAGCAGACTGGATAAAGAAAATGTGGTACATACACACCATGGAATACTATGCCGCTATAAAAAAGAATGAGATCATGTCCTTTGCAGGAACATGGATACAGCTGGAGGCCATTACCCTTAGCAAACTAATGCAGGAACAGAAAACCAAATACTACAAGTTCTCACTTATAAGTGGGAGCTAAATAATGAGAACACAAGGACAGGGGAACAACACACACTGGGGCCTTTCAGAGGATGGAGGGTGGGAGGAGAAAAAGGATCAGGAAAAATAACTAATACGTACTAGGCTTAATACTTGGGTGACTAAATAATCTGGGCAGAAAACCCCCATGGCACAAGTTTACCTCTATAATGAATCTGCACATGTACCCCTGAATTTAAAATAAAATTAAAAAAAGAAGTAAAACTATAGACGGGAAACTAAGATATAACTTCCTGTAGATATAAGAAGGAAATGACTGCTCAAGCTCAGCTGCCTTTGAAGTTTTAGGTCTGTAAGTTATAAACAATTGCTAAGAACAGCAGCAAATATGAATTAAGGGTTAAATCTGGACCCATGTAACTTTAGTTTAAAGAAAAGTCTCTGTTTCTGTCTCTCTACATCCCAAATAAAAGATGTTCAGAGATTGAGAATGTAAATACTAAAGTGTTCCATTCCAGCTTGAACTTTTGTAAAGGATGGTGTCACACCGACTCTGCCTAATTCCTCCTAGGTTCTGCTTACAGTCAATCATCATTTTACCATGAGAATAAATAGCTGAAACAATTTGGATTACACAGTAACTATAATGCAACTCTAAAGAATCTGGCCGGCTGGTCATGGTGGCTCACGCCTGTAATTCCAGCACTTTGGGAGGCCGAGACAGGTGGATCACTTGAGATCAGGAGTTCAAGACCAGCCTGACCAACATGGTGAAACTCCATCTCTATAAAAATACAAAATTAGCTGGGTGTGGTGGTGCATGCCTATAATCCCAGCTACTCGGGAGGCTGAGGCAAGAGAATTCCTTGAACCCGGGAGGTGGAAGTTGCAGTGAGCCAAGGTTGCGCCATTGCACTCCAGCCTGGGTAACAAAAGTGAAACGCCATCTCAAAATAATAATAATAATAATAATCTGGCCAAATCAAAAAATAATTCCATAGCAAAGTTATTTCTATCAAACATTAGAGAAGGTTGTTCCATATTCAATGATGAGCTTGGGATCTGTTTCTATGTTTTTATTAAAAACAGGTGAAACAGGACAATCAACTTTTTTACCCATCACCTATAGAGACGGTAGCCTTATCTACCTAAAAGTGAGGTAATAGAAGAAGGGTGAGTATTATTTTAGAGAAGTAAAATGAAAGTATGAATTGGGATTGTAGATGGACATCAACCCTTGGAGGCTATTGTGCCTGAATGTGAAACTTAAGTTCTCAAATGGAAACCAACAGTTAGCTACAAATGGCCCTTTGAAGCGAAATTTACAATATGAGCTTGGCAAAATATAGACTGTACAATGTCCCTCAAATAGTACATTAGAAAAAGCACCAATCTGACAACAACATATTTTCTCCTACATAGTAAGTTTTGATAGTAGCAATTGGATTTGAATAATTCTGAATGCAAGACATAAATAAATCACAAAAGAATAGATTGAAATTAATAAGTGGATGCAAAAATATACATTTTTGTTTACAAATTTGAACAATAAAAGCTATTCCAGAAAAAAGAAATGAAAAATGAACATCCGCTATCCCCTTAAACATTATTAATATTCACATAAAAATAGATGCTGCTGAATTGTTCAGTATGGAATCTTAGTGTAGTTTAATTATTTTCATCTTCAGGCTTTGCACAAGCCCCCTGAATGCAATCTGTGATTAAAGTTCCTAACAGATTTGGGAACATAATAGTGGCAAGTGTCCTTGAATATACAGTTGGTTCTCAGTATCTGTGGGTTCCATTCACATTCATAGATTCAACCAATCATGGATACAAAATATCTGGAAAAAAAGTTTCTGTAGTGAACATGCACAGACTTTTTTCTTGTTTTTGTTCCCTAAATAATATGTTATAACAACTATTTACATAGTGTTACACTGTATTAGGTAATATAAGTAATCTAGAGATGATTTAAAGTATATGGGAGGATGTGTATTAGGGACTTGGGCATTCATGGATTTTGGTATCTGAGGAAGATCCTGAAACCAATCCCTCATAGATACTGATGGGAAACTGTACTATGTCATGGCCCCCAAGGCTACATAATTTTGCAGAAATGAAGAAATTATTTCTTTCTGAGAAATATTTGTTTGAATGACTCTAAAAATTTCAATCTTGCCTAATTACCAAACGATCAATCTTCAATATTCTAAGACTAGTCTTTCTCTGAGTCATAATAAACATGATTTAGTTATGGCAGTTGGAGTATAAGTACCATATACTGTATTTAGGCTTAGGCTCAAATTTGAATGCTGTTTCTCTCACGTGTAAGTTGTATGTCCTTGAACGTGCATTGTTTAATTTCTATCACTGTTTTCTTCTACTGTAGAGTAGGAATATTAACACCTACCTGATGGTAATCAACTGGTGTTAGAGTTAAATGAGATTAAAGAGTGCCTTGATTAAGAGCTAGCTAAGAGCAAGCACTCATGTAAGAGTTAATTTCTTTAGGTTACACATCCAAATTTGCTATTTATCTTTGACACCTTTTCTCTGCTGAGTGAGTGTTCAGGTTGTTTCAAAGACATAGGACAAAGTAAAAGAAAAGGAAAGAGGGAAAGGAAGGGAAGGGAAGGGAAGGGAAGAAAAGTAAGGGGAAAAGAAAAAGAGGAAGAGAAAAGAAAGAAAAATAAAATAAGATAAAATAAAGAAGAAGAACTGATCAGAGATTTCTGAGCTGGCTAGCAAACTCTCAAAATGTGCTGGACCAATATTGCCATCTTACAAAGTCAAAAACCTAAATTATAAGCTTTATTTAAATTCCAACTGATTGTCCCATCTTTCTGTTATTTATATATGACTACCAGTGGTAAGAAAAAAGACAATAGGGTTCCTTCAAGTACTCAACACTTTAAAGACTATGGAGTTCAAATGAGTGAGGCTAGGGACATATTGAAGCTAACTGCCATCTTATATTTAACATCCCAGTTTAAATCCCTTATCTTCAGTAGCCTGTCACCAGAGCAATCATTTACACATGGCCCTGTGACAACTTATCAATCATGAAGCAGCTGCAAATTAAATATTTTGGCTGAAAACACCCCCTCCTTATGTCAGGACACATTAATTTGAAATAAACATTTTGCTGAGATGTGAAATGAAGCAGATCCATTAAAGGCTACTAGTCATGTGTTTTGATTTATTACTCTCTGATGTAATATTTGCCATTGTGCAGACATAGTAATAGTTGACCAGTGTGATGAATTCTCTATGGGATGGGAAGGGAATTGGAAAGTACTGGGTGCCAAGGACTGTGCTAGACACTTGACATTTTATGTTTCTCTATAAATAATTTATTAGGTACGCATTCATTCTCAACTTAGAGATGGAAAAATTTAAAAACAATCATAGTTGAGCAGTGACAATGAGAAGAATAAGTCATATTCAGATTATTTCCTTATATCTACTACATGTGTTCATTTCACAATTGATAAGACCTTCCCATGTGTTTGTAATGAATTTTATTTCCCTACCCCTAGGTAGTTTCCATGCAGAGTAATGATTGCTGCACAGAGGCATTTTTGAAAAGTGATAAAAAATGCATTTCACCAATTTCAGAAGTCCTTGACAGCACTTGAAGGGTAATCTCTGTCCAGGCAAATGGAGGTAAATATTACAAGATGCCAGAGTCAAGAGTACTTCCTCAGCATTTATTCCTTCCATGCCCGGGAGATGATTTTATTTCAGAATGATCCATGCAGGTCCTGGGGCACATACTAGAGAAGTCTATGTGTATTTATAAGATATCCCATTATCTGGTTTCAAATACCAAATCAGAAGAGAGTCATGCAATAGTGTCTAGAAAAGCTTTTGTTATGAAAACTCAAAATACCAATCTATCAAGGATGACTTGATTACATTTTGAATAGTAAGTCACACACAGTCTATTATGTCTGCATATAAATTATAACCTGAGTAATCAAACCAAATGTTCTAGTATTTTTGTACTTTTGCCCAAGGTTCAGAGTCCATCAATTCTCTGTCCAGTATATTTTAAATGATAATATTTTCCTTTAAGTTTCTATTTCATTTCATTCAAAGATTCATCCATGCTATTAAACCTAATGTTGTAGGAATGGGATGGTATAAAACCCCCTTGTAAGGACGTAAGGAATGAGTCCAACATCTCAAACCTATGACTTAGCAATGTCCAGTCCTTAAGAAGGGATTTCTGTTCCAGCATCTATCAGAGCTTTTTCTTCCCTGCAATTTAAAACACGAGCATTTAAAGGACACGTAGTGCCTTCTTCAAAACAGGCCAATTTTTCCTACTTGTTCTACCCCCTTCTGCTGTGAATCTTCAGTCTATCATATAGCTAAGTTATCAATGTTAATGCAAAATCAAAACTGGATACTGCATAGTATAATAAAAAAGAGGTGCCTGCAGCCCACATCCTCCGAAGTTGACAAACATCCATTGACAAACTTCTGGACAATAAATAATGAAAGAATAGCCAAGGGAGCAGCCGCTCTCTTTTCTTCACATCTATCTATCTCTAAACATGGACCACAACTTGTGCTGCATTTTCTTGGTGTTTATAAAGCAGGTATTCTTATTTTCATATGCCAATCTCCATACAATCACCAAAAAAAAAAAAAAAAGAAAGAAAGAAAGCAAAAACTACAAACACAATGGGTGATCCTGACGACTAAGCAACCAATTAACACATTTTGGGGGACCCTCTTATTAAGCATAAGCCATGATGCACCTGCCCTTTTTTTCCACTGGCAATGTAGTTGGGGTTATAGGGCATCTGCATAAACTATACCAGAATATAGTTTATTATAAAGGTTAAATTTGCTACAGATCAATATCTTAAATTTAGATGAGGGAAAGATATGGAAAATAGAAAAGACCCTGGATTTTATTGTCCCCAACATTTTGGATTTAAATTCCAGTTCCTTTACTGACTAGCTGTAAAGAGATTACTGTTACCTGCCTTTCAGGACCCTAATGAGGCTTGGGAGTAGTAATAACTTGCCAAGTGCTGACTCTGTACAGTGGTAACCCTTATATATGTCATTTTTATGTGAGCCTCGGAACACTCCTTTGAAGACTGTACTTTGATTACACTCATTTTACAGAAGAGGAAACTAAGAGAAGTTAAATAACTTGCCCCAGTCACACAGCTGATAAACAGCAGAACACAATCAGACTATAAAGTGTGAATCAATATCCACTACACTGGCAAATGCAAGCCCCTAGCAGAAGACCCAAATAATAGGTACTCCAAAGATGGTGCCTCTTTGGATGGAGGTGATCGAAAAGACCTCTGGGAGGACAGGATTTCAGCTGGATTTTTAAGTATATGCAGGATTCAAACACACAGTAGTGAGGAGGATGCTCAGAGAGAGAAAACTTCGGTAAATGAGGATTGGCAAAGCACGGTGTACTCTAACCACACTGGGTGGATGAAGGACGTATGCCAGGGATATCAAGTGGGGTCCTTTGCATGATGATGGGCAGCTTATTTAATGAAGATTATAAATATATTTCATTATGCTAAATAGGTCACCTTAAAGGAGAGGGAGTTCATACACAACTGACAGATTCATAAGTTCAAGAAAAACTCAACGAAAACACTCTTAAATTTAGAGGTTGTTAATTTGACAGTTGATGGGGTTAGAATAAAGCTCTATATCAAGTGAGCGTCTCTTCTCCGCTATTCCTTCAGCACTATCCTTCATAAGACCTGCAAAGGTGCACGCAGCAATTAAAAGCAGAAGGAAGAAAGCACCCTGCATCTTTCATTCTTTGGATCCAGACTAAACCAATCCTGCCTGTTCACGCCACCAGCTCAGCTTGACGAAGCCACATAAATCCCACTATCAAAATCCATTTAAAATATAAAACAAATTCATAGAAGCACAGCATTCATCCACGCTCCCTTGGCCTAGCTTAGTACCACCAGAGGGAGGTTTGAAAGGCATTTGTTGACAAATTTGAAGCCAGAGAGAGTCTTTTTATTATGATGATGATGATTATTATTATTATACTTTAAGTTCTAGGGTACATGTGCACAATGTCCAGGTTTGTTACATATGTATACATGTGCCATGTTGGTGTGCTGCACCCATTAACTCGTCATTTACATTAGGTATATCTCCTAATGCTATCCCTCCCCCCCCCCCATTCCATGACAGGCCCCGGTGTGTGTGTGATGTTCCCCTTCCTGTGTCCAAGTGTTCTCATTGTTCAATTCCCACCTATGAGTGAGAACATGTGGTGTTTGGCTTTTTGTCCTTGTGATAGTTTGCTAAGAATGATGGTTTCCAGAGATAGTCAAACCCATTCACAGATTTATCAAGATTATGCAAATGGAGACAAATGCAGTGTTTGACTGTCTCATTCATTGTTTTAGCCAGTGTTTAGTGAGAAATTACAATGTCAGTCATTCTGTCTTATTGGCTTTTTCTTCTCCATCTATTGTCCGTATGCCTAAAAAGATGGAGAGTCTCAATCCTTAACAATCCCCTTCATCTTTTACTACTATATTCCCAATGCCACCAACCACCACACCTGCCCTTATCCGCAATAATGTTTAGATACATACAGATCATAGTGTGTACTGCCTCTCAGACTGACATGCACACTACTAGATCATTTTACAGATGGAAAATGCTTCATATTTTTCAGAGATCTGCTTATATGTGAGTTGGAAATATGTAATCATTTCTGCCCTTCATTTCCTACAAATCTAAAATACCAAAGTGAGCTCAACTGTGAGCATGTTTACAGACATTCTGCATATTGTAGTCATTCTTTAAATTCACCCTGTCTAGATGTGTTACAAACATAAGTTGCCCAAATTCAAAGTAATTGACTTTCAGCCAACTGTGACCAAATCGCACACACAAAAAAGAACACACCATGTGTTATAGCACGAAAACTCATCCCAAACCCAGAAGTTTCCACCACAAAAAACTTTTAATAGCCTGCCTTGAAAGCACACAAAGATTCTATTATGAATAAAACAATTTATTCACTGGGGCTAGAATGTGTAAATTGGTCTCACCGTACAGATTATTTTTTAACAGAATTATTTTGTATATTTGTTATAATAAAAATATTCACAAAATGAACATTTTGCCACCATATTTGTAAAAAAAAAAAAAAAGCACTTCTTGCTTTTTCAGTATATATTTGGTATTTGCTCAGTGTTTCTTTAACAAAAAGGAGAAAAGAGGCCCTGAGGAAAAAGAGTAGCATGCATGCATAAATTAAATTGTGCTTTTATCTCCACTAAGTATTAAATACCAAAACCCACATTTTAATATACCTGATTATCACATGTTTTGGAGTACACAATGAGGAATAGCATGAAAAGTAACTGTAGATAACAGATGTGTAATAAAGTGTATCTGTTACCTATGGCTATGAATCCCATCCCTCACACCAATGTTATGTACTGTTATCTTCTAAGTCTCTTTCCACAATAGGGAAATGAAGCCCCACAGCGAGAATGTTACAAACTTGATTAGGGGCCTGATACAAATATATGACATTGTAACTTTTATTGACCTTAAGAGTACTGCTTTGTCAGTAAAACTTTCTGTTTTAATATTTAGTTGCAGGACACATAGGCCCGCTGTCATACACTTCTTGACAGATGAGCTATCTTGTGCCTTCAGTGTCTCAGTAATAGAAATAGTAGATGTACTAAAATCAAACAACAACAAAAACAACAATAAAAAACGATGATCAAAGCTTCTCAGATGTGCTTAGTCAGCACAAGCCATGGAATAGTTTCAGTTACCTTGCATTCAATGAAAATAATAATTCAAGGCACTTTTTTAGATGGCTTTGACCTCTGAGTTGTACTTAAATACCATTTCAGCACTGTTTACACAGGCAATAAACTATAATTATTGAGTGGGGGGGATGAATACATTGCTGTGGAATAACCTACAATCTGGTCTCCACATCAATAAAAATATCTTTTCACTTGTGATAGTTATTTTCTTGGCTTGAAAGGTCATCATTTGCTTGAACAAATAGGTGAAGAGGAAGGTTTTCAAGCTGTGTTTCTAAGGAAAATGAGACCCTGAATTGGAGGAGACGTGTATGGTAATGAGAAAGTGTGATGATGAGTTGTGTGTAACTGCAGGCAAACGCCTTCCTCCTTGGATGAAAATTTAATGATGGGTTACGTTTCCAGTGGGAAAGTAATAACTTAGGTAAGTAAAGTTGTACACTCCAAAAATGAAATTATTTTCTGTTTTAAAAGATTACCCCAAAGCTATATACCTGTGATTTTGTCTGTCACTGTCATTAAGTGAGCACCTAAAATGCACTTTGAACATCTCATTCTCTGAATTACTTTCTGGCCCTTATGATTTGTCAGGGAATGAAAGTGGCATGCCGGGCATGTGGATCACATTTCTTGGCTCCTTGGAAGTTTTGGGAAACTACTCTGGGTCAATGAAGGAAAACGGGAATGAGATGGCAGTAGCTGTTACCTCTCCCATTGTGTGTCTGTGTTTAAGAGAATATATTTTATCTCCTTGAGGTATAATTCTACTTCTTTTTCCATTAGTCCCATCATGGAAGAGGTATGCTCTCCGACGGGTGGACATTGTGCATACACATTACACACCTAACTGCATGATGCCTCAGATGTGTGCACGGTCAATATATGATAACTGTGTCAGTGTGTTAGCTCATGATGTCAGGTTCATTTTCTATGTAGTATCTAACACAAATACTACATCCTGGTGGCATGAAACCCACCATATAAATGGCTGATCAGAACCATAAATATGTGCTTATGATATAAACTTGAATAAAGCAACAAAATACAATACAGACTTTGATATTTCACATATCTATGCCAAATATTTAAAAGTTAGTACTCCTTCCACATCCAGTAGTCGTATTTCTGTATTTTATATGACAAGAAACCCCAAATGAGGTAATGAGATGAATAAGCTATCTGCACATAAATCCTCTTGACTTAAGCAAAATAATCAATATCTGGGCCACGTAGTGCCAAAATGATTAGTTTAACCTGAAATATCACTTTTCACTGGTTTGTTTTGAAATCATGGCAGAGAGAATAATAGCTAAATGATACTTATCAGTTAAAAATAGAAGACTGTCAGATTAAGAGAACCAGGCCCTGCCAAACAGGTCACTTCTGTTTGCTGTGTTCTGAATACTCAATTTATGTATTGATCTTTTTTTACTTTATATCTTTGCTGCAAGCTAAAGAACAAAATTAACAATGTGTACAAATATGTTTGTGTTGTGTGTGTATACACATATACACATATATGCAATCTATGCATTATATATGTATTATATACACATAAACACAGAGCATTTCTCTACTGTCACTGTCCTGGGAAGCAGCTCTTAAATGCATCTAGTGGCTTCTTGCTTGGGCGGGTCTTCTTCTAGCACCCTTGCTGTCATATGCCACTGTGAAGTGCATTGTAATTAGCTGTATATTTTATGTCATGGAGCTGCACTACCTAGTGATAACAGGTTAGGGCTGTCAGTTCAAGTAGCAAGAGTGTGAAAGGATATTAAGTGAAAGGATGACAACACAATGGGAATACTTCAGATCCCAGTCATTCAAAGTTTGGCCCTCTGTCAAGCAACAAGCTCCCTTTGCCATGGAATCTATTTCTAGGATTAGCTGGCCTGCTTCTCACCCCTTACCAATATGCGCATACAGAGAAATTTATTCTTAGGCTTGAGTTTCGGAGAAGCCTCTAAAATTATACACATAAGTCGCCTAGCCCTGATTCCACTTATATTTCTGACTACAAGTGAAGACTTCATTTCAAAAGTGTTGGATGGTGTCAAATATTAACACTAATGTTTAAGTTAGCTATTTAAAGTTGTTCAAAAATTAGACATCTCCCATTTCCCTAGAACAGGATGCCTCTAGATGCAGAAATATAGTTTAAAACAGACCAACTTTTGGAACATGCATGTAGAAAAACCAATGAAAAGGTACATTAAGAAAAAAATTTAAAAAGAGAGATCAAGAGACAAGACACATTATTTTATTCAGATTCCTAGAAATTACATATGGTAGAAAATGTAGAATGTTTTCACTCTGAGCAAAATAGCTTAGTTATTGGGGCAATGCATATATGTGTGAAATCAGTGTTAGTCTACGCCACCCAAAACTTCTTTCCCCTAAACTACAACTGCTGAAATATTTCTAGGTAAATAAATATTAAAGGACTTGTAGAAAGTGACTTAGCTCTCAGCCTTTCAGATTTCCCCATATACAAAGATCATTTCAATTAGAAAAGTATGCAGAGTAATTTGGCACAGAAATGCCTACTTAAACAAACTCTACCCTCCAAATCCATCTACTCACATTTAATTGTTTTCAGATTCTAACTCTGCGGTTTGTAATTTTCTTAACACAAAGTTTATTAAACTGAAGATAGAAATAATTGTCTTCTATTATGCTATGTGACTAAGGATTTGTTTAGTTTTGTTATTATCATTACTAATGTTTTTACCTCCTGCAGAAAAATGCAAGCAAGAGTTTATTAATATCAATAGAAAGTAAACATATGATGAGACACTATTCTTCCAGAACTGATGATCATTTTACAACAAAGCAATTTCTTAGCCAAATAAACTAACATCTATTGGTATGAATGGCTACCAGTTCTGTTTCCACAGTGCTTTGGCTAGCACTTGCCTGAGACGAAGTGCCAAAAATAAATAAATTATAAATGTATTAAACCAATGATGAAATAATACCTGCTAGTATGCATGCTCTTACAATGTCTTAAACATACGATAAAAAGAAGAGACTGCTTTAGAGAATGGTCTCTATCAGTAAAAATTCTGCTAAGGCACATCAAGGTTTAATTAAAACATCAAAATGTGGGAAGAGACACAATTTGACAGATAAATGTGAATATCATGGTACTGTCACTGAGCTTTTCTAATGAGATTAGATTCCTCCTTTAATTGACATTTCTAACTGAGGCACAGATAAGACAGATTTAATGGGAGCAGTTATATATAGCTGGACTCTAGCTAGATGAAGGAGTGTTTGACATTTAAATATCATAAGCGATATATTATACACTCCCATCTCTAACATACTGTCAATATTAAGAAGGATAAGCAGATACTTTAAATATACAAGGCAGAGACTAGGACAAGTAATGCAAATAATCCTTATAACAACTCTGTTGCATCAAACAAACCTTCATGAAATACCTTCCATTCAATGCAGGTAAGTTGTTGCATAGAAAAAGAAAAAGTCTCCCATAAAATACCTAAAGGTAATTAATTTATTGTTTATAAAAATGAATGGGAGCATATAAAGTTGCTTCTGAAAATGTGTCAACGATTTTCTTTTTCGGGTGACACTAATAAGATGCTATTCTGGAATTATTTTCACTTGGTACTAACAAAAGACATGGGAAAAATCCATCAACTGATGCAAGGTTGCATCATGGTAAAGATAAAAGAAATAAACCCATCATTTATTTTAAAATATCAATACAAGAGCTTCTTTCCTTACTGGCCTTTAATGAGGTTTCCACCATGAATTCACCTTAAGCACTTTAGCTTAATGAAAAAAATGTGCTATTATGAAGTCTCTTTTGTATCAGGTCTATAATCCAGGTACTACAGCTCCAGGATCTATGGCATAGTCCACTGTGTTCAGTTTCCTAAGACTCACTGGTGGCCTTTGGAGTCAAAATCATTCTCTTACATTTGCCCAATTTACAGCCAGAGCTCCTGTGATAATTCTGCACGTATCAAGCAATCATTGTGTTTCTACAAATCTTTAAATATAACTGCGTAGGAACAAAAGATGAACTAAACATGGATGAGGAATAAAACATTTAGCTTCAGGAGGCAAGATTTTACTGAGCTTGGTGAATATAAAGAGAAAAGAAAATATATGGAGATTGTATGCCTTAAATGGTTATTATGCCCCCTAAATATTTATGCACAAACACAATTTCAATGAGTTCAGTATGTATTTGTGGCTACAAAAGCATATAGGCATGTATAAATATATATAGGTCTGAATATGGACAGACATCCTCAACATCCAGACTGAGACCTGAGTACTAGTTAATATTTGAGAGAAGAAAAATAATTAGTAAGTTTATGAATTGTGTTTTATTAGCTCCCTCCATATCTATGATGTACTCACTATGGTCCAGGCACCAAGATAAATAATACATTTCCTTGGCTTCCAGCAGCAATATAGCCAAGCAGTCACATGAAAATAGACCCATGACTTTGTCCAGGTAGTCAGCACAGACTTTGCACTGAGGGTAATGTTTGAACAGAATACTAAAGGATGAGGAAGTATTTTTCACACAGATGGTGTGAAAAAGAAAGGACAAAACAAGATTTCTAGATGAGGCATGAGAGAACAAGGATGGTTCAATAAATGGCCATAAGTTCAGCAAATCCAGACTTAGTGGTTTAAAAACTGGGCTATGTAGACTTACTGCAGGGAAAAGGGGGAGGTGGGAGTAATGGAAGAGATTGTGTTGAGCTCCAGATTTCCACTCCAGAGCTTAAGCAAAGCAGCCCAGTTTTATTCATTTTCCAAATGAGGCTTTAAATCAGATTTCCTCTGAAGAAATAATCTGTTGCTAAGAAAATACATTTTAAAATTATTTCATTAAAAATTAATTATTTCATTAATTAAGGACCTTGCATGCCCATCCTTGTCAATCTAGGACAGAAAGTCCAATGAAAGATGTAATGAGGTGAGTGATAGGATCAGTTTGCTTTTTGGGAAGGTAAGTCCAGTAGCAGGAGGGTAGAAAATGGTTTACAGTGGGAATGAAAAGACATAAGCTAAGAGATCAAGAGAGCCTGTAACTGAGGAAACTGGAATGGAGAGAAGGTATTGACAAGCATTTGAATGTAGAGGTTGGAAGAGAAAGAACAGTCTACATCCATTTCCCAGATTTGACAAAGGTGATTGGTTGCAAACAAGCTTCATAATGACTTATCTAACAAAGCATTCTTATCATGATCAACGTAAAGCATAGTTTTGTAGTTATTTACAATATTTATGTATCAAACTAATGCAAACAAAATTAACATGATCCAGCACTCTTCTTCGAGTGAAAACTGTGGAGAACCCCTATAAGCACAGTCCACGATTTCAACTAGGCAAAGAAAACAAATATCTATATGGCACGTTTTGAGGATTTTAGGAAAAAACAACTTATGATGCTGAGTAGTTTTGCCCCATTTTACAGATTTTAAAACTGAAGGCCTGAAAACTTATAATTTGTCCAGTGTCCCATAACTAGTCAGTAGCGAAGCCAGCATTCCAAGATGTTTATGTGGCTCCAAAGCCTTCATGCTCTTTCTCACCCACCCACATGCTCCTAATGCCTCCCCAATATTTTTGACCAAGCCTGGATTCCAGAAATGACTTTTTATGAAGTATATAATTTCCTGGAAATTTAAATATTCCTGAAGTGGGAAGAAAAATGTGTCCATGGCTAGAAGGGAAGATGCTTATGTCAAGATGGCGGGTCAGCCCCTCACGCCAGTCTTCTTCACAAGTTGGTCCATGGCAGCCCATGCAGATATAACCAAGAACTGTGATCTAACCTCTTAGGAGTATGATGGTTTCGAAACTTCCCTCAGGTGTGCTAGTACACTGTTTACACCTCTGTTGAAATCTAGTTTACCATACTTGTGTGATGAAAGTGTCCTCTTCCCTCTAACCCCCGATTGGAGTGCACTAAAGGGTCCTCCAGGGTACAGGTACATGAGTGCCTAACCACCCAGCCTCAAATGACACTTAGTTTAAATTCATCCTCTTTACTCTCCCTCAGAGCAGTCTGGGGATCTCACAGGGCTTACATATATGCAGGGAGATTGTCAGGTTCCACATATCCAATTGCAGGACTGGGCTGCACTACAACATCTTTTTGGGTTGAGTGGAGGGATTGCTGACCAGGTGGTGATGGCATGGTGGTGTGACAAGGCTAGGATCCTAGATGCCATCAGGAAGTGCAGAAAATGATTGAGAGGCCAAGGACTGTGTGGCAGCCTGTTTGTGTCAGTTGTCCCCCAGAGAGAGATGCTGGGATGGGCTTAAGGTCTTTCATAGCAGCCGGCTCTCATCCACAGACACTGGCATCATGCAGGCACCAAACCTGTCTTGGATGGATGGGATGGGACTCAGGGTCCCTTTCTTTACATCCCAGAGTGGCCTTCCACTTCCCCCCTTTGCCTTCCTTCCCCACGTTGCTACCACCTCTGCTTTTAGGCTTGAAACAGGATCTTTGTGGTCTTGGTATCCCCATTTCTTATGATGCCCAAGGTCCCTTGCCAGAATAATGCTCTTAAGACCGGGGCCAAGTCTCTTGGACCTTTTGATCCCATTGTTGGACCCCAGCACATACCATATCCTTAAATGTTTAATGAATGAATGTGTGATATATACCTCAAAGAACAATCTGCTGTGTGCAACACCGTTGCCACACTAACCAGCAGGCAACTTCTGGGAAAGAAGGGGGCTACAGGGGCAGGAAGCTAGGGAAGAGCAGCATTCAAGTGAGTTCCTCCTACTAAAACAAAAGGGAAGCATATCAAAAAGACCAGAAAGCAGCTGCAGGGGCTTGCTAAGGATAAACTGTCTTTGGCTCTGCATTGGGCAATTACTTTCGGGCTGAGGTTTAAAGCATGGGTGATGGTGAGGGATGAGAAACAGGAGAGTAAATAAAAGGATCCAAATATGCTTGTGTGAATGTGTCCATGTTACCACTTTACATGAAGAAGATGTACAGCTGCTGGGGGCTGGGGTGGTTAGGAGTGCCTGGTCTCAGTCTCTTGGGGTGAGGCAAACAGGGATGTGGCAGTGGGCTTTAAACAAGCCTGCTCGGAGATTTTAAAGGAGATGCTCAAGTCTCATATTGTTAATTAATTAGCTCAGACATCAGTCCACTTTAGCTGTTATATTAGGATACTACGATGTTAGCATTCTATAAATGCTACTGATGCTTCGAACCCAGAGATAAGCATTGGCCCTACCCAACCACCACCTGAAGATTATATTGCCTTGTGGAACTGAAATAAGAAGCATAGCAGAATTTTGCTGAGGCAAACTAGATAGGGGAGGGTGTGGTGACGCAGTGAACAGAGCCCAGGCACGAATTCCCTTGGTTCCTACAGGAGTGACTTCTTTCTTCCATGACCAGCTCAGGAAATACATATAATTTTCCTATCATCTCCACACCCAGGGTGAGGTTGGGGTTGACATTTTAATGCACTGTTTTGTGAATAACAAAAGCATCTGTCTGAAATTCTGCTGTCTTTGTTCTCTGTGAGATACTCCTCATACTTTAAGGGCTGCATCAATAGTTGGAGTGATAAGAAAAATAAATGAATAATGAAAGGGATAGGGAGGTAATTAGTAGTTGCACAAATAATGAGGTGAATCAGAATCTATATCTAAGCAACTCTATATTATTGTCAATTCTTCACATTGCTTTTGAGTCAAGGCCAATCCTGCTTTTATACTGTTTTTAGTTTAGTTTTGTTTTTTTTTTAGATAGAGTCTCACTCTGTCACTCTGTCACCCAGGCTGGAGTGCAGTGGTGCGATCTTGGCTCACTGCAGCCTCTGCCTCCTGGATTCAAGCAATTCTCTGCCTCAGCCTCCCGAGTAGCTGGGATTACAGGCACCCGCCACCATATCTGGCTAATTTTTTTGTATTTTTAGTAGAGATAGGGTTTCACTATCTTGGCCAGGCTGGTCTTGAACTTCTGACCTCATGATCCACCTGCCTCGGCCTCCCAAAGTGCTGAGATTACAGGCATGAGCCACTGAGCCTGGCCTTTATTCTGTTTTAAATACTAGCTATCATGCTATACTAATTGTCTTGGTTTGAATGTGTCCCCTAAAAAGCATACACTGGAAACTTAATCCCCAAAACAATACTGTTGGCAGGTGTGGCCTAAAGAGAGGTGAATAGACCATGAAGGCTCCATGTTCATGAATGGATTAATGCTGCTATTGTAGTAGTGTGTTTGTTATCATAAGACTGAGTTTATTACATTTATATTTTAAAAGCCAGTTCATTCCCCTCTTGCTTTTTTGCTTACCCTCTCTTTGCCCTTCCACTTTCTGCCAGGGAATAATGCAGCAAGATGACCCTCACCAGGTGCCAGCCTCTTGATCTTGGACTTCCCAGCCTCTAGAATCATGAGTCAATACATTTCTATTGATTATAAATTACCCAGTCTGCAGTATTCTGTTACAGCAGCATGAAATGGACTAAGAACATGCATATTAAAAATGGTATTGACAAATATTACAGGCCCGAGCTCTAAAAATATTTCTCTAATTTAAACAACTCATTATGAAACAATAAATAAGTAAACATTTTAGCCAAGTACAATATTCGCTTAAATCTTAAATAAGATTTATTTGAGTCTAGGATGATGCAAATTCTAGAGGAGAGAAAGAGATGTAATCAAATATTTACTACACAATGTCATAAGATAAATATAAGAATTGAGTGCAGAGCGACATGGGTACAGCATTACTAATAATATCCTGAAAGTCAATCTTTCAAGCAAGAAATATAGCTTAAGGAAGAAAAAATGATATTTAATCTTTTCTTTCACTTTAATTTTTCTCAAATAAAAAATGTATGAGATGTGTGCATATAAACATCCATATACACACACACATATATGCATATATAACATATGTATGTGTATATATATGTGTAAGTGTACACATATATACATCCCTAAATTAAATTTAAAATGCCAAGAAATACACATGACCATTGTAGGAAGACCAGCCTACTCATATCCTATTAACAGAAAGGCTTTCAACCTAGCCAGATACCATATCTGCTGGCAAAAAGTGGAAGGATACAAAGCCAATCAGAATGTAATTGACATAAATCTGTCTAGTGTGCCTGCTCTTTTAATGTATTTTTATCTTACATTTTATTTCATCTTTATTGGCAGAGAAACTATCTTATCAAAATGCAAACAAACCCAAACAACCCAATTAAATACAGATAACTTTGACTCTTAAAAGACAATATAGACATTCTTGTACTTTGCCCCCATATAATGTAACCTAAGTTCCAATTGAAGCAATTAATTTTTCTTAATCTGAAAATTTCCCCAACCACTCATAGAGATGACCCTTGCTCTACCACAAAGATTTGCTGCACACATCTTTATGTAGTAAGTATTTGAAAAAAGACAAATTAAAAAGCCAACTTTTCTCTACTTACTATGACCTTGACTCTCCTCCTGTTTTTAGTTCACTTGGTGAGATTTTCCAACTAAGCTCCAAACCTGCTGATTACCACACCCAAGGAGAGGATGCTAGAAGAAGCAAAATAACTTTTTGAGGAACAAATCACAGCCATCTAAATTACTCCTTTGACAGAGTAATGGATCTTACAGATGAAAGAGAGAAGAAGGTGTCATTTATCTTGACTTCATAAGACTTGTCAACTTTTCCTGGTAGTTTCTGAGGAACATGTTCATAAATAATTTAGAAAATTATGACTTAGACCTCAAAAACCTTGAGGTAGACTACTACAACCCAGGAATAAGGACTTCAAGAAAAAGAAAATCTTATCTGTTTCTCTTGGGATGGAATGTGAATCATTAAGCAATTTGGGAAATATACTGAGCCTGGTCTCACCTACAATTGATATAAGTGGCTCATATCTCGAATAATTCAATTTCATTTAATTCAGTAAATATATGTTTCTTTACTGGACCTGTAATGGAGGTGAACGTTGTACTGGGTATGTCAATGATGGTGTTTTCACCCTGAGATTCGACTTCTGGTTCAAGTGGCTCTGCCCATATAGAGTCTCTTAGGGGTTACATAATGTCTTTCCAAAATTCATACAATGAAGTCCTTACCTCCAGTATCTCATTATAAGAAGAGGAAATTCAGATCTAGACTCACAGAGAGAAGACCCCATGTGAAGATATAGGGAACGATGGCCATCTACACACCAAGGAGAGAGGCCTCATAAGAAATCAACCCTGTTGACACATTAATCTCAAACTCCCAGCATCCAGAATTGTAAGAAAATGATTTTCTGTTGCTTAAGCCACCTGGTCTGTGGAGATTTGTTATGACAGCCCTAGCAAACTAACAGGGACCCTGTTCCAAGAAGCAGTTCTGGGCTGCCTGTGCACGGGTGGATCTTACTGGACCAAGGATGATCAAGTGACCTGAGGGGAACTCATCTCTAGGCTGACTGACCCTATAGGGTGGCCAGGAGCACAGATCACTGCCCAATCAGACAATGATCCAGAGCTACCCAAACAGACTGGCTCACTCCAGGAATCCTACTGGTGGATACAGTAGGTTGACAGTTAATCAAAAGGGGGATGCAGGCATACAGAAATAAGTGACATCACAGGGAGAGACCATGTGAAAACTAGAGAGGTCAGTACTTCAAGCTGCCTCAGGCTGATTTCCAAATCCAACTCCAATCCTCATTTTTTGCCTTACAATAATCTTTCCTGCCTCACACTTTTTCTTAAAACATTGTCATGTAACTCAATATGCAGAGGGTCTTACATTGTTTTGAAACTGGAAAAACAGTTATTCCAAATGGCAGAAGATTCCAAAGGTAAAATTCAATATGCCTTTGGGAGAGAACCCTCCAGTAGGACATTGTCATTCCACAGATATGACAATATTCCCACCCATTTGTTTCTTGAGGAAGCCCTACACTCAATGAAATAACCCAAATGCTCTTTCTTCTGAATGAAACAAAAATAAATATATCTTTTTATATTGAAAATTGAGCGACAAACACACATATATAAACAAATGTGACATATATAAATATGACATAAATATATATTTAAATGTAACATATATACATGCATACATATATGTTCACATATAAATATATATGTCACATATATATATTCATCTCAAAATCAGAAAATGTAGTTCTTGATTTTCTCTAAATCTGGGTTTAGATAGAGATTTAGGGTGATCTAAATTTTAAAATTAAATTTATACTTAAAACTATAATTCATACTGGGAGAGTGGGTGTATTTGTGCATGTATATTATGTTTCGTTTCTGTTCGCATTCTTGTCCAAACATTAGCTTTTCAAAGATCAGGAGTGGAGACTGGACTCCTGTAATAAAGGTTTGCAGGCCTGAACTTAGACTGAGCACAGCACAGCAAAAGCTGGAATGGATGATCTACTGCATTTACTGTTATTTCCGACTAATGTTAAACATAGTAAGTGAAAGCCATGCATTTATCTCTCCTCCTGAAACATGACAGAGAGAACTGTAAAGGGATGAAAAGGGCATAAACTCACAAAAATCTTTCTCTTGAGAATGTGAGAGGAGACCAAAGCAAGTGACAGGCATCAACACAATTTTTGAAATCAGAGCTGAAACATAAGTGTATGACGCATAGGAGGAGGAACAGAGATAGGGCTAGATGAAGAAGTGAGCAGTGGACCACTGCAGAATCACAAAAAGGCTCAGAACTGGAGGTTCCATGTGTCTCCAGCATCCCCCAGCTGAATAAGGGATATTTACTTTCTGCTGAGAATGAATCAGTGAGGCGAACTCAACAACAACGAGTCCATGTGAGGGCCATGGAGGAAACGTCTAATAGAGGGACGATGTGAGAGTCGGCTCATGAAGGAGAATCCTAGCCCCTTAACTTCCCCCTGTTCCCAGAGTGCTAGTAGCCTGGCTCACACCCCCAGGAGAAGCCCGGGGGATTAAATCCTCTCTGAGAAGGACCACCTATATGAAACAAAAAAAGACTGGAGAAATTGACCTTTGGAGGTTTCACAGTGTATTAGTCTGTTCTTGCATTGTTATAAAGAACCTCCTGGGACTGGATAATTTATAAAGAAAAGAGGTTTAATTGGCTCACGGTTCCACAGGCTGTACAGGAAGCATGGCTTGGGAGGCCTCAGGAAACACACAATCATGGCGGAAGGTGAAGGGGAAGCAGGCCTGTTTTACATGGGGGGAGCAGGGGAAAGAAAGGGAAGGAGACGTTTCCACAAACAACCAGATCTCATGAGAACTCACTCAGTATCATGAAAACAGCAAGGGGAAGCCACACCCATGATCCAGTCACCTCCCATTCTCCTCCAACAATGGGGATTACAATTCGACACAAGATTGGGTAGGGATACAAATACAAACCATATCACCCAGCAAAAATGCTGACTCACATTGTGATTGGCTTTTAAGTTTTTATCACCTCACCGTGAAATATAAGCAAATATCCAGACATTTGAAGCAATCTTCTCAAATGAAAGAAAGAGGGGAAAAAATATATTTTTTAAAGTACTTGGAAAAAAAGATGATACAGAAAGTTCAAAATCTAATTTAAATAATCATGCCTAAGAAATGAAAAAATACTGTGGTCGTGAAACAAGAATTGAGATGGCATAAGGAAGAACACTAAATTAGATAATAACATTTTAATATCAGCAGAAGGGTTAGAAGAGATAAATTGAAGAAATATCTCAGAAACTGGAACAAAAAATTCAAGAAACAGAAAACACAACAGAAGATTTAAGTGAATTAGGGAATCCACCTAGGAGAACCCAGGAAAAACGACAACTGACTAGAGGAATTCTTTAAAAAGAGAACAGGGAAAATATAGGAGAATTAAGTTCAAAAATCAATAAAGAAAATACCCCTGAAATAAAGAACATGAAATTATAGATTAAATTGCCCTCTAATTGCCTACAAAACAAAATGATTGATGAAGACTAAACACTTCATTTTGAAATTTCAAAGAGAAGAGATTCTAACAGCTAAAAGGAATGAAATACCAGTTTACTTCCTATATATGGCTGAATAATAGCTACCCGAAGATATCGGTTCCTAATTTCTAGAACCTGTAAATGTTATCTTAATTGGGAAAAGGATCTTTGCAAATGTGATTAAGTTAAGAATCACAAAATGAGGAGATTATCCTGGATTATCAGGCGGACCCTAAGAGCCATCATAAGCCTCCTTATGAGAGAGGCAAAGAAAGATTTAACACACACAGAGGAGAAAGTGATGTGAAGGTTTAGCAGAGAGACTTAAAGATGCTGGCCTTGAAGACTGATGTGATATGGCCACCAGCGTAGGAAGGCTGGCAGCTACCTAAAACTGGAAAAAGAAAGGAGAGGGTTCTCCTCTAGAGCCCCTGGAAGGAGCATGGCCCTGTTGACATCTTGATTTCAGCCCAATGTTGCTAATTTCAGGCTCTGGCCTCCAGAACTATGAGACAACAAATTTCTGTTGCTTTAAACCACCCAGTGTTGTCATTTGTTACAACAACCAGACGAAATGAATACACCCTCATAAGGTCAAAAGTCTAAGCTGAACCAAGAGTCTCATTAGAAACACTAAAAGATAGAAGAAGATAAAAGAGTGCCTCTACAATACTCAGGGAATATGATTTACCATCCATAATTGTGAATTATCAGGTAAGTGAATTATCAGTTATTTACAAGGGTAAACTAAAGTCATATTCAGATATTCCAAGTCTTCAAACAGTTATCCCCCATGCCCTCTTTCTCAGGAAGCGGTTGGAGTATGTGCCCCCATCAAAATGAAGGAGTCAACCAAGAAAGAAGGATTGAGATCCAGGAGGTGGGGGATCCAACATAGGAGAGCAATGAACAGACTTCAAAGGATGAATCTGAAGGAAAGCTCCAGGATATCACTATGAAATAGTCTTGGAGTCCACAGCTGAGGTTGGAGATGGAGGGCTGCTGGAGAGGGGTTGCCAAGGAAACACGCAGGCTCTTGAGATGACCTTCTATGTTTGACCATACTGACAGGAGTTTGAAATATTGGGAGAATGTTTGGGGATGAATTAGTGACAGGCACAAAAATTAAGCAAAGTAACAAAGTAATTTTAAGCTGTACATACAATAAAATATAGTACAAGAAAGGAAATATGATGTCCTTGTGGATCAGCTGTGAACAATACATAGTCATAATAAAGTAAACATTGACTAACCATTTGGTAATACATCTGTATTGGGAGTGGACAGGTATTGTGTATAAGAAGACACAAGAGAGCAAAATCTTCATATTCCATACTTTGGAGCCAATGCAGAATATTTATCATGAAAATTAATAGCAGTCTGAGCATGGTATTTAGAAATATGGGAATAAATGACAGAAGAATAAATATTTGAATGTGGCTACTGTTAGGGAGCAAATATTGCAGATGGAGCTGGTGGAGCAGGAGAGTATTGATTTCATCATGTCATGCAATATTCTAACTTTTAAAACCACTATTTTGTTTTTAGGTATTAGTGTGTTAAAAATATATTTTTAAGATTGAATAAATCATAACTCGGTGTTAGGAACTGAATCATGCCCTTCCAAAACTCATATGCTGAGGTCTTAACCCATCCTACCTCAGAATGTGACCTTATTTGGAGAGTCTTTGAAGAGATGATTAAATTAAAATGAGGTGATTAGGGTAGGCCCTAATTCAATATAACTAGTGTCCTTATAAAAGGGGGAAATTTGGACACAGGCACATACACAGGGAGAACACCAAGAGAACATGAAGGCCATCTGTAAGTCAAGGAGAGGGGCCTGGAACAGATCCTCCTCCCAGCCCTCAGAAGGAACCAACCTTGCTAACACCCTGATCTTGAGTTTCTAGCCTCCAAAGCTGTGAGAAAAATACATGTCTGTTATTTAAGTCACCCAGTCTGTGGTGCTTCGTTACAGTAGCCCTAGCACATGAATATACTTGGCAACTGATTTATGGTAACTGTCCTACCATAGGTCAATCCTGGACATGGATCCAGGATACATCTTTGTAGTTAGTTGGGCATAACTTCAGTTGAAGGGAATTGCCACTCTCAATCACACTGGGAAGAGGGTAAATACTGGTGTAGGAAATGAGCCATCTTTGAAATATGTAAGGGAGAAGAGACTTCCTTCTGATTTGGGTTCAAAAGAATTTGGGAGGGTGGGGTAAAGGCATCCAAGCCTGTACACAAAGCTCTGATGACACTTGGAGCATTCCTAACAATGAGGAGAACTAGCTGGCTCCAACCTGTGTGGAAGCAGGTAGGCAGCTGCTGTAGCAAAAATTCTCTTGAGGTCAGGTTTAGGCTGAGGGGGTCCCTTCTAGTCATATTTGTAAGTTACTCTCCAGTGGTGTACTTTCATTACCCCTAAGTGTTCAGTAAAGTAAAGCCTATCCCTAAAGCTACTAAAATTCATAGCCTGCCATTGGTTGCACTGGAGACCTAATCCCAGGTATCAGAGACATGGTCAAGGAGCAGCCAGAGGGGAATATCAGCAGTAGGCCCCCAAGAAGCACAGCTGTGTCTGCCCAGCAGAAAGCACTTGCAGGACCTCTGGCTGCACAGATGCAAAACATTTTCCATCTCTGTTGGCCAGTCATTGTCCATTTGGTAGGACAGGTCCTCTTCCAAGGGCCAATGTTTTGTCTTAAAGTATAAGAAAATATTTCATTCCAGGAAATCAAAATTTAATTCAAAAATATAAAAAGAACAGTTCAATATTTTATTTGATTAAATCTCTAGGCTTACCTTCATCTGTACTCATACAACCTGACTTCCAACCAATAACCATAGATGAACTCTCCCTGGATGAATCTAGGATCAATACCACTCTTGTGGTTTGTATTCCATCCTCTCCCTGGAACCTCCTTTCTCTCCAGCATCACCATTTCTCCTTTCTATTGAATTATTCCCGCTAGTATACATTCTTGCTATAAGATCTCATGCCTTTAAAAAAAATTACTCTTGATCTCACGATCCCCTCTGCTCTCACCCTGTTCTCTGTTCCTCTTTACATTAAACTCCCAAAAAAGATGTCTATATTCACTAGCCCTGCTTTTCATCTGCCATTCTCTCTTGAATCTACCTCAAACAGACTTTTGTCCCTATTACCTACTAAAAATGCTTTTGCCAAGGCCAGTGAGAACCTCCTCTCACTCAACCTCAACCTCTAAGCAGCATTAAACACAGCTAGCCACTCCCATCTTCTGAAAACATTTTCTTTATTTGGTTTCCAGGATGCCACATGCTTCTAATTTTTCTTTTTTATCTCTGACCTTGCTCCTTCTTAGTCTTCTTTACTGAGTTGTCCCTCTTTTCAGACTTCTAAATGTCAAAGTGCCCTGAGGCACTTTTTATATTAACTTCACTTTTTTACATTTACTCCTTAGGTCATCTCATCCAATTTCATGGCTTTAAAAATAATCTAAAAACTGGTGGTCCTCAAATTTAAATTTCTAGCCCCTATTTGTCTCCTGAACTCCACACCAGTGTATTTTAGGCTACTTAAGCCTTAATTTCCTCTTCTTCCTCAAAACCCACTCATGTTCTCCTCTGTCTTAAGAAACAGCTGCACAACTAAGTCAATATAGCAACTATAATGACAATTTCCTACCACTTTAGCCTTAGAACAGAGGGTCTTTATTACGTAGTTCTTTTACTAGAGAATTTTTACTATTTTAAACACTGTCTGTTCTACAGCAGGATCCAGAGCAAAACAATGGTAAGAAGATCAAATGAAAAGAAAAAAGTACTAAAGAGAAGAAAAAAGTTTACTTCTATCCAGGAGTAGGAAAGTTGAAGAACCACCAAACCATGCATATGCCCTGGTTACCAACTCTTTAGAAATTAAATAAGAAGATATGAGTTTAAGCCATTGTTGAAGAGACTTAAAGGAAGCCTTCCTCAATGTGAGCTCAGATGGGTTCCGGCTAGAAAAATGGGCCATTGAGGAAGGTGCAGCATTTTCCCTCCAAGTGCTTCGAACACTTGGGTAGGCAACAATCTGTCCTGAAAGATTTCAAGACATGTCTTTCCTGGAGGGAGAAGGAAGGATCCAGTTACCTCCTGAGGGCCCATCTAACTCCTAGATTTACAGTTGCACAGTGCACTACAGTGCCACCACTCTCTGGCAACACAGTGCAGTAAACATGTAACATTAAACCAGTCACCATCTGGACCTTTCTTGGCCTAGACAAACTCAATATCCATATAGGGTTTATACCTAAGAAGATTCTCACAAATATGTGTGCCTCCAGCTTAGTTTATTTTATTTTATTTGAATACACAGTGCCCTTCAAGTTTCCTTTTAGGTCTACCACAAATAACAGGTTTTAGCACATCAGGTGATATTTTGCTTCCTGAAGCATTTAAATTAATTTTCTATTACCAATGCAAATGTGTACTTTCCAATTTACCCACTGCACAATAAAACCTAATTTAAAGCAATTAATGTTCATTAATGGCTCCATCTGCATGTTTATCGCTTTATCCTTAAATACTTGAGACATGGTATCCATATTTTATAGCTCTCTTCTTATCAGCAAGAATTCTTATCCTCAAGGGTAAATGTAAGACTAATGTGCAAGGATTTCCTATCTTTATAGAAAAACTGTTGCCTTTTTTTTTTTGAAATATCTAGATGAATAGGTTGAATGTGCATAACAACAAATGTACCTGATACAAAAAAAAAAAAAAAAAAAAAAAAAAAAAAAAAAAAAAAAGGTTGGCACTACTGTGCTCAGCTCCCTCTCTTATCTTCCTCTTTTCCCAGAACCAGGGTGACACAGCAGTGAATATGCACTGGCCAGTTCTTCTGTCTCCAATAAGATTTTGCCAGGAATGGGATAGAATGTAGCAGCGACAGTAGCTCTGTGAGGTTTTCCTGCCTTGTCCCTCAGCAGAAGGGAGCTGCCTCACAGGGTATGGGCAGGTGAGCCAGCAGGTCTTATTATGTCAGGAAGCATTTGAGCATGTGCTTTAGCATCAGACAGGCATTACTTTACCACTTATTAGTTGCATTAGTTGTGTGTCCTCGTGAATATTGTCTAACCTTTTTCAGCATCAGTTTTCTCATCCTGCCTGTTTAGGTTTTTCTCATGACTGAATAAGATAATCCATTAAAAGCTACAACATGTTGCCTGTAAGACAGTAGCTCCACCAGACCAGATTGCCAGGGTTCAAATTCTGGCTTCACTCTTCACCAGCTGTGTGTGTGTGCGTGTGTGTGTGTGTGTGTATGCGTGTGTGAGAGAGAGAGAGACCTCTCTGTGCCTCAGTTTTTTCATCTGCAAAATGGGCATTATAACAGTATCTATTGCAAAGAGCTGTTGTGAAGATTAAAATGATTTAACCCTTGTACATTACTTAAAACTGAGCTTGGCAGATAGTAAGGACTTGGTGAATGTTAGAGGGAGAAAAACAAAAACAGTAGGTGCTTTGGAAATAGCTATTTTTATTAAATATTTTCCCTCCAGTCATAGACTGTAGTGCTAAAATGTGGCTTCTGGGTTTACAGACAAGAATTCTGGCACAAGGGCACATGCAGGTGGCTTTTTCCACTCCCCTTTCCCCCATCCTAGAGGAAGGCATAGTAAGTACCCCTTCTGTGACACTGTAATGTCTAAGGCTTTACAGCCAAGTCCATGTATAATTCTTGCAAAAAAGGAAAAAGTCAATAATGTTTACACCATTTTAACAAGAATAGCAAATGGGTTTGGGGAGATTTTTTATATGTAACATTGCTGAACAAAAATCAAGCCATCAGATTTGTCTATTTCTAAAAAAATAAGTTAATAAATGTTTCCCCACGTGTGATTTCAGTGAAATTTACATTTACGAGTCATTATCGTTCTGGTGGAAGGCTAAATAATATTCAGCTTGTCACTGGAGGGGCAGATGGAGATGGAGTTTAGGAAGGTGACAAGCTAGCTGACAGAAATGAGTAAAATTTACGTTCTCACCAACCTAATGGCAAGCAATTATTTCTGAACTAGGATAACAAATGGGCTTTTTTTATCCTATAACTTGACATGCATTATAGAAGTTTCCAGAAGGCATATTTTCTGCAAAGAAGCAACTGATTCTGTATTCAACGTTTAATGCAAGAGTTTAATTGGATACTGACCCTTTCAGAAGATTTCGTTACAACTTAGAAATTAAGAGAATAGAAAATCTACCTGAAGTTGTCTGCTACTTACTGCTATTTCTCTGTTTTAATATTGCCTTACAAATGTAGTTTTAATTCATATTCAATATGATTTATAGAATTTTGCATTAGCAAAATATAAATTACTCCATGTATAATCTGTAGTCATACTATTTTATGAGTATCATAAATAAAAGAAATACAAGTGGGACGTGTGGTGTTTATCTTGGCTTGAAAGACTGTATCTTAGCATGAGAAAGATATTTTTGATTCCATGACTAAATGACATCCTACATAATAAAAAATGGGCAAATTTACTGGCATAGTTCATCATGGATGACATTATACAATTAAAATGTATTAATGTAAAATGTTACATAAAATAGTAACTAAACTAGACTCACTCTCCTATATAAAAATTGCATATCTTGAAAACAAGGTGCAATACCTGTATGAGTTATTTTCATTTAGTTATTTTCATGAAGGCATAAAATATAACTATTTTATAAAGAAGTAAAATTTTGAAAATGAGGTCACACAGAAAATCTAGAAATGTACATTCACAACCTGTTAGAGGTGGAAATGATGATACTTCTATGGTTCATATCGTTTATGTTAGAAATAAGCCGAAGTTCAACGTGTTGCTGTAATATGCTAAATGAAGTATCAAGTGAGAGCAATTGTAAAGAGAAAATTAAAATATCTTCAGCCATTGAAAAATTAACCATAATACTACTATAGTATAATAGTATAATAATCTTAATCTAATAATATTGAAAAGAAAGTTATACGAGGAAAAACAGCATGAATGTGATGCATTTTAATGAATTGATGACAGACTTACCAGATCAAAGGGAAGAGAATAATAAAGGGATAGAAGAAAAGAAAAATAATATTGAGCACTAATATGGTTTGTCCGTGATTGCACCCAAATCTCGCCTTGAATTGTAGTCCCTATAATCCCCCCATGTCATCAGAGGGACCTGGTGGAAGGTAATTGAATCATGGTGGGGCTTACCCCCATGCTGTTGTTCTTGTGATAGTGAGTGAGTTCTCATGAGATCTGATGGTTTTATAAGGGGCTTTTTCTCCTTTTGCTCAGCACTTCTCCTCCTGTCACCATGTAAAGAAGTACATGTTTGCTTTCCCTTCCTCCATGATTGTAAGTTTCTTGAGCTTCCCCAGTCATGCTGAACTGAGTCAATTAAACCTTTTTCCTTTATAAATTACCCAGTCTCGGGTATGTCTTTATTAGCACCATGAGAATGGACTAATACAAGCACCTACTATGTATTCGTATCATGGTAACATAGTTTACTCAAAAAGGCTTAGTTTAAAATCTGCCTCAACACTTACTAGTCTGTGTCCTTGGGCCAATCAAGTCCTGTGAGTTTCTGACTTCACTTTTAAAACTTGAGGTAATAATAACTAGAGCTACCATGAGTAATAACAAGACTTAAAGTATTAAACTATTCCTGTAGGATAATAAGAGTCCATTGTACTCTGGGATCTTCAGATGGGTTCTATTACTTAATGCTCATGATCACACCATGCCACAAAGCCAGTGGCAGAGCTGCGATTCAAATCAGGCCTGTTTATTCCAAAACCCAAGCTATTTTCATAGGTTTAGCTTCAAGAAATTTGTACATTTTTGCCCCTGTGCTAGAAATTCTTTTCCCACTCTTCTACCCTAAATCTCCAACTGCCTTCTAAACTCTATTCATCCTTCAAAATTTATTTAAATATAATTTTTTCAGTGAGCTGTCCCTAATGCTTCTATTTTATGTTCTCTTAGCATTCTGACATTTTTTCTTTGGTATACTTATGCATAATTAAAATGAGTTAGTTATTTTCCTATTTTTAGTACTCCTTCACTACTAGACTGTAAGTACCATGAGAACAAGGGCCATTTCTCTCTTACTCACCATGATGTCTCCAGCTCCATTGCTATGTATGTGGCACAATGTAGGCATTCAATTGAAATGTATCTTATACATCAATGAATGCATGAATGACTAAATGAAGAATGAAGAAGCTTTGGGTTGGCAAATGCTTCTTTTTGGCCTTGTTTATTTATTTATTTATTTTATCTTTTTGAGACAGGGTCTCTATTGCCCAGGCTGGAGTGAGTGGCATGATCACAGCTCACTGCAGCCTTGACCTCCCGGGCTCAAGCCATCCTCCCAGCTCAGCCTCCTGAGTAGTTGGGACTATAGGCATACACCACCATGCCCAGCAAATTTTTGTATTTTTTGTAGAGACGCGGTTTCACCATGTTGCCCGGGCTGGTCTTGGACTCTTGAACTCAAGCAATCCTCCTGCCTTGGCCTCCCAAAGTTCTGGAATTATAGGCATGAGCCACCATGCTTAGCCTGCCTTTGTTTATTAATGAGAGAATGCTAAAGAAGAAAAAGAAGAAATAGACAAATTTAAGATACAGTAGAGTTATTATAAGAGATGGGGTAAAGTCCCTGGGAAAGTCAGAGAACTTGATCAGGCCATGGAAGTAAGAACTGCCCAAGAAAAGGAAGAGAAACAGTTCTGATACTGTCTTAGGAAAGAAGATGGAAAGATAGTTGTAGATGCAGAAATTATTTTCAAAAGAGATCCCCTCACCTATATTACATTCTCTGTAAAGTAGGAGTTGAAATTCACATGTCAGAGTGAGTGAGAGGAGGAAGATGGGGTTTTGAAGACCTGAGTGTAGAGTATTGGAGAAGGTAGAAATGAGAGACACAGGGCTCCCAGGAAGCATTAATATTCAGCTAAAGTTAGAGACTATGAAGTTTCAGTGTTTTTGATCTATATTGGCTTGGATAGTATTTTCTGCTGCATGGCACAGCACAGCAACTGGGGTCTGAGTGATGAAATGACATATGGTTAAACTCAATATAAAAATTACAGTGATGACGATGATGATGATAATGGCAACAATGACAAACACTGAAACATTGACTCACTGTTACTATCAAGCACTGTGCAAAGCTGTTTCTATGAATTATCTTATTTCTTACATACACACAGCATGCATGGGTGCACATACACACATACACTATGTTGCATATATCCCTTCTTTACAGATGAGAAAGCCGAGATTTCCTTTTTATACAACTTGATTAATGTATAATTTTATATAACACCACAAAATTTACCTATTGCATTTGTAGAACTACATGATTCTCAATAAATTTATAGAGTTGGCAACCATCCCCACAAAGCAATTTTAGACCATTTTCAGTACTCAAAAAAAAATTCCCTTAAACCTGTTTGCACTCAATTTTGCTTCAACCTCCAAGCCCAGGCAACCACTAATCTGCCAGCTCCATAAATATGCCTTTTATGGATATCTTATATAAATGGAATCATACAATATAGAGATTTGTTCATTTTGTGTGGCTTCTTTCACTTAGGATAATGTTTTGTGGTTCACTCATTCTGTATTATATATCAGTATTTTCTTGTTTTTATTGCCAAAGAGCATTTAATTAAATGGATATATCACATTTTAAAATTGATGGACGTTTGAATTGGACTATTAGATTAATAATACTGCTGTGAAAATCCACATGCAATTCTTTGTGCAAACATATATTTCTATTCTCTTGTGTTAATTCCTAGAAGTGGGAACAGGGCTGTGTGGTACAGTTATATTTAACTTGTTAGGAAACTGCCAAAATGTTTTCCAAAGTAGATGTAGCATTGCATATTCCCATTAAAAATGGATGATAGTTTCAGTTTCTCCATGTTATTACCTATACTCTGTGTCTTCCATCTATTTGATTTTAGCCATTCTTATGGATATATAATGGCACCTAACTGTGGCTTTAATTTGCATTCCCTAATGACTCATGATGTTTGGTACTTTATTATGCACTTATTAGCCAGTTGCATGACTTCTTTGGTAAAATATTCTTACTCAAATTTCCCATGGAGAACTGTGGGAGAGAAGTTTTGCACAGCTCTCAGGTACATTGTGGCCTGGAGATAAATAACAGTCTAAACTGAGAGTCAGGATCCCCGGGACAGGGGTGTGATAAGGAAACAGATCACATCCCCACCTGTCCAGGGCATGAAGCTGGTGCAGACTCCTTGACCTCTGCAGTGGCCTCAGCTCATTTCACCAGGAGCTCCCCCAGCCACCCCTGTCAGGGCTGGTGCCTGTACTCATCACTGGGGTATTTGTGGGTGAGCACAGCGGTCCAGCTTTTCCCAGTTTTGTCCCCTCTCCCAGCTAAACAGGGAACTTAGGGCAGCAGGCATCCCACAGACCAGCCCACTACCTGAAAGAACAGAGAGCACCTCCCAACAAACAAAAATCAAGCACACACCCATCTGCTTCTACCATTGCTGGCTATTATCCATAAGCACCAACTACTGGCCTGGAGGTTGAACTGCACAACCCAACACAAAACTTGCTGACAGAAGAGCAAAGACCCTAACCAATATAAAGTCACACTCTCAAGAGGAAAGAAAACATCCCATCCAAAGCAAAGAAAATTCAAAATTAAAAAATGATAGCTTCTCCAGATGAGAAAGAACCAACAAAAGAACTCTGGCACCATTAAAAGATTGAGTGTTGTGACATTCCCATTATATCACACTAGCACTCTAGCAATGGATCCTAACTGAAATGAGAATGTTGAAATGACAAATTAAAAATTCAAAATATAGATTTTAAGGAAGTTCAATGAGATCCAAGAGAAAGCTGAAAACCAACACACACACACACACACACACACACACACACCCCATACACACACACACAAACATGATATGAAAGAAGAGATCGATTAAAAAAATATCAAACAGAACTTCTGGAAAGGAAAAATTCACTGAAGAAGTTACAAAGTAGACTTTAAAGCTTCAACAATAGACTAGACCAAGGAGCAGAAGAAATTTCAAGATTGAAGACAGGTCTTTTGAATTAACCCAGTCAGAAGGAAATTGAATAAAAAAATAGAACTACATAAAAAATGAACAAAGGCTTCAAGAAATTTGAGAGTATGTAAAGTGATGAAACCAGTGAGTCACGGGCATTCCTGAGACAGAAGAAGAAAAAGGAAAAAGTTTGGAAAGCCTATTTGAGGAAATAATTCACGAAAATGTCCCTAGGCTTGCTAGAGATGTAGATATTCAGACACAAGAGACTCAGAGCACCTGAAAGATAGTTTGCAAGATGCACATCACCAAGGCATACAGTTAACAGGCTATTCAAAGTCCACGTAAAGGAAAAAATCCTAAAATCAGTAAGAGAGAAGCATCAAATTATCTATAAAGGAAATACCACCAGTCATAAAAGTAGACTTCTTAGCAGAAAATTTACAAGTCAGAAGGAATTGGCATCCTATTTTCAATATTCCTAAAGAAAAGAACTGCCAGAAAAGAATTTTGTATCCTGCTAAACTAAGCTTCAAAAATAAAAGATAAATAAAGTCTTTCCCAGACTAGCAAACACTAAGGGAATTCATCACCAATAGACCGGACCCACAAGGAATGCCATAGGCATTCTAAACATGGGAAAGAATGGGCAAAACTCACCATCATAAAAACACGTGAAAGTAAAAATCTCACAGGTCTTATGAAGCAAACACACATTTATGACTATGAAGCAACTAACAATTAATATCATGACAGAAACAAAACCTCACATGTCAATATTAACCGTGAAGATAAATGAACTAATGCTCTACTTAAAAGATGCAGACTGGCAGAATAAATTAAAAAACTGAGATTCACCCATATACTGCCTTCAAGAAACCCACCTAATGGGTAAAGACATTCACAGACTCAAAGTAAAATGTTGGAAAAAGAAAAGCAAGCAGGAGTAGCTACACTTACATCAGATAAGACAACCTTTAACTCAATAACTGTTAAAAAAAAGACAATAAAGGATTCAATTCAACAAGAAGATGTAACAATCATCAAAATACATGCACCCAATACTGGAGCACCCACATTCATAAAACAATGTTACTAGACCTAAGAAAGGAGATAGACCAAAATACAATAATGGTGGGGGACTTCAACACACCGCCAACAGTATTAGGTAGATCTTCGAGGCAGATAATCAAAATCCCATGATAGGCCATCTGCAAGTTGAGGAGCAAGGAAGCCAGTAGTGGCTCAGTTCAAGTCCTGAAACCTCAAAAGTAGGGAAGCCAACAGTGCAGCCTTCAGTCTGTGACCAAAGACCAAAGGCCTAAGAGCCCCAGAAAAACCACTAGTATAAGTCCACGAGCCCAGAAGCTGAAGAACTTGGAGTTCGAGGGCAGGAAGTACCCAACACAAAAGAAAGATGAAGGCTGGAAAACTCAGCAAGTCTGCTTCTTCCACCTTCTTCCCACTTCTTCTACCTGCTTGTTCTAGCCACACTGGCAGCCACCTTGTGGGTGGGTCTCCCTGAAGGTGGGTCTTCCTCTCCCAGTCCACTGACTCAAATGTCAGTCTCTTCTGGAAACTCCCAGAAACACCAAGATACATCCAGAAACAATACTTTGCATCCTTCAATCCAATCAAGTTGCCACTTAATATTAACCATCATGGTTTCTAATATTTATTATCTTAAGGTTCTTATTGTTTGATATTAATAGAATTCTTTGAGTTCTATTAACATTATAGTTATTGTTTCATAAGCAAAAATCATTGCCAAGTCCAATGCCACAGAGCTTTCACCCTGTGTTTTCTTTTAGGAGTTTTACAGATTTAGATCTTAAGTTTAAGTCCTTAATGTATTTTGAGTTGATTTTTATGTATGGTATAAGATAAGAGTCAAATTCCATTCTTTTGCACATGGATATGCAGTTTTCCCAACACCATTTATTGAAAAGACTATCCTTTCCTCATTGTGTATGAATAAATGTTGGCTAATATGATTTTACATTTGTCAAACTTCTACTATTTATTTGTAACAGAAAATGTTTTGTATAATAATTTACAATTTTCAAAATGCTCCTGTGCCCTTTAGTATGTATTATTTTTAAAATAATCCTGGGAGGCAGGTGTTATTGTACTGAAATTATAGCTGAGAATTATTCTGTATGGTTAATAAGTGGTAGAATCTTGATAGAAACTCAGTTCTTCTGATACTGTATTAATGCATTTCACACTACAAAATAGAGGCTTTCTTCATTAAAAATTTAATTGTCTTGTTATTCCTACAGCTTTGGTTTGAAATGAGGGTGCATTATGATTCAGTATACTTAATAAAAAAACAAATTTAATCATTGAGTTTGCAAGCCTTAAAGGATTAAGTAAATATTAGTGCATCTATAAATCAAATCCCATCTATCAATTAAAAGTGGCATTATGTTGAATGTTTATTGTCATGAAAATATAACCCTAATATAATAAGTGCTAAAAAGTTACAAAACACATCTTTTGTAACTTTTAACCAATATATAAACTTTTCTGTTTATGTATCAACAGAAGAGATAGTCCAGAAATAGATGTACACACATGAAGTCAGTTGATTTGTGACAAAGGTGCCACTAAAATTCAGTAGAAAAGGAATTTATTTTCCATAAATGGTTCTGGAGCAATTAGATAGCTATATGAGACCAAAAAAATGAACATTGCCCCATTATTTCATACTATATTTTAAAAATTAATGTGAGATGGATGATGAATCAAAATTTGAAGAAAAACAATAAAAACTATTATAGTAGAAAACATATATCTTCATACCTTAGGACAGAAATCTATTTCTTCATTAATACAGCAAAAAAATGCAATAAAGAAAAGTTATACATTTTAAATTTAAGAAGTAATTTATTAAAATATACCATGAAGAGATTGAAAAAATAATCCAGAGATAAGATATTAATAATCATAATACATATGTCTAACAAAGAGCTTATATATGGGCTATCTCAAGAATTCCCATAACCTAATAAGAAAAAGGCAAATGAAACTATTTTTAAAATTGAACAAAAGATTTGAAGACACTCTGCAACAGAAAATATCCAAAGGACAAATCAGCAAATATCAATGTAATCAATCACCAGTGAAACGCAAATTAAAATAACCACCCCAAACCACTACATTCTCTATAGAATAGCTAAATCCAAAAAGCTGACAATGCCACTTGTTGGCAATAATGCAGAGTAACTGGACCATTCATATCTTGCTAAAGGAAGAATAAACTGCTGCATCAACTTCAGAAAACTGTCATTTTCTACTTAAGCTACATATATTTTTCCTCCATGATACAGCAATCAACACTGCTAAGCATAAAGCCAAGGTAAAAGAGTTCATACAGGCTAGGCACAGAGGTTCATGCCTGTAATCCCAGCACTTTGGGAGGCAGAGGCGGTGGATTACTTGAGGTCAGGAGTTCGATACCAACCAGACCAATATGGTGAAACTCCATCTCTACTAAAAATACAAAAAAATTAGCTGGGTGTGGTGGTGCATGCCTGTAATCCCAGCTAGTTGGGAGGCTGAGGCACGAGAACTGCTTGAATCCGGGAGGCAGAGGTTGCAGTGAGCCAAGATCATGCCATTGCACTCCAGCCTGGGCAACAAAAGTGAAACTCCATCTCAAAAATAAAAATAAAAAATAAAATAAATAAATAAATAAAAGAGTTCATATAACCGCCATACAAAAACATTCATAACAGCCTTATCCATAACATCCAGAAACTGGAAACAACCCAAATAATGATCAATAGAAGAAAGATACGGCCAGGCATGGTGGCTCATGCCTGTAATCCCAGCACTTTGGGAGGCCAAGGCAGGCAGATCATTTGAGATCAGGAGTTCGAGACCATCCTGACCAACATGGTGAAACCCCATCTCTACTAAAAATATTAAAAAATTAGCCAGGCGTGGAGGTGCATGCCTGTAGTCCCAGCTACTCGGGAGGCTGAGGCAGAAGAATCACTTAAACCCAGGAGGCAGAGGTTGCAGTGAGCCAAGATTGTGCCATTGCACTCCAGCTTGGGTAACAGAGTGAGACGCCATCTCAAAAAAAAAAAAAAAAAAAAAAAAAAAAAAGAAGAAGAAGAGAAGAAGAAGAAGAAGAAAGATAAATTGTGGCATATAACAGAAGAGTACATAGCAATAAAAAATCAACAAGCTAATAATACATGCAACAATGTGAATAAATCTCACAGACATTATGTTGAGAATCCAGACACACAAAAGTTCAGATGATATGATTCCATTTATGTCAACGTTAAGAATAGGCAAAATTAACAAGTGATGGCAGAAATCAAAAATCATCCCCATGGGGAAGAGGTACAACAGAACTTTCTGGAATGCCAGAATTGTTCTAGATTTTGATGTGACACTTACATGTAACTGCCAAGTCAAGTGTTGCTTCAGTTTCATTGTGCTTCCTCAGGATCAATGTCTCATAACTGTTATGGGAGGACTGAAGCCTGACTTCAGCTACTAGCTATGGTGTGCTGCCTTGTTCTTCACATTGCCTGGGTGGTAATTTCAAACACTGAATTTCCACTGGATAAAACAAGTTTTTGCAGAATCTTCCATCCCCTCTCCCTTCATCTATTTCTCCATGTCTGCTGCCATGTAAGGTTCCGTAGGATCTCATTGAGTATTTCTGGTATTAGCATGTCCACCGTCAAGGATTCTTTACAAAAGCTCTTCTGAAAAAGCAACCAATGGCATGTGTAGACCATGATCACTCACAGCAAAGCATTTGAAACCTAAAACTTTTCATTTGAAACAATAATTGACAGGACATTGTGTTCTGATCTTAAACTGCTTATTTGTTTGTTTTGAGACAAGATCTTGCTCTGTTGCTCAGGCTGGAGTGTAGTGAAATGATCTCAGCTCACTGCATCTTTGACCTCCCAGGTTCAAGCGATCCTCCCACTTCAGCCTCCCAAGTAGCTAGGACCATAGGTATGTGCCACCTCCCTATATTGCCCAGGCTGGTCTCAAACTCTTGGGCTCAAGTGATCTTCCCACTGCAGTCTCCTAAAGTGCTGAGATTATAGGTGTGAGCCACTGTGCCTGGCCTTAAAGCATCGTAAAAGTGAATGAGTTCTAGGTTGGTAAGACAATATCTTTTTTCTTTTTAAAATTTCTCCTCATTATTTTGATAATTTTGCTTTGCAATAAACAAAAATTAGGAAAGAATACATCTCTGTTGGTGCTGAATAAATATTAGGGATGGTTGGGTTCTACCTTTGATTATTTCCTGCTTTGCCATTTGAGGCACATCCCAGGTGTGGCAGGGTAAGACACATGTGCACATGTAAATTCTCATTCTTTCTCTCTCTCTCTCTCTCTCTCTCTCACACACACACACACACACACACACACACACACACACACACACAAAAGAAAAGCCAGAGTAATCCATCTGGCCATAACACATTCAGGTTTTGACAAACTGCATCTGGCCGTGACACATTCCAAACATGGCTTTAGAGCAAGCATAAGATTATTTTGTATATAATTCCGTCAATCCAGTCAGTTTGCTATGAAATGTAAGGTTTAGAACTTGCCTAAAGCTTGGAGCTCAAGAGCATCAGCCTTGGTTTCTCAGAATAGCCAATTCATTGAAGGATTCCACCAGGATTCCTATGCCATCGTTTTTGCGACTCCTTCCTCCATTCTACTACAGAAGAGCTCAGAGCCGCACATTGTCCAGAGGCAGAAAAGTTCACAGTGACCCTGACCTTGAGCCCAAAGCCTTGGCCCTAAACACATTTCTTCCACATCAACATATTTTGTTTTCATCATCTCTTTTGTTTCCTGGCCTTTATTCTACTTTCAGAGTGAGCAGAAGTTTGAAATGTGGTCAGAATTAGTTCCAACAATGGATTTCTGTCATATCTCTTGGAACATGAGTTTACTATCTAATAACTTCTAGATCTGAACTTTTGATTTGTGACAGAAATAAAATGAGGCTTCCCTTAATGGAAAAAAGGGTATGTGACATAACTGGAATCTTGTAAAGATACATAACTTGTAAATCATCTGAGAAATCATGGATGGACAGCATTATTGGAGAGCAAATTATTAAATTGCTTTAGTGGTCTCCTCTGCTCAATTCAGCATATAACTTTAGACTTGGAATCTAGACTCATTGTTCTAATTTATTTTGCTTGCATTTTACAAATACCACATTAGTTATCTTCAATAATGCTTCTTCAATGGTAGCCCTAAGAAAATCTTTGTAATTCTCTTAGGTGATGAACAAAGGCACAGAAATACTAGTCTAAATTGGAAGCTCTTGAGGGGATTATATCAATTAGTATGTTTTATACATCATCTAATTTCCTCTTGTCAAGCACAGATTCTGAATTATAATTGTGGTAATCATAATAACAATGAAAATGAGTGACATATTTTACTATCATGAACTACACCCAGCCTTCGTCCTTGAGATGCACAATCTCCTTCCAGAAAGAAGTGGAACCCTGAGAAGCCTGATAGAAGATTGACAAGTAAATAAGATTAGGAGAAAGCTCTTCTCTCTGCAGTAGTGTTACCCATCTCTCCTTTCCCAGCCAACATCACCCAATTCCCAGGAACAAAATATGTATCTGGTTAGTATGGAAGGGACAAGATCAGTAGGAATTTGGTGACTTTGTTTCATTCTTTATCCACAGTACGTTTTTCCTCAGCACTAAACAGTAGTGACTTTTGTCAATCAAAAAAAATCAGAATTTTTTTTCCTAGAGATGGCTCATTATAGATATATCAGAGGCTTCAAAAAAATCTTATAAATAGAAGAATTAGCTATTTTATATAGGCTTCCAAGAAGACAATTTCAGGATAGATACAAATGAAAAGACTTAAACGATAATCAGCAATCCTCCATTTGACAACTCCATTCACAAGTTTTGAGTAAAAGTTCAAAAGGATGATAATTTTTCTATTGCAATCCCCCTCCTGGAAATATGCAATAATCTTTTGCTTTCCAACACTTTGGTAGTCCCCAATGAACTAGACTCTGAAAGCACATTTCTAACACATCAGAAATGTCCCCTGATTTACTCTCCTTAAGGAAAGTTGGCAGGCGACTGTCAGGGGTTCACCGTCTTTCTAGTCCTTATCATCATGAGTGTGTTAGATGGAGAAGTTCGGTTGAGCTGAAAAGCATAAAATAAGGAACTAAGATGCTCATTTTGCTCTCCCTTGACGGATATTGGCAGAGAGAAAATATAAACTTAACAATGCCCTAAGGGCTCAGGTGATCTTTTTCCTTCACTTATAAACAGCTTAAAAATAAGGAAAATCACTGGTGAGCCAGCCAAGACAGCCAAGAAGTTCCTTATTCAAAATCTCATAATGTAAACTCTTCAGGGGAAAAATTGGCACTGCCCTTGTCAGGATAAATATCCACCTCAGACACATTAACTCCAGGCTCTTTTCTAATAGTTATGACTTAAGGAGCAGGCACATCTAGAATGTGTAAAAGTAATACAGATAGAGTGTGTGTTCTTAAATTGATGGTTAAAAATGAACAAGAGAGAGTCTGCTTCACTACAGACATCTTTTGTTTCAATCAGGATATTTAGTTTTTACAAGCAGTAGTTTAAAAAAATTAAAAATATTTCATACATCGCATCATATTCATCCTGTGTTTCTTTGGCACAGAATGGAAGACAAGAATCAAACACAAGAACAAAGCTGGAGGCATCACGCTACCTGACTTCAAACTGTACTACAAGGCTGCAGTAACAAAAACAGCACGGTACTGGTAACAAAACAGATATATAGACCAAGGGAACAGAACAGAGGCCTCAGAAATAATGCCACACATCTATAACCTTCTGAGCTTTGACAAACCTGACAAAAACAAGCAATGGGGAAAGGATTCCCTGTTTAATAAATCGTGTTGGGAAAACTGGATAGCCATATGCAGAAAACAGAAACTGGACCCCTTCCTTACACCTTATGCAAAAATTAACTCAAGATGGATTAAAGACTTAAATGTAAGACCTAAAACCATAAAAACCCTAGAAGAAAACCTAGGCAATACCATTCAGGACATAGGCATGGACAAAGACTTAATGACTAAAACACCAAAAGCAATGGCAACAAAAGCCAAAATTGACAAATGGGATCTAATTAAACTAAAGAGCTTCTACACAGCAAAAGAAACTATCATCAGAGTGAACAGGCAACCTACACAATGGGGGAAAATTTTTGTAATCTATCCATCTGACAAAGGGCTAATAGCCAGAATCTACAAGGAACTTAAACAAATTTACAAGTAAAAAACAAACAACCCCATTAAAAAGTGGGTGAAGGATATGAACAGACACTTCTCAAAAGAAGACATTTATGTGGCCAACAAACATATGAAAAAATGCTCACCATCACTGGTCATTAGAGAAATGCAAATCAAAACCACAATGACATACCATCTCACGCCAGTTAGAATGGTGACCGTTAAAAAGTCAGGAAACAACAGATGCTTGAGAGGATTGGAGAAATAAGAACGCTTTTACACTGTTGGTGGGAATGTAAATTAGTTCAACCATTGTGGTAGACAGTGTGGCGATTCCTTAAGGATCTAGAACCAGAAATACCATTTGACCCAGCAATCCCACTACTGGTTCTATACCCAAAGGATTATAAATCATTCTGCTATAAAGACACATGCACACATATGTTTATTGCAGCACTGTTTACAATAACAAGACTTGGAACCAACCCAAATGCCCATCAGTGATAGACTGGATAAAGAAAATGTGGCACATATACACCATGGATTGCTATGCAGCCATAAAAAAGGATGAGTTCATGTCCTTTGCAGGGACATGGATGAAGCTGGAAACCATCATTCTCAGCAAACTAACACAAGAACAGAAAACCAAACACCACATGTTCTCACTCATAAGTGGGAGTTGAACAATGAGAACACATGGACACAAGGAGGGGAACAACACACACCAGGGCTTGTCAGTGGGTGAGGGGCTAGGGGAGGAATAGCATTAGTAGAAATACCTAATGTAGATGACGGGTTGATAAGTGCAACAAATCGCCATAACACATGTATACCAATGTAACAAACCTACACATTCTGCACATGTATCCCAGAACTTAAAGTATAAAAATAAAAAAAATATATAAAAAGAATCAAACACATGCCATGAACCAACAGTTGAGGTTTCCCAATCCTCAGAAAGTCACTCTTGGTTCAAGACTGAGCTGAATAATACAGTGAAGTTCCCCTACCTTTTCTGCATCCACCTCAGAAAAGAGTTTAGCAAAAATGAGTCCCCAAACAGCAGTGACATTAAACAAAACATTTTTTAAAATGATCATTTCTATTTTCTTGGAGAACAAACAGTCAACCATCAGAGTTGGGTCATCAATTTATTGATGACTATTATAGTGTGATTTGAATTTTGTGACAAAATAAAACATTTTCTCCACTTTTCCCTGTAAGTGCTGCTTATTTTATAGTATATCTAAAGAGCTACTAAATATGAGGTTGAAGACCCAGCACCACCTTTTTAAGTTTGAGAGTAATTATGAATCCTATTGCTAACTGCAGCAATGTTTTCAGAACCCTTTCCCCTAGAGAGGTCCTCAAAGACTGGAGGCATTACTCACATTACAGATTGCCAAACACCTGGGTTGCTGAATCCAATCTTCCATTCATAGAGACATACAAAACAATTTGTTCTGATGCACTGTACAATCAAGAACAAACAGATGAGGTGCTTTCAAATCATAGGGCTGTATATCAACAATTCAGCACAAGGTGATGATGGTTATTTTAAATACCAACACCTTTTATTGTGTGTACCAAGTACATTAAAGCACAGTCATTTGTTAAAGATTACAAATGAGAAAGCAAGAGGCAGACAAACAGAAGGAAGAAGGAGTGGAGGGAAGGACATGAGGGAAAGAAAGAAGGAACAGAAGTAGTGAGGAAGGAAGGGAGGGAGGAAAGAAATGGAAGAAAGGAAAAGAAAAATGGGGAGAGGAAAGGGACGGGACTGCATAGCAAATACATATATGTATACATAAAAAACACATTCATATGTGTGTATGTATACACTAGTATGCACACAGATGTGTGTTTATGTATGTGTGTATATAGCTACAGAAATTATATATAATGGTAGAGTTTTAATACAGTATTATATATATGTGTGATATATGCATATCAGATATGTAGTAGAAACAATACAGTATATTTTATACACAGATGTGTGTATACATAAACTGTATTACACAACTATATTATATATAATAGAAGTTTAATACAAGTATATGTATATACACATTTGTCATGTATATATATGCCTGAGACTATATATCAGGTATTAATACTCTTTATGTCTGATATGTGTCATGACTGTAACATAGGGAGCCAAATCTGAATACTTCCATTCATTACACATATACTAACTGAAGACTTCTCTGAATACTTCCATTCATTACACATATACTAACTGAAGACTTCTCAATAAATAATTGGACCATGTACTGTGAGGATAAAGAGCCAAGGTTAGAACATGGTTCTGGAGTCCAAATGAACTTTGTTTCAGTGAGAAAAGGCATGTAAATAATAAACGAAGTAATATGAGGCAAGTGTCCTGATTAGATACAACTAGATGCTGAGAGGCACTGGAGAAAGGAGGGAGTTTTATGATCTGGTCCAAGGTGGGAAGGACATAGGAAAATGTTACTTGAAGGAGAAGTTTTTTATCTAATTTTAACAGCTGGAGAAGGAATCAGAGTTCTGCAAGCCAATAGGGAAATACGAGTGATGGCATGTGATGAGGAGGGTACAGCATGCTCATGGATGGCCGCTTGATTCATACACCTGGAGAGCAGGGTGCATAAGGGAGCCAAGCTGGGGATATCAGAGGAGGCAAGATTTTGGGGTAGGTGCCCCGCTGAGTCTAGATTTGAGGATGAAGCAATCAGTGGTAGGGTCACAGATTGTCATGCTGGATAGAAGGCATTTTAACTAACTCCTGAAAGATAAATACAGTTTCTGTAGTCAGAAGTGGGCAAAAAAGAACATCCCAGAAAAAGAGGATGATATTAGGAAAGGAGTAGAGATAAGAACATATAATGTTGATTTAAGGAATGGATTAGGATAACAAATACTTACTTCCTGGCATATAGTAGGAGCTCAATAAATATTTGTTGAATAAATAATTGATGATAGAAAAATTAGAAGGAAAGAATTTTCAAAATATAGGTTAGAAGTAAACCTTGAATTCTAGACTAAGAAGTCAGGACTTTTTCCAGTAGCCAATAGGGAGGTATTAAAGGATTTGGAAAGAAAATAATGACAAGTCAACACTATGATCTGGAAGATGAACCTGGTGTTGAGAAAAAGAATGGATTAGAGAGGGCATGTCAGAAAGAACAGGCTATTTCTGTGATGTAGTATCACAGACTAAAGTTAAAAGGGACTTAGACAGGAGTAGAAATTTAATGGACAGAATGAATGGAAGGCAGTATGAACTATCTACTTGTATTATATAGTTTTACTAGACTTATCCACCCACACATAGAAGAACTTTGCAGGACAATACATATAGACCACAAGACTTTCAGGCCTACCTGTGGCCATTGTGTGAACTTCACACTCACTCGGTTCCCCATGCATTCACCCACATCATTCTTATATTTCAGTCTTCCACCCTGCTGCCTGTTTTAAGTTTCCATACACCTCTTGGACTTAAATCAAGTTCTACTTCCTCAATTTGACATTCAGTACTCATTCTTGTACTCTTTCTGTTCTTGGTTGTTTCAGATAAACAAATCCCTCATCCCAGCCTCAGCTTCTAGAGAAAAACCCCAAAAGTGACTCATTCGTTCAGAATGTACCTTATTCCTTGAGTCCCTCAGAAGTGACCCACCAAGAAAGAATGTAGAAGAGGAATGACTTCGATATAGATATAAGACAGAAATGAAAGTCAAGGATGAATTGCCTTTCAAAGGAAATCATTCATTCTTAGATATTTATAGTGTCTGCTAGTGCCAGTCACAGCTCTTCATTCTTGATATAAACCAAAGAACAAAACGATTGGCATTCCTGTTCTTCTGCAGCTTAACAGCTAGTTGGGGATATACATGGTAAACAATAGGTATGACATATATTTGTATAAATTATATAATATGTTTGAAGATGTAAAATGCTATGGAAAAAGTAGAGCAGGGTATGGGGGATCAGCATTGAGAGAAGTGGGAACAGCATGCCACACTGAATAGAGGTGTCAGGGTCTGCCCTACTAGGAAAGGGAGAAACAAGCAGAGGGTTGACAGAAGTGGGGGAATTAGCCAAGTGAGTCTTTAGGGAAGAGCATCCTGGTCAGAAAGAATAACTTACAGGAGCTTGTGAAGTTCAGCAAACAGCAAGGAGGCCAGCATAGCTACTGCAGAGTAAGTAAGAGGGAGTATGACAGGAAATAAGATCACAGCAAAATCTACAGTATTTTACAGGCCATAGTAAAGACTTTGGCTTTTACTCTGAGTGAAATGAAAGGCACTGGAGAATTCAAGTCAGGGAGTGACATTATCTGACCTATATTTTTAAGAATTTTACTTTGAGTGTACATTGAGGCAGAACTGTAAAGGGGCAAGGATAAAAAACGGGAGACTCTTGAGCAGCTTCTACCATAATCCAAGTGGGAGATGATGATAGTCCCATCAGGATACAGTAATGGAGGTGGAGGAAGTGGACAGAATCAAGTGGCATCTTGATGGTAGAAGCAACAGGCTTTCCTTCTGACAAATTGGATGTGAAGCATGAAACAGAGAGAAGAGTCAAGGAAAATTCAAAGGTTTTCTTTGTTTCTTTCTGAACAACTAGAGAGATGGTGATATGGTCTGGCTGTGTCCCTACCCAAATATCATCTTGAATTGTAGTTCCCATAAACCCCATGTGTCATGGGAGGGACCAGGTGGAGATAATTGAATCATGGTATTCTCATGATAGTGAGTTAGTTTTCACGAGATCTGATGGTTTTATAATGGGCTTCCCCACTCTTCACTCTGTACTTCTCCTTGCTGCCACCATGTTAAGAAGAACATGTTTGCTTCCCCTTCTGCCATGATTGTAGGTTTCCTGAGACCTCCTAAGCCATGGTGAACTGTGAGTCAACTGAATCTCTTTCCTTGATAAATTACCCAGTCTCAGTTATGTCTTTATTAGCACTGTGAGAGCAGACTATTATAGATGGAATTGCCATAAAGTGAGATAGAAAAGATTGTGGGTGGGGCAAATCTGTGGGGAAAATCAGGAGTCCAGATCATCACATTTTGAGCTCAAGATGTCCAAGTGTCAATATTAAATAAGAGATCAAATATAGGGGTCTGCAGAGAGGTCTGAGATCAATATAGATAGTAGAAAGTGCTCTGATTCACTATAGCAAAGACATGGAATCAACCCAAATGCTCATCAATGATAGACTGGATAAAGAAAATATGGTACATATACACTAGGAAGTACTATGCAGCCATAAAAAGGAATGAGATTATGTCCTTTGCAGGGACATGGATGGAGCTGGAAGTCATTATCCTCAGCAAACTAACACAGGAACAGAAAACCAAACACCGCATGGTCTCACTCATAAGTGGGAGCTGAACAATGAGAACACATGGACACAGGGAGGGGAACAACACAGACTGGGGCCTGTTGTGGGGGCATGGGAGAGGGAGGGAGTGCATCAGGATAAATAGCTAATGCATGCAGTGCTTAATACCTAGGTGATGGGTTGATAGGTACAGCAAACCACCATGGCACACGTTTACCTAGGTAACAAACCTGCACATCCTGTACATGTATCCTGGAAGTTAAAATAAAATAAAAAAAAAAAAAAGAAAGTGGAAAGTGCTCAGCATATGAACTGAAGGTAAACTCATGAGACAAGATGAAATTACCAAATAAGTAGGTATAGATCTGGCAGAGAAAAAATAGGACCAAGGACTGGGTCCAGAGGCACTCAAGAGATTGGGTAGAATAACACTAACATCCCTAGGGGAATAAGAGAAAATCTGAGTTTGGTGAGAGATGGTTGGTTAGACAAACAAGTTCTATTTTAGGCATGTTATATTTGAGGTGTAACTACAAATTTCAGGTGACAGCTTGTGTTGTGCTGGTGAATATTTAACAACCAACTCCAGGGGAGGGGACTGTAATTTGTAGCATTTGCCAATTTCTCTGGTATAAAAGCTCCATCATGGCCAATTTTGAGCTACCAACTTGAAGTCACTGTATTTAGTCACTACTGGATACATAGTGTGCAAAGATCAACACTAAACTTATGAAATATATTTTGAGAAATCATTTCTAACAAGTGGTAATTAAAGCCAAAGGAAAGGATAAAATCTCCCAAGGATATATAATAAAAAGAAAACCAAAGGCAAGATGTAGGTAAATGTCCATATTAAAGAGTTCAGAAGATTTCCAAATGAAGAAATAAAGGTAAGAAGCTAAATTCCAGAATAGTTTCTCAAGCTACCATCATTTTGCTACTGTTGCAAAGTATCTCTTATTTCCTTTTTTCTATGTTTTCCTGTGAAATGAAAGTATAACAGATTCAGAAAAAAAAACATTTAGCATTTCAGAGAATGGGTAAAACTTCTTCATCATATCTATAAAAGGATGTCAGTTTCAACTTTGTAAGAATAATTTTTACAAACTTTCAGCTTTCCGTTAACAAAAAAGTTATTATGACATCTGTATACTTCAACACTTACACCATATGATTTTCAGAATGGTCAATGTGGTTTCCCAGACTTGCTAATACAAAATTTTGTTTGTTTGTTTAATCCAGGTGACATTTGGTACAAGGCATCGCACTTAAACAGTCAAACAGACTGTCAAACTGACTAATACTGAAAAAAAGGGCATTAGGAAAGGATGGGTGCATCTAGACAATTTGCTTTTTCTTTGTGCAACTTTGTTGAAGAATAGAATAAAACAGCATGACTAATTCTCATTTATTTAGATGCAACTCACGTTGTGGATAACCAGACATGTGATATCACTTTTTTAAAGTTCTATTTAGATTTGGGTTACAGCATACAAATGGTAATCATATTTCTAGAATTTTCCAGAACAGTCTCATTATTCTCATAAATGTATTTGTAATTGTCAAATTAAGTATTCTGATTTCTTTTCATTTGAAAAGTATTAATACTAGTAGCAGATTTGCTTTGGGCTGAATTAAATTTAGATTCCACCCCCAGTGTCTGACGGATGATGCAGAGAAGGCCACCTAAGTCTAAGAATTATTGTGGAAAAAGCAGCAATCATCTAACACACATGTTCAGTGGGTCTGCACTCTTAGGGAAGCTCAGCTAGTCCTAGCTTGCTATAATAAATGCTAAATGTCTTCTCAAATTGTAGTTGAATGCTCGCCCTAGATCTTAGAAGAGCCTCTGAATCTAAGGAGTTCTCTGTTCCCAGTACATTGAAATTGTGACTTGAAAAAGGGGAAAAAGTCAGTTATTAAATTTTTCCCCGATCGAAAATCCAGTTGAAGAGAGTGAACCTCTTTCAAAAGACACGGCTCTGTCTCACCGTTTGGGGTCCTTGTGCAATCTCCCTCAGGGCCCATATGTGAAATGAGAACAATACGGAGACCTGCATGTTCACATAATTGATCCACTTTCATCGGCATAAAGGGATGAGAAAGTCTCAAATTATTAACAGTCCAGTGCTTTTACAGCTCCCACCTACCATGCACTTATCACTTTCAGATTCACCTAATTGAATTACTGAGAGCACACCAAATGACCTTAGTTGTCCAAGCACTATTTATCACTTTTTATTTTAAATGAATTATATTTTATAACAAAATATTCTCTTAATCCATTTGCCATCTTATAGTAATTATATCCTGGTGTCCTAATTTTTCTGTGACTTTTCTTTTCAAGAAAGAATGATTCACATTCAATGTATTCAGTGACCTTGTTTGGATGACTCTGTTCACTCAGGTGACCTTGAAGCAAAAATTATAGAAGCATCAATTGGCAAGTTCACCAGCATCCAGCAAAGTATGAAAAGGGTAAGAGCTCTTCATTTCCCAGCACTGGCATTCATCATGGAAAGACACATAAAAAGAAAGGGCAAATTCCAATGACATGCATCCAATAAATTGGAGACTCTTGTCACCGCAAACGCCAATTCAGCAGTTCATAATCACAATGCATAACATGGCGACATTATTTATTTTTTAGCCCTCTAAATGGAGGCTTTTATTACTGGTCCGTCTGTTTCTTCCTTTGTACACTTGAAAATTCTAAGTTTTATCTGTTAGGAAATTGTCTTTCTAAGTCTATTGAATTTCATCTTGGCTATTAGTAGCAACTTTTTTTTTTTGTAATAGCATCCAATTGAAAATTACAGATTCAGAAATCTGAAAGATCTCCTAGTCCCAAGTAGACCACTGGGTAAACAGAACTAGAGGGAAAATATGCTACCAAATTGTTTATAAACTATTTTCAGTACAACAAACCCAGAACTTCCCTTAGCAATTTCCATGGCATTTCCTCCCCTTTAAGCTGATAAACAGAGTTCAAATTCTCTTGCCTGAATTAGAGCTACCCTCAAAACAACCATTTAAGATGAGCCATCATTCCTAAGTTTATTTATAGAATAAAATGGTATAGTTCAATACAAGCTATATCTTAAGACAGTGCTCATACTGTGTGCTGCTCTCTATTAAATATGTTTGATTTTTTTCAGACAGTATGAATCCTCTAGCCAAAGTGCTTATAATAAGGTCAAACACACTTATGGAGATTTCAATGCATGTTCAGGCTCTCTCAAATCAATATTATATTTCACCTCGGTGGAATACGTGAATTAGAACAGTGACATGGAACAGATACTAGATAAAAGGAATCATAGGTATTTAAAGTCCAGTGCTATGACTCTTATAGATTCCATTAGACAGTTACTCAGACTCTCTGGGCCTTAATGTATTCATTTATAAAATTATTTCTGAAGTCATGTGATCCAACAGGTCTATGTGGCTAAAAGTAAACCAGATTAACATCAGGTTTTTGCTCTTGCTCCTCCTAAAACAAAACAAAACAAACAAAAAACAGAAAAGACACCAAGAACACAACTGGCTTTAGTACATACCCAAGATTGTGCTAAACTTTCTATCTTTGCAATCCTTCTCTTAAAAGCATTGTGAGAACATTTACCAGAAGTGAGCAGCACTACAGGGTTAACCCATGTTCTGATGCCAGTAACCCTATTAGGCAATACATTTATTTAAAAAAAAATCATTAGGCCTCTGAATCTCTTCATGGCGCATATCTAGTGACCTGAGCACACATATTTGAATTCAAACAGTTAGTATTTCTAGTAAAAGACTGATCTACTTTATAAAGCAGAATATTTCTCCCACCTAAGAAAAAATTTTCTTAGAGATCATCCTTAAAATAATTGTTATTTATGGAAGCATGCTATTCCTGCAGAAAGATCCATAGAGGGAAAACCAATTCCAGAGGTTTCTTTTTTGAAGCATGGTTTGTCTATTTACCATATCAAGAAGCCAACAAGAGGGTCTGGCAATTTTGCTTTCTTGAGTAACATGCTCCTATGACAATTCTGATCCTAAGGTACAGCCATGGGTTTCTGCTATTAATTTTCATATCCTATCTTGAGTCACGGACTGCATGTTATGAAGCCAGTCCTCACCACATTCTGCCAAGAATGTTAATCAGTCTCCTAGGCTGCTTCTACTCTCTGCATTCTGCACCCCTGAGGCAGTGCCCTAATCATCTCACATGAGCCCTGGCAGATCTCCATGCCCATGGGCAATGGTGGACTCCAAACTAAACCCACTAACAAGACTAAGGTTTATTGCCTGTATAATGCTATTTCCGATATTTCAAGGGCTTCTTTTCCTTAAATCATAATTTCAGTTTTCTCACTGGGGCTTCATATACCTTTAAGAGAATAGGAATATGTTTTGATTCAGTACACATTTTCCTGGGAGAAGTAACATATGACCCCGAATCTATATGACATAATTGATGAATGTCAAACCTTTTCTTGAGACTGGATATTAATAAGAAGCTTCACTGGCACTTGAAATGGGAAAAGTGCAGTAAAAGGAGGTGGAAAATAAAAAGTATTTTTCTTCTTTTGTGCTTCATTATCATATGCAATATGATGATAATAATGATAATCTCATGAAGTTGGTTAGCTAATTGATAACAAAAACAAACATCATTTATTGAGTCTTTTAATAGTGAGAAGTAGCATCAGTGGAAAATGCTGGTAAGGACATCCAAAAAGATTATCTTTCATAAAAGCAATGAAAATAATGGCAAAAAATGTCAGAATCAACTTTTTTATAACTCTAGCCATTAACCCAAAGGCTTGCAGCAATTCAGAGAACATTCATTTTTCCTAAAAAGAAGCTAAATTTTATTAAGAAAAGCACATTGTATGTTATTTTAACTTGCCCTATGCCCATCCACCTCCTCCCTCATTTCTGAGGTAACCTTAAAAACCAACAGGCCACAATCATAATTAACACCAGCAGCCTGGGAAGCCATTTGGAGGGGGTAAAATAGGGTAAGAACCCCTTCAAAGCTCTATTTCCATATAATTATTCATTATTTGGTCTGTCTAATGTTTCCCTGGAAGACTCCACTCACAGGGCTGTTGGTACTTGAAGTGACATGAAGCTCACCCAGTCAACTTTACAAAAAGCTCACCCAATGAGCTTTCACAAAAAGGCTTTAAAAAGCCTTTTTGTGCACACACACACACAAATCAGAGGCAATTGTTTAAATTTTAACTACTACCTGAAGCAGTGGATAACAGTTGACACAAAACACTAAACAAAAAGCTTAAAAGGAAAACATAGGTAATGAGATGTCCACAGGAGTCTTTGAGAAACCCAACAAATTCCTGAGAATCTGGAAGCCCTTGTGCATGTGTAGGGGTGTGCATATAGCTAAGGCTGTGTGTATGCTAAGGAATATCTAACAAAGTCTAACCTCTGGCTGGACTTGGGGTTCTGTATGAGTAAAAAAATGAAGACTAAGAATGAGCAGCCTAGCTGAGTATTAAAAGTGTTCCCCTGTACACACACCAAGCTCAGCAAAAATTGGAAGATTCATCAGTTTCAGGCATATAAAAAAGTCTCTTTCCAATCATTAGCTGACCACTAAGGTCACCTAGCAGGAACTTTAGTAGCCACACACAAAAAGAACACAGACTTTATAGAATTTACTCAGAAAAGTCACTAAGCAAACAAATAATAAATAGCAACAAATCTTGGGGAGTGAGTAGAATCTGATTTCCAGTGTTGCCACATTATATTAGCTAAAATGTGTGGTTTTCAACCCCAAATTACAAAACATGCAAAGAAACAAGAAAGGAGAGCCTAAACACAGGGGAAAAAAGCAATCAATAGAAACTGTCCCTGAGGAAGGCCAGATGTTGGACTTACTACAAAGACTTTAAATCAGTTATTTTAAATATATTTAAAGAATTTAAGAAAACCATGTTATAGAACTAAAGGAGAATGTGAAACTGATGCCTCACCAAATAGAGAATATCAATAAAAAGATAGGAATTGTTTTTAAAAAGAATAAAATAGAATATCTGATGGCAAAAAGAATAATTGAAGTAGAAACATCACTACATGGCTCAAGGCACAACAGCAAATTTGAGCAGGCAGAATCAAAATTAGTCAGTTTGAAGATAAGTCAATTGAAATTATCTAGGTAGGAAACAGAAAGAATAAAAGGAAACTAGCAGAGCCTCAGAGACCTGTGGACACCATCAAGTGAACCAATGTGTACATACTGGGAGTCCCAAAATAAAGGAGGAAAGGGCAGCAAAAAGGAGCAGAAAGAATATTCAAAGAAGTAATGGCAGAAACTTCCAAATTTGATGGGAAATATAAATCTACACAACCAATAAGCTCAAAATCTCCATGTATGATAAATTCAAAATGATGCATACCTAGCCACATTATAATCAAATGGCTAAAAGTCAAGGATAGTGATGAACAGAGAATAGTGAAAGAGGCAAGAAAGAAGTGATTCATTATATACAAGGGTCATTAATAAGATTAACAGATGATTTCTCATAATAAATTATGAAGGCCTGAAGACAGTAGGATTATATATTTAAAGTGTTAATAAAAAGAAAACTAGCAACCAAAAACTTTATATCCAGCAAAATTCTTCAAAAATGAAGTAGAAATTAAGACATCCCTCCCCCCTTCAAAACTGAGAAAATTTGTTTTCTTTCATGATCTATAAGAAATACTAAAGGGAGTCCTTTGGGTTGAAGTAAAAGAACAGTAAACAGTAATTCAAATCCACATAAAGAGAACTGGTAAATCTAACCACATAGGTACATTTAAAAAAAGATATTATAAATGTTTTTTGTTTGTTGCTAATCCCTTTGTCTCCTATCAGAAAAGGCAATTTCATAATGAAATACCTATAAGTTTGTGTTGATGGACACAAAATGGGTAAATATATAATTTCTTTTACAATAACAGTACAAAGGAAGGAGAAAGAAATAAGCTATATAGGAACAAATATTTGCATACTAGTGAAACTATGTTGATATAAATCCAAACTACCTTGTTATAAATTCAGATGTTAATTATAATCCTCAGGGCAACCACTAAGAAAGTAACTCAAAAAATATAATTTAAAAATGTCAAGGGAACTAAAATGGTACACCAGAAAATATCTATTTATCACTAGAGAAGGCTGTAATGGACATGGCATTAGTGACATAAGACATATAGAAAAAAATAGCAAAATGGCAGATGTAAATCCCACCTTATCAGTAATTGCCTTAAATATAAATGGAGTGAATGTTTCAATTAAGAGGCAGAGATTTCTTCATGGATGATATGATTCTATATCTATAAAACCCTGAAAGCCAGAAGGCTCCTGGCTCTGATAAATAACTCCAGTATAAAAAATCAGTATTTAAAAAATCAATGTCCAAAGATCAGTAGCATTTCTATACAGCAATACAGTTCAAACTGAGAGCCAAACCAAGAACACAATCCCAATTACAAAAGCAACAACAACAAAAAGTACCTAGGAATACATCTAACCAAAGAGGTGAAAGATATCTGCAAGAAGAAATTTAAAATGCTGATGAAATAAAATCATAAATGGTACAAACAAAAGGAAATCCATTTGTCATACTGCCCAAAGCAGTGTACAGAATCAATGCTATCTTATCAAGCTACCCACATTATTTCACACATAACTAGGAAAAAAAACTATTCTAAAATTCATATAGAACCAAAAAGGAGCCTGAACAGCCAAAGCAATCTGAAGCAAAACAAACAAAGCCAGAGGCATCATATCACCTGACTTCAGACTATACTGTAAGTCTGCAGTAACCAAAACATCATGGTACCAGTATAAAAACAGACATACAGACTACTAGAACAGAACAGACAATCTAGAAATAAAGTTACACACCTACGCCCATCTAAATCTTCAACAAAGTCAATAAAAAAGCAACAAAGACTCTCTATTCAATAAATGGTGCTGGGATAACTGGCTAGCTATATGCGGAAGAATAAAACTGGACCCCTACCTATAATCATATACAGAAGGTTACTCAAAATGAATGAAAAATTTTCATGTAAGACCTCGAACTATAAGAATCCTAGAAGAAAAACTAGGAAACACCATTCTGGCCATGGGCCTTGGGAAAGAATTTATGACTAAGTCCTCAAAAGCAATTGCGACAAAACCAAAAATTGACAGTGGGACCTAATTAAACCAAAGAGCTGCACAGCAAAATAAACTATAATAAACAGAAACCCTATAGAATGGGAAAAAAATATTCACAAGCTCTGCATCTGACAGAGGTCTAATATCCAGAATCTATAAGGAAATTAAATAATTGAACAAGCAAAAACCAAATAATTCTATTAAAAATGGACAAAAGACATGAGCAAACACTTCTCAAAAGAAGACATATAAGCAGCCAACAAACAGGAAAAAATGCTCATCATCACTAATCATCAGAGAAATGCAAACCAAAACCACAAGAAGATACTATCTCACACCAATCAGAATGGCTATCATTAAAAAATCAAAAAATAACATGCTGGTGAGGCTACAGAGAAAAGGGAACACTAATATGCTGTTGATGGGAATGTAAATTAGTTCAGCCACTGTGGAAAGCAGTTTGGACATTTCTCAAAGAACTTAAAACACAACTACCATTGGACCCAGCAATCCCATTACTGAGTATATACCCCCCCACCCACCAAAATAAATCATTCTACCAAAAGGACACATGCATGTATATGCTCACTGCAGCACTATTCAAAATAGCAAAGACATGGAATCAACCTAGATGCAATCAACAGTGGGCTGGATAAAGCCAATGTGGTACATTTACGTCATGGAATACTAAAACTACACAGCCATAAGAAACAAATGAAATCATGTCCTTTGCAGCAACATGAATGTAGCTGGTGACCGTTATCCTATGCAAATTCACACAGGAACAGGAAACCAAATACCAAATACCACATGTTCTCATTTATAATAGAGAGTGAAACAATGGGTATTTGAGGACATAAAGATGGCTACAATAGAAACTGAGGACTATTTTTGGGGGAGGGTAGAAGGGGAGGAAGGGTTGATAAAGTAACTATTGGGCACTATATTCAGTATCTGGGTGACAGGATCAATCATACCCCAAACCTCAGCACCACACAATATATCCAAATAACAAACCTGCACACGTATCCCTTGAATCTAAAATAAAAGTTGAAAAATTTTTTTTAAATCTCTTTTGAGTTTAGATTTAAAAGTTTAATAGATGTATTATTAAGAGGCAGATATTAGCAGAATGGATTTAAAAATATAATCCCATTACATGCTTTTAAAAGAGACACACTTTCAAAGACACAAATAGGTTGGAAGTAAAAGACACAATGAGATGTATCATGCAAACAGTAACAAAAATAGAACCTGAGTGGTTATACTAACAGCAGACAAAATGGACTATAAAAGAAAACTCATTACTAGAAACAAGTAAGGACATTTTATACTGATAAAAGTGTCCAATTTATTAGAAATTATAGCAATTTTAAACATATATGGACCTAACAAGAGTCTCAAAATACATATAACAAAAACTCAGAATTTAAGGGAGAAGCAGAAATTCTAACAATAATAGTTGAGAACTTCAATGACCCACTTTCAATAATAGATAAAACAGAAATCTTGAATAACTCTACAAACCAACTGGACCTAACAGAAATCTGTTGAAGTCTCCCCTCAACAGAAGACTACATGTTCTTCTCAAGTGCACGTGGCACACTCTCCATATAGACCATATGTTAGGCCATAAAACAAGTCTCAATGATTTTAAATGCATATTGCTAAAACTGAATGAATTAAAACTCAATGGATGGGAAATCTTTTAAGTTTTTAGTGTATCTTATTTTTTTTTTAATTCTCCACAGTACTCTATAGTATAGTGTGATTACATAGGATGATTATCCATCTATTAATCTATTCTCACCCTGCTATAAGGACATACCCAAGACTGGGTAATTTATTTTAAAAAAGAGGTTTAATTGACTCATAGTTCCGCTGGGCTGGGGAGGTCTCAGGAAACTTAACAATCATGGTGGAAGGGGAAGCAAACATGTCCTTCTTCACATGATGGCAGGAAGGAGAAGTGCCAAGCAAAAGGGGAAAAAAGCCCCTTATAAAACCATCAGATCTCATGAGAACTCGCTGTCACAAGAACAGCAGCATAGGGGTAACTGCCCCCATGATTCAATTACCTCCACCTAGTCCCTCCCATGGGATTATGGGAACTATATTTCAAGATGAGATCTGGGTGGAAACACAGCCATGCCATATCAATCCACTTACTACAGATGAAGAAACTGCAGTAGAGAGGGTATGTAACTTGCCTAAGATTAACCAATTAATAAGAAACAAATGTGTAGGCAAAACTTAAATTCCTTTTAATGTTTGAGTTCTCAATTTAAATATTACCTCATTTGAGATATTTTCCACCCAATATGTAAAAGGCCCTCACTGTAATTCTATCTCACAGCATCCTATTCTCTTACTTCACAGGACTTTTTACAGTGTGGAATTATATATTTCTGGTACTGATGATAGGTAAGTAGGTAAGATAAGTAGTGTGAGCAACTCATCATGCTTTGCCTGAGACCTTCCCAGGATTGACACTAAAAGTTCCAAGTAGTAGGAATCCTCTCTGTCCAGGTAAAACCAAGGTGGTTGGTCACATGAGGGAATGAACAAGCTACAAGTGTTTCTTCACAATGCCTAGGTGTTTTCTCCAGAAATGAAAAGAGCTATCACCCAAGATATAAGAATGCTATAGCTGACCATGTCCCTCAACAACCCTAAGTGGCTTCTAAACCAGAGGAGTGTCTCTGAATCAACTCATTACAAGGAACCCTTCTCAGGCACCACGGAAACACCATGAAGAAGCAAAACAAAGACAAAATTTTAACCTGGGCTTTAAATAAAAAGAATGACTATGCAAGAAGTCATTACCATTTAGAGAGGAAGAAAGTATGTATTATTGTTTTTTTTATTTGTTTACTCTCTTTCCTCCATTTTTGTTCACCACTGAATATACAGCATCTAATAAATTCCTGGTACCTGGAGAGTATTCAGTAAATATTTGTTGAGCCAATTACCATGTAACTTCTAAGGCCTTGCTCTTAATTATCATCTATCACCTGCCTTGTTCATCTCTTGCCTTAATACTAATACAAGCTAGTAGAATGAACTATTTGTTATGTCTCAGGCATGATGGTATCTCAATTCATCAGCAGAACAAGCTTTTGAAGTATCCCCATTTTCCAGATGAAAAGCTAAACATAAGAGAGATTAAGTAACTTTGTCAAGACCTCAAAATTAATGTCTAAACCACATATGTGTGCTGTATTTTTCTCAACTCTAACATCCTGATAGCATGAAATCTTTCTGTACCCACACAGTGTACAGCACAAAATATCAGGTGCTTAACAAATGCTCCTTACATAGACACTTTTCCACTCCTGCTCCCAATATTGTTTATCATACCAATCTGGTAAGGTAAATATTTTTCCTATCTTGCATAAAGGTAGTCTCAGCTGGGCCTCTCTCCAACTAACAAAGTTCAAATTAACACAGAGTTATATAATAACCTTTGAATTCATCAAGCACCAGCAAATTTTAAGTGCATAAATAATATATAATAACTTCCCTAAGTTTTTTCTTCTTCTATTAATAATTTCTAGGATGAAATTAAAGAAAACACTTGTATTCTTTTTTTTTAAATTTAAATTTTATTTTTGTTCATAACCTATGTGGTTCTAAAACTTCTTTTTCTGTTTTTAAAAGGAATCCTCAGGTGTACATGCATGATATTTAAATTAAACTCCCTAAAGCCGAATATGATTTATCTTCAAACAGCAGAATGGAAAGGAATAGAGCAGAAATCTCCAAATATATATAAATTCATAACTGGCTTCTACTGAACTCCTGCCCTCGTCAACTCGTTTAAAACACAATTTTCCAAATGCCACTGCTTTCTGTGATTCTAGGGAGGGGAAGAGAGAGCTTTTACTTCATTAGATTTATGTCAATTCCATATTCTGAGTTTCTAGCAATAGGGACTCCTGGAAAAATATGTCAAGCTTCCTTTCAGAGCTGGGCTGCTGTTAATTCTGGCACCACAAAGTACCAAGAGTAAATAAAATGACTCATATTGTGCTCTGGACCCAAGGGAGCCTGTGAGATAGGATGAGAAATCAGTTGATTTGCCCAGACCCTACCTCCAATGGCATGCTGCTCTTTTCTCTATAGTCAGAGCTACAGCCATGGCCAAACTGCACACTTGGAGCCAAATTCTCCTCTCAGCCCTGTGTGGGCAACTTCATCCAAAGTCAGTAGGTATGAAGTGCAGATATAAAAATGATGTTTGGCAATAGCACTATTTAGTTCTCTTATCAGCCACATACTTACTATTTAGTAACTGCCTTTCTACCAATTTCTGTACAAATGTGAGCCTGTTTGCTATTATCAGATGGCAGTGCTTGCTGTACGATTTTCTCACTTTTTAAAGCTTTTTGTGTTTTGCCAGTCAGAAGCACATTTTGCAAGTCCCTGGCAAACGCAAATGTACCCTCACTTCTTGGCTTAAACACTTGCAGAAGCCAGATGAAAGAAATGGCTCCCAGGGAAGACTCTGGGTTTCATCGAATTGTCGATGAAGTAGTCTGTGCCTCTACAGTCAGGTTTTTAAGGGATTGTGTTTCTTTAATTGATGAAGTCAAGTACAGAAGAGGGTAAGTGAAGAAAAGAGCTGAAGGTTTACATTATTTGAGGAGTAGAATTTTCTGATCCTTTCCTCTGCTTTATTCCCATAGGCTGAGTTGGTGGTTTCTATACCCTGCGTGTAGTATTATATATCATATTCATGTAGGGTTAAAAGTTACCAGTACATACATCTCCCACATCCAGTGTGGGCTCCCAGAGGCAGGGCCAATATAGTGTTTATCACTCAATTTCTGGCATGTAGCAAGGGGTCTAGCAGTTCAGGTCAAGAAACATTTGTTGTCTACCTATTATGTGTGGAGCACTGCAACTCATTCATGGAGAAGATGAGGTTGTATACTTCTTTCTCTTGACATAGACTCTAGTCAGAACACAGATGCATAAGCATAATATTTGTATACAATGTGATTGGAGGTTATATAGAGCTATGCCCAAGGTGCTAAAGGGAACACAGCAAGATGGGTATGTAACCCTGGTGGTGCAGTCAGGAAGACTATTGGGAGAAGACTGTCAGAATTAGTGCTGAAAAAGAAATCGGTATCAAGTCAAGAGTTAGTGAAGAGGGGGGTGGGTTCCAGGCAGGAGGAGCAGCATAAGCTAAGGCAGAAGGGCATGGAATAGCAGAAATGAGCAGGAACTTACAAGCAGTTTACCCTGCAAATTTCAAGGGCTAGGCTGGGACCAGCAGGACATTGGGACTTGAGAGGTAGGCAGTGTCCAGGCAAATAAGCACTTAAGGGAAAAAAAAAACTTACATCTTATGAAAAAGATGGGCATTGAAATCCTAAGGGAAACAGACTCATATCTGTGTTTTTAATAGTTTAAACTGGGAACATATAAAAGGGAGTAACATTTATTTGTGCAAGACTGAAAATAGGGAACCCAACTGAGAAGCAATTTTAATAATCTTGATGAAAGACCACGGGAGCTTCTATTAGGGCAGTGTTAATTAGGACTGAGAGTAAGGTGATGCAAGAAATGCCACATCAAGAACACGCAGAATGGGAATGACATTGTCCTTGGTTAGACATGGGAAGTGAGTGGCTTGAAGTACTCACTGGGCCTTGGGATATGTGAGTCTGAAACTCAGTGAAGAGTCAGAGATTAAGATTAAACCTAATGACTCAAACTTGTAGGAGTAGAAACAATCCTTGGGAGTAGATGAAATTTTCCATGAATAACTCATTGAAAGAGAGAAGCAGTAGTCGAGAATCGCTGGGAAGAGACACCACTTTAGTGGGTGGTGGGAAGCAGGCACCTCTGCAAATGATGAGAATATATTTCAGAGACATACATGTGAGACAGAATGAGAGTTCCCGGAGGCTCAGTAGGAAAGATTTTTCACAGAAAAGGCAGGAAAGAGTGTTAATGCCACATTGCGGTAGAGTGAAGCCAATGTAGAGTAATAGCTAATCTTTTTGGTAATAAGCAAGTCTTCAAATACCTTTCTAGTAGCAAAGACACTCATACTGAGTGTTTGCTAAATATATAAATGAATGAATGGAGGAGACTAAGTCTTCTCTGACTCTGTCGCCTTAGGATGTGAAGAGTGAGGCTTTATTTGTTGGACAAAGGTTGAGTTTCAAAGGAACACAAACCTCTAAACTTACAGGTCCTTATTTAGTACTGGTGACACAAAACAAGCCATTCCGATGTGAGCTTTTACTGACTGACTTCTCCACATCTCCTTGCTGTGCATATCAGCAATGACAGATGGGGCAAGCACTGAGGTGCAAATGCAGAAGCCAGGGACATGCTCCCTTCTCACTTGTCACAAGTAGGATCCATTGCTCAGTTCGGCTGCTATGACAAAAGATCATAGATGGGGTGGCTTAAAAACAACAGACATCTGTTTCTCACAATTCTTGCAGGTGGAAGTCCCAGCTCAGGGAGCCAGCATGGCTAGGTTCTGGTGAGGGCCCTCTTCCAGGCTGCAGATGGCTGCCTCCTCATATCCTCACAGGACAGAAGGAGAGTTAGAGAGCTCTCTGGAGTCTGCTTAATAACAGCACCAATCCCATTCATGAGAACTTCATCCTCATGACCTAATCACTTCCCAAAGGCCCCACCTCCAAATGTTGTCACATTGGGAATCAATGTGACAAGGTTTAATCTTAATCTCTGACCCTTCACTGAGTTTCAGACTCACATATCCCAAGGCCTAGTGAGTACTTCAAGCCACTCACTTCCATGTCTAACCAAGGACAATGTCGTTCCCATTCTGCCTGTTCTTGATGCAGCATTTCTTGCATCACCTTACTCTCAGTCATACATCAACGTATGAATCTAAGGTGAGTGGTGAACACAAACGTTCAATCCATAAGATCCACTTCCACATTTACATGTATATTTGGGGTAACAGGTGGCCAACAAGAATATTGATGAACATTGGAAACATCAAGACTTATTACCAAACCTCTACAAGGTCAGAGTTTCAGTACCAATTTCTTCACTGTGCTCAATGCCTACATCTGAGTCCATTATACCTCTAGGTCTTAATTCTTTTATCTTAGAATTGAAATAATAGACTAATGGACTTCTAAATTCTCTTCCACTTTAAAGTTTTTCTAGGGTTTTCACTCTCTAATACCTTTGGAGCATACTGCATTCACTTAATCAGTGCTCAAGAAATATCTCAGTCCCCAACTCATCTTTCTGTGACTAAAAATTTTATTCTTTCACAGGCAGAACTGTGTGCTGTGTGTTCCCGAAACAAGCTGAGACTTATTTTGTTTCTGCAGTTGCTCTTCATTTCTGCTTTCCCCATTGTGTTTTATGCATATGCCTCCCATTTATGTTCCTGCCTTTCCATGCCGAAGTCCAAGGAACACCGTCCCTGCTGACGTGCACACCCGGGCCGATTTACGGAATGGAACTGGCATCACTCCTCCATGTTTTCACTCACTGCAGGGGTGAGGCACACTGCCAATTCTGCTACTTCCAGTGTTAGAAGAATGACAGGAAAGCAAGATGAAAAAACAGAAAAAAAATTAGAAGAGGTTCTGATTACAAGTGTGGCTTTCAGCACAGTGAGAGGAGAAACACAAATAAATGACCTGAGTGATTTCACTGTTAACATGCACATCTCACTCACATATTCCCAGATTTTTACATCTACTAATATCTTGCCTGGTGTATTCAGATGATGCCCCATCTTGTCAGAGGTACTGTTTTCTTTAATCACGCATGTTGCATACAGCCTGAACTATCAAAGTTCCATCGCTGATGCTAACAACGAAAAGAAATGTAATTGCTGCAAAACAGTGACTCATTTTTAGTATGGAAGTTACTAAAGACTGGAATCCTGTTTATGTCATATACTGTTCTCAGAGCTCAGCAGGCCATAGCTAAATGTCAAAACCAGTGATCCCATCTTCCTTCACTGAGAGCATACATTTAAACTCTTAATGGTAGCTTAAATTCTCCGTGTATCCAAGGGTTGCTGCTTTGGAACTTCTCTGCAACAGCATTTAAAAAGATCGAATTGCAGAAAGCAAACAATGTTTTGATAATCAGAAATCAAAGCATATTAGCTGATATCCAGGAGCCCCCAAAACAACTGTTCACGAGTTGATATTCTTGAATTAAAAGAAGTCTCCATTAGGTCCTGTGTTAGTCAGTTCCTGCTGCTGTAACAAAATGCCCTAGAATGGGTCAGAAAAAAACAAAAAAACAAAAACAAACAAACAAAAAAAAACACAGAAATTTATTTCTGACAGTTCTGGAGGTGGCAAGTCCCAGATTGAGGCACCAGCATTTGATGTCTCACAAGGTCCTTCTTGCTGCATCCTCACTTAGTGGAAACAAGCACAGAAGGGGCAAAAGGGATGAATGCTGCATCCTCACAGGGCAGAAGAGATGAAGGGGCAAAGTCACTCCCCTAAGCCCTTTTATAAGGCATTAATCTCACCCAGGAGGGTGGAGCTCTCATGGCCTGATTGCCTCCTAAAGGCCTCACCTCTTAATATTGATGCATTGGCCACTAAGTTTCAACATGAATTTTGGATGAGACACCAACATTCAAACCATAGCAAGTCCAATCAACGGAAGAGCCCAATCACCCTTGCATAGATTTCCAGACACATCTGCATCAGGCTTGACAAATGGCAGTTCTTCCCACCCTGCTTTGGCATTGAGTCTCTGATTTTGATTTCAAGGCAGTTTTCGTAAACCTCACAATACTGATTCTGATGACCTCTCGTTACTGAAAATGTTTAAGGAATATGTGACATCCCTACAAAAGCGAATTGAAATTAATTGGGATTTTGAGAATTTTGCAATATTACTTGGAGAAAACCTTGAGTTGTTAAGAAATATGACATACAGTCATCATGTACTGAGGTTAATTGCACTTTGGGAATTTTGCAACATGTCTGGGATATCAGTAGATAACTATGAGATGATACAGACTGGGGCTGAGAATCAGCCCTTAATGATAATAGAATCTTCATATAGAATAACTGGTCATAAGGATTTATTTTTCCACACAAAGTACACTGTTTATTCTTAAAAATTGCTTGTTTACCTGATTAAATTTGAAAGCTATTGGACAAAGTCAGTGTCTTCTGTTAACAATCTTTTGAGAACAAAATTTATACCATTTATAGCTGATATTTCATGATTAAAAATTTATAATTCCTACTCCCTTTGATCTAAACAGCACCATAGGCTGCTAAATATTTATTTTTAGAAACAGAAGAGAATTGACAGACAATATCAAGGCACAAAGGGGAGGAAGGGTGCATAAACTATGCTAGAATAAAACCACTCTGAAAGGCTGAGAAGTTCTTGGGAAAAGATGAGCTGTTTTGTGTATGCCAACCCTGTGCTTGAAACCAAGGTGCCTGCCTGATATATCACCAGCACCTTTTCAGCTCATTTGACTACTGTTTAGTTCTGAAGATCTTTATTTCCTCATAAGAAATTAGCAACAATGTCTCATATGCATTTGTGCTTATACGTTGAGCATGTTTCTGTCTTTATTTAACATCTGAGTACTGAAACCCATTGATTTCTGTGTATAATAAGCTGTACTTCTAAAAAATATAAGACTCAAAATAATTTGTAATTACATCCTTATTCCAACAGACACTACACAAAAAGACAACATAGAAAGGACTTCCCATTTCTGAAAGTGAATTTTCCCAACAACTTCCCATCAAAACCTTCCAAAAGAAAAACTGTAATAATTTAAAACAGATATGTTTTAAAAGCAATCTCTAAACTGATGAGAAAATAAGGAATCCAAAATGAATTGAAAGCCCCAAATAAAGTGAAAACCAAACTCCAGAAAGGCAAGCCAGCATCAAAGCCTCAGATGCCCCGAGAATATTAGCCAAATCCTGTGACCCTGACTCTCTATTTGGGTAGCTTGTCAGGGTATAGGAGGAAGAGATAAGAGCCAGAGTCTGCTCAAAGTGAGGAACTTAATAGAACCCTATAGAAAGCTGAGACCCCAAAGTGGAAGAGTAAATGATAAACACCTGCAGGAAAGGCGAGTGAGGGCACCTGCCATTAGGTATAAGAGAAAGTAAATCTGAGAACTAGTAGTTATGTTCATCACTGTGGGGAATAAGGAATTTGTGACCCACATTCATGCTTTCTGTATGAATTTGAAAATCCCAAGCATAGCGAATAATTAAATGTGTCTCCAGTGGTCGTGGGAAATCCTCTCTGGAGGAACTCAACATCAAGCTGTAGATCAAATGGTCCTCAAGGTCATTCTAATAAAAACAAGGAAATTACAATTTAAAAACCACACACACAGAAACAGCACACCAAGAATGAGAGACAGGCAGAATGGCCTACAAATACTTCATATGTTAAGTCCATAGCACTCATAATATAAAAGAATTATGTTTCACATGCTCCCAGAAAGTCTTGGAAATATGAAAAAAATATTTTTTTAACAAAGTAAGTTTTAAAATAGCATGTGAATGTATTAAAAGTTTTTAAATAACATTTAAAATTCAGTAGGATAAATTAACAGTAAATTCAACAGAGCTGAAGAACTAATGAACCTGAATTAATGAACCTGAAGTAATCAACTCAGAGAAAAAAATATTGAAAATAGAAAAGAGTGAAAAAGATGTAGAGAAACTAGACTGAGAAAGTTTAAAGTCCTCTACCTGATATTTCTAGGGGAGCTAATGAATAAAATTGGTAGGAAAAAAAAAACATTGCATTTAGCAAATGGTAGCAAATCATTGAAAAATGTTTTTCAACAATTTTGAAAGACAATAGACCTCAGATACAAAAAGCTCAATGGCTTCCAAGGTAACTAAATAAAAAGAAATCCACACCTAGAAATATTGATAATGAAAGTACATAACATTGAAAATAAAGAACAGATATTTAAAGGAAGCACAGAATAAAATAAATATCACTTACAAAAGAACAATTAACACTGATGACTGATTTCTCAACACAATAGAGGCCAGAAGGCAGTGTGCAATGCATTGAGAGAACGCATGCATGACGTGGCCCTAGGATCCCACACCCACAATACTAATGTTCAAGAACAAAGGCAAAATAAAGACATTATCAGAAAAGCAAATCTATGAGTGTTCATTACATACAGACTCTCCTCACATGAAATTCTAAAGGATATGCTTCAAGAGGAAAGAAATTTAGTCAAGATGAAAGGCCTGAAATGTAAGATTGGATTCTGAGAAAGATATTGGCACATATATGACAAATACAAAGAAACATTGATGTATAAGACAGTTTAATTTCTGAGGATTATAAAAAGATGAAACATAATATGTGGAAAATAATAGTATACAAGTTGGGAGGGCAGTGGTTAAAATGAAAACATTCTAAGGTCTTTGGAACAGTTGGAATGAGAGTAAGATTAAGATAATTTTAAATTGTGCTAATTATGCATTTTAGCATATCCACAGTAAATGCTAAAAAAATAAGCATAGAGAATAAACTTCAAAAACAAGTACACAGATGAAATTCCAAAGGAGGCCAAAAATGAGACAAAATTTAAAAACAAGACATGACAGAAAATGAATAAGAGTTGAAGGTAAAATAAAATTCCAATGAAATAACCTATGCAGTAATTTAAAGAGATAGAGTAGACACATACACACACATATACGGATTCACATTTCGTTCATGTGTACGTACATATGCAAATATACACATATATCTTAAACAACACACACACACACACATGCACACACACATTCTGAACATATAAGGATGTAAAAGGATAAAAAGAGTCACACCAAACAAATGCTAACCAAAATATCACAAAAAGAGTAGACTCTAAGGAGGAAAAAAAGTGATTAAAAAGTTTAACCAGTTAGACATAGTGATTTTAGAATTATATAAAATGTAACAATGTGGCTTTGAATTATATGCTTTGAAAAATTATAGGTACACGGGGAGAAGTTGACAAATTTACCAACATATTGGGAACTTTTAATGCAATCTCTCAAAAATTGATAGACTGAGCAAACAGAAAGCCAGTAAGTAAAGATTTGGACAGCATCAATTTGATTTAAATGGATGAAATGATTTTAGAATATAGCCTCCTCTTTAAGAATTTATGAACTATTTATAAAAATTGTCCAGAAGAGGCCATAAAATAAGTCTCAATATATTTCAAAAGATTGGTATCACGTAGGCCATACTCCATAAACATGAAGAAGTTAAAAATAAAAAGCAAAAAAATACCTAGAAAAAGAATTATATATTTGGAATTTAAAAAACTCACATGCTTCTGAAAAACGTAGATTATAGAGGAAATAACGGAAAATCTTAAAATGAATTGCTGAATGATCATTAAAATACTGCATATTAAAACTTGTGGGATTAAGTTAGTGAATACTGAGAGAAATTAATAAGCTTACATGCATACATTAAAAAGATGAAAACTGTCAAATTAATCAATTAAGCGTCAAACTTAAAAAGTTAGAAAAAGAAAAATAGAATAAACCCAAATAAAGCACATTAAATAAACACATTCACAAAGAGAATAAAGAACTGGAAAACAAATAGACAATAGAAAAAACTAAAATGTCAAAAGTTATTTCTTTGAAAACAAAATGGGCAAATATTTGATAATATTAATTTAGAAAAAGATAGAGATTATACAAATAAACAATAACTGAGATGAAAAAGAAGATATAACTTCAGATGCAGAAGACATTTAAAAGGTAATAAAAGGATATTATAAACACATTTATGCTAATACACTTGAAATCATAGGTGAAATGAATACATTTTTAGAACACACAACTCATCAAAACTGGCTCAAGAAAAATGAGAGAACATAAATGGCTATATTTAGTACAAGTAAATCCATAGTTTAAAATATTTTCACAAAGAAAAAATAGCAGGCCTGAATAACTTTACATAGAGAGTCTTACTATTAAAATAAATATTCAAGAAATAAAAAATACTAGGCATACACAAACCACTTCAGAGAATAGAAAAACACATACTGTAACATGTTTATGAGAGTAATATTACCTTAAAACAAACAGTAAAATAGAGGCAAGTATGAGATAATAAAATAATAGGCTAATACAAATCATGGATATATAGAAGTCCCCAAATTCCTAAACCAAACATTTGCAAGTAAAATCTATCATGGTATTAAAAAGACGCTCAACATAGCCAAGTTGTCTTCATTCCATGAATACAAGATTGTTAGAAAATTGATTACTCTAACTTATCATTTCAAAAGATAAAAGGAGAAAAACTTGATCGTTTACGCAGATGCACAAAAGCATTGGTTAAAACTCAACACACATTTATGATTAAATCAAACCAAAATATATATGTTAACAAAGTTAATAGCAAGAAACACCTTTACTTTTGAGAGGGGCTGTATAAAAACATACGCAATAAATACATTTTGCAACCATTAACTTGAAGGTCAGAACAGAACAAGGATGACTTGTATTACTTTTTCTTTTAAAAACATTGGATGAGAGATCCCTGCCTATAGTAAGGAAATAAAAATACAGGAACCAGAGTGGAAAAACAATACTATCCTCATTTGTAAATGATATGAGTGTATTCACAGCATACAAAACAAAGTTACTGATAAAGTGTTACAATGTATGAGATTTCAGCAAAACTGTTAGATACAAAATGAGTATTGAAAATTATCTGCATTTCCATATGCCAGTAACAATATGTATTTTTTTAAAAAAAATACTATGTAGAATAGCATCAAACAATGTTTAGTACTGAGAAATAAATTTAACCAATGATATGCAACACTTTTTTAAATACGAATTTTAAACAGAACAGTAAAGTCTACAAAAAAACAAAAATTTGATAGAAATGTCAAGTTCATGAACAGAAAGACCCAATATTATGAAAATAACAGTTCATCCCAAATTTTTCTACAGACAAATAGGTTCAGAATTTTACATGGAATAGTAAATGATCAAGAACAACCAAGGTACAATTGAAGAATAAAATAAAATAGAATACTTGTCCCACCATATATCAACATTATGATTATTATTGTGTTATATAAGAAGACAGTAAAATTCTTGTTTAAATACATTTAAATAAACCAATGAAGCAAAATTGAGAGCTTTAATTGAGAGCACGTGTGAAAACATAATTGACAGAGTTGGTTGCAAAACTGTGGAGAAAGGGTAGATTTTTCAATAAGTAGTACTGGATAATTTGTTTTCCATGCTAAAAAAATAAAATTAGATTGCATACCTTGTCATATACAAAAATCAAATTTAGGCGTATTAAAAGACAATATAGGAGAATATTTTTATAGAACTGTAGCATAGAAATATATGTAGACAATATAGAAAAATAGCAAAATATAAAAGAAAATACTGACAAACTGGACTATGCTAAAATTAAGAATTTCTCTTTACAGGCCGGGCGATGTGGCTCACGCCTGTAATCCCAGCACTTTGGGAGGCGGAGGCGGGTGGATCACGAGGTCACGAGATCGAGACCATGCTGGCTAACATGGTGAAGCCTCGTCTCTACTAAAAAAAAAAATACAAAAAATTAGCCGGGCGTAGTGGCAGGCGCCTGTAGTCCCAGCTGAGAGGCTGAGGCAGGAGAATGGCGTGAACCTGGGAGGCGGAGCTTGCAGTGAGCCGAGATCGCGCCACTGGATTCCAGCCTGGGTGACAGAGCAAGACTCCGTCTCGAATAAAAAAAAAAAAAAGAAGAAGAATTTCTCTTTACAAAGACAAGCATAAAGAGAGCAAAAAGACTAACAGAAATTGGGACAAGTTCTTTGCAACTCATATATGTGCCAAAAATTAGAACCCACAATATATAAATATTTAATAAGAACAAAAATGGGCAAAAGTCACAAATAAGCATTTCACAAACTAACATATACAAAAAGGCTTATAAACACAAGAAACTATGTTCAATTTTATTAGTATTTAGGAAAATTTAATTAAAATATAATAATTTAAAGTGTAATTTGATCTAATACCTAAATAATGTGTTAATTGGAAAAATTATTAACAATTGAGTGTTGGAAACAGTATGGAGCTATGGAAATTTTCACATAAGACTGTCAGGAATGTAAATTGATGGTCGTTTTGGCAACCAACTTGCTATGCCTTGTAAAGTTGGACATGTAAATGACTTAGAGCCCAGCAAGTCTATTGCTCGATACATACTCAAAGAAATTTCTGGACACATGTGAGGTAGGGGACTGGAAGGACTTGTTTCCCGAACCAGATGGGAAACCAGCCCAAGTCAGCAAGTAGTGCCAAAAGCAACCTTTAGTTACCCTTGCTGCCCATCAGCATAAGACATTCCCACGAGTGTCATGAGAGTTGACAAATGCCATGGCAACACCAGGAAGTTATTGCCCATTTTCTAGAGATTTCTGAATAAACTGCCCCTTAATTCACACGTAATTAAAAGTGGGTATCAATGCAGGAAGCCAACAGCCTACAGGTTGCTACTCCCTGTGCACTGCCTATGGGCTAGCTCTGCTCCACAAGAAGCAGTCCCTCAGCTGTGGCAGTGTCGCTTCAGTAAAGCTGCTTTCTTCCACTGCCTGCTTGCTCTTGAATTCTTTCCTGAGTGAATGAAGCCATGAATCTGCCCTGCATCACATGCACCAAAACACTGGCTCAAAAATCTCTGCAGACCCACTATTTAATAACCCAAATTGGAAAAAAAATTAACAATAGAATGAATCAAAAATTGTGTTATATTCATTCAATGGTATATTTTATGGTTGTGAACAAGATTAATACACCAACCACACACACCATCATGGGTGAATCTGAAAAACAAAACTGAGCAAACAAAAGCGAGTCAGACACGAAAACAGAAAACCAAATACCACATGTCTCACTTATAAGTGGGAACTAATCATTGGGTATACATAGATATAAAGATGGAACAGTACACAATGGTGACCACACAAGTTGGGAGGGAGGGATGGGAGCCAGGGCTGCAAAACTGGCTATTGGGTACTATGCTTACTATCTGGGTGACCAGTCCAATCATACCCTAAAGCTCGGCATTACACAATATACCCTTGTGATAAACCTGCAAATGTACCCTCTGAATCTAAAATAAAAATTGAAAAAAATGTGAGTTCGAAAAATAAACTCTATTCTTCCATTTATATGAAATACAAATCTAGGCAAAACTAAAAAAAATATATGGTTTATGGTTACATATGTATGTGGAACAATAAAGAAACCCAAAGGTATCAATCATACAAAAATCAGAAGTGTTACCTTTGAAGGAAGTAAAAATTCTGTGGTCAGGTAGAGAGGGCTTTTAAGCTATTGGTATTGTATTATTACTTAAGCCGTAATGGCATACAGATTTTCACTTTATTATTATTCTTTATGAAATATATATATACACACACCTGTACATGTATATATGCACACATAAACACGTGTGTGCATAATACATATTTTATGTTTTGTATGTTTCACAATAAAAAATAAAACATATTTTACCTAATACCATATCACAAGCCAACTTTTAGGTAGCATTTCATATACCAAGCAAGATTTGACAAAAGGTAGATACTTAGTGGAAGCAAGATCTTTCTTAGTAAGGAATATAATTATGCAATCTTAAGTTCAGGGCTGTTTCCTATCATGGAAAAAACAGGCAATAAATAAACGCTTGTTGAATTGAACTAAATTAAAGTATGTGTAATGCAATGGGCGAATGTGTGACACTGGCTACATTAGCCCTGCTTTCTTGGCATCAGTGTTCCACTTTCCATTTGGATTTCCATCTCTCACCCGGGCACCCTGTATACCACTGGGGAAGGTAACACCACTCTCAACAAGTGAGGTGGGCTCCGACTGGTTTAACAATCAGCTTTTCCCAATCATTTAGTTTCCCAATGTTTAGTTCAAAACAGTTAATGAAACGTGACCCAATGAGATATAAGAAAGTGGGGCAGGAGGGGGCTGAATACCTCCTAGGTTTTCTGAAAGAACTACTCAGACACTTATCTTGTTGGTTGAACGTGAACAAGACTGGCTACATATCCCTGCCCCTAGAAGCTGCGGGAGCTACCTCTGTGACACCGAGAGAGACAGCTTTCAATTGAAGTCCAAGATAGGCCAATGCTGCCTGCAGAAAGTTAGAAAGCTATAACTGGGTTCGTAAGCAAAGTTTAAAGCCTAATCCTCTGAAAAATAATGAATAAAAATGAGGATCTGTCCCTGCCCAGTGCCCCCCAGCACAGGGAGATATACTAGAGTCTGGGTAAATCAACGTTTCCTCGAGAATATATACTTACAGATATGCTGTCACATAGACTCATGGTCTGAATCTTTACCCTGATTCTTGGCTGGTAATACTCCTGGGATTCCTGCCTTCCACCTGTACCTCCACCCTAATGCTTACACCTAAGTAAAAAGAAAATAAGTTTATGATGCAAAATTACCAAATAAAATGAAAAAAGTTCACTATGTGAGAGTCAGCAGATAAATAAAAAATAATAGATCCTAAGGATTTCAGATAATAGAACTATGAGATGTAGAATAAAAACTACACATACTTAAAATGATTGAGGACATAAAAAGGGAGATTGAAATTGTGTAAAAAGCATGAGTGATATTATAAAGCCAGGCAGACTTGAAAATAACCACCTGGAATGTCTAGAAATAGAGCAATTAAAATATAAAATACAAGAGACACATTAAACAGCTAAATAACAACCATATGAAGACAGAATGAAAGAACTAAAAGGTTGATATTTTCTTAAGAAAATTATTAAGTAGGACTGAGAAAAATGTGAATTAATGAAAGAATAGCATTAGGATGAAAACAACAAAAAGGCAAAAACTTAATCATTGTGACTTTCAAAAGAAGCCATATTTAAGATGTGGGAAAAGTAGATAGTACAGAAAGCCATGGGAAGAGACAGAAATAAGATATTTTATAGTAATTGTTTTAAAAGCTGTTTGATCAAATCTTGCCTGAAACCCTTTCTATTCCTTGACTTTCTGTTGTTAGCCCACACATATTCTTAACCATTTAATCCCATTTATGTCAAGTATTTTTCTTTACAAACTAACTGTTCTAAGTGATATGGAGAGTAAAAAAGTAAAAATTAGTCAGACTGAGAAAGTAAAAAAATACACCTGGCCATTCAACAAACTGGAATAATAGATGCAAATAAAGCCAGCTGACAATTTAACAGGAAATGATATTTCTCCCAAGTAGTTACCACAGCTAAAAAGTGTCATAAAAATCCCCTTTATCAGTGACTACTGCTTTTTTTACTCAAGATACTTTGTTGTCTAAAATCATAACCTATCAAAAACTTTGTTTTTTTTTTTTGAAATTATATCAGTAAAAATGAAACATCCCATTCTTGCCTAGAGGATTTAAATCACTTTGACATAGAAATCAGCCACAATTTCAAATCCAGGTGCAGACCTCCAAATAAGGGGTTTCTGGACACAACATTCTACATTTATCTTAACTGTGTAGTTTCCAAGGAAACAGGACCTTAGATCCACTTCACAGTCCAGAATTGATGTTACACCCTTTGCACATAGCCCTGCTTTGCTTTGAGCCTATCCAAACACTGCTTTATTTAAGTTTCACCTCAACTCCATTATCCCTCAAAATCCTATAATAACCTCTATCTTTTCCTTTGTTTGGTGAGACACCTCACAATTCCCCTGGTATGTGATCTCCCTCGTTGCAATGGTGCAATAAACCTGACTTTGCTGAGTAAAAATTCATTTCTGGTGATCTCGGCTGATTAGGCTATGACAGGAGATGAGGTAAGGCAAATCAAACAAACCAAGACATCAATTTATTTTTTTCAGCATTTGCCTAAAGAAAGTCATATAGAGAGGGACAATAAAGTTATAAAAATTAGGACAATTAGTCTGTAACTAAATCAATCCGGAGCGTTTGGGTTGGTAATAGCACCTTGAAGAAGGTCAGTCTTGGAGAGAAAGGGAAAGAGGTTTGTATTAGCCTGTTTTCACACTATAAAGAATACCACCTGAGACTGGGTAATTTATAAAGAAAGGAGGTTTAATTGACTCACAGTTCCACATGGCTGGGAGGCCTCAGGAAACTTACAATCATGGCAGAAGGTAAAAGGGAAGCAGGCACCTTCTTCACAAGGTGGCAGGAGGGAAGTGAGAGTGCAGGAAAAAACTGCCATTTTAAAAACCATCAGATCTCGTGAGAATTCACTCACTATCACGAGAACAGCATGGGAGAAACTGCCCCCATGATCCAATCACTTCCCACAAGGTCCCTCCCTCGACACCTGGGGATTACAATTCGGGTTATAATTCAAGATAAGATTTGGGTGGGGACACACAGTCAAACCATATCAAGGTTCCCTCATGCCCCATTAAGAACATGGAACAAGAGTCACAGTGTTTAAAGAAAAGAGCCCCCTTGCTCCCGCTTGCAGCTGCACTTGCACTTCTAGACAGCAACAGATCCTTGTTCAATGCAGGCAGCCCTTGCGGCTCCCAGGAAATTGAGCACAGCCTAAAACAAGTGCCAAAGCACACCCTGGGATCCAGCTGCCTCCCAGGTCTAGGACTGAGCTCCTTGGCTGTATTTTCAGCAGTGAACTGGCAATAATAAATGTCAAGCCCCAATCAGCATAATCGCCCTAGTTCTGCCAACTTAGTTTGTAGCCAGTGAAGGTGGCATCAAGATTTCCTATTTAAAAAAAAATTAATTGCTGAACTCAGACATAACAAGGATGTTATATATGGCTTATATTTCCAGCAGGTTAAAGATCACTGAAGCATTTGTGGAATTAGATTTCTTTTTAATCAAGATAAAACACAAGATTTCAATATCTTCTCTGATTGCTAAATATGGTTATTTTACAGGTGGGGGAACTAATGAGAACATATCTGGCATAATGCCACAGTAAAAATAAAATAATCAAAAAGTGAAGCGTAATGAGGATGTATGTCGCTGATGACCTCTGTTCAAGAAATCCCATTTGTCCTCTTGGCTTCTTCAGATTACAGTAAGGCTTCAACCTTGAACTATGAAATGAAAGTCAGATGTTCAAGGCCTGGGTAGGTGCTTCACTGTTTCTCGAACCCAGGGTACTTGTGTAAGTGCACATTGAGGAAAATCACACATAAGCACAAACTGAACATTAAATAGCCTGAATACTGCTCTGGACCTAACTAGTTCATTTTTAGATTACCGTAGCCTCTTGGGCTCTAACAGTCCATTTGTAAGCTTTCCCAAGCATTTTTAAAAAACAGTCAATTTTCTTGACTAAACCATACTTAATAGAAAACCATCAAAGTGTTAGGGAGGGGTGCAGAAGCATTGGTTGTAAATCAAATATTGGGAGATTGTTTAAGCAGACAACTTTCTTTTATAGCAATAGTTTTGGGTGCTTTAAATCACTCAGGTAAGTCATGCATGGGCATCCCCATCCCCAATGGATAGATAGCCTCATCACCAAAGTCTATAAACTTTCCAGAAGATGCAAAGCATACATCACCTGCCAATCTCACAGGTGTCAGCTTAGCATGAAGAACATGACAACCAGCTTCTCAGACGGGGAAGGGATCTGCCAATTCACCTACCTTGTAGGTTTCACAGACAGGAAATCTTAAACTGTTCCAAGCCCCAAAGTTTCATTGTTTACACCAATACTGCCACTGATATGTTGCTGGGGCCTGCCAACTGTCAACCTTGTCCAACCTACCCAAAAAGGAAGCTGTAAGGGTGCATGTGCCATTACTGTAGAATATGGGATATTAAAATAAAAAATATTCCAGCTCTTTGATTTCCTCTGATTTTGTGGGTAATACAATAACCAGAATGAGATAGCTGAAACCAATAAAATCTGATTTATAGCATTAAAGGCAATCTTTATAGCACTTATTTATGGTACATTACATCTAAAATCCAATTTCACAGGCTGCTGTTTGAAACTTTCTGTTCAATCATAAATACACTACATACACTGCACCTCAGTGCCACAGAGTTAGATTATATAAATGCCTGTATCCCCAGAAGGTATTAAAATTTGGTTACTATGGTGGTGAGTGAGCTTGATAGTAATTTCCCTAACCAACTTTTTAACCAAAAAGATCCAGTCAGCACTTGATAAATACTAAAAATGCAAGCACTACTATCATTAAACCAGAAAAAAGTCAGATAACTCTACATTCCAGAACAAAATTAACTGAAAAGAAGTCATAGAAAAATGGGATAATTGATGATACTAAAGGATACTTGCATTTAATGTCATGGAGTACGTTTTCAATCCAATGACCAAAAGCACTTCCTTGCATGACACCATTGGTATTAACAGGAGGCACATGGCTAAGTCTATTCATGCTTCTTTGAAAATGTAACCTTAAGTGTCTACATTCATACACTTCAATGGAGAAGACTATATTCTGTTCAATTACTGTAATCATTGTCAAAGAGAGGGCAAAGAATACAATTTGACTTTTAGAGAAGAACTATCATTTGAATCTTAAGCAACTTCACATTGGTTTAAAAAGGTTTTTGCCTTAAAAAAAAAAAAACCCAACTCCTCCATATTCTTTGCTTGCCAAATATTTGCTAAATGTAAATGAAAAGGCTGGAATCTTTGCCTGATCTGAGAAGCATGCAGGCTCTTGTTTTGTGAGAGATTAACCCCCTTGGCACTCAAGTTTTGTTTCCTAAATACAGTTCAATGGCATGGTCATCCATAAATGTGTACTATGGGTCCATCATATGCCTGTGTGCTATGCTGGTAAGTTGTTCTAGTATACAGTTCAAGGCTTGAATGTAAATGACAAAAGGTGGCAGAAATAGTGAATAGACTCAATACCAAAATAACTAACACTTGTCAGTCCTCTTCCATGCGTTAGGCATTGTACCACGTCAGAAATGCCTCCAGATTCTATGGGGCCTGAAGCCAATACAAATTGAGAGCCCTCCGTAAGTTAAGAGAGTATAAACTTCAAATATAAAATTAGACTCAAGCATATTATTATTTAGAAGGAACCTATGCAAATAAGGGCCCCAATACCTGAGCCTTGTTAGTGACGTGATAAAAGCAACCCTGGTTCTTGTTTTTCATATATCATTCCTTATCCTCACAATGGCCCAGAAAGGTAAAAATTACTCTGAAAATAAAGAACCAGCCAGGGCATGATGGTTCATGCCTGTAATCTCTAGTCTTTGGGAGGCCAAGGCTGGAGGATTGCTTGAGCCCAGAAGTTCAAGACTAGCCTGGGTAACATAGCAAGACCCTGTCTTTACAAAAAAAAATTTAAAATTATCCAGGTGTGGTGGTGCACACCTGTAGTTCCAGCCACTCAGGAGGCTGTGAGAAAGGATTACTTGAGCCCAGGAGTTCCAGCTTGCAGTGAGCTATGATTGCACCACTGCACTCCAGCCTGGGCAACACAGTGAAACCCCATCTCTTAAAACAAACAAACAAAAGAACCTGAGGCTCACAGGGGTTGCCCAAGATGAGTGAGGTAAGAGTCTGTTCATTGGAGTGCAAGCTCAAGTTTGTCTGACATAGAAACCCATGTATACTATTGAGTTTCAGTTTAAGTTAATTGAGATTTGAGTTGTGTTACCTGGACTTTCCTAAGATGGGATGTTATTCTTAGTTGTTTTAATCCCTGGAGAATACTTCATATTAAGAGAAGACCTAAGGCTTCTTTTCAGTGGAACTGAAAGTTGAGTGTGCTTAGGATCACCTGGAGGGCTTGTGAAACCAGATATCTGGGCTCCACCTCCAGAGTTTCTCACTCTATGGCTCTAGTTGCTCTAGTTGGTTTGAGAATTTCCCAGGTGATGTTGATTGATACTGCTGCTTCGGGACCAACCCTTGCCAACCACTGACCTAGAGAAACTGAGTTAATTCTAGCATCCTGTTCATCTCTTGTTTACCTCGAATGAAACCACAGTAAGTATATTTCAGGTTTCCTTTTACTGGCTCAGCTAAATTGGAGCTAAACTCTAACCCTTCATGAAAGCTTTGGACTGGATTAGCAACAGCTGGAATCCAAAAGATGCTGAGGAAGGAACATTAGTGAAAGATTATGATGGAAGTACTGACTGACTCTTAAAATGCAATTCAACCATGAAGAAATATATTTGAACTAGCTTCACTATTGCACAGTTTAAAACTATTAAGTAACTGTAGTTAACATAACAGATGAATATCCTAATTTTTATGTAACTAATAGAAAAATAGAATCAATGAATACACTGAGAAGCCAAGAAAATGGATTTACCATGTAAGGGACAAAAACTAAGAGACTAAAGGAATGAAATGTCATTTGAAATTGAGTTAGTAAGGTTTAATCAAGGTATTTAAATGTATTTTACAATACTTACATTCTGTATTTAAGTCTGATTCAATATAATAATGATGGACTTTTATTAGAGAAAGGCTATTCAGTGATGCCAGTGAAATGACTGTAGACAAATTATCTCCATGACATACTACAAAAGTCATATCTATAAATTAGTTTAAGATGCCAGCACTAGGTATATTAAGGTTCGGAAGGCTTCAGTTCACTCTGAACTCTTATGTTTCTTGAACACATTTACGGAAAGAAGAGATGACCTTTTAACCACTATTATCTCATGAATTATTCTTCAATAAGCATCTTGTGTGTTTGTGTCCTTTGTTGGAAGCCTATGAGGCCCTTCGTTTATTCAACAGAAATTTACTGACACCTACCAGGTGCAAAGGAAACACAAATTAATAAGATGCTGATCCAGCCTTCAAAGAATTAGCCAACTTTGTCTACTTTACCTGAAGAAAGGAAATAGAATTATTACAACTGTCTAATAAGTTACCTCAGAGATATAAAATAATAATTGAGCTTTGGGTTCATGAAACTATTTTTTCTAATAGTTCTGTGTAATCTATAGAAATGGAGGGACAGAGATCCAATGTTCTCATGCAGCAATCTTAGTATTGTAAAACAGAGTAATTTCTATGAAATTCTAAAATTATGGGCCCTGGTTAGAATGTTTTCTACTCCTGGGAGCAGGGGTACTTAGGTTGGGTTTGTGCGCATTAGCATTTACATAGGAATTATTACAAAGGTGAAGACTGGTGGCAGTGCTGATAATAAGAAGGTATTAAGCATTTTTCCAAATAGGAACACAGATTTCCAGAAAAGGAAATTTCTAAAAAACTGGTGATAAAATGTAATCTTTAATCCAAGAGAATGTAAAAGAAAGTTTTGCATTTCCCTAGAAAATGTACCATTTGTGACAATAAATCTTAGCATTGATTTCTAGTCAATTGTCTAGTTTATGGATTAGCAAATAAGAAAATAATGAATTCCAGACCATTACCATGGGATACAGGTGCCTTTGTATATAAGAGATGACATGAGAAAATAAATATATGATCTGGAATATTAACATATGATACCATTCTTGCTTTCTAAAAATGGCTTCTATAAGTTTTTCACTCCACATTTCACAGGCAGATGGTTGAGAAAATACTATCTAACCAGAAATAGAAAAACACTTTTCCTGGCCAGTGTCAACTGTGTTTCCATTAATCTGCAATATCTGAAAGTAATTATTTTGATCCTTTCTCTAAATTGTTAGTAGGAAAGTTTCATTTACTATAATTAAGAAAAATAAAAAATTCCTCCTAGAAGTGGATCACTTCCATGGAGCAACTGCTTTCCCAGAGTAAACTCAGGTCACATATAACAAAAGGTACCAGTGTGGATATGAAATCAGCTTTTGGTACATTCCATAAGAAGAGATGCTGCCTGTTTGCAGAATGCCTAGGATAACATGTCCATATGCACTTTGTGTCACAAGGTCTTAAAAACCTTCATGCTTCATCAGAACCTTTTAACAGATTCTTCTAATGGTTGTGTTTATTCTGCTTCATTTACTTTTGAGTTCACATCAAGGTTCAGAACTTCAAACTAGAAGAGAGGGACCTTGGAGATGATTTTGTCTCTTCCCTTCCAACTTATTTTCAGATATGATTTATTGAGACTCAGAAAAATCTAGTGATATATACAGGGTCTACATCCAGATGATGAATGGGCCAAGATTGATTAAAACCCTGGTCACAAGACCCACCATCCATCGACACTGCTCTCATCATGTCATCTGATCAACAATCTTGCATGGTGCCCTGACACCTTTTCTGCAATTACATGCTCTCAACAGCTAGCTGAACTCATCAGATCCTGTCATTTGAAGGGTGGGTAAAAAGAGAATCAGGGATATGTACATGGAATTCTGAACTACTATCTTTTGTCTAATTCACAGAACTATTGCTAGGGTCAGTCAACTGAAGCAATACAGGTAAAGTAAACTTTTGAAGCAATAGTCTTTGTAAGTTACAAAGCATGTTACAGTTTGGTGCAACAGTAATTGTGGTTTTTTTCATTCCATTAATAGCAAAAACCACAATTACTTTTGTACCAATCTAATACTAATATAAGAAATTTTCAAAATCATAAAACCTAAGATGAGTTATTATATAAAATTTTCTTTAAAAAAGCCAAGATATCTTGTAAAAAATGTATGGAATCCCACAAAATATCTATGCCAAACTCTACCCTCAGATAAACTGATTGGATAAGTTTTAAAAGATATATTATAAATAAATGTTAAGAATAGTCTTACTATAAAAATGTATTTGAGATGAAAACAAACCTAAAATTCAGTAAAAATTTAACCAGCATTTGTAGAAATTTGGTTGCTTTCTGAAACTGTGGCAAAACGTCAATTCTAACAGAAAGAAATTAAACAAAACCATCATTTTACATTTTCATAATTAAAAGAAAATATATTTTTAAATGCCTGTAAAATGATAACACATTATTTTTATTTCCTGTCAGCAATCTTTATACATATGTAGTTCTGATCCTTCAAAAGCCTCATAGAATTTACTGAGCTAGTAATAAATTGGACTTTCACAAGTTAATAGATATTTTTCCTCATGAAAGATCAACTCATACAAAGATTCACAACATAAGCTGCTTCTATTATTTATGCTTTTTCCTTCGTCTGGAAAGCCTTCAACCCACCATCCCCACCAACACCCTTGGCCCTATTTTGCTCTTAACTCTGAGTTGGTCTTGCAAATACTCACCTCCTGGGACACCCAACATCCTCTCCACCAAACCTTTCCTGTGACCCTTCCCTCCTTACCCATTTCTCCCAAGAGATATCTCTATGTTTCTGCTGCACTCTGGTAATAACTGTTTTTTTTTTTTTTTTTTTTTTTTTTTTTTTGAGATGGATCCTTGCTCTGTTGCCCAGGCTGGAGTGCAGTGGTGCGATCTCAGCTCACTGCAAGCTCCGCCTCCCGGGTTCTCGCCATTCTCCTGCCTCAGCCTCCCGAGTAGCTGGGACTACAGGCGCCCATCACCACTCCCGGCTAATTTTTTGTATTTTTAGTAGAGACGGGGTTTCACCATGTTAGCCAGGATGGTCTCCATCTCCTGACCTCCTCATTCGCCCGCCTCGGCCTCCCAAAGTGCTGGAATTACAGGGGTGAGCCACCGCGCCCGGCCCAGTAATAACTTTTGTACCTGTTTACTAGTCTGTCTCACAGAATGTGAACTCCTCAGATGGAGGGATACCTTACAGGTCTTTATGTTCACTGCACAGCAGAGTGCTTGGCACCTGTCGTGATCAATAGATGCTTAACATTCCTCATCAAATATTTTATTGACTATTTCCCACAGTGCAATTAAAAGGAAGAAATTTTACAGACAAGCCCTCTTTTTATTAATTTGCTAGACTCAGCCCATGACCATAAGAAAGCAGTCAAGTATTTAATATTTAGTATTTACTGCTGAGTTTACAATAGCAGTGTTTTAATAGAAAAGGGAATCATGTAGACAGATTTTAAAATGCAGAGAACTTAAAAAAACTTAAATGATATTCTTACAAGGAATAGTACATAGTGATTGAATTAAAACAAACTTTGAATTTTTATCATTATATTTCTATATCATGGGAAAGAGATACTGTACCAACACCTCAAATTAATATATCCAAGTCGACTCATTCATTACACACAGAGCCAGGTCACATTCTCAGTGCCACGCAAGTAGTGAAGCAGTGAACGAAACTGAGTCCCTGTTCTCAAAAGCAAAACTTGTGGTGGTGAAGCAGCCAGACTGCTTAAGTTTGAGTCCCAGGCCTACCACAAATGAGCTGTGAAATCTTAAGTAATTTATTTAACCTCTCTGTGCTTCAATTTTCTGTGTATAAAATGGAAATGTTACCACCTATGGCATAGGTGGTTATGCATATTAAATGAGTTAACATTTGTAAAGTTCTTAAAAGTCTGCCTGACATAGATAATATCTGATAAATAAAACTTCAAGATGCTTAAATTCTATCAGAAAGAGACCAACCTATACACCTGTATAATAGGTCAAGTGGTGATAAACACGAAGAAAGTAAGCAAAGCAAGAGAATGGAGTGTGGAGATCATTTATTGCAGTTTTACTTAAGGTGGTCTCTCTGATAAAGGGACTTTTGAGCAGAGACCTGAATCAGTGAAGGAGGTCTGCAACTTTCTTTTGGAAGAAGATTACAGGAAGAGGGATAGACTTGTGAAAAGGCTCTGAGGAAGAAGGTTGCTCAGAGTGTTGAAGAAACCAGGGGAGACTGACTCGCCCCCATGAAGCAAAGCCAGAGAGAAGTGGGGTGGAAGGAAGCCAGGTTAGAGAGTAACAGAGGGACACGTCACACAAGGCCTCAGACATCATCATAAAGACTGTACCGTGCACTCTGAGTGAGATGAGAAACCATTGGAGAATTTAGAATGGAAGGGCAATTTTATTAGGTAGATGTTGTAAAAGGGGCACTGCAGCTGCTATGTGAGAGAGAGGAGTCCAGGATGACTCTAAGAATTTGAGCCATGTAGTTGGTATCAAATAAGATATGCAAACTAGGAGAAAAATCACCCTTGAAGTAGTGATCACAACTTCATTTGTGAGCATTTTAAGTTTCAGACATTTATTAGATGCCCAGTAAGCAGTTGGATATATGAGTCTGGGATTAGGGTGAAAAGCTTGGAGCTGGAGCTAAATTTGTTATATTTGGAAATAACTTTATGAGCCATGAAATTGGGAAATGAGTGAGGACACATAAGTTAGGGGGTCAATTACTCAGCCTTGGAACACCAACAAGCAGAGGTGGTGAAGACATAGAAGCTACAATAAATGACCCTAATAAAGAGGGGCCAATGGGGTTGGGGGAAACCAAGAAAGAGTGGGGGTCTGGGAAGCCAAATGAAAAATGTGAAGAAAGGGTGTGGCCAAGAGAGTCAACTGCTACTCTCAGGACCTAAGCAGGAACCTCACCCTGTGTTTCCTATTTCAGTTCATGGCTTCAGTAACATCTTCCTAATCACTCAAACTAGGAGACATCTTCCAATAAGTATTTCTCCCATTCTTTGCCCACCATATCTCCCCTAGCAGGTGTACATCCCCGAGTTCTTCCTCTCTCTTTTATCCCCATATGAGACTACTCTAAATCAAGTCCCCACAATCTCTTAGGTGGACGAGTCAGCCCCCTAACTGTCTACCAGCCTCCACGTTGTTGCTTCTGGAATCCATTCTTGCAAATGCCATGTTACTTTCCTGACACAGACCAGATCATTTCCTCCTCAGAAACACTCGATGACCCCTGCTTACTTTGTCCAGTTCCCTGGATGTTCTGTTCAAGGTGCTTCCTGTTGACCCCAGTCTTGTCTCCACCCTTCTGTCCATGCTCACTCTGCCTGAGCCAAGCTTGACCCATTGCTAGTCCCTGAATCTTCATAATTTGATGACTTTTCATGACATTCCTTTTCCTGGAATGCATTTTCTCTCCTGTATGCCTGAGCAAAGGCTATTCAGTCCTTCAGTGATAACTCAGAATCCCAAATCTCTGATGGGGACTTCTCTGATACTTCTTGGCAGAGGCTTTGGGCTTTGTATTCTTGTCACACACATTTCATTTTAACTTAATTATTTTACATAGTTGCTCATTTTCTCATTTCTTTGAATAGACTGGAAGCTCTTTGAAGGTAGAGGTCATATCTTGTTTCTATCAGTAGGATCATAGTTCCTAGCACACTGCTTGCATTAAATTGGCATTCATACATTTGTTGAAATAAAATATTTGTTTCTATTAAAATTATTATTTGATATAAAAACTACTACTAAATCTCTCCAAATGTTCTCTTTAAATGTTAATTTTATAATCATATTTATTTTTATTTCATCAAATAAATGTCTATTTTTAATTGCCTTCATTTAAAAAATGTTGATAGGTAAATTGTAGAAGACGAGTTAGTGGGTGCAGCGCACCAGCATGGCACATGTATTCATATGTAACTAACCTGCACATTGTGCACATGTACCCTAAAACTTAAAGTATAATAATAATAAATAAATAAATTTAAAAAAATAAAAAATAAAAATAAAAAAAGAAAATAAAGAAAACAAAAGGAAAAAGGGAAAGAAATGAAAAGAAAGGTAACACTGAAAAGGAGAATTGATATGTCTCTGGTCTTTGTTTGTTTTTAAGCCTGATACATTTCTTTGGCTGATCATATAGGTAATACCCTTGAGCTTTTCATGATAAGGTTAAAAAACATTTCTATGCTATGCCAGTATATCTTTCAAGCAATATGCCTGAAGTTGTGGGGTTGTTTTGTTTTTTGTTTTTTTTTTTCATTTTTTTCAGCACAGCTACAAACTTCTCTGGGGAATGGGCTCTAAAGCAAAGATTTGGTACTATCTGTCTCTTCTATTTCAGAAAACTACAAGTTATATGCTTTCAGACATGAGGAAGTAAAACATCAATTGTATAGAACATTTCAGTAGAGAAGGTATTCTAATTAACATGATAATCAACACAAGCCAAACATTCTTTATGAATCTTGATAACATACTTTACCGTCTGATGGATTTCAAGCTATTGGTGCTATTCCTTCTTTCTGGACACCAAGGTATACATGGCAAAAGGGAAGGAACAAAGAAAGAAGCCAACGTACATTTAAAAGTTAGCGACTAATTCATTATACAGGAGAATAACACCAGTTCCTGATACTTCTGGGTGCTGATTAGAATAAATCATAATGGGGGCACTGAAAATCAGTAATGTCCTAAGAAATCCTCTAGGATTTTTTATATTCATGCATAAGCCTCATTTCTCATCCCAAATTTTTGCTTAAAAATGAATAAATAATTCTAGCTGGAACAGAATGTATTCTAAGAAATAGTTACCACTTATTGAACACAAACTCTGCCAGGCATGGAACTGAACATTTTATGTATAAAATCTTAATTTTTCACAATGACCCAGAAGGGTAGCTAATTCTACCTTGAAATGCATAAATTGAAGCTTGGAGTGATTAAGTAACTTCTCCAATGCTACAGAAGCCATTAACTTTAAGAGCTGGGATTTGAACCAGGCTATTTAATGCCAGAAGCCATTCACAGAGTCATGCCTCTATGTTTGAATCTGTTTTCTGAGATCCTCCCTCCCACGTGCTTGTGTGCCATGTACTGTGTTGTCACTAGGGATACAGCCATGAAGAAAACAAGCATAATAGCTGTTCTTATGAGGTTTACCTAATTGTTCTGTAAAAGAGAAAGGAAGTTAGTTCCTATCATATATGCTTTCCTCAAGATTTAAGGAGAAGGCTATATTGCCCTTGCTAGTTCCTTTTCCATCATCAAATATTATCAGAAGCATTAAAGTTTAATATATTTTCAATTGAAGTATGTTTTAATGGAATTATTTTCATTAAAAATACAGGTAATTTTTCATAGAATATAACAATTTTCCCCTATTACATTCATGCTTCATAATTGAAGAAAATGTTCCTATGATCTTGCAGATACATAACTCTAGCTGAGAGGGCTACAGATGGATCATCTGGCACAAGATGGGAGACAGCATCAACTGAGTTCTAGTCATAGCACTGCCTTGACTGACAGAGACCTCGTCAATAAGATATATATCAGACACATGCCTCAGTTTACAATGGCTTGTCATGAGTTTTCTATGCTTTGTAGTCCCTGGAAACACTTTACAGTGTCATCTCTCTGAATGCAGGTTTCCAAAGACATCCATAGCCTGCTTCAAAACTAAATTTTACAAGAATGAAAAGAAAGGAAAAACATATAAAAATCTTCAAGGTATAACCAGCAGAGAAAACCTCTCTTTATAATTTGGTGCTGTCTAGTAATTTTTATATTTATATTCTACCAAACAGAAATTTTAAAATTCTTTTTATTTTAAAATAAAAGAGGCCGGCCGTGGTGGCTCACATCTGCAATCCCAGCACTTTGGGAGGCCAAAGTGGGTGGATCATGAGGTCAGGAGATCGAGACCATCCTGGCTAACACAGTGAAGTCCCGTCTCCACTAAAAATACAAAAAAATTAGCTGGGCGTGGTGGCGGGCGCCTATAGTCCCAGCTACTCGGGAGGCTGAGGCAGGAGAATGGCATGAACCCGGGAGGTGGAGCTTGCAGTGAGCTGAGATCGTGCCACTGCACTCCAACCTGGGTGACAGAGTGAGACTCTGCCTCAAAATAAATAAATAAATATAAATAAATAAATAAAAGATATCTATCTATCTATCTATCTACACATACACACACACAAAAGATGTATGGCTTAATGAATTATTACCAGTGATACCACTTCAGTCAGGAAATAGAACTTTACCGCACATTCCAGAAACCCCATTCCATTCACAACTCTGTTCCCCTCACCAAAATCATCATTCTCCTCATTTTTATAATACCTAACTTTAATTGTGTTTTAAAAATAGCTTTATCACTCCAATATCTGTCTCTAATTACTCTGGTTTTGCTCATTTTTAAAAACCTGATATAGTTTAAGTCACTTTTAATCTACAGGGTCCTCCTCCACATCTGCCACTTTCCTGCAATTTATCTTTTGGAAAACCCAGACAATTTGACCTATAGAGTTTTCCAGAATCCGGATTTTACAGAACACATCCTTTTGAGAGTGCAGTTCAGCATGTTCCTTTGTCCTCTCAATAGCCTTCTGCAATTTGCAGCTGGATCCAGAGAAGCATCAGACTCAAGTTTAATCTTTTGTCATGACTATTAGTGGCATTTGGCAGGATTATAGGAGGCACGTAATATCCGGTCATCTGTGTTATGTGATCTTAGCAGCTGTTTGTGCTAAATGCCCATATTCATTCATTGGAAATTGCAAAATGGCAACATTCTATCATTCATTTTTCATTTATTAGTTGAAATTACTTTTATAAAGAAATATTCCCACATCTACTATTTAGATACTTAGTGGTATAGTTCATTTAGGAAAGTCAGAATAAATGTTTATATATTTCCCCTTTATTGACTAATTTTCATGTAATGATTGGTTTCGTATTATCTTCCAAAGATGAATAATTCTTTTGTTGTTTTTAAATATCATTATGAACGCAAAGATTTTAACATATTTGATGGGCTTCAATCTACTGCAATTATCATTACTGAAGCTCAAATTCAGTTGGCAACTTTTAACATGGATCTAACAGTCTCTGAAAGCTTCCTTGATAGCTACCATTACAAGATTTTCCGAGCCCACTTTATAGGCCATATCAGAGTTTCTGGGCTTTTTCAGTGCACAGAACTGGGAAGTACGCATTTAAAAATAAAATTTCTCTTGAGGTTACTCGCTTTGATGATTCAGATTAGATTCAAATTCCTGACTTAATTTTTTCTCTAGCACACCGCTATCTACTTTCTTCAAAACCAAAAATCTGATTCTCAAGGACACGGGATGATACATCAAGACTATCCCATAATTATTCATTAGTTTTTTCCATATTATATACACAATAGTCTCAGAACCTAACAATAATACCACCACCAATATGACTAGTAAAAACACTAAAATACAGGTTTACTTTTCCATTCTCCTCCCATTTGTAAAGTACTTACACTGTCTGTACTCTCAGTTCATATGGCCATCACATACCCTCTCCTTTTCTGCCCCATTTACTTTAAGCTCTACAAGTAACTATTTATTTAATGTTCTCCACCAGTTCTTATGATGTCTCTCTAGTTATTCTACTTGTCTCAAGCCGGTTCTCTAATAAATTCCTCAGGAAGTGCTTATAGGATCCGAGTTCTTACATGTTGTGGACAGTTTTCTTGTGTCCTTTGCTAGACATTAGAAGGCTGTATTTTCTGGAAATAAAATCCATGTCTCGTGTGTTTTTCCCTTGAGTATCTTACATATGTTTCTTCATTTTATTTTGGTATAAAGCATTGATGCTGAAAGATGTGGTAATTATCTAATTTTCTTTCCATTGTAAGTCATTTTTTCCTTTTGTTTACATAACCAAATGATTTATTCTTTTTCTTTAAAGTCCAGTAACTTTATCACAATGTTTTGATGTTCACAATTCTAAGTCAATATTCTTAAGGATGTGATGTACTCTTTCAGTAGGCAGCTTCACATTTTACTTAGAAAAGCTTTTTGAATTTTCATATTAGTGTTTGTTCTGTTTTCTTGCTTCCAAGTTTCTTCCACAGGGACTCCTACTATCATATATTCAATTTCTTTTCTTGTCTTCAATATTTGTCATTTTCTCTTGAATCTTTTTTATTGCTTTGTTTATTTTTGAGCTTTAAAGCTTTCCTCTTATTTCATGTTCTATTTCTTTTAAGATATTTATCTGTTACATGTATTCATTCTTGTCTTCCTTGTAGTTAGTTTTAACTTTTCTTTTATTTCTGTTCTTTCTTTTTTTAAAATGATTTCAACTTTTATTTTAGATTCAGGAGATACATGGGCAGATCTGTCATGTGGGAACACTGTGTTTCACTGAGGTATGGGGTATGGATGATCCTGTCACTCAGGCATTGAGCACAGCACCCAATAGGCAGTCCCTCAGCCCTCCCTCCCTCCCTCCCTCCCTCCCTCCCTCCCTCCCTCCCTCTGTCCCTCCCTCTCTCCCTCCTCCAGCAGTCTCTAGTATCTATTGCTCCCAACTCTATGTCCATGTGTATTTAATGTTTAGTTTTCACTTGTAAGTGAGAACATATACTATTTGGTTTTCCATTACTGTGTTAATTCACTTTGGACAATGGCCTCCAGCTGCATTCCTGTTGCTGTGACTGACATGATTTCATTCTTTTTTAATGGCTGCATAGTATTCCATAGTGTATTATGTACCATGTTTTCTCTATCAAGTCCACCACTGATGGGCATATAAGTTGATTCTACATCTTTGTTAGTGTGAAAAGTGCTTCAAATAACATACGAGTGCATGTGTCTTTTTGGTAGAGCTATTTATTTTCCATTGGGTACATACACAGTAATGGGATTGCTGGGTCCAATGGTAGTTGTGTTTTAAGTTCTTTAAGAAATCTCCAAACTGCTTTCCACAGTGGCTGAACTAATTTACATTCCCAACAGTGTATAAGTGTCCCCTTTTCTTCATGGCCTCACCAGCATCTGTTATTTTTTGACTTTTTAATAGTAGCCATTCTGCATGGTATGAGATGGTATTTCATTGTGGTTTTGATTTGCATGTATCTGATGACAAGTGATGATGAGCATTTTTTCATGTGTGTTGGCTGCTTGTATATCTTCTTTTAAGAAGTATCTGTCCCTGTCCTTTGCCCATTTTTTAATTTTTTTTTTTTTTTGCTTGTTAATTCCTTACAGATTCCAGATACTAGTCCTTCGCTGGATGCATAGCTTGTGAATATTTTCTCTGACTCTGTAAGTTGCCTATTTACTCTGTTAATAGTTTCCTTTGCTGTAAACAAGCTCACCAAACAGAAATTCTTGGGTGGTTTAAAATATTGAACCATTTGAAATTAAATGAGTCACTTAACTTTTCTGAATTGCTTTTTTGCTTGGTCTTTAAGTTTTAATGAAACCTTTTCTTGAAAAAGTAGGCAATATATCATTTACTTTACATATTGGGATGGAATAGTTCTGATTATACTAGATATTCTGGTTAGCAAAATGGAGAAAAATGGATGTGGATGATCGTATGAACAATGTGTGGGGACCAAGAGACTTAGGACATATAAGTATGTAATAGTTTATAGAAAGCTCTGTGAAGTAAATAAATAGTTATGGCTTTATCTACTCCAACAGAAAAAAAGATATAAATAAAACCTGATGGGATTAAAGTGTGTGCCTCTAAGATGGTTTACCTATTTTAGGCATGATGATTAGTGCAGTAAGTCGTAATTTTCAGCATTTAGGCATTCTTTCAAAATAATATATATTATAGGCTCCTATAATCCATAGGAATATTTTTACTTATTATTCACCATTCTTTCTGCACAACATATCCCTTATCTTTAAAGGGAATAATATATCTCCACTGATAGGTAAGAATACCCTCAGGTCCTAGAACTGATAAGAAGTGGAGTGGAGCCTTTGCAAAATCTGTTGATAAATTATTTAGAACTGACTGAGCTGGAAAACCACCAGGAGAGAAAAAATTTGGTAAATGATGTAGAAATCCTAGAAATCATCAATACTGGAATATTTTAAAGCCCCTTCCCTTTTCTTTTTCACCTCTCACTACACCAATCAGGTCTCCAAATGTCTGAACCCTCTGGTCAAATTCTATTTCAGAGAATCTACTTATGGAAATGGCACAGCAGACATTAAAGATGCCATTAAACCGACATCTGCTCCCAGACACGTGAACCTTAAATGGTCCAAAATCATATAATGTGCCATGCCAACTTAAGAGAAATAAAAAGACAGAGGCAATAAAGAAGAAACAAAGTAAAAATACACTTAAATGAAATTTTTATTTAAATGTGTGCAGATGTGCATGTGCATGTACACACACATTAATATGCTCAACTTGTTTTAGATTCATGGCATTGTATCACAATTAGAATACTATAAGCTCAATTCTGATAATGGCATATATTTTACATTATTGTTAAAGAACTAATCATTATACTCTTAACAAAGTGTTATATTATCATTGATGCCATTTACATCTCTGCAACCTTTGATCATACAGAGAAAGGTTCTTTTCTGGTTATTTCAAAATAAGCCAAAACAAATGTATCTGATAAAATAAAGATATACATCAACCAATATGCATTGTCATCTCAAAGAACTGAAATTCTTTTTCTAGCACTAGGACCCTAAAGATATTCTCAGCACCTCCATTTCCAAAATACACTTGAAATTAATGGAAATTTGAATTATACCCACTGACTCTATTTTAAAAAATATTTTTACAAAGTAGAAAATTGTTTCCACTCAGTAAAAATGATGGATTATTCTACAGTGTGAAAAAATTAATGAGCAGATGGAATACCAACCCATTATTCATTAAAATATTGCACTGGGTTAATTCAGCAAATAAAAATGGAGAAAAGAGCAGATGGCCGTTTATAGTTCTCTTGATTTCTCAAACTACTTCTTTACAGCCAGAACTGCTCCTATATTTAACTTGAAATGCACAGCTCTTACCATATGCACAGTAAGCAAGCATTCATGTGACCTCATAAACTTTTCATATAAAACAGCAATGATTTTTATGATTTAGTTAAAGGAGCACTATACACTTACAGACCAAGTTATTCCTATATCCCCAGTATTCTGTAGATAATTTAAATTTCCTAGCCTCAGTAGATCCTTGCCACCATGATCCGATCTGAAGTAGGTTCAAGTAGACACATGGGTAAAATTTCACAAAATAAAGTGATCAGCTTTGTTATAAACTGTGAAGTATGCCAAGCATACATTAAATTATTACAAACTAGGCCCAGTCTCTCTTAAGCCAACACATTTCTTGTTTTCATCATAACATGATCGTATAAATTATTGCATTAAAAATATTCTCTTCTATATAGAGCAATTTACTTCTCATGCAAGCCAACTGAATCAATCATTCTGGAAAACTGTTCAGCAGAATCTATTGCAACTAAACATACACATACCCTATGGCCCAGCAATTCCACTTTTAGGTATATACCCCACAGAAAAGAATACATATACCTACAAAGTTTATGGATATAAGTATTTATAGAGACACTATTTGTAAAAACTCATACCAAAAATAACCCAGATATAATCAAGAAATACATTGTGATGTATTTATACAATGGTATAATATAGGCAATGAAAATGAATGAACTACCACAAGAAAAACAACATAGGTGAACATCACAAACATAAAGTTGAGCAACAGAAGGCAAAGACAAGAACAAATACTGTATAATTCAATTTCTATAAACTTCAAAGTTTGGCAAAATCACTTTGTGATGACAGAAATCGGCATCATGGTTGATTTAGGGGAAAGGTAGAAAAAATGAGTGGGACAAAAAGTGGCTGTTGAGCGTCTGGTCATGCTCTTTTTCCTAATATAGGTAGGTGGCTGTTACACAGGTAGAGTCCCATTGTGAAAATGCATTGTGGAGAAGGGCAGAGCAAAATGGCAGAGTAAGATGCTCCATCAATCTTTCCCACACGAAAACAACAACATTAATAATTATCCATGCACAAAAATACTTTCACAAAAGCTAAGAAAGCCAGGTGATACAGCATAGTACCTGGCTATAGCATGACAATAAGAAAAGACACATTGAAGAGGGTAGGAAGGACAATTTTACATTAAACATGTCATCCATCTTTCAAACCCAGGAAGTACACTGCAAAAACAGGTAACTGTCCACTTGAAGAAAACAGAGAGAGCTGAGTAGAGGACTTTACCTTGGACTCCAACGTTGGGCCTGGTACAGTAAAATACAGCAACAGGCAGAACCCCCACAGCCCCATAATCCAAGATAGTACTCACAGACATCAGTTCTAGATCCACTGTGGCATAAGGAGAGACCACACAGCATCAGGCTTCAGGATAGTATGGCGAACTTGATCTCTGAGCCACACTACTGCTGGGACAACTTTAGTGGGCCCATACTCCAGAAAGCCCTCAGCAGCTCTGGGCATCTGGTGTGCCCCAGAGCAGCACTGGCCACATCTAACACAGGCTTCTGATAGTGCTGCACTAGCTGCTGCAGTGCCCAGGCTTCTGACCTGCCCAAGCACCACACCTGCTATAGAAGGCCTCAGACGTCTGGTGTGTCACAGAACTGTGCTGGCTACAGGAATTTCCCAGCCAAAATCAGTGTATGAAGAATGAAATAAGTACCTATTATTAAAAATACACAGACATCATGCTAAAAAAAAGATCAAGAACAATCAGGAAAACATAACATCACCAAATGAACAAAAATAAGATGCCAGCAACTGGCCACAAATAAATAGAGATGGATATACTGCCTGATAAAGAATTAAAAAATAACTATTTTAAGGAAGCTCAGTAAACAACAACAACAACAACAACAAAGATACAGATTCTGTGAAATGAGGGAAACAGGACTTCTGCCCACCACTGGGGTATTGCATATACCCACCTGCTTCAGCCACAGCTGGTTTTTACCTGTGGGCACCTCCTACTGGGGTGGAGGCTGACCTGTTTAACGCAGTTTAAAAAATACTAGGAAAAAATTTAAAACTGCACATCACTATTGAATGAATATACTTCATGAGACCTCTGCCATTCTGGCTCCACAGGAGACAGTGAACCTGCTCACACACCCAGCACATCACTACTATAACCAGCATCTGAGAAAGCCAAAGATTCTCCATAAACAACGAACTTATACAGAGTCTTTGCCATGGAAAGCACCCAGATCCAAAGCTAGGTGACCATAAACTATACATACTAAAGTCACATCCTCAAAAGGAATTTTTAAAAAATCCAGTTGAATCAAAACTAAATTAAGAAATAATCACAATAAATAGTCTACCAAAATGAGAAGTAACCAGAAAAATAATTCTCGTAATATGAAAAAAAAGAGTTCTGCAACACCCCCAAAAGATTATACTAACTCTCCAGCAGTAGATTCAAATCAAAATCAAATCTTTGATATACCAGACAAAGTATCCAAAATGCATATTATTAATTTGCTCAATGAGATCCAAGAGAAAGTTAAAACCAACATAAAGAAATGAAACAATTCAGGATACAAATAAGAAACATTAAAGATATTTATAAAAGAAAATATAAACAGAACTTTGGGAAATTATAAACACAGTTAGGGAATTACAAAATACAGTGGAAAGTTTCAACAAAAGACTAGACCAAGTAGAAGAAAGAATAAAGACAAAACTTACAAATTAACCCAATCAAACAAACAAAAAAGATTAAAAAGAACAAAGTCTCCAGTAGCTATAGGGATATATTCCTGAGGGAGAAGAAAAAGTTAAAAGTTTGAAAAAAACTATTTGAGGGAATAATTGAGGAAAACTTTCTTGGGCTTGCTAGAGATTTAGATATCCAAATACAAGAAGCTCAAAGAATTCCTGGGAGATTCATTGCAAAAAAGGACATCACCGAAGCATATAATCATCAGGCTATCTAAAGTCGACATGGAAAAAAGAATTCTAAGAGTAATGAGACAAAAGCATTGGATAACTTATAGGAAAAACCTATGAGACTAATAGTACACTTCTCAATGAAACCTTCCAAGCCAAAAGGGGTTGGGATCCTATCTTTAGTGTCTTCAAAAAGAATAACCGCCAGCCAAGAATTTTGAATCTGGCAAAACTAAATTTCACAAATGAAGGAGAAACAAAGTATTTCCCAGACAAGCAAATGCTGAGGGAACTTGTCACCACTAGACCAGCCTGATAAGAAATGCTAAAAGGAGTTCTAAATATAGAAACAAGGTCATTACACACCAGTATAAAAACACTTGAAAGCATAAAACTCACAGGGCTTATAAAACAGTAACACAATGAAAAAAACAAAGCAACTAGATAATAATTATTATGATGACTGGAGCAGAATCTCATATACAATATTAACATTGAATGTAAATGGTTTGAATGCCCCATTTGAAAGGTACAGATTGGCATAATGAATTTAAAAAGCACACCAAATATATGCTGTCTTCAAGGGACCCAATTAACTTGTAAAGGTTCATATAAACTCAAGGTCAAAAGGTGGGAAAAAATATTCCACACAATGAAAACCAAAAGGGAGTAGGAATAGCTACTCCTATATCAGATAAAACAGACTTTAAAACAGCACAGTAAACAAAGACAAAGAAGGTCATTATATAATAATAAAGGATCAATTCAACAAGAAGATATAGCAATCCTATATATATATATATGTGTGTGTGTGTGTGTGTGTGTGTGTGTGTACCTAACTCCAGAGCTCCCAAATTCATAAAACAAATACCACTAAATTTAAGAAAAGAGATAGCAACACAATAATAGTGGGGGAGTTCAACACTCTACTGACAGCATTAGACACTCTACTGACAGCATTAAGGCAGACAGCCAACAAAGAAACACTGGACTTAAACTGGAATCTAGAACAAATGGCCCTAACAGACATTTACAGAAAATTCTACCCAAAAACTGCAGAATACACATTCTTCTCATCAGCGCATGGTGCATTTTCCAACATAGACCATATGATAAGCCACAAAACAAGTCTCAATAAATCTTTAAAAATCAAAATTATATCAAGTATCTTCTCAGACAACACTGGCCCCAAACTAGAAATCAATTCCAAGAGAAACTCACAAAAGTATACAAATACATGGAAATTAAAGAATCTGCCCCTGAATGCTCTCTGGGTCAACAATGAAATCAGGTTTGAAATTAGAAAATTTTTTCAAAATGAATGACAATAGTGAAACAAGTTGTCAAATCTCTGGGATACAGTGAAAGCAGTATTAAGAGGAAAGTTTATAATGCTAATGCTTCATCAAAAGGACAGAAAGATCACAAACTTACAACATAACATCACTCCTCAAGGAACTAGAGAAACAAGTGCAAAGCAAACCCAAAGCTAATAGATGAAAAGAAACAACAAAGATGAGACCAGCAGTAAACAAAATTGAAACAAAAAAAATACAAAGGACCAATGAAACAAAAAGTTGATTATTTGGAAAGATAAAAAAATTGATATAACACTACTTAGATTAACCAAGAAAAAAAAAGAGAGAAGACTCAAAGCACAATTAGAAATTAAAATGAAGACATTACAATTGATACCACATACAAAAGATCATTTGAGACTATTATGAATAACTCATATACGTGCACACTAGGGAATCTAGAGAAAATAGATAAATTCCTGGGAACATGCGATCTTCCAAGCCTGAATCAGGAAGAAATAGAAATTTTGAACAGACTGATAACAAGCAGTGAGAATGAATAAGTAATTTTAAAAATCTCCCAACAAGAAAAAGCCCAGAACCAGAGATTCACAGCCAAACTCTACCAGATATTCAAAGAAGAATTGATACAATTCATACTAAAACTATTCCATAAAGTTAGTATCACCGTGATGCCTAACCCAGAAAAGGACAAAAAGAAAGAAAGAAAGAAAAAACTACAGACCAATATCCAATCCATGATGAACACTGATGGAAAAATCCTCAAAAAAATACTAGCAAACTGAATCCAACAACATATCAAAAAGACGATTCACCAGAATCAAGTACGTTTCATGCCAGGGATGCAGGGATGGTTCAACATACACAAGTCAATAAATCTGAACACATAAACAGGATTAAAACCAAAACCATATGATCATCTCAATAGAGGAAGAAAAATATTGATAAAATCCAGCATTCCTTTATGATAGAAACCTTCAAAAATTAGGAATAGAAGGAACATACTTCACAATAATAAAGACCATATAAGACAAACCCAAAGTTAATATCATACTGAATTGGGAGAACTTGAAAGCATTGCCCTTAAGAACTGGAGCAAGACAAGGATGCCCACACTCATCACTTCTACACAACATAGCTCTGGAAGTCCTAGCCTGAGCAATTGGGCAGTAGAAAGAAATAAAGGACATCCAAATTGGAAAAGAAGAAGTCAAACTATCTGTTTGCTGATGATATGACCTTATACCTAGAAAAACCTAAAGACTCTTCCAAAAGACTCCTTGATTTCATAAATGAACTCAGTAACGTCTCAGGTTACAGATCAATGTACACAGATCAGTAGCACTGTTATATACCAACAATGGCCAAGATGAAAATTAAATCAAGAACTCAAACCCTTTTACAATAGCTACAAAAAATAAAAAATAAAATATCTAGGAATATATCTAACCAAGAAGGTAAAAGATCACTACAAGGAGAAATACAAAACACTGATGAAAGAACTCATAGATGGCACAAACTGGAAAATATTCCATGCTCATGGGTTGGAAGAATCAATGTTATCAAAATGACCATACTGCCCAAAGCAACCTACAGTTTCAACGCAATTCCTATCAAAATACCCAGATAGATCATTTTTCACAGAATTAGAAAAACAATCCTGAAATTTATATAGAACCAAAACACAGCTCTAATAGCCAAAGCAATCCTAAGAAAAGAGAGCAAATCTAGAGGCATCACATTATCTAACTCCAAATTACAGTATTAGGTTATGGTAATGAAAACAGCATGGCACTGGTATAAAAGCAGACACAGAGACCGGTGGAACAGAACAGACACAGAGAAACAAAGCTAAATATGTACAATAAACTAATCTTTGACAAAGCAGACAAAAACCTACACTGGGGAAAGGAATTTGTATTCAGTGAACGGTGTTGGGAAAATTAAATAGCCATGTGCCAAAGGATAAAACTGGATCCTTATTTGTCACCAGATACAAAAATTAACTCAAGATGGAATAAGGACTTACATCTAAGATCTTAAATCATAAAAATTCTAGAAGAAAACTTAAGAAAAAATATTCTGGATATTGGCCCATGCAAAAAAAATTATAACTTAAGACTCCAAAAACGAATGCGAAAATAAATAAATAGGACATAGCCAAACTGAAAAACACAGCAAAAGAAATAATCTACAGAGTAAACAGACACCCTATGGGATGGGAGAAAATATTAGCAAACTATACACTTGAGAAAGAAATAATATCCAGAATCTACAAGGAACTCAAATCATCAAGAAAAAAAAATAAATAATCTCAATAAATGTAAGGAAATAACACGAACAGACATATCTGTTCATATTTTTCTCAAAAGAAATTATACAAATGGCAAAAAATATGAAAAATGCTCAATGTCACCAATCATCAGGAAAATGCAAATTAAAACCACAATAAGATACTACCTCACCCAGCCAGAATGACCTTTTTTTTTTTTTCTTTAACTTTTATTTTAAGTTCAGGGGTACATGTGCAGGTTTGTCATGTAGGTAAGCTTGTGTCATAGCGTTTGTGTACAGATTATTTAATCACCCAGGTACTAAGCCTAGCATGCATTAGTTATTTTTCATGATCTTCTCCCTCCTCCTACCCTTCGCCCTCCAGTAGGCTCCAGTGTATGTTGTTGCCCTCTTTGTGTCCATGTATTCTCATCATTTAGCTCCCATTTAAAAGTGAGAACATGTGGTATTTGGTTTTCTGTTCCTGCATTAGTTTGCTAAGGATAATGGTCTCCAACTCTATCCATGTCCCTCCAAAGAACATGCTCTCACTTTGTTTGTTTTTTATGGCTGCATAGTATTACATGGTTTACATATGCCACATTTTATTTATCTAGGCTATCATTGAGGGGCATTTAGTTTGAATCTATGTCTTTGCTATTATAAATAGTGCTGCAATGAACGTATGCAAGTGTGTGTCTTTATAGTCGAAAAATTTACATTTCTTTGGGTATACATTTAGTGATGAGATTGCTAGGTTGAATGGTATTTCTGTCTTTAGGACTTTGAGGAATCACCACACTGTCTTCCACAATAACTGAACGAATTTACATTCCAACCAACAGTATATAAATGTTTCTTTTTCTCCACAACCTTGCCATCATCTGTTCTTTTTTGACTTTTTAATAATAGCATAATGGCCATTATTAAAAAGTCAAAAAATGATAGATGTTGACACGGATGTAGTGAAAAGGGAAAGCTTATACACTGCTGCTGGTGACATAAATTAGTACACCCTATATGGAAACCGGTATGAAGATTTCTCAAGGAACTAAAAATAGATACACCATTTGATCCAACAATCCCACTACTGGGTATCTACCTAAAGAAAAAGAAGTCATTATATCAAAAAGGTGCCTGCCTGCATATGTTTATTGCAGCACAATTTACAATTTCAAAGATATTATATCAACCTAACTGCTCATCAACTGATGAGTTAATAATGAAAATGTAATATACACACAGCATGTATATACACACACCATGGAATATTACTAAGCCATAAAAAACCAAAATAATGTCTTTCACAGCAACTTGGATGGAGCTGGAGGCCATTATCCTAGGTGAAGTAACTCAGAAATGGAAATCCAAATACCATATGTTCTTATGTATAAATGAGAGCTAAGCCATGGATATGGAAAGACATACAGAGTGATATAATAAACACTGGAGATTCACAAGGGGAGAGGGTGGAAGGTGAGTGAAGGATGAAAAATTACCTGTTGAGTACCATGTACACTATTTGGTTGACAGGTATACTAAAAACCCTAACCTCAGCAATATACAATTCATCCATGTAATCAAAAACCACGTGTATTTCCAAAGCTATTGAAACAAAAAAAATTGTTTTAATTCAAAACAGGGAAACAATAAATGATAAGAATAAGAAACTGAATAGAGAGCTTGGAATTTTTTTTAAATCAAACAAATCCTGGAGCTGAAAAAAAAAAGAAATTAAAAAAATGCAATAGAGAACATCACAGCAGAATTGATCATGGAGAAAAAGTACTTGTGTACTTGAATACAGGTTATTTGAAAAAATATAGTCAGAAGAAAAATAAAAAAGAAAGAAAAGGAATGAAGAAAGGATTCATGAAACAACATCAAAAAATCAAATATTCAAGTCATAAGAATGTAAGAGGGAGAATAGAAAGATAAAGGGCTATAAAGCTTATCTAAAAAACTAGTAGCAGAAGACTTTCCAAACCTAGAAGAAGATGTAAATATTCAGGCTGAAGGTCACCAATCAGATTCAAACCAAATAAGACTACCCTAAGACATATTCTAATCATGCTGTCAAAATAAAAAACAAAGAGAGAGAGAGAGAGAAAAAAAATCCTGAAAGCAGCAAGAGAAAAAAAAATAACATATAAAAGAGTTCTAATACATCTAATACACCTAGCAGCAAATTTCTCAGGAGAAATCTTACAGGTCATGAGAAATGGGATGATAAATTCAAAGTTCTGAAGGATCCTAGCACTTAGCAAGGCCAAGACAGGAGTATTACTTGAGGCCAGGAGTTTGAGACCAGCCTTGGCAACATAGCAAGACTCCATCTCTACAAAATATTTGAAAAATTAGCCAGGCACGGTGGTGCACGCCTGTAGTTTCAGCCACTCAGGAGGCTGCGGCTGGTGGATCACTTGAGCGCATGAGGTTGATGCTGCAGTGAGGTATGATTGTGCCACTGCACTCCAGCCTGGGTGACAGAGTGAGGCCTTGTCTCAAAAACAACACAAAACAAAAACAAAAACAACAAAGTTCTAAAGAGAAAAAAGAAAAGCTACCAACCAAATATTCTGTAGCCATAAGGCTCTCCTTCAGAATGGAATCAGAAATAAAGATTTTCCCAAGCAAGCAAATACTAGCGAAGTTCATCAGTACCATAAACATCTTAAAAGAAATGCCATCTTAAAATTGAAAGAAAAAAATGATAATGAGTAATGCAAAAATACCTGAAAGTATAAAACTTACTGGTAAAAGTAAGAACACAATGAAATTTGGAATACTCTAATATTATAATGGTGGTGTGTAAATCACTATACCTTTAGTACAAAGGTTAAAAGACAAAACTATTAAAAATAAAAATAGCTCTAATAATTTACTAAAGGATATAAAATACAAAACAATATAAATCGTGACATTAAAAATTCAAAATGTGGGAAAAGGGAGTGGTGTAAAAGCATATCTTATGTGTGTGTACACGTGTGTGTGTCAGAGTGTGATCGAAGTTCTCATCAGTTTAGAATAATCTTTTATAGCTACAAGATATATTTTCTAAGTCTCATGGTAATGATATAGCAAAGGTCTATAGTAGATACACATAAAATAAAAAGCAAGTTATCAAACTGTACCACTAGAGAAAATCACCTAGTCACAAAGGAAGACAGCAAGAGAGAAAGAAAAGAAGATCTACAAAACAACTAGAAAACGATGAATGAAATGGCAGTAGTAAGTCCTCACATATGAATGCTCACTTGAATGTTAATATATTATATTCTCTAAAAAAAAAAGACCCTGGCCAGGTGCGGTGGCTCATACCCATAATCCCAGCACTTTGGGAGGCCAAGCCGGCATATCACCTGAAGTTGGGAGTAGGAGACCAACCTGGCCAACATGAAGAAACCCTGTCTCTACTAAAAATACAAAATTAGCCTGGCATGGTGGCACATGCCTGTAATCCTAGCTACTCAGGAGGCTGAGGCAGGAGAATTGCTTGAACCCAGGAGGCGGAGGTTGTGGTGAGCTGAGATCGCGGTGAGCTGAGATCGCGCCATTGCACTCCAGCCTGGGAAACAAGAGCGAAATTCCACCTCAAAAAAAAAAAAGACCCAATTATAAACTGCCTACAAGATACTCACTTCACTAGTAAGTATGCACATGCATAGACTAAAGGTGAAAGGATGGAAAAAGATATTCCATGCAAATGGAAGCCAAATGAGGACTGGAATAGCTATGCTTATATCAGATAAAATAGAATTTAAGTCTGCAAAAAGAGACAAAGAATTTCATTACATACTGATAAAGGAGTCAATTCAGCAAGAGGATATTATAAATATATATGCACCTCAAAATGCAAAAAAATTCAAAATAAATCAGAGAAGAAATTCATAATTTTATCAGATAAATTTAACAAATGATTGAAATAAGTAAAAAGAATCAAGCAGAAATTCTGGAGCTGAAAAATGAAGTGGGCATACTGAAGAATGCATCAGAGTCTTTTAGTAGTAGAATTAATCAAGCAGAAGAAAGAATTAGTGAGCTTGAAAACATGCTATTTGAAAATACACAGTTGGCTGGGCACGGTAGCTCACGCCTGTAATCCCAGCACTTTGGGAGACAAAGGTGGGTGGATCACTTGAGGTCAGTAATTCAAGACCAGCCTGGCCAACAGGGAAACACCCCATCTCTACTAAAAATACGAAAAACAAAAAAAAAATTAGCTGGGCGTGGTGGTGTGCGCCTGTAATCCCAGGTACTCGGGAGGCTGAGGCAGGAGAATCACTTGATCCCAGGAGGCAGAGGTTGCAGTGAACCAAGATCACACCACTGCACTCCAGCCTGGGTGACAGAGCAAGACTCCATCTCAAAAAAAAAAAAAAAAAAAAAAAAAAAGAAAGAAAGAAAATACACAGTCAGAGGAGACAAAAAAGAAAAAAGAATAAAAACAATGAAGCATACTTACAAAATTTAGAAAATGTCCTAAAAAGGGCAAATCTAAGAGTTATTGGCCTTAAAGAGGAGGTAGAGAAAGAAGTAGGGGTAAAAAGTTTACTTAAAGGAATAATAACAGAGAACTTCCCAACCCTAGAGAAATATATCAATATCCAAGTACAAGAAGATTATAGAACACCAGGAAGATTTAACCCAAAGAAGACTACCTTAAAGCATTTAATAATCACACTCTCAAAGGTCAAGGATAGAGAAAGGGTCCTAAAGGCAGCAAGAGAAAATTGACAAATAACATACAATGGAGCTCCAATATATCTAGAAGCAGACTTTTTAGTGCAACTCTTACAGGCCAGGAAAGAGTGGCGTGACATTTTTAAAGAGCTTAAGGGAAAAAAAATATTGTACCCTAAAATAGTATATCCAGTGAAATTATCCTCCAAACATGAAGGAGAAATACTTTCCCAGATCAAATAAATAAATAAATAAATAAAATGCTGAGGAATTTAGTCAACACCAGACTTGTACTACAAGAAATGCTAAAGGGAGTATTTTAGTCTTAAAGTAAAGGATGTTAATGAGCCAAAAGAAATCATCTGAAATTACAAAACTCACTGGTAATAGTAAGTACACAGAAAAACACAGAATATCATAACACTGTAATTGTGGTGTGTAAACTATCCTTTTCTTAAGTAGAAAGACTAAACAATGAACCAATCAAAAATAACTACAACAACTTTTTAAAGACAGACATAGTACAATAAGATAGTAATATAAATAGAAATAACACAAAGTTAAAAAGCAAGAGAAGGGATGAAGTTAAGGTATAGAGATTTTGTTAGCTTTTTTTGCTTGTTTGTTTATTTGTTTATGCAAACAGCGTTTAGTTGTTATCAGCTTAAAATAATGGGTTATGACATAGTATTACCTTTATACCAAAGTCAAAGACATATTAAAGAAAGAAAACTATAGGCCATTATCCTTGATGAATATGGATGCAAAAAATTCTCAACAAAATGCTAGCAAACCAAATTCAACAACACATTAAAAAGACCATTCATCATGATGAAATGGGATTTATCTCAGGGATGCAAAGATGCTGCAACATTTGCACATCAGTTAATGAGATACCTCATACCAACAAAATGAAGTACAAAACCATTTGATGATTTCAACTGATGCTAAAAATGTATTTGGTAAATTTCAATATTCCTTCAAATAAAAACCCTAAAAAAAAAACTGGGTATAGAAGGAACATACCTCAACATAATAAAAACCTTACATGACAGACCCATAGCTGGCATCATACTGAATGGGGGAAAACTAAAAGCCTTTTTTCTGAGATCAGGAACACAACAAGGACGCCCCCTTTTCTACCATTATTACATATGGTATTGGAAGTCCTAGCTAGAGCAATCGGACAAGAGAAAGATATAAAGGGCATCCAGTTTGGAAAGAAAGAAGTCAAATTGTCCTTGTGTGCAGATGAAATGATCCTATATTTGGAAAACCCTAAAGATTTAACTAAAAAACTGATAGAATTGATAAACAAATTCAGTAAAGTTGCAGGATACAAAATCAACATATAATATAATTAGTATCATTTTGATATGCTAACAGTGAACAATCTGAAAAAGAAATTAAAAAGTAATCCCATTTAGAATAGCTGCACATAAACTTAAATACCTAGAAATTAACTTAACCAAAGAAGTGAAAGATTTCTTCAATGAAAACTATAAAACACTGATAAAAAAATTGAAGAGGACTCCAAAAATGGAAATATATTCCATGTTCATAGATTGGAAGAACACTAAATATTGTTAAAATATCCATGCTACCCAAATCATTCTACAGATTCAGTGAAATTCCTATAAAAATACCAGTGATGTTCTTCACAGAAATAGAAAAAAAGTCCTAAAATTTATGTGGAACCACAAAAGACTCAGAATAGTCAAAGCTATGCTGAGCAAAAAGACCAAAACTAGAAGAGTCACCTTACCTGTCTTCAAATTATACTACAGAGCTATAGTAACTAAAAGGGCATGGTACTGGCAAAAAAAAAAAACAGACATCTAGACCAAAGGGACAAAACAGAGAACACAGAAACAAATTTATACACCTACAGCAAACTCATTTTTGACAAAGATACCAAGAACATACACTGGAGAAAAGACAGTCTCTTCAATAAATGGTACTTGATAAACTGGATATCCAATGCAGAAGAATGAAACTAGGCCCCTTTCTCTTGCCATATACAAAAATAAAATCAAAATGGATTCAAGACTTAAATATGAGACTTCAAACTATGAAACTGCTAAAAGAAAACATTGGAGAAACTCTCCAGGGCATTGGACTAGGTAAAGATTTCTTGAGTAATACCCCACAAGTATAGGCAACCAAAGCAAAAATGGACAAATGGAATCACATCAAGTTAAAATGCTTATGCACAGCAAAGATAACAATCAATGAAGTGAAGAGACAACCCAAAGAATGGGAGAAAATATCTGCAGAATACCCATCTAATAATGGATTAATAACTAGAATATAAAAGGAGCTCAAACAACTCTACAAGAAAAAAAATCTAATAATCCAATTTAAAAATGGGCAAAAGATCTGAATAGACAATTCCCAAAAGAAGACATACAAATGGAAAAAAAAATATGAAAATATGCCAAATGTCACTGATTATCAGAGAAACGCAAATCAAAACTACAATGAAATGTCATCTCCCTCCTAGTTAAAAGTGCTTTCATCCAAAAGTCAGGCAATAACAAATGTAGGTGAGAATACAGAGAAAAGGGAATCCTCATACACTGTTGGTGGGAATGTAAATTAGTACAACCAGTATGGAAAACAGTTTGGAGGTTCCTCAAAAAACTAAAAATAGAGCTACTATACTATCCACCTTTCCCACTACTAGGTATAAACCCAAAAGAAAGGAAATCAGTACATCAAAGAGATATTTGCACTCATGTTTATTGTAGCACTATTCTATTCACATTAGCCAAGATGTGGAAGCAACCCAAGTGTCCATCAACAGATGAATGAGTAAAGAAAACACAGTACACATACACAAAGGAGTATTATTTAGCCATAAAAAATGAGATCCTGTGATCTACAACAACATAGATGGAACTGGAGATTATTATGTTAAGTGAAAATAAGCTAGGCACAGAAAGACAAACTTCACATCTTATAACTTATATGTGGGAGATAAAAATTAAAATAATTGATCTCATGTAGACAGAGAGCAGAAGCATTGTTTCCAGAAGCTAGAAAGGGTTTGGTGGGAGGGAAAGTGGGGATAGTTAATGGGTAAAAAAATATACAGAAAGAATGAATAAGACCTAGTATTGGCTAACACAACAGGGTGACTATAGTCCAAAGTAATTTAACTATATAAATTAAATACAGAAATACAAAATACAGAAAAAGCAATTCTATGAGGGATGTTTATAGCAATACACACCCATATCAAAAAACAGAAAGATCTAAAATAATCTAAGGCTGCAAGAAATTAGGCAAAAATGCAAAAGTAAGCCAGAGGTTATAAGAAGGAAGAAAATAATAAAGACCCAAACAGAAATAAATAAAACAGAGTCAAGAAAAACAATATAAAAGACTAACAAAACTAAAATGTGTTTTTTTGAAAAGATAAACAAAACAGATAAAAAGTTTAGCTGTAATAAGACAACAGAAAGAAAACCCAAATAAATTGGAAATTAAAAAGGAGACATTACTGACACAACAGAAATAGAAAGGATCATAAGAGACTTTTATGAACAATTATACATAAAAAATTAGATAACCTAAAAGAAATGCATAATTTCCTTGATGCTTACAACCTACTCAGACTGAATTATGAAGAAATAGAAAATTTAAACAGATCAAAAATGAATAAGGAGATTGAATCAGTAATAAAAAATCTCTAATCAACAAAAAGCCCAGGACCTGGTGGCTTTACTGCTGACTTTTATCAAACATTTAATGAAGAACTAAAAACAATTCTTTTCAAACTCCTCCAAAAATTTAAGAGAAGGAAAAGCTTTTTTTTTTTTTTTTTTTCTCTTGAGATGGAGTCTCATTCTATTGTCCAGGCTGGAGTGCAGTGGTGCTATCTTGGCTCACTGCAACCTCCGCCTCCCAGATTCAAGTGATTCTCCTGCCTCAGCCTCTGGAGTAGCTGGGAATACAGGCATGTGCCACCATGCATGGCTAATTTTTTGTACTTTTAGTAGAGACAGGGTTTTGCTATGTTGGCCAGGCTGGTCTCGAATTCCTGGGATCAAGCAATCCACTTGCCTCGGCTTCCCAAAGTGCCAGAATTACAGGCATGAGCCACCATGCCTGGCCTAGAGGAAACACTTTAAAAAAAAATTACAAGGCTAGCATCACCCTGATACTAAACACAAACATACTACAAAAATAAAAATTCAGACCAATACACTTGATGAATATAGATGCAAGAATTATCAACAAAATACTAGCCAACTGAATTCAACAGCATTATTACAAAAGATCATTCACCATGATCAAATGAAATTTATCCCAGGGATGCAAGGATGATTCAACTTATGTAAATCAGCAAATGTGGCACATCACATTGACAGAATGTAGGGCAAAAACCATATAATCATTTCAACAGATGCAGAAAAAGCATTTGACAAAATTCAATATGCTTTCATGACACAAATTCTCAACAGATTAGGTATGGAAAAAATGTACCTCAACACAATATAGGCCATAGATGACAAACCCAAAGCTAACATTATACTCAATAGGAACACTTTGAAAGCTTTTACTCAAAGATTCAGAGCAAGACAAGGATGCTCACTCTCTTCACTCCATTCAACATAGTATTGGACATTCTAGCTAGCTAGAGTAGTTAAGCAAGAAAAAAAAAGGTGTCTAAAGTGGAAAAAAAAAAAAGGTAAATTGTCCCTGTTTGCAGACTCTACACACACACAATACACATAAAAACTGTTAGAAATAATAAGCAAATTCAGTAAGGTAGTAGCATATAAAATCAGCAAACAAAAATAAACATTTTCTATTGACTAAGAGCAAACTATCTAAAAAAGAAATCAAGAAAATAATCCCATTCAAAATAGCATCAAAACATAAAACAATTAGAAATAAATTTAACCAAGCAGGTAAAATATCTCCATACTGAAAACTGTAAAACATTGATGAAAGAAATTGAAGATAGTACAAACAAATGAAACGATATCCTGTGTTCATAGCTTAGAAAAATTAATATTGTTACATTGTCCATACAACTTGCTATTGTTTAAACATAATTTGTCCCCACCAAAATACATATTGAAGCTTGGTTCCCACTGTAACAGTACTGAGAGGAAGTGGGACCTTAATAGGCCTTTGCATCATTAGGGATCCACCCTCATTAAGGGAGTAATGCCATCTCTCAGGAAACTATGAGTTATCACTCTTGCAAGACTAGATAAATTATCACAAGAGTAAGTGGTTATAAAGTGAAGCCACCTGTTGGATTTGGTCTCATCTTGGCATGCTTCCAGTTGCTCTTGCATATGCTCCTGCCACGTGATGCCATCCATCTTGTAATGATGCAGTTTGAAGCCTTTGCTACATGCAGTTGCCCAACCTTGAACTTCCCTGTCTGCAGAAGCATGAGGTAAAGAAACCTATTTTCTTTGTAAATTACTCAGTCTCTGGTATTCTGTTGGAGCAATACAAAATGGACTAAAACACTCCCCAAAACAATTACAAATTCAATGCAATCCCTATCAAAATATCAATGCCATTCTTCACAAAAATAGAAAAAAAAAATCCTAAAATTTATGTGGAACCTACAAAAAAACCTGAATAACCAAAGAAATGTTGAGCAAAAAAAATAAATAAATAAAGCTGGAGGCATCTTAATACCTGACTTGAAAATATACTACAAAGCTACAAGAACAAAAACGGCATGGTATTGGCATAAAAACAGACACAGACCAATGGAACAGAAGAGAGAACCCAGGAATAAATCCTTACATTTACAGTTGACTGACTTTCAACAAAGGTTCTAAGAACACACAATGGGAAAAGGAAAGTCTCCTTAATAAATGCTGCTGAAATAAAAAACAACTACATATAGAAAAATGATATTAGACCCTTATCGCATACTATATATAAAGATCAACTCAAAATGGATTGAAGACTTCATTGGAAGACATGAAACTATTAGAAGAATATTAGGAGAAAAGTTCTATGACACTGGTCTGGGCAATGACTTTTTAAATATGACCCCAAAAGCACAGACAACAAAAGCAAGAATAGATCAATGGGATTACACCAAACTAAAAATCTTCTGCACAGCAAAGAAAACAATCAAGTGAAGAGACAGGACACAGAAGGGGAGAAAGTATTTGCAAACCATACATCTGACAAGGGATTAGTATCCAAAATGTATAAGGAACCCAAACAACTGAATAATAAGAAAACAATCTGCTTAAAAAATGGGCAAAGGATCTAAATAGACATATATCAAAAGAAGACATTCAAGGCCAGGTATGGTGGCTAATGCCTGTAATCATAGCACTTTGGGAGGCTGAGGCGGGCAGATCATCTGAGGTCAAGAGTTTGAGACCAGCCTGGCCAACATGGTGAAAACCTGTCTCTACTAAAAATACAAAAATTAGCCAGGCACGGTGGTGCATGCCTGTAGTCCCAGCTACTCGGGAGGCTGAAGCAGGAGAATCACTTGAACCTGGGAGGTGCAGGTTGCAGTGAGCTGAGATTGCACTACTGCACTTCAGCCTGGACGACAGAGCTAGACATCATCTTAAAAAAAAAAAGACATTGAAATACCCAAGAACCATATTAAATATGCTGAATGTCACTAATCAGGGAAATTTAAATCAAAGCCATAATAAGATATCTTTTTACTCCAGTTAGAATGAGTATTATATTATCAAAATGACAAAAGATACTAGCAAGACAAAAGTACTATCAAGATAATAATACTAGCAAAAGTCCTAACAAGATAATGACTGTTATCAAAAAGACAAAAGAAACTAGCAAGACAAAAGTAGTAGCAAGGATGTGGGAAAAAATAAACCCTTATATACTTTTGATGGGAATGTAATTAATACATCCATTATGAAAAAAACTTAATGGAATTACCATATGATTCAGGAATCCCACTACTTTGTAGGTATATATCCAAAGAGAATTAAATCAGTATACATATTTATTGCAGCATTACTCACAAAAGTCACAATATGGAGTCAATTAAGTGTCCATCAGTGGACAAATGGACAAAGAAAATGTGGTATATATACACAGTGGAACACTAGTCAACCATAAAATATATGGAAACCTTGCCATTTGCTATAGCATGGATGAATTTGGAGGACATTAAGTAAAATAAGCCAAGCACAGAAATACAAATACTGCACGATCTCACTTACATGTGGAACCAAAAATGTTGATCTCACAGAACTAGAGAGCAGGGAATGGTGTTTACCAGGGGCTGGGGAGGTTAGGGAAGGAGGAGAGATGCTGGTAAAAGGATATAAAATTTCAGTGAGTTAGGAGGAATAACTTCAAGAGATCTACTATATAGCATGGTGACTACAGTTAATTATATATTGTATTATTGAAAAATACTAGAAGAGTGGATATAAACTAATAGCTATGTAAGATAATGGATATGTTAATTAGCTACTTAGTCATTTTACAATGTGTATATACCCAAAAATATCATATTTTGCTCAGTAAATGCATATAATTTTTCTGTCAATTAAAAATTTAAAAAAATGTATTGAATTGCATACTTATGATTTGTGAACTTCGTAGCAGGTATGACAGACTTTTACTTTTTTTTAAGTTTACATTAAAACATAACTAAACCCTATAAAAAGGAAGAAAAAAGTCCTCTATAATAGTGCCAAGTATAGTCCAGAAATTTATGTTATTATTAATAGCAATTATATTGAATCACAATTAATACATTAATTAGTAATATAGTACAACAAATATGGTCTAAATAAATATTTTTCCATGCAACCATTTAAGCTCCATATTCAAAGAAAGTCCTCAGTAACTTCCCATTGATACAGTTACCCCACTGTAAAAGACATGCATTGTTTTTTCCAAGTATCTGACTGTTCTCTGCTAAGAGTACCCTAAATTTCATTTGTGAAATTCCCTTCCCCAATTCCCCTCCATATGGTCTGTGCCCAGTGGTGGTATTCCCAACTCTGCAAGTGAACCCTCAATGGCTCAGCCAGTGTTTCTCTCAGGGACAATGTTCTAATTGGGGCAGAAAAATTCTTTGTTGTATGGGACTGTCCCATGCACTGTATCATGGTTAGCTTCCCTGGACCTTATAAAAGGTTTCAGTAGCCTGTAGGGCCTGAAATTTTTATTACATTTCTCCAGGAGCTCAAGGCTGCTCTTCTGTATAAGATACCAAAGACAAAAGACCAGGGATAATGTCTTATTCATTGTTATGCCACTTAAGCCTAACAGTACCTGGGACATGTTAGCTTGTCAATATTAGGTTATTTGGCATGCATTCAATAAATGTTTATTGAGCACCTCTATGTGCCAGGCATGGTCCTAGAAAATTGGGATAGACTGGTGAAGAAAACAGACCAAATCTTCTACATATTAAGTTTCACTTCTAGTGAGGGAGAAAAAGAGATGTTGAGGCTAGGTGTGGTGGCTCATACCTGTAATCTCAGCACTTTGGGAGGCTGAGGTGGGCAGATCACTTGAGATCAGGAGTTCAAGACCAGTCTGGCCAACATGGTGCAACCCCATCTCTACTAAAAATACAAAAATTAGCTGGGGGTGGTGGCACATGACTGTAATCCCAGCTACTTGGGAGGGTGAGGCAGGAGAATCTCTTGAACTCAGGAGGCGAAGGCTGCAGTGAGCTGAGATCGAGATTGTGTCACTGCACTCCAGCCTGGGCAATAAGAGCGAAACTCTGTCTCAAAAAACAAAAAACAAACAAAAAGATGTTGAACAAGTAACAAACTCAAATAGAATGAATGCAGATAGTCATAAGTGCTGTGAACTTAGGTAAATATGATAGTGTAAGAGAAATAAAATGGAAGGGGGCTGTTTGCTTTAGCGATTCTCAACCAGGGATTATTTTGTCCCTGAAGCCATTTGGTGATACCTAAAGACATTTTTAATTGTCACTAATAAGGCAGCTAGTTCACAGAGGCTAGGGATGCTAAGCATCTTACAATGCACAGGACAGCCAACCACAAAGAATTAGACAATCCAAAATCTCAATAGCGTAGAGGTTGAGAAACTCATCTTTAGATAAGAGTGATCAGGGGAGGCCTCTCTAAGGAGGTCTCATTGGAGTTAAGACTTGACTGATGATAAAGAGCCGTATGAACAAAATCTTGGAGAAACAGCATTCTAAGCAAAGAGCACAGCAAGTTCAAAAGGCCTAGGGTACAAACCAGTTAGAATGGTTTGAAAAAAATTAAGAAGGGTAAAGGAGCTAAACTTAACCAGTATGGTGGAGAAAAGCACATTCAAAATGAGGTTGGGCAGAACGCATGGACTAGATGATCAAAGTCATGGTAAGATGTTGGAATTTTATTCTTAGTAGAAAGTGAAGCCATTGGGCGGGTGCTCACATCTGTAATCGCGGCACTTTGGGAGGTCGAGGTGGGCGGATCATGAGGTCAGGAGCTTGAGTCCAGCCTGATCAACATGGTGAAACCCTGCCTCTACTAAAAATACAAAAGCTAGTCAGGTGTGGTGGCACGCACCCGTAATCTCAGCTATTCAGGAGGCTGAAGCAGGAGAATTGCTCGAACTTGGGAGGTGGAGGTTGCAGTGAGCCGAGATGGCACCATTGCACACCAGCCTGGGTGACAGAGCAAGACTCCGTCTCAAAAAAAAAAAAAAAAAAAAAAAAAAAGAAAAGAAAAAGAAATTGAAGCCATTAAAACGTTTTAAGCAAGGAAATGACATAAATAGAGTTTTAAAAATCACCCTGCCTGTTGGATGCAAAATGGCAGTTAGAGGGGCAAAGGTGAAAACAAAGGGGCAAGTAAGAAGACTATGGCTGGGGTTCTAGAGAAATAGGATGATGACCTGGAAGCGTTCATGCATGGAGTGGCCAGATAAAACATAGAATCCTAGTTAAATTTTGATTTCAGATGAACAACGAATAATTTTTGGTATAAAATATCCCATGCAGTATTTGGAACATACTTATACAAAAAAATTATTTGTAGTTTATCTAAAATCAAAATTTAACTGGGCTTCCTGCATTTTATCTACAAAATCTGGCAACACTATGCATGCATGAATGGACAAATATATGCATATGTAAATAGAGGATGGAACATATTTGGAAAATGAGCCGATCTGCTACATTGCCCAAGTTCAAAAATGAAAGATAAATGATTTCTATATGTAGGAGAGGAAATATGTACAAATATATATTATTTATACAGGAGATCAGATAAGTACCTAATCAATTCTGAAATTTACATCTCCTACTCATTAGTTCAAAATCTCCAACTTGCTTCAGGATATCCCTCCAGTATCTCCATGAAAACTGGAACATATTTAAGAAATGGTTCTCATTGTCCCGTAAGTCCTCAACTTTCCATTTTCTGTCCCCATCATCCTGGAATCTCAAGTACAAGATCTTGGGATAGGCTTCTTTCCATGAATTTTATTTTCATATGTGAACTAATAAACTTTGCAAATTCTGTCACTTCTTTGGAAATTTCTTTTAAATTAGACCCTCAGATCTAGTTTCCACAGATCCACTTTTGTGTAGATCTGATTCCTGCTAATTTCTCACATGATTACCAAGATCCTCTCTCTAATTCCCTGTTAGCATTATGTCATTCTCACGTTTAAATCTTCTGGTGGTTCTCAAGATTGTGCAGAATTGCAAACCTGTCCTTCTTAGGCTGTATCATGACAGCAGACATCTTTAATTTGGCTCCTGCAGTGGTTTTTAAAAAGGAGTCAATGTTTAAAATGAAGAGCATTTTCTTTAAAATCTTTGTGTCTGGATGCCTTGAAAAATCTGAAGATCTAGACACCAGATCTGCATTTGCTCATGGCTGCAACAGCTGGAGTTGAATAGAAAATGTTCTCTTTAGACAGATTGTACAAGTCCTCACTTGCTTAGGTGTCTTGGCTGGAATCTGGTATTATGACTAGAATTGGATTCCACTCAAATGCCTTCCCAGCCAGCACTGGAGATCTCCAGAACTTTCCTGTTCCCCACTTCAGTACAAACTCTCAGTGAAGTCTATATCCTCAACATGCTCCTTTTTTTCCCTGCTCCCCTTGGCTTGGTCTTTCTTCCTACACCTCCAGTAGCCATGAGTACATGAATCCATATTTCCTCTTTCTCAATCCAGATTATTTTGACTTACTTTCTAAAATTGCTTTTGTATCAACATTGTTCATTACCTTGTTTTGCTTTTTGAAAGCTAACATGCATACATTCTGTAGGTGTTGTTGGGTACTTATCTCACCAAGACTACTGTCTCAGCTTCCTGAGGACAAAAGCTGTCTGGTGCTACTTCTTCCGGCAGTGCTGATCATCCAAAAACGGACTCAAAAAGTAGTTGTTGGCCAGGCGCGGTGGCTCATACCTGTAATCCCAGAGCTTTGGGAGGCCGAGGCAGGCAGATCATGAGGTCAGGAGATCGAGACCAACCTGGCTAACATGGCGAAACCCTGTCTCTACTAAAAAAAATACAAAAAATTAGCCAGGCATGGTGACATACACCTGTAGTCTCAGCTACTCTGCAGGCTGAGGCAGGAGAATCGCTTAAACCCGGGAGGCAGAGGTTGCAGTGAGCCAAGATCATGCCACTGCACTCCAGCCTGGGAGACAGAGTGAGACTCCGTCTCAAAAAAAAAAAAAAATAGTAGTTGTTGCATGAAATGACTGTTCTGCAATCTATTTGGCACACAAAGAGAAAAATGGGCTTGAATTTATTCCTTTTTCAAATGGTATACTAGTATGGTTTGAAACTTGTAATTTTCCCTGTTATCAACTAATCAAAAAAGCATGTATGAAATAGAAATTAAGCAAGTTCTTTTAACTTTTCTGTTTAAAGTAATTTGATAAAGCCCCTCTATTAAACCATTCTATCTCATTTTATTCTACAGGTAAATTTGATTCTATCACCAATAAAAACTAAAACTTCCATTATTTTTTTCTTACTTCTTATGAAATTATTAAAACTCAGAGATCCAATTTTCAATCATTTTAGGAAGGCTGATTATTTAAATGTTAAAGGCTTGAAATAAATAAAGCATTCTGTGGGTTTGTATGTATCTATTAAAACATAAGGGAATAGATGAGAAGCCTGAATTCTAAGAAAAATCTTCTATGTAAGTAAAAAGCAAAATCTACATAAATGAGTACATAGAAAACAATATTTTAAGTAATTTATTTTCGTCATGCACCTTAAAAAAGAACATGATTTAAAGAGAGGTTCTAAAGTCAATATTTGCTTAATCAAAAAAATCTTTCCACACAATAATTACCTTCAAAGAAAATTTTTAAAAGGTTCAAAGTCAAAAAATAATTAGTAAGAAAGTCACTCACGGTAGGGATTAGCAAACAATCTGTGTTTTCCTAAATCAGCTCCTCTTGATGTGTTGTCAGGATCATGAGGCATAAAAAATTTTAAATGGGCTTACTGCTGAGAACTCATCTATAAGGTACAACTATTTTGCAAAAAAAAAAACAAAGTGTTGACCAAAGTAGCAAACATACGTGACTTAGCTGCTTCCATTACAGAGTTGTTTAGTGAAGGTGAAAATGATAATGTTATACAGAAATCTTTTAGGAAAGGCTCATGTTAATATGCTATGTGAAACTGAAAGCTGAGTATGGATTACACTCTTCATAAATATATATATATATATATATATATATATATATATGTCTGGATGGGGTCCTGGAAGATGCTTATTCATTAATGAATAAGAAAAAAAATATTCCTCAGTCAAATTGACTCTTAGAAGGCAGTTTAGAGGGATTTTGGAGAAAAATATTTATATAAGGATACCAGTTGCTGATTAGTTTAAATCTTAAGGTATTATATAGTAAATAAAAGTTGAAGAAAATGTGAAAAATCTCTAAACAGAGAAAATTAATTATCAACTCAAATATAAGATAGCAGCATTCAATTATCTAGGAGAGAGATTATATTGTTCATTATCCAGCACATGACTTCCTTATGTCAGATCATTTGCATAGAATCATACCATATCATACCAGTAGCACTCACAGGGGATCACAGTGAGTGTCCATGACCTCTGTCACTCTAGAAATGCCATCAGGGCAACCCCAAACAGTGACTCACTCAAGGTCACCTAATTTGTCTATGGCAGAGAAAGGGCTAGAACTTAGGCTTCCTGGGTAGAAAAAAATAATGGTATTTCTTGAATTAGCTTAACTGATGTTTTTGCCCTGATGATATCTCGCTTAGCATTGGCTTGTTGACTTCTTTTTTTGTTTAAATGAAAGGCTAAGCCAAATATTCTACCAATTCTACAAACTTTTTTTTTTTTTAACACAACAGAAGTTTATTTTTCTCTTGTGTAAGTAGGCAATCCATGGACTGGTGTGGCAGCTTCACAGTCCTACAGGATCTAAAAAGTTTTTTTTTAGTCCATTATGATTTATTCTCTACAATACTTCACTAAAGAGTTTGTTGATTTGCACTCAGGAGTTATATAGCTAAGAGGCAACCAAGTGTAATACAAAGAATTGGTCTGAAGTCTTTGCACTGAAGGTCATATAGTCTCTTGCTTCAGGGTATTAAAAGTGAAAATGAAAAAACCACATAGCTCCCTAGGCTCCAGAATCCCTATAGAAAATAACATCAACAGTTAGTGAAATTGTAGCTGTCAACACATTATGGAAAACAGATCTTGTACAAAATATTAAAATTAAAACCCAGGACTTATTTTGTATTAATGATTTTTATTATAAACAGTAAAATATATATATACTATCTCACCTACAAAGCTTTCATGTTGAAAGGACCTCTAACATGAGTTATTTTAATATGATGAAGCAAAAAATTTAAGAATCTCACAGTGGAAATAATTTAATTGTGCAAACTCTAGCGATCAAAGACATACTCTTTTAATGTAAAACAAGGACAATTCATAATTACAGAGAATGTCCTAGCTCTGGGTTATTATGAGACAAGCCAAGTTTCTAGACCAAAAGGCACTCACAGCTAGGGATGAAACAAACTCCAAACCAAGCCAGAGAATTTGGGCTAGTTCCTTGAAAACAGTGGCTACTGGCCGGGCCCGGTGGCTCATGACTTGAGGTCAGGAATTCAAGACCAGCCTGGCCAACATAGTGAAACGCCATCTCTACTAAAAACAAAAAAATTAGCCAGGCATGGTGGTGTGTGCCTGTAATCCCAGCTACCTGGGAGGCTGAGGTGGGAGAACCGCTTGACCCGGAAAGCAGAGGTTGAAGTGAGCTGAGATCACACCATTGCACTACAGCCTAGGTGGCAGAGTGAGACCCTGTCTAATAAATAAATAAATAAATAAGTAAATAAAAGAAAACAGTGGCTACCTACTCTCCAGCTTCAGCAGCCCAAGGACAAAGGAAACGGCAGAAAACATTCCCTTTTCTTTAAACCCACCACTCACACTGCAGGTAGTGGGCACCCTCATCAGTGCCTTCGTCAAGTGTGTGGAAGGCAATTCAGCTTCAGCTCGGAGCTTCATCTCCACATGGAAAACTGCCACGTGGATGACCCAAACTTGGCATTTTTCCTGAGACCCACCAGCCACACATTTTTATGAGGCAACCTTGACCATACACTTCCAGACTGCTTCCTGACTAGGCCCTGTTCAGGATGGATACTGACAGTGCTCATTCCTCATGGAGCCAAATAGTTTTCCTTGGTTTACTCCTGAGTCCTCTTGACAAGGAAAGAGGAACTGAAGCATTTCCATTGCTGGACTTGTGTGGGAGGATAAGGGAATGTGCGGGGAGGAAGGCTTCTTCACTCCAAAAACCAGAGTCCACTTTGGTGTGGTGCTGCACTTAACCAGCCCGATTCTTGGGCACTGAATTTCTTTCACCACCACTTGGCATTTTAAATCTTCTATTCATTTTCTTAAATACTAGGTATCCTACTCCATGGTCAATAAAATGTAATTAAAAAGATCTATACAGTCTTCCACAATGGTTGAACTAATTTACTCTCCCACCAACAGTGTAAAAGCGTTCTTATTTCTCCACATCCTCTCCAGCATCTGTTGTTTCCTGACTTTTTAATGATCGCCATTCTAACTGGCGTGAAATGGTATCTCATTGTGGTTTTGATTTGCATTTCTCTAATGACCAGTGACGATGAGCTTTTTTTCATGTTTGTTGGCTGCATAAATGTCTTCTTTTGAGAAGTGTGTGTTCATGTCCTTCGCCCATGTTTTGATGGAGTTTTATTTTCATGTAAATTTGTTTCAGTTCCTTGTAGATACTGTATATTAACCCTTTGTCAGATGGATAGGCGATTCCTCAAGAATCTGGAACCAGAAATACCATTTGACCCAGCAATCCCATTACTGGGTATATATATATCCAAAGGATTATAAATCATTCTACTATAAAGACACATGCACACATATGTTTATTGCAGCACTATTCACAACAGCAAAGACTTGGAACCAACCTAAATCTACATCAAGGATAGACTGGATAAAGAAAATGTGGCACATATACACCATGGAATACTATGCAGCCATATAAAGGATGAGTTCATGTCCTTTGCAGGGACATGGATGAAGCTGGAAGCCATCATTCTCAGCAAACTAACACAGGAACAGAAAACCAAACACTGTATGTTCTCACTCATAAGTGCGAGTTCAACAATGAGAACACATGGACACAGGCAGGAGAACATCACACACCAGGGCCTGTCAGGGGTTGGAGGCTAGGGGAAAGATAGCATTAGGAGAAATACCAAATGTAGATGACGGGTTGATGGGTGCAGCAAACCACCATGGCATGTGTATACCAATGTAACAAACCTGCATGTTCTGCACATGTATCCCAGAACTTAAAGTATAATAAGAAAACAAATAAAAGAAAAAATATCTATACATTGGGAAAGATAAATAGAGCAACTTTTTTTTTTTTTTTTTTTTTTTTTTTTTTGAGACAGAGTCTCACTCTGTTTCCCAGACTGGAGTGCAGTGGCGCGATCTCAGCTCACTGCAACCTTTGCCTCCTGGGTTCAAGCGATTCTCCTGCTTCAGGCTCCCGAGTAGCTGGGATTACAGGCGCATGTCACCATGCCTGGCTAATTTTTTATATTTTTAGTAGAGATGGGAGTGTCACAATGTTGGCCAGGCTGGTCTCCAACTCCTGACCTCAGGTGATCTGCCTGCCTTGGCCTCCCAAAGTGCTGGGATTACAGGCATGAGCCACTGAACCTGGCCCAACATTTCTACAAGAAAAAAATCAGCTTAAGGAGCATGGCACTGTAAATTCTTGCGTGGCCAATATCACTAAGCGTGCATGCTCAAGGGTGAAAGTTTAGCAATATTTTTTTGCTTTCTTTATTCTTTGAAATTAAACACAACTTTTGACCTAGAACACTTGCACAGTAATGAGTGTAGACCTATATAATTCTTCAAATTGGAGGTGGGTGGCTTAGTCCAGAGCTGATCACCCTGACATCAATCCATGACACCTAAGAGTAATTGTTGCCCCATCTGTTTTTAACAAGACATTTATTCTCAGCAGCAGGAAGTCATAAAAACAATCCTTCCATCTTCATTTACATTGTCAAGGGAAACGTGGCAGGCTGCGGGAACCCAGTACAGCAGTGAGGGGGCTGTGGCCTGTGCACCCTGTCATCACATTTCCCTTGCACATCCCAGGTCCTCTCAAGCAGCACAGGACAGTGCCAAGCAAACCAACACACCCTCGCCCGTTCCCTTCCAGAAACTTGACGGCGATGCCTAGAACAGTACACGTGTTCTTTCTCACATGTGCCCCCGCTCCCTCTCCCCCATTCCTGGCAGGAGAAAATGCAAAAGCTCTTCTGACTTGAATATCTGCCCATTTCGGGAAGCCACACCATCACCACATCAACTTTTAAAAATAATTAAATCAAAACATTGTGTTCACTGGCGTGGCACCCAATCCACTTGACGAGTTTTCTGAGATGTTGTTGAAAACCAGTGTCAGGTCCTTGGGATCACTTCTTCCCACTGGCCACTTCTGTGCATCATTTAGCAGTGCCTTTGTGACAATGTTTTCAAAGCATCTTCCAAGTTCCCTAGTTCTACGAACTTTGCCACCAAACAAGTGAAGAACAAGCAAGGCGAGAAGAAAACTTGCTGACAGAAACATGGAAATCAGCAACAATAAAAAGGGGAAATACGTCACATGAAAGTTGGAATTGCCTAGATTAAAACAAGCTATTTGGAAATTTGCCCTGGTGGGGTGAAGATTCCAAACCTGTTAGGCAAGCTAAAGATCTGCCTTGTGAAATTACACAGCTATGTTGTAAAGTCCTGAAAGGACTGAAACATCAACAGTCTTCCTACTTCTACAGGCAAACTAGAAAAAAGGACTCCCCTGCTTACTGGTCCCTCAAGATGTCTGCCTGAAAAGAAAACCAGCTCAGAGACCCTGCATGCTCACTCTCCTATGATGTGTCCTCCTAAAGCCTAACTCAACTGCTTATTTGCCCATCTATGTTTCTGAGAACATAGGTCCAACTATAGGCACTGCTACCAGTAGGTGAGCAAGGTAGACAAGTGGTAGGGAGGAGGCCTCTCCTTTCACACCTGTGTGCAGTGGTGACATCACACCTTCCCATGGGTATCTTCATTCCATTCTTCAGCAGGCTATGCCACTGATGTCTATTCAGTAATCAGGAGGCTCGGTGCAGGAAGAGTGCCAGAAAACCCAACTAAGAGTGGGATGAAAATGAAAATATCCATGGCTTGCCAAGCAATGAGATCTGCAACTCCATCCAAAAGGCTTCTGATCTTGATGGGGGTCTCCATCCAGAAGTCTTGAATAACTTGTAATCCCCTCATCCAACCCTGATGTGGCATCCACTTATGTATCATCAGGGTTGTATTCAACTCTTGGTATGCAATAAACTGGAAGTCTAAAAACAGGAATTTGAAACAACCTAAAACTGTTTCTTGTTGGTCTCCATTGCCCAGACTACCAGGGGAATACACCTACTTGATCTGGGGCAGCTGCAGGGGTGTGTGTGTGTTCAACCCTCGTGGATCATCAATTCCAGCTTCAGAGTGTGGCCAAACCCATGTGGCAAATACCAGACAAGGCTCTTCTGAACCCACACAGTAATTCCCACTAGTCAGGGAGGAGCCCCAGTCCACCAGAACCTCATACTAAGGGAAGGCTGAGATAAGGCTTGGGCCCCTCAAGTTCTGTTTCATTCAATGTAACCTACCACCCCTCAGTTAAGGGGAGGCAGACTTGGCAACAGAAGCTGAAAATGGTGCCGTAATAGAAGTAACTGGACCAGGAAGAGGAGGCACCTGCTCCAGTGATGTCACAGCCATTGGTGCCCACAGGGGAGTGGGACTGGTCATGCAGCCATGTGTCAGGAGTAATGATTGTAGGGGGCGGGGCATGAAGAGTATGGTTCTGGAAACAGTGCTGTCAATAAGCAATATACTCTGCAAAACTGATTGTCACCTTCTCACTTTAGTAACTGGTGAGTTTGACCATTTTTCCAAATTCACTGGTAATTGGATCCTTAAAGCTACCTTTCCTGAGCAAGGACTCAGGTGAAAATGAGGCGGTACGTTTGATGCCTTTTTCCTTAATGAATTCAGTTTAAATCCCATGGACCCCTATCTCCCAGTCCAGGTAATCACTAGCATCCTCAAAGTTAGTATGGAGGGAGACAGAGCAGAAAAGCTTACGCAGCCCCTCTCAGATTGGAGGAGATATCAGCTGTCCTTAAATGCAATGGCTAACGTATTCCCTGAGACCTGAATAAAGATTCATGGCTGAGAAGGTCCCAATGCAGCCATGAAGCCACTTGTCCCTCCCTGTCTTCCATGTCACAAAGAGCAGACAGGGGTCATTGGTGAATCTAGGAAGTCGTGGCTGTGGAAAGCCATAGAGCTGACAGTGGAGTTTGGTAAAGCAGTAGCAGCACATCTGTGCAGTCACCTCCGGATTCTTTGTGGAGCTGCCATTCCATTAGACTGGGGGAGAGGGCTCAGTGCTCCTGATGCTGGATTCATTCGTGTGATGGGAGCACTTCCAGGTCCCAGAGTTAAGTCCAACACACTCTCCTATCTGCTGCTGCTGTCTACATGCTGGCAGTTTTGAAGAGGTCCTGACCTAGGGCTGGGGACGGCTGTGGACTCATTCTTGTGACTGTGTGTTTCACTTCCAGATAATTTGGGCTTCTTGCTCTCACAACAGCCTGCTGCCAACTTGGACTCCAGTGGAGGATGTATTTTTCCTATCCTGATTGGGTGCTCGAGTTCTAGAATTCTGCAGACCCTGAAATCAGAAAGTTTGTATTGCCAGAGGAACAGCTACAACAGAGGAGGGGAGCTATTTTATTTCTGAAATGAGACTTCTTCCTTCCAATTCCATTCCTTCTTCCTGTATCTTTTCTCTTGGCCCAGATGCTCTTGCAGGGACAGGACCTCTCGTGCTCTGCCTCCGCTTTCTGCTTCATGGAGTCATGCATCTGGCTGTGGGCTCCTGAGAAAAGCAGGCCCATAGGCCCAAAAGTTTTGAGAGAGCATAAAAAGGCATATGTACCTCTTTACCTAAAATAAAAGTTAAAAGAAAAAAATAAAAGGTACTTTAGTCAGGAACATAAAACACTATTTTCATTAAGAGTAGACAGGGAGATATCGCACAGGAAATAGAAATAAGAAAAGAACTCTAAGACATTCTAATTTTTAACCTGAACTTAATGTCTACCAGCCAAGTAGGTCCGGAGAGGTGAGGCAGCTTGCTCAATGTTACACATCTAGTCGTTAGTAGAAATGGGATTAGAATCCACTTAGTCTAAGTTCTTTTCTCTGCACCATGTCCTTGAGTTAGGGTGAGGATTCATTATAACACTGAAAATGAATTGTTCATTGAATAGGATAACTATCATATGAAATATAAATGCAAACACCATACTCTGAAGTCTGACGTACATGAATGATTTGGGGATTATTCAGTGTTACACAATGTGCCTATCATTGCTTCTTGGAATTAGAATGGATAAGGTATAGTTCACTGGGACACTTTTCCAATATGCATCTTGGAAGTTGAACAGTCACTGTGTTAGAATATTGCCCTTGTGTCTTGAATGCAATAGCTCATTGCAGGCAGAGACCCAGGCAGCACCAACAGTTTAGGCTTTAGAGTTAAAAGTTGTTTCAAGCATTAGATGAACTAGTTCATTAAAGATTTATTGATTCAGAATATTCGGGAGGAATGGAGTATGAAGTAAGGACAAGTGAATTGGCAAAAAAAAAAAAAGTCCACAATAAAATACTTTTGAAGAAATACAAATCAATTATTTTGAAGTAAAATAAGAAAAAGCAACCACTAAAATACTGCCAGATATATCTACTGTAGGGCCTATTTTAATAACTGAATAATTTATCTGTAATTAGCAAATTGTTTATATGCAAATGGCATTGGAAAGCATTTGAAAATATTTTAGCACATTAAAAATGTGCTATTGAATCTCATTTATTTCAAACTTGGCATGCCAAACTTTTCTCTCCAGAGAGTAGAGAGGTAAAATATAGTCTAGTTCTACTTAAATGATCAGAAAGTCTCATAGCAATAATGCTGTTCCTACTATAAGCAGTGATAATGATAGTAATAATAATTCATTTTCACTACTCACAGAGAGTCCATAACTATTTTCTAGTTTGTGTCCCAACATATCTCTGTGCGGTGAGGACAAATAGAGGTTAAGGGACACGCCCAAGATCTATTAATAGCAGAAATTAAATTATCGAGCCTAGAACCCAGGTCTTCTGATTCTCTGCTTTGTACCCTTCCACTCCTCTACAAGGCTTTCTAGGATGGAGCACAGTCTTCTGGCTTAGGCTAGATGAGCTCTAATGTCATTTTGCATTGCCAAGGTCTCTATTTCTATGACTTTACGCACACTCTGACCTTAAAGCACACGGTGCATGGTACACGTATGTGCAATGGGGACTTAAACTTGCTGGATTTCAGGAACTCGGGATTTCCCTTCAGTGTGTTGTTTTCAGCATTTCATGGATCAGTACATGTGAATCCTTCTTGTTATGAGGTAGGCATAAATATACAAACTATCTTTGACTCTTTTTCCTAAACACTAGGTTTAATTTGTAAAGGAAACTGAGTCAACTATCCCTAAACCATTATAATGTCAAGGAAAAATGATAGCACCTTCTCTACAATTAACATGACTAAGACCTAGACTCATGGGTAATCTTCTCTTCTCAAGCAACAATTACTGCAAGACTAGCTTTGGCAAGAATAGCAGAGACTCCAAAAGAATCTTGGAGATTAATTTGTTATACAGAGAAACATATGCATGATAAGGAAAAGTCTTTATGCTGTTAACTTATTAATAAAGAGGAACCTGACACAGATAAACATGCATTTATTGTTCAATAAGAGTCCATTTCACCTTATTTTATTGCTGTTTGCTTGCTGATATTGTTTATCATTGACCTTATTTATATTGACATAGATACAATCTTAAATAGTGCTCAGTTTGAAGTTACCTAGCAGTGAAATGTAGCCTTTTGCCCTTTCTATACGACGAAAAACCAACATGTTCCACTGATTTGCATGCACATGCAGGATGGTCTGGCCATAGCAGATTACGATGAACAGACCAACAAATAACTGATCAATAAGCAGAGTTGACCAACGTGCCTGGAGAGGAAGAAAGAAGCCTTTAACTATAAATCATGCTGTGAATAGAATAAGTGAACATTCATTGAATTGTTCCATTGGTCTTTTATCATCTAGATTTTTCAGCTTAATTTCTCACCATGCACATCTCTACCCTAGACCTCCTGAACTACATTCTCACAGATGCTTCACCAATAACTTTCTTAACATGATTACCACTATGAATAATCTTTTCTGGCCCAAAACACTCCCATCCTTCCTTCTCTCATCCACACACAGAATTCTGCTCATATTTAAAGATCCAGCTTATATGTTACATCCTCAGAAAAGCCTCAAGCAACCGTACCCTCCTCTATATTCAATAGTACTTTGGTCAAACCATTACTATAGTACTTACCATAATGTGTCATAATTACTTGACTAGCTAGTTCACGCATTAGATTATACATTCCTCATGGGCAGAGTCACTGTGTTATTCCTTGTCATATTTCTGCTACTCTTTGGTCACCCGTACTTTACTTTTTACCCCTGCCAACATGCTTTCCACATCTTGCCCCCCATTGGGTATAAAGTAGGTGTTCTATAAATGCTTCTAGAATGAACCACAGTGGGAGTGGCCAATGGACAGCCAGGAGGCAAGGGGTGCATAGATTTGTGTATGATGAAAACTCTTTTAACATCATGTGTAGACCCAAAGTCTCAACTCCCTGACCCGTAATTTAGGCTGCAAACCAGAGTGCCTGCAGCTTTGTTTATCCTTTTAATGTGCAACACCCTGAGATTTCAATGTCGCATTAATCTGGGATATTATTTCCACCAGCACTTCTGATGGAAGCTATAAGTTATATTACCAAAAAACCTTTCTGTGGCTTAATATTCAGAGGTGTGGGAATACAAATGATATTAAACATTAAGTTGGCAAAGAGGTATGAGCAAAGAAACTGTATGGTATAAAAATGTAGGCCCCAAATTAAGACTATAACATTTCACAATTAAATCAGGATGAAATGAACAAGTATCATAGGTTGTGCATTAATCAGAAAGGATATAAACCAAACCAGACACATCTATCTCTTAAAAAATCCTCAACTCCCTAATGTGCCTGTAATTATTAATTATTTATAAACAACACTGGAAGTGTTGACATTGCATATTCCTATAAAATGAAACATAAAATAATAATGTCTCAGTTTTATTTATACATCCCTTCAAGTTAATGATGCAGTTTTAAAGGATCCTGTGAAGTTTTAGGTGAGCAGGCATTGATGAACACACAGAAATGGTAGCTATGTTGTTGAGGTCTCAGTCTCCTCTTTCCATTTAATACTCTTTTTGACAACCCTGTAGAGAGACAGTATGAAGTGGCCAACACAGCCCTGAGATCTAATATTGAAATGCTCCAAACTTGCTGAGTGACCCTGAGCAGGGTTTACATTTTTCTGCACCCCACATTCCCTATTTAAAGAAATGGGCTAGACAAATTGGTCTTTATTTCCTTTCAGCTAGAGTATTCAACCATTTCTATTTCTAAGGTTTATTTTATTTGTTTTCCCAGATCTTACCACTTACTCAGAGGAAAATGTGGGTGTTATGAAAAAAAAAGATTTTCAATTTTTAACATATTTAATAACTGCAAGTCAGTTTTTTTCTTTTCATTTTCACCAGTTGTTATCCTTCCAGCCTCTAGTAATAGAAAGTTTAACCTCATGGGAAAGTATTTTCTCATATAATAGGATATGGACAGAATGCATGGGCTGAGGGCTGGATCAATGATAGTACTAAGGACCCAGGCTCTTTCCATCTCTCTGCTCTGCTATCCTTGGCGTCAGTCTCCTTTTCAGACTTATGGCAAGGTGGCTGGCCTAATTCCAAGGATACAATGGAGAATATCAAGACCAGAGAATATCAAGACCCACAGTGTCACATTTCCTGTGAAGGTGTCATTCTACTTGAAGTTAACAGCCAAGAGCTCAGGCCAGTAACTTCTTTCTGTCACATTATCAGGGTAATTTGGCAAGTAGCTATTGAACGTCTAGTAGAAGCTCAGTATGATGCCAGGAACTATTAGTGACACAATGAAAAGAAGAATAAAGTAAAATGCATTCAGTTTTTCACTATGAGATCATAATTAGTTCAGAAAATAAAGTATATCTGTTTTAAAGCCATAAAGCAACACAGAGACATTCTTTCCATGAAGATAACCAAGTTCTAGCTGAATCTCAGATATGGTTAGACAGTGTTACCTCATTCCCACTTAGGCAACAGAAAAAATTCCATGCTTATAAATTCCACACTTATGGATGATTTTGGAAAAGAATGTATTATCACAGGCCACACTTAGCTTATTCTTGAAGTAATTAAAGCTCAGCAATGCAGAATTCACTTAAGATTGCAGTGGATTGCAACCAAGTGTTATTTGAGATGTCCAGAATAAAATTTTCAGCAGGACAAACACAGTATACCACCAAAACATGATCATAGCTACTATAGATTAAAATATATGGCATATGGTATGTATAATCCATTCCCAAACCCTGTGTTCTCAGATATGATCTGTTCACTAAATGATAAATATTTCATTATGTTCATTATGGTCTGAACATGAAATATGTGATGAAATTGAAATAATAATATATAGACACTTGAATGTAAAGATTCAGAGAGCTGGCCAGGCGTGGTGGCTCACGCCTGTAATCCCAGCACTTTGGGAGGCCGAGGCGGGCAGATCACGAGGTCAGGACCAGCCTGACCAACATGGTGAAACCCTGTCTCTACTAAAAATACAAAAATTAGCCAGCCGTGGTGGTGCATGCCTGTAATCTCAGCTACTCAGGAGGCTGAGGAAGGAGAATCGCTTGAACCCAGGAGGCAGAGGTTGCAGTGAGCTGAGATCGTGCCATTGAACTCCAGCCTGGGTGACAGAGCAAGACTCTGTCTCAAAAAAAGATTCAGAGAGCCAAATGATGGTATTTGCTGAATACACTGAAGTATGAATATATCACAGAATATCTAACCATGTCACTATCTTTCATACTTCTAACAATGCTGTAATGAATACCCATGTACATCTCTACTGAGCTTATGGGTAGCAGTTTGTGTTGGAGACCTGGTAGTGTTAACTCCGAGGTCATAAGACATGCACGTTTTTCATTTTCATAAATGCTGCCAAATTACTTTCCAAAATGGCTATACAAATTCCCAGCAGCTGTATATGAAAGTTCTTGTTGCATTATATGCCCATAATTACATGATATAAGAAATTCTAACTTTCACCAATCTGGTGGGTGAGAAATGGCATCCCATCTTTTCTTATGCGCTTCCCTGACTCTCAATTAGATTAAGCTCTGACAATTTCTTATCTGTTTGTAGGCCACGATAAGCCTTTCTACTTCGGAAGAAATGCTCATTTGTTCTGGTTGCTCATTTTTCTGTTGGTATATTTTCTATTTCATATTGACTTTATAAGTGTTTCATACATGTTAGATATTATGTGTGTATTCACGAAACATGTCCCAAATATATTCTTCCAGCTTTATTTTTAGTGACTTTTATCATGTTTTTTATTTTTATGGAGTCAGATTTGTTGACAAGCTTTCCCCTAATGATTTGTGTTTTTGTGTCTTAAGATGACAGTTCTTTTAAAGAGGGTGTGTGTGTAAAAACTTTTCTGATCCTCCAATACCTAGAAATGCCTGTATTTTATTATTACTCATTATATAATAGAGTGATGCATATAAAATTTTTAGCTCAAAATTACTTCCCCGCAGATTTTTTCATATTATTTTTGTGTCCAATGTTGCTGATGGGAAGTCTGATGCCAATCAAGTTTGCACACCTTCAGAAAAGTAGTCTCCTCCTACCTCTACCACCCCCTCTCTGGTAACTCATTATTTTCTATTTATGCTTAAAGCTCTGGAATGTTACAGTGATGTGATTATGAGTGGGTTTTTAAAAAATAAATCTGAAATACAATTTTTGCTCAGTACTTAGTGGGATTTTTAATTTAAGACTTGTGGGTGTGGGGAGGCGGAAGAACTGTAGGTGAAGAAGAAGAAAAAAGAGAAGAAAAAAAGAAGAGAGAAGATAAAAGAAGCAGTAAAAGAAAAAAGAGAAAATGGAAAGTGATACTAAACAATGGTATCATTAATAGGAAATATCCATCTATCTATACCTCTAATAAACTATATGTACATTTTTTCAGTCTTTCCCAGTTTTTGCTTATGGAACATAGTTATTTTTGTTTGTAAAATTAGAGAACGCTTTGATGAGAAATTCCTGTTTTTTTCTGAAACGCTTAATTCCAAAAGAAAAATTGGATATATTTAAGTTATTTCCTCTGTTATTTGTTCCTATATTTCCAAATGATATGTTTATAATGTTATTTTTTAACTGATCAGCTTTTGACATGCTTGTGGTTGAACCCTTAACTCAGTCACAACACTTTCCTTCCCCATCTTCTCAATATGGTTTGTGATAAATTTGGCTTAGGAATGATCAGTGTTTACATTATTATGACTATTGTTTACACCACAGCTAAGTACTATCCTACAATTATGTCTAGTTTTTTGGTTCACTTTTTCTCTTACAAGAGTTAATAAATTACCCAGTTGTCATATTGGGACTTCCCGTTGCTCTTTCCCAGTGCTGGGTCTTTTCTTTTATGTTTTCCTCGTTCAAGAATAAACTCATTTACTGAAGAATATCCTTTAATAGCTTTTTTTAAAGAGTTTCTACTAGAGTCAAATATTTGAGTCATGAACAAAATGTCTTATGTTTACTCTTTTGCTTGAAAAAGAGCTTTTCTGGGTCTTTTTCCCAGGAAAAGAGAAGCTGAAAGAATTCCAAGTTGAAAATAATGTTACCTCTTTCTGTAAGGTTTTCATTCATAATCTTTTCAAAGGAGGTGCATTCCTTCAGTTCTAAAAAAATTATTAGTTTATTTGATCATTATCTTTCAGTCTCTCTATTCTCTCTGCAACTTCTATCAACCGAATGTTAGCTTTCTGTATTGATTCTCTAATATTATTAATTTTGTCCTCCTATTATCCTTTATCTTTTTTTCTGGGAAATTTCTTTAATTTTCTCTCCCATTCCATTGAAACTTTTTTTTTTCAAGTAGCATATATTTAAATCCAAAGAAGTCTTTCTTTTTCCTTGACTGTTCTTTTTTACAGCATCCAGTTCTTACTTCACAGATACAATACTTTATCTCTATGAGAATACTTATTGTATGTATGAATAAGCCTGCATCAGGTACCTTTTATTCTGATCCTGATTATGTCTCTGTTTCCTCTGTCTGTATATTTCTGATTTATTTTTATAATTTCATGGAGGATGCTCTTCTCAGATGTCTGATAATCCTTGTCTGTCAATTTCCATTTAAGGCTGAGGTTTAAGAAAGTTTACTGGGGTAGGGGGGATCTTATTATGTACATTGACAGGGTTTGTTGACTGCTGAGCTTGAAGTGATCAGACTATAAGCCAGGCTTTTCTTTAGGATACCCACAGATTTTAGAACCTTAAAGTCTCTCCTTTGGAGCCACTGAATTTGTTTCTCTGAGCTCCTGAATAGTAAACACACCTGGTCTCTGGTATACTAAGAGCTGAGGTCCTTTAATTCAGATTTTAAAGGTTCATTTATATTCCCTTTTAGTGTCCCATCTCTCCCATGCCACCTTCTGCATTTAGTATCCTTTAACTTGAGGCCTCTTGGTTTCAAACTTTTCAGAGAATAAACCATTTCCAGTCACTGCCATGGAGTAGGAAAATGATACTAACATGGCTGCTATGGCTGAGGAAAGGCACTTGGGATACCTGTCCTGTTCTTTACCCTACCTATTTTGGGATCTGAGGATCTAAATGGTGGACATTTCAAGGGAGTCTGTGGAGCAAACTGGATCACTCCTCATTAGTATCCCCTTCTGTTACTTTATATAAGTTTAAATATGCACTTCTCTGCTAAATTAACTACCACTTCTCCACTCAATTTCTTCCAAAGTTTGTTCAAGTGTCTTCTCAGCTATTGCCTCCTCTCCTGTTATCTAGGTTCCTGTGGGTTAATGCCCCATTAATTCCTTTACTCTCATTTTGAGAAGGGTTTTAGAAGGGGAGAGAGATAAATGTGTGTGGCCAATTCACTATGTCAAGCAGAAGTCCCGAGCTCTCCATGTTTGAGATCTTCCTCACTCTCACATATGCAAGTTTATGTACTGTAGCTGCAGCTGTAATGTCACCATGGTCTCTGATCTTGTTCCTCTAGCATTCCACCTGCCATAGCACTTCTAATTTCTTCTCTCATCAAAGACACAGGTGAAAGAGAATGCTTTTATTCTGCAAATGCATATGGAAAATAGATAGTCTCTCATGGATTTAGTAGGAAATTTAGTTACTACGAGTGTTTTAAATTACTTGGGTTTTCTGTTTATTCCAGTATTCCTCTATTTGAGGACTATTCCAGTGGTCAATTGTGTATTTATTTAGGGTCATGAGGAATATCTTGTTTAAAACTAGAGATGAGGGAAGAATCAGTGTAGCGAGATCATGTGCCATTTCTGCTAATTTAATTAAGGAGCTCTTTGTTTAGATTTGCCCAGGTCATTTCGTGGAGAAAGTATCCCACATTAATTCTTACATGACCTTGTGCTTCTTTTTTATTTATATTTTCATGTATATATTGCTATGGTTTTAAGAGTCACTCCTAGTCAAATAGGGAATTTCTTCAGGTTTTGTGATTAAATGATGCTTAAGCAGTGTGCCAATGAGACATTCATTATGCAAGGTGCTAAAGCAAAGCACCCAATGATCTGTGAAGGAAACAGAACTTCATCTTTGGTATTTTAAAAGTACTTTCCAAGACAGATTATAGCAGTTCACCACAAAGGGGAAAAAATAGTGTCAAGTAATTTTATAAGACAAAAGAGTTGCAAGTATGTGCTATCTCCACATAAAAACACATAACTGCATGCCGTCTGAGTTTTTCCCAAGCAAAGAATTCCTGAATAGGTAGAAGAAAAGTTCTACAAAACGCATCAGCCAGAAGTACTGTGCTAAGTTGCCTAATTACTCATGCTCTGTGGAAACTTTCAAAATGCAGCTGACACCACTTGCTGAACTTGTTACTTCATTTTCAATTGCAAGGAACAACAAAATAGTTTATTGGTCTTATTGAGGGGGACTGAAAAATGAGTAAGGTCATAAAGTAGGTATGTATCATTATCATTTATACCTGAAGGGGCTATGACCAATTATATTATTTCCTGTTATCTGCAAGGCAACAAATAGAAGCGGGAGAAAAGTCTAGAAGGTATCTGCACACAGGCTGGCCGTAACCATATGGCATGAGCCTCAGGCTTGGGGCTAAGACAGTAAGATGAAAGTGGGTAAGAAGGTGTGCATGAGAGGTTGATTGGGCTCATTTCTCTTCCAAAAACCTATCAACATAGAGACTGTATCATCAAGAAAGGGGTTGAACTTTGGCATCAGGCATGCCTTCCACAACATGGCCATTAGCAAGTCACTTAACCTTATAGAGTGACATGATTCTGCAGGACAATCCCAGGCTCCCTGTATCACCCATTACAGCTTTTGCCAGTAAGGCCTGCCCCACTGTGACCAGCCTTTTCTTTCTCTTTCTTATACACTTGGGATTTTTCCTCACAGTAACTTGAAACATTTATCTTCCACTGCTGCAAGACTTTTTCAAGCATAAAAGTAAATATCTAAAGATAGAGCAGCTTTCTCAACTTTTAAAAATAAAAGACTAATGAGTCTTCATTCTAAAGGAGCAGAGACCAAAAAATAATAAGAACTGTCCAAGAAAAACAAATCCTGCTACTCTGTTACCACCTGTGATACTTGGGGTTTGATTTACTCTGTAACCGCCTATGATACCTGGGGTTTGATTTCTTTTTAAGTTTATTTCTCTCCTTTATGATATGATATACTTAAGTGTAATAGGCTCACAATTTAACCAGGAATAGGGTCTGAGATAATGTGATGGAAATCCAGCCTTGCCTAAGCCACAGCCAACCTATGTCATGGATTCTTTTTATTAAAATACCTATGTAAGATGATTAGAAGGTTTGATTTATTAGAAAAATTAAATTGGGGTCAAAAGAAAATATGGTATAGGTTGAATTGCTAACTGGCTTTCCAGCCTTGGACTTTTTTTTTTTTTTTTTTGCTATTTCTGCTGACTGGCTCCATTGCTCAGTCTAGGCCTACTTTCAGGGAGCAGCCTTCTCTTTCTTAGCCAGCCCTCAGAAACCTGACAGTTTCCACCTGGATCCCTCATCTCAGCATTTGCTGCTTTCTTTCTCTCCTATCCTGACCTTCTGTGAGCCACAAAGAAAGCACCTCTTCCAGAGATGCTTTCAGAGCTCTAACATCCCTGACTGTTCCATGGAGGGCTCCTAGATCCTGACTTCTGGGTGACAGACACCAATCCCAGGCAAACCTTCTTCCTGCACATTGCATGTACATGATGAAACACAGCTGATTATTTTACAGGAACTCAGTTGCTAGAAATGATTTTTTTAATGTTATGATGCTGAAAAAAAGAGATTCAACTTCCTTTGTCAGTCCTTTGGCTCTAGATTTTAAAAATCTGAATGGTCAAGAGCAATGTGATAAAGGCAGTTTAAAATTATTAATTATTATTAATATTGTCTCTGATGCTCGGCATATTATTGTTATTTTTTCAACTTTTATTTTGGGTTCAGGGGTTATATGTGCAGGTTTGTTATGTGGGTGTATTTTGTGATGCTGAGGTTTGGGGTATGAATGATCCTGTCACCCAGGTACTGAGCATAGTACCCAACAGTTCTTCAACACTTGTCCCCCTTCTCCCTCAAGCAGTCTCTAGTGTCTATTGTTGCCATCTTTATGGCATGACTACCCATTGTTTAGCTCCCACTTATAAGTGAGAACATGAAGTATTTGGTTTTCTGATTCTGTGTTAATTTGCTTAGGATAATGGCCACCAGCTGCATCCATATTGTGGCAAAGAACATGATTTCATTCCTTTTTGGCTGTGCAGTATCCCATGTTGTATATGTACCACATTTTGTTTATCTATCCACCATTGAGGGGTACCTCAGTTGATTCCATGTCTTTGCTATTGTGAATAATTTTGCGATGAACATACTCATGCATATGTGCTTTTGGCAGAATGATTTCTTTTCTTTTGGACATATACCCAGCAATGGGATTGCTGGGTCAAATGGTAGCTCTGTTTTAACTTATTTGACAAATCTCCAAACTGTTTTTCACAGTGACTGAACTAATTTACATTTCCACCAACACTGTGTAAGCATTCTCTCTTCTCCACAGCCTTGTAAGCATCTGTTATTTTTTGACTTTTTAATAACAGACATTCTGACTGATGTGAAATGGTATCTCATTGTGGTTTTGATTTGCATTTATCTGATGATTAGTGATGATGAGCATTTTTTATATGTTTGCTAGCTGCTTGTATGTCTTCTTTTGAGAAGTGTCTGTTCCTGTCCTTTGCTTATTTTTTAATGAGGTAATTTGTTTTTTGCTTGTTTAAATTCCTTATAGTTTTTGAATATTAGACTTTGACAGATGCATAGTTTCTCAGTGTTTTTTCCCATCCAATAGGGTGCCTGTTTACTCTGTTGATAATTTCTTTTGCTGTGCAGAAGCTCTTTAATTTACTTAGGTCCCACTTGTCAATTTTTGTTTTTATTGAGGAATTGCTTTTGAGGACTTAGTCATAAATTATTCCCAAGATCCATTTCCAGAATGGTGTTTCCTAGGCTTTCTTCTAGGATTCTTATAGTTTTGAGGTCTTACATTTAAATCTTTATGCCATCTTGAGTTAATTTTTGTATACTGTAATAGGCAGGGGTTCAGTTTCATTCTTTCACATATAGCTAGCCAGCTATCTCAGCACCATTTATTCAATAGAAAGTCCTTTCCCCATTTCTTATTTTGTGGACTTTACCGAAGATCAGATGGCTGTGGGTGTGTAGCTTTATTTCTGCGTTCTCTATTCTGTTCCATTTGTCTATATGTCTGTTTTTATATCAGTACCATGCTGTTTTGCTTACTGTATGTAGCCTTATGGTGTAGTTTGATGTCAGGTAATGTGATGCCTCTGGCTTTGTTTTTTTGCTTGGGATTGCTTCAGTCTTTTTTGGTTCCACATGAATTTTAGAATAGTTTTTTTTCCAGTTCTGTGAAAAATGTCATTGGTAGCTTGATAGAAATAGTGTTGAATCTGTAGATTGCTTTGGACAGTATAGCCATTTTGATGATATTATTGGTTCTTCCAATCCATGACATGAAATGTTTTCTCATTTGTTTGGGTAATCTATGATTTCTTTCATCAGTGTTGGGTAATTCTCCATGTAGAGATCTTGTAGAAATCTTTCACCTCCTTGGTTAGATGTATTTCTAGGTATTCTATATTTTGCAGCTATTGTAAATGGCATTACGTTCTTGATTTGGCTCTTAGCTTGGTTCATTATTGGTGTATAGAAATGCTACTGATTATTTTGTACATTGATTTTGTATCCTGAAACTTTACTGAAATTGTTTATCAGTTCCAGGAGCCTTTTGGCAGATTCTTCAGGATTTTCTATGTATAGAATCATATCATCAGTGAAGAGAGATAGTTTGACTTCTTCTTTTCCTATTTGGATGAATTTTTACTTCTTTCTCTTGCCTGATTCCTCTGGCAAGAACTTCCAGTACTGCGTTGAATAGGAATGGTGAGAGTGGGCATCCTTGTAATGTTCCAGTTCTCAAGGGGAATGCTTCCAGTTTTTCCCTGTTCAGTATAATGTTGGGTGTGGGTTTGTCATACATGGCTCCTCTTATTGTGAGGCATAGTGTATGATTTTTAAAGAGCTACCATTTACTGAACACTTGCTAAAAGCTTGATACTAAGACTTTACATAAAACAAACTATCATTTAATTCTCATAAGGTAACATTATTATCATAGATGACTGAGTTACATGTCTAACACATGGCCACTAATAAGCACAATGTACATCTTTGAACCCAAACAAGCACATTCAGGGGGCCCACGCTCAAAGCCCCACACTAGCACTTTCTACAATAAATAATGTACCCATACTTTATTTAGTTGCTTACATAGCTTCAGGGTTGTTGCCAACTATAGGCCTGTGGAGGGCCTGAGATGAAATTCTCATAGATCTCAAATTAGGAATATGCACAAAGGAGCCATAAATACATGTGTTTTGATTAGGATGACAATAATTAAAAATATAGTTGTATGAATGGTCATAGGTAACACTGATTAAACCAATTTAACAAAGCCCCCATCACCACTCCACTAAAAATACATTTTAGCATCTTGATGATTTGATCAAAGATTGCTATATTGCAATTCCCAGCTGCACAAAACCTATTCTCAAGCATGATCATTATAACCTTTTGCTTTATTAAACATCTGAAAGGAATGGCATAATGGTCCTTCAAGGACAGCTCCATTAAGAAAAAAAAAAAAGAATAATCTGCAGTGTAATGTGTTTAAAATGCTTTTTAAAATAGTGTTGTCATTAAGGTGATCAGCACCTGGGTTATTCTCATTGAAACAGCCTGAAGTCCGCTTGCTTAAAGAGACAGCTACACCCCTTTTTCCTAGCTCATTAATAGAACCAAAGATATAATCTACACATATCTTCATGTGTTTTAGCTTCATTAAGATGGAATCTCCAAATACCAGCTAGATATCAGTGGAATAAACTAGGCTGGGAAAGAGAGGGATTGGGAAGATATGTAGCTTTATTGACTAATAAAATTTAATTGACTGGCCGGGCATGGTGGATCACACTTGTAATCCTAGCACTTTGGGAGGCCAAGGTGGGTGGATCACTTGAGGCCAGGAGTTCAACACCAGCCTGGCCAACATGGTGAAACCTCATCTCTATTAAAAATACAAAAATTAGCCACGTGTGGTGGGGGGGGCGTCTATAGTCCCAGCTATCAGGGAGGCTGATGCACGAGAATCACCTGAACTCGGGAGGCAGAGGTTGCAGTGAGCTGAGATCACACCACTGCACTCCAGCTTGGGTGACAGAATGAGACTCTGTCTCAATAAATAAATAGATAGATAGATAGATAGATAGATAGATAGATAGATAGATAGATAGATAGATTATATAGATTCTCACTTAGAATTGGTTAAAATGGCTCCAAAATTCAGTTTGATGCTAGCAGAGCTTCCTTCTGAAGTCAAAATATGATTTAAAAAAACACAAGCCCACCATTCTCCATCTTTTGTTGGCCAAAATTATATCAGGCAATCAGAATGAATCTTGCCCAACAGTTAATTAATATTCACCAATCTGTGTGTGAGATTACAAGTAGAATTCTGTAAGTTTGAAAAATAAATAATAAGAGTAATAAAATTTACATTTCTATAATGACTGAAGATTTAGAAACACCTTTCTTATCCATACTATTTTAAAAAGCTCACATTGATGTTACAATTATCATTCTTAAAATGAGGATTGAAATGGTTATGTGACTAGCCTGAGATAACAGACCCTAAATTTCTAAAAAGAAAACAAAAAAAATTCCAACAAGGCTTACTACTGACCTTGAGCTCTTTGTACTATACTATCTTTTTTAAGTTACACATTCCCTCTTACCTGACACTTGCCATACTGCCCAAATTCTTCAGAACATTATTACATGCCTTGTAAATGAATCTATAAATGGTTTGTGAAAAATGAACCTCTTATAGCTCAGCAGGCAGCCAGCAGTGATAACTGTTATCTACCTGCTGTGAGACTTAGGGCAAGTTAGTAAATCTCTCTGAAACTTAACTTTCTCTTCTTTAATATCAAAATAATAGTATATACTTGCATTTGAGAGAAAACAATAAAGTACATGTAAGAGACACTCTCCCAGAACTTGGCACACAGTACATTCTCAAAAGCCACCTATTTAAAATGCATCTCAATTTGAGCATTATCAGAACCTAGGTGATAATTAAAGCTGTAACTGTACTTTTTTTCCCCAAAGAATGGGTTGTTGGAAAAGTATGTTTGGATGACACATTTATTTATAAAATAGGAATGTAACGAGCATTGAGGAGAAGATAGAGATAAAAAAGCAAAAAGGTAAAGGCTAAAGAGAATCAAAAAGAAGAATTTAAAGAAAAACGATAATTACACATACACACTTATCAGCCTATTGATGATAATTGGACAGCCCAAAGCAAATAGAGAATTTATATACTTATTTACCCCTCCTGCTAACCTTGTGAGGTAGCTATTATTGTTATTGTCATCTTACAGAAGAGTAAATTGAGGGACAGAGAGGTTAACTATCTTGCCTAAAAACACACAGCCAGTCAGTGACAAAAATGAGAAAACTTAACTGTCTGACTTCCAAAGTCAATGCTCTAATCACTGTCTTATTCTGTTCCTGGTCTAAGCTAGGAGTCAAAGGCAGCAGAAAGATTGAGTGAGTACTGAAAATACTATTATCATGATAGAGGATGTCTGTCTTGAAGGCATAAACTACCCAAGTGAACCATGGTTTGGACATACCTAGCCCCATGCAGCAGTTCACTAAGAGCTTGGGATGATGAGACCTCAGTGTAGATATCCTTATTCTTCATGTACTTGCAAAGATTGTTGAAGGATCACTTAGGTTGAGAGGCTGAAAGACACAAATTTTCCCAGCAATCCAGTCCAAACCTTGGGCATGTGAGGACTGTCCTTTCATTGAAAGATCAGGAAGGTCTGAGTTTGCTGGGTTTTCTCATTGGTGTGGTGTCTTTCATATTTTTTCTTCAGATATTCTTTTCTCTCTTTACTTATAAGACCACCACTTCAGCTCATCGATCAGTGGCTGCATAGGTATCAGACCCTAAGAGGTGGAGCCCTTCAGCACTCACTCCTGTTGGTAGCAGTTCAGACCTGGTTGTGCCACTGTTAGTCATATGAGCTCAGATGAGACATTTAACCTTTGTTAGTACACCTTCATCTATGAAAACTGATACAAGACCCACCTCACAGGTACTTGCAAGGGTACAATGAGCCTATACATGTGAAAATATCCAGTACTTGATACACGTCTGTTGAATCTGGATTTCAGTAGCAAATATTACTGATGAACAGCTGGACTGGCTGTTTTTAGAACCTCACAGTTGGTGAATACATCTGAACTTTAAAGATGACCTATAAATCATGTGGATTAAGTGTTTCAAAAAATTGGAACTGACATCAGATAGAGGGCCATCTCTTTGCAGCATACCCAACAACGGCACTTTGCTGTAGCTGCTGCTGCTGACAAAAATGAGGGCAGCCAAAATATCCTGAGCCATGATTATACAGCATTAATGTCACTTGTAGCATTGGAAACTTCTTTTCCGTCATTCTTATGAGTAATGACTCACCCGTGCTTGGGCTACAGTTCCTATTGTTTCCTCTTCTCATAGAAGTGGATGGTTGGGAACACAGACAAAATAGTTGGAATCAAAATCAGGATAAAAACTGCCTCACCTGTATTGCATAGTCCAATCAAGCCTCATCAACCAGTATTAAAATGCATTCATCTTTTCAAAACAAATAATTTTTCCTAATCAGCTCAAAAGTACATCCAAACAGGATTTCTTTTTTAATGGTCAAGGGGTAATTCCACTTGACAAATGTAAACATCATGAGTTCTGGCCAAAGCTTCAAACCAATTTGAAGATGTTTGTTTAGATATCAATTTCCAAGAAGGAGTTTCTATGAATGGGTGTAAAACCCAAATAAAATATTGCTTATGCTGAAAAATAACTTTATTTTAAAGTTAGAAATATAAGGACTATAATGTAAATGACCTAGTTATATACTAGTTAGTACCACAACTAGCACTAAAACCTAAATCTCTTTCCTCCAAGTCCAGCGGGGTTTCTTCTTTTAAGTCGTATAAATACAGAAGCATGAAAACCTAAAGCTATTCCAATATTTTATGAACAACCAGGCCCCTCCTATTCTAATACCAAGGAAAGCCCTGCTGTACCTCTCTCCAAATTTAAAAATAGCCTTAGGAAGGACACATGGTCAATAGTGGGTTGATCAAAAATTCATTTTCACTGCAATAAGAGTGGTTTAGATTCAAGAAGCTAAAGCTTAGGGCCACCTTGACCTTCAGACTCTTCCTGAAACTTTCCATTTCTCCTTAGTTCATATGCACGGGAGATCAAGATACAATGATCTATGATGCTAACTTAAGGTGGTTGAGATTCTGGGGAAATAAATTGTTCCAAGCAATTTTCCTGTTAAAAAGTCCAGAATTTATTGTCTCTGTCTAGCATTTACTGTCATTGACATCTGCGAAGATTTTCAGACAATAATGTATTGACTTCCACATCTTGCTTCAGTTCAGTATACTGTATCCCATATAGAAGTTTTTTTTTTTAAGAACCATCTGTTTAAAGAGTCTTTATTAATTCATTCTTGTATATTTTTGGACACGTCTACAAATTACAGATCATAGATTTTCTAATAACAAAAGTTGTTCATAGAGCTCTAGGCAGAACCCAACAGGAGAGTCTAAATATAGAAGTGATATTTACATCTATACCCAAGTAATTCATACATAATATAAACCATGTTTGCTAACAACAAGAGCATGTTGTAGACAAGCCCTGATAATACCAAATACAATGTCGCTGTAGGTTTTCCATCATTAAGCCTTAGTGAGCTCTGCAGTAAGGCTATAATTTTAGTCTCATTATATATCTCTATCTTATCTTATGGTGTTCTTTAAAAATATCATATTTAACTTGAAATTTAAGGCAAATGTTTGCTTGAAAATATGCACCAAGCCCACTATTCCCTACTGTGAACCATTTGACCACTGGTCCTGAAGAATTAGGTCTAATGCTTTTCATTGTGTTAATAGAGAAATAAAAAATGTATATATTTATAGTGTACAACATGACGTTTTGAAAATGTATACATTGTGAAATACCTAAATCAAACTAATTAACACATACTAATGTATGTATCTCACTTACTTATCAATGTTTTGTGTTGAGAACACTTAAAATCTACTCTCTTAGCAATTTTCAAGCATACAGCATCCCACTTTACTCTGCAGAATACAGAACCATGTATGTATGTATGTATGTATGTATATATGTATTGAGACAGGGTCTCACTCTGTTACCCAGGCTGGAGTGCAGCGGCATGACCACAGCTCACTGCAGCCTCAACCTCCTGGGCTCAAGCAATTCTCCCACCTCAGCCTCCCAAGTATCTGGAACTACAGGTGTACAACACACACCCAGATTAATTTTTTGTATGTTTTGTAGAGACAGGGTTTTGCCATGGATCACTTGAGCCCAGGAGTTGGTCTCAAACTCCTGAGCTCAAGTGATCCACCTGCTTCAGCCTCCCAAAGTGCTGGGACTACAAGCATGAGCCACTGCGCCTGGCCATATAGAACTTTTCAATCCCCACACTACAGTAAGTCTCAAATTGTCTTTTCCAAGCTCATGAGAGGAAATACCAAAAGGAGACTGCACTATGGCCCTAGGCTCCATGCCTGGAGGAAGGTGTGGGCTTCTGACACAGAGGAGGAGCTCCCATGCTCAGTGGTAGATGAAAATGGGATTTTGTGCAATGTTACCAGTTCCTTCTTTGACCCTAACAGTCCACAGATAAGGAGATTGTGCCCAGATTCTTCACCAGAGAAGCAAAATAAAAAGTTATTTATACAGTGAACATTGGTTTTGTTATAGCAGACACAGGGGACTTCTGTCAGCTTTTATTTTAAGCTGTTTACATTCTGAAAATGGATATTAACAGATGTATGCACTTGATTAAATATGGTACTCTTATTCATCTTAATTGGTGATTTCTGTCCTATGTATAATACCATTTTTACATAGAGATAGATAAATTTTAATTATTATACAGCAAGATATGATATCTGGAAATTCTCACCTCTTGGTTTGGTAACACACTTTCCTGGCTGTTATCTATTTTGAATGGTTGTGTCTCTGTTTCTTTCTATTGCTCCTTGTTTTCCTTCTGTGCCTTAAATTAATATGAAAGCCAAGGTTCTGACCTCTCTTCTTTCTGAATCCCTAACACAACCTGAGCTGTGGCACCACATTCTAATTGCCTGAACATGTTCACATCTATTTCCAGCTAGCTGCCTAATCAACCTTCTATTTGTACTTCAGTCTTCTGCATTCATTACCTCGCACATGCACGCGCACACACATGCACGCACGCACGCACACAGACCTCCCTAATGCGATTTATTGTACCAATAGTCTCTGAGTCAGCTGGATTCAAAACAGCAGCCATCTTTGGTTCTTTTCTCTCCTTCATCAAGCTGTTACCTTCACAGCTCTTCATGATGCTCTCACAATTGCACATGTGTTCTGACATGCTTTTCTTCCTTACATGCCCATTTAATTCACCCTGTGTAAAACTAAGCACCTCCTTCATTGTATTAGTCTTGCATAAAATATTCAAGAAAGCTCTGGAACTACCACCTGAAGCTTCAACGTAATTTAGTGGAATTAATCTGACACTTAGGCTCTACCAAATGTGGGCACATCTGTGCAGGGCTACATTTCAGTTCCAACCTTGTCTCCTTGTCCTAAACGCCAAGAGAATGCTTTCCTATCTCTACACCTGCTCTTTCCTCAGCCTTATCCCTTGCTCTATACCTACTGAAAGTCAATCTCCAAGGTTCAACTCAAGGAAGGGTTCCTCCAAGAAACCTTCCATAAACACTCCTGGAACCCTATCTTTTTGCCCCTAGACAGCTGTGGTCTTCTGGACCATTCATATCCCATCCACCACCCAGCATCTCGACTTGGGCTTATTCGCATCCTTTTCATGCCTCAGCACCATAGTGTCCACACCTTGAAGATGCAGACTCTGACTCATTGACCACTGGAGCCCTCAGAGGATGTAACACAATGCCTTTGTACATAATAGGTGCTCAGTAAGCATATGCTGAATATTGAGCAATGGGCATTTGAATCCCTAGGAAGGGGCTATAAGCCAGGAATAGAAGGACCACAATGTAGAACTGAGAAAAGATAAGGAAACAAACTGTGCATGTGGGGAATTACACAGACTCCTTCAAAAACACCGAGTTTCACAAGGTACACTATCTCCAGTCACTCCAAGGTCCCACACCCCAGGGAGGACTTGCTGATCCTTAGGAACAGGTGTGTCCTTTCTTTGCCCCTACCTCACTCCTCTCCCTGCAGGTAAACAACTCAAACCCCTGTAAGACTCCAAGAGCATTTGCTACAATTTCAGCCATTATAACTGGACTTATCTCTTCTGCCTGCACTCCAGTTCTGGTAGCTGGATTCCTTTGCTTTATGCTGAGGTTCTGCCTTACTAATCCCCTTCCCCCTGTCCTCTGAACTTTGGATTTCAATTTGTGTTTCTCAATACCATCCTTATACCTCCTCCAGTAGGTACTCTCACCTTTGAACCTAAGATAGGTGTCCCCTACCTGCTGAAGTAGCCCTTGATGCCAAATGCCTGCCTCCTATGAAACTGCTGCCAAGCTCCACCACTTGTCCAGATGCCCCTATTACTCCTTACTAGGAAGCTCTCCCTGTGCTAGCTCTTGCTGGCCGGGATGTCCAGCTTTGGCAGTCCCACAAGACTTGCATCAAGAGCGGGCAGCAGGATGACATCCACAGTGCCCATAGCCCCCAGGAGGGAAACTCTCAATTAGGACCCTGAACCCTTAACCTCTGACCCTTCCACTCTAGCTGACCTGGCTCTGACCACAGATGTGACCACTTGCAGAAGGCCAGCTATAGAGAAGACAGAAACACCCAGAACAGCGTGTCACCTTCAGAGTAGCTGGGGTCAGCTACTGTCCATAGCTGCCCCTGTGTTGATCTTATAAATCAGGATGCAAGACAATGAGGCCTGTCCTCAGGTGATCCTATGAGGCGGTGGTCAGGAAAAATACAAAAGAGCTTCAGAAAAGTAAAACGTGTTTAAGAGGAAGGACATTAAAAATATCATCCTAAGCCTCTGTACTTCTGTAATAGGTGTAATTGCAGGCATCTAAGCAATAAATACGTGCACACTGAATTGCTCCAAAACCATGGAAATAAACCAAATTCCATTTTTAATGCATGCAATAAACTTTTTCCCTAGGATATCAGTTAAGATTGCTCTAACTTTTAAAAAAATAACAGCTGACTTATTCTGTATTCCTATAGCTCAGAATAAATAGATCAACTAACTTTAAAGTTGGCAGGTTTACAGTTCTCCCAGAGAAGAGAAATTAAAGCCAAACTGAAGATAAAAAGTAAGTATTTTTATATTTATGAAGTCTTAAAATTACAGAGCTGAACATACAAGGTCAATACAGAGCTGGCATAGAGCTGAGCTAAATGCTTCCTACATTAGCCTTATTTCCTCAAGTGAGAAAGTATGCTCCGGCGGGTGGCGATGTGTGACGAGCAGTAGGCGAGGATGGCTGTGGTTCTGAGGCTCTGTGCAAACTTTGCATCCTGAGTAAACATTTACAGTTAAATCCCCAACTCAAGGCTCTGGCTAAATCCCTTCCTAAAATTAGGTCAAAATGTGAATTGTGAAATACAATGCTCTCTTGAGTATTTACAAATGACAGTGTCTTTATTTGTTAATGACTTTGTGTTTATTTTTCTGTGTATTTGTGGTTTTTATCCACCTACCCCCCAAGAGTAAGCTCCACAGGACAAGATCCATGCCTTTCTTGTCCATAATCCCAGTGTTGAATACAACGTCTGCCAATGACAGTTTCTCAATAAAAACTTGTTGAATGAATACATACATTTTTATTCTTACTATGACCTCCTCAAGGGAGCTCACCAACCCTTGCACCTATCTCAATGCTCAGAAAGAAGAAAAAAACTCTGCCTGTTCATTAACTATAGAAGGACATCCAAGCACTGTAATGTAAGGTGTCACTTTCAAAGGTAACATTTTATTTGATCACTTTGAGAGCCTGTCTCCAAAGCATGGAGAAAGAATATTAATCTTCCTTATATTTGTCTCTCTGATCACTAGAAATTTATTAACATTTAATTGTCTTGAATTTGAATTTGGTTTTCAGGAAGCTTCAAAGAATTAGCATACTCTGAGTAAACCCTTGTAAGATATTAATTTTTGATCTCAAAGGGTAGTTAATTTAGGTTGTTTACATGACAGATTGGGACAGAGTTAAAGGTTAAATTCTACCTTTGAAGTCTAAAGATAACTGAAAGTTGATGTTAATAATTTTATAATTACTGAAACTATGATTAGAATTGTCTAAATATATCATGCTAGTAAAAGTGTCATATCATTCCTACTCACTCTCCCTGGGAGATGACCTGACTTTTGAATTTTCATTACCCCTAAAATTATCAGCTTCAAAACAGCATTTATGAAAAGAAATTAACATAAACATTTAAATGAGTTTTTTCTGAAAAGTTACTTACTCATCTAAAACTGAAAGCCAACAATGAAATTACTTAAATTAATCATTCCTCCCTTCACTCAATACATAATTACGCCAAGTTTTGAGTATACAAGCAAAAACAAAAAAAAAACATAAAATATTGTCCCTATATTTAAGGAGTCTGCTGCAGAAATCCATTTTTATATATTTGTTGATTTAATAAGTACTGGTGACAAAGATGACATGGCTTCAGTCCACATTAGGCTTGAAGGTTCACAAGGTTGGGAGCATGTATTAGTCTGTTTTGCATTACTATAAAGGAATGCCTAAGACTGGGTAATTTATAAGGAAAAACCTTCATTTGGCTCACAGTTCTGCAGACTGTACAGACATGTCACCAGCATCTGCTCAGCCTCTGGTGAGGCCTCAGGAAGCTCTTACTGATGGTGGAAGGTGGAGGAGGGGCAGGCATGTCACATGGCAAGAGAGGGAGCAGGAGAGAAAGAAGGGGGTTCCAGGCTCTTTTAAACAACCAGCTCCCACGAACTGACAGAGAACTCACTCATCACCAGGAGGACAGCACAAAGCCATTCATGAGAGATCCACCTCCACAACCCAAACATCTCCCACTAGGCCCCATCTGCAACATTAAAGGTCACATAACATGCAATTTGGAGGGGACACACAACCAAACCCTAACAGACCACATCCATAATGCTCACCATTGAATCGCTACTATGAGAAGCATAACAGTAACAAGTATGTATTACTATGTGATGCTTTTAAAGGCACTGTTGTTGCAGAAAGGCAAATGTGGAAATAGAGAACATACAATGTGACAAGGGAGATGACAAAAGAATGTACCTAGTGCATTATTGCCAGAAGGGAATACCGAAGTTGGCCTGCTGAAGTCAGAGAAGATATTTCAGACACCATTGAGTGGAAGCACTATGAATAAGAAGGTGTCTCGGGTGGGCAGGCATGAGAGGGCGTTTCAGGCAGAATAAACAGAATGGGCCCAGGCATGGAAATATGGCAAGCTCAAAGACCATGAACATCTTGGTACAGCTATCAAGGTGCTACAGACACAATCAGAATTGTTCTCAGGCCTTCTCATAAACTGTTACCTGGGTAAAAACAATGCCTCTGAAAGTAATCTAAGTGAAAAATTATTATTGGGCTAAAGTTTATATTTTACAATGATTTAATCAAAGGACAGATAACCTTTGACTATAATTTATAAAACTAAAGAGCATTCACTTTAAATATTAGTATTTTTGATTACTTCTAGAAAAACAATTTAACAATTTCTATTCAAGCCTGCAATCAAATCAGAGCCACAGCTGTCCCTTGATATAATGAGGATTTAATATTCCAATCTACTGTTCTCTGATAAAGCCAGCTTCAAAAACTCCAAACCTCATGCCACCATTTCTTCCCAGTCTGATAAACTATCTATTTGAAAAACACAAATAGATGAACGCTTGCATTCAACCACACATAAATCATGGATCCTACAGGCTACAGAAGTTCTTTATTCTGCATACACATCCAGGAATCATTTTTATTGAGTGCCTCAAAAGAATAAAACCAAAAAAAAAAGGGAGGTCTGGTCAGTCTTGGAGAACTGGAGGAGTAAAACCAGCCCCCTGCTTTGGGATAAAACTATGAGGAGGTGAGGAGAAAGGGCAACAGGGGAGCTAATGTACCTCAAACTGCACCGTATGAGGAATGGCTGAAGGCCCGAGAGGTTCAGGTTGAAGAACTTTGTCTCTAGGGGAGTAACCATAACTGGCTTCAAGTGTTTGTAAGGAGAGTGTGAGGGTTGATTGTATGTGTCAATTTGACTGGGTCATGGAGTGTCCAGATACTTAGTCAAACATGATTCTGTATACTTCCACAAGAGTGTTTTTGAATGAGATTAGTGTTTAAATCCATAGACCGAGTAAGGCAGATTGCCCTCTCTCACGTGGGTGAGCTGAAAGTCTACACAGAACAAAAGGCTGACACTCTCCCAAATAACAGACAATTCGCCTGTCTGACCTGATGACCTTCAAACTAGAATAATAGCAGTTTCTGGTTCTACAGCAGTCCACGACCTGCAGATTTCAACTAGGAGGCTGGCTCTGCAGATTTTGGACACAAGCCAATTCTTTATTTGATGACAGATGATAGACAGATAGATAGACATACACATAGGTAGACAGATACATAGATAGATAGATTCATACCTACATACATGTGCACTTGAGTCCATACCTCCTATTAGTTCTGTTTCTCTGGAGAATCTTGACTAATACACAAAGCAATAATGAAGACGAAATAGTATGAGAAAACAGGAAAAGTTGAGATAGTAAAAGACAGTTTGGGGTGACAATGCATAAGCCAGTTTACGTAAGCAGAGCTCTTACAGAGATACGGTGTGAAAGAAGATGGAAAAGTGAAATTGGTGCTGTGGGATTGATTCCTGCAGATGTCCATGTCCCTGGATGTCTCTGAGTGAGGGTGGGATGGATAAGCAAGGTGCGTCTGGATGTGACGTGTAACCTACTGAAGGAGGAAGAGTCTGGAGGTCCAGGTTTGGTCATCATGTGAGGAAGATGGAGTTCCTCTATATGAACCCAATTTTCAATCAAAAAGAACTGGAAAATGTTTTGGGTTAAAAGTTAGGTTGGCCAAGGAGGTGGGAGGCACGGTGTGGGGGGCGTGCAGGAGAAGCAACACTTCAAACAAAACAAAATCATTGAACAAAATGTAAAAAGATTAGGTTTGTTTTTCTGTAAACATTACACTCTTGCAACTTCTGCACTTTTCTGCATTTCTCCTAAATAAAGCTGCACAGTGAAGAAGAATTGTTATGACTTCCTTGGGTGCCTCTGTGACAGCTTCATCTTTCAAGCAAATCTCTAAGATTAAAAAAAAAAAGATTATCGGGCCTTAAAACACCCCATGTACTGTTAAGTCGTTTAAGCCAAGAACAAACTACAGACCAAGCAATGCTAAGCACTAAAACTGGAACCTTCCCCATCGTAGCAGTAAACACATTACTTATATAGATACGCCGGCCAAACTCCAAACAACTTATGCCACAAACGAAGATGAGGCAAAACAATCAAGGTGGCAGATAAAGCAGTGACACTATACAAAGAGAAGAATTAATTTAAATGTTCTGCAGAAATACCTAAGCCAAATTCTCTTTCTCTTTCTCTCTCTCTTTCTTTGTAAGTCTTTAACTTTTTAAACAAGGAAACCACTAAAGTTAATCTAAGGGAAAGCTATTCTATCACATTTAAGTTTTAAAATAAATATTAAGAAATTAATAAATATCAAATTAACATAGTACCTGTCATTTAACACTAATGAAAGATATTATTGATGGTAGGGCTATTCTCAGCATCATTTAGTGAATAAGGAAATACTAGACTGAGGGGCTGGGCAAACCCAAAAAGGAGAAAAGAAATGCTAGAATTGTTGATGGATTGCCTTGAGCTAATTTTGGTACCAAGTTGATGTCCTGATATCAACAGCTACCTAAGCCAAACCCAAGCATATCTTAACTTGCACACATGCCCTGCACTATCTAATTGTTCTTTCCAGAGTTCATTTCTTTAGGTAATATTTATTGTTCCCTAAAAGAGAAGCTATTCCCAGTATCTTCTCACTTCCAATAGCACGTATTAGCTTTCACCAACTTACTCGCATAAGACAGCCCAACTGTTGCCAGGGGTAATGGAACCACAAGACCTTGAGAAGTAAAAGTCAAACTGCTATACCATTTTGTTTCTATAATTTACCATTTTCTTTCTGGCATCAGGGGTGGGCTACCCAGACCATATTCTCCTGCTAACATTTGTAAAGGTAAATACAAGAGGTGCATAGCTACAACAACTGTGGACTCTGCTGTCCCTCTAGGAATTTTCCTTGCATGGTCCCAGGCCGATGCTGAAATATATATTCTAGGGTAAATGCCCATTGTGACTTGGGAGTTTATTTTAAATTGAATCTTTAATATGCAAATGTGAGATTCACCTGGGGCACCATAAGAATGAAATCTATCCTCCATCCTGTCTTGCGCTCTTACATTAAAAGGAAGAAGAGTAATTTTTAACACACCCCTACGATGGTTTTATGCAAATTCTTCAAGCTAGGCAAATTATTTCTGTGTTAAAATTTTTCAACCCCATAAAAACAGGAGTGAATTTATGTGGCATTTTAAAACGATGTTAGGCACATTGTAAAGCTATTTCATCTCATTTATAAAGAAGAGTGAACATAAAAACAGGCCATGGCATAATTAATAGTGGAATGATTTATAGCACCAACTCCTCCATACATATTTATGCATTTTCTATAGTCTGGTGCAAGTTCTTCCCCTCCAGACCGTCAATCCCTGCCCTTGCCAAAGGAGAGAAGTACTATCAAGTGAAACTTGTAATACGGAGCTTAAATTATGTTTCACACACAAGTGTGAACACACACACACACACACGCCCCTGTAATGGTTCTCTAGAATTTTCTGAAGGGCCCTAAAGAATTCTATTATCCAGGTTCCACTCCTAAAGGTTCTGCTTGAATTGGTCTGTGGGTGGGCAGCCTGGGGCATTGAGATTTTTGAGTTTCAGAAGAAGCCCAGCTTGAGACCTACTATCTATACTACAAGGATATTAATATTATTAAGCAAAGTTACAATGTGCAATTTAAATCACCACTGTTACTAAATAACTTGAATAATAAACTCAGAGACCATACTGTAAGGCCATTCCATTTCTACTTCACCCTTCCATTTATGATTTACTGCAAATTCAACAAATATTTCTTGAGTGCCCACTATGTGCCAGGCACTGTGCTAGACCCTGGAGATACAAACATAAATAAGACAGACATGCCCTGTCTGTTCAAAATGTAGAGTTCAGCAGACATTTGTGGACTGCTTTTTCTACTTCCTGTTTCCCAGCTAACGTTCTACCTCTTCTTAATATCTGTGGATGGTATCCGCTGGCTCTCGAAGTAGCTATCGGATTTTCCTACTTGGAACCTCTGTTTTTAAATTCCTTAAGAATACAGATGAAAACTAATGAACTGATATATCTTTACAATGGCAATAAGAACACAGGTAATAAACAGATTTTGAAACTAATTAACATTTCAAAGAATCACCTGAAAGACAATAGGATACATTATCTCCTTATAGAGATTTGGTTCTCTCTTCTGAAGTTATGAGAGAAACAAAAGTTCAGCACAAACTATACTTACTACGCTTAAGTCTGATCTCCACTGGAAGTAGAGCACTGAGTTACCCCACTCTTCTTCTGCCCATGATCATCAAGGTGGGCTTCAGTATAATTTGAGATAAACTCTAAAATATTTCCTAGGTTTTTCAAAAGCATAGTCTTGCCTATGAAGGGAGTGCAAAATAGCAAATATGCCAGTGTTGGTCATAGAAGGATGTCATTTAATTTCTCTTTACTATGTTCAGCTGAAAAGTCTGCTCACAATGGTTTGATGAGGCAAATAGAAATAATTACTCCATTTTTATGGGGATAACATGAGCACAATAAGCTGAGTTATCAAACTTACGATCCAGATAAGTAGCAGAAATGTAAGCAAACACTGACTCAAAAGATAAATGAATTTTAGTCATACATAGAACCCACCATGACTTCCTCATGGCTGACACAGGCTGCATAAATAATGCCAGCAAGACTTAGATAGCATTATACAGCTATGTTCTCACATATTTCTATTATATATTCACCAGGCAAGGAGCGCATTTTCTATTTTTTTAGTTAATAAACACTCATCTGATTCCCTCTACAATACTAATTTTGAAAGGAGCTTCTTTATTTGCATAATTTTCAAGTATTTCTTCTAGTGCAAGCTTCATTTTAAAGCAATACATTTGTGAATTTCTTAATGAGGCTCATTTTTAAATAATATAATGAGCCAGATTTTCTCCAGTGCCCAAGTCACTTCCTGGTAATTACTGAGCCTTCCAGGCCGTAGTAATTTACCACTCACCATGCTCCATCAGACATTCACCAGAGAGGACGGCACTTCGGAAGGTGATGAAAACTTTATGCACAAATAAGAGAGGAGAAAGATGAGAGGGTCAACGCTGAAAAATATTCATACTTTGAATTTTTCCATACTGTGGGTCAAAAAAGACTAAAAAGAGTTGTCACAAAGATCATAATAATAACTTGAATAAAATAAAGGTAATAATGATTTACATTTTACAGATCTGTTCAAGCCCCTATTTGATCATTTTCAGTGGCAAAGTGCTCACTCTTTTGTTAAATAGCTTGTTCCACTGTTGGACTGTTCTAGTTTGAAATTCCTATCCATCTGCCATCAATTGTCTTGTACAACATGGTTTCTACCAACTCATTCTTCCACACACTAGCCATGTAAATATTGGAAGTAACTTATGTCTACCATGAGCCTTCTCTTTCTGTATTAAATTTTTCAGTTCCAGAAACAGTTCATTATATTACATAGTTTTCAGATGCCCTTGCACTGGAGCCAACGTACTTTGAATGCTCTCTGGTTTATAAGTATCCCTGTCAGTGAGTTAGTCCCCAAATTAGACGCAGTGTTCCAGATTTGAGTTTATCAGTGAGAATATCAGATTTCAGTGGGATGTTTATCAGATGTCAGTGAGAATATATCGTCCCTGGTTCTAGGCACTTGCCCTTTTGTTGCTATGCCATTCTGTGGATGTAGGGTGAGTTCATGGTCTACTGATGCCCTTAGGGTCTTTTCAGATCGACTACTGTCAAGTTATGCCTGATCTCCCTTACCCTGAACTAGTGCCAATAAGGTTTAGAATTATATATATATATATATATATCTCCCCATCATATCATATATCCATGGTTGAAACACATCATTCCATCCTATTAAGAAAAAAAAATTTGATTCTGTCATCTATTTTTGGCCTGATGTATTCAACATTATTAATAGGTCATAAGAAGAGATGCTTTAAAACATATTTGTCATCCTTCATAGTTTGTGTTATGCCCAAAACTGATAAGTATGTTTCCTATGTAACTGAAGCACAATCAGCCACACTTTCCTGGAGAGTTATTTGGAGAGAGGAATGGGTCCTGAAACTGATTCCCTTCAAATAAAGATGAAAGGAGAATGCCCAGGTGAAGAAATTGGCTTGGCTTCGGATCTAATGGGGAAAAATATTAATAGTAAAGTTTCTGCTCAACCTTTGTATAGCTAAGAGATGATCCATAGGGAGAAGGCAGGCCTGAAATAGTTCTATCTTTTATATCCCTGAAGATTCCAGTGTAAAGAGCAAACATCTGCCAGTCAAGAAGACTCATGAAGTTGTTAAATGGTTTCCTTGGTGTGGGCAGGGGCATCTGTGAAGACTGCGCTTCTTTTTCTCAATGTGTCTTCTGACTGCTCTGAGAATTACTCTTGGGGCTGAGTGTCTATTTGGATCCTGTGATCACCCAGTGGATGACAACCAGATGAGCAGACAACCTGCACCACATGATGACAGGGAAACCTTGACCCAATCAGACCTGGGGGAGGATGACTGAAGTACAGCAGGAGATTATTCTAGACTGAACAAATCAGGTAGTGAGAAATGCACTGCTGGGAGCTGCTGCATCCTCCATAATCTGTACGGGAGATAGGAAGATAAATAAATTCCTTTCTGTTCATGGTGGTGGCAATCCCTAAGGGGAGCCAAACAACAGATATGTAAAGATAGGGACATGGTATGTGATGCATGAAAAGTGTTTTTTCCTCAGAGCTCTCGTTGGTTTCTGAAAGAATCTTATTTGATTATTTTTAATTGTGTCTTTCCTACCACCAGAATATAAATCTCCTTTCGAGCAGGAACCACCATCATATCTCCTCTCATTTTCCCAGCATCTAGAACACTGAACAGAGAAGTACTCAGTTACCACATTTGGCTACAAAGATAGGTTGAAAGATGGACTGAGATGGGGCAGAACTTGAAAGTGGCAGAGCAAGGACCTAGACTATGTCCCTGAGAAAATATCTCCTAGAGATTGACCGTTGTAGTCCTCTTCCCCATAGGACATACTTGAATGATCTTGAGTGGAGGTCATGTGAGCAGCAAAAGGGTAGAGTGGTGGAGGTGAATGCAGTCACTCCCACACTTACTAGTTTGCTGAAGTTCATGAACAAGAAGATATAACAAATATAGGGGGCTGTGGCTGGGAGGTGTCAGAACAGTCAAGGAGTGAAGCAAATCCCCTTGATTGCATTAGGAGTAATATGAGAACAAGTTCCCCCTTCCCAAATATGCCAGAAAAGGTGGACCCTTGAAAGCGTGGGAGGCTGTTATGTATTAGATTATGTATTTATGTAATTACATAAAAATATCAGTGGGGCTGCAGATATATTTTAGGGTGACATAAATCTAATATTTTGCATATAGATATTTTAATGAAAGGAGCCCAAGTGACTCTATTATCATACTGCCCAATTTCTCCCTACCCACCAGGAGCATGTCCATATTGGGAGAAAGCTGCTGGCTAGCTCAATGAATAAAGCTAAACTCTATCTATGGGTAATGGTTTTTCCCTTCATCTGCCAGTCCAGTAATGCTACAAATACAAGGAAGTAACTGGTCATGTGTTGTTCTTAATGAGCCAGGGACCATCTCTTTCTTATGTAATTGTTAAAACATAATTTGTTAAGTATTTATCCCAGAGGCTTTCTGCCCCTAGGGATTTTTGAATCAAAAAGGTTTCAGATCTGTAGATATGCATAACTAATACACAGGAGGTAAAAGTGCTTTGATCCAATAATAGTAAGAAAGAAAGCAAACACAAAACTCCCAGAAAATGTACACTATGCTAAACTTTACTCCCATACTGTTCTATTTCAAGTGACATAAGAAAAGCAACTGGTAAATTGTGGAACTGCTTCTAAATCAAATGATACGATGAGTTGTAGTCTACCAGGAAAATCACTCTTATAAATAATTTGGGAATGATGAAGATAATGTTATGTTTTGGGCATCATAGTTGCAAGCCATGGCATACTGGGCAAACGTTCTTATATATTCCATGAAGTCACAGAGTATCAGTTGGCTGGGGGAAGCACCTCCCATTTGGCCCTAGGCAGACATTATATCATCCCATTTTCAGAAGCTTCTCAGTAAAGTTATCATTCTCATTACATTTTGCATTTTTATACCACCTGTAATCATAGCTCCCAGGCACTATATACGTTGTTAATTTATTATAGTCATTTCAATTTTGCTAGTTAACTCTCAGGTCTCCTTATGTGTTAAGCCCTAAAATCAGCAGGAAGAACTGAAACTCTTAAATACCCAAATCCCCGTACATTTTCAGGAACCAGAAGACCTGGGTTCTAATACTGTTTTTTGTACTAATCAGCTCTATGACTCCAGCAAGTCACTTCTTTCTGGGCCTCAGTCTCATGAGTAAAATGTCAGACTTGATCTAAATGGGGCTGGGCACAGTGGCTCACACCTGTAATCCCAGCACTCTGGAAGGCTAAGGCGGGTGGATCATTTGAGGTCAGGAGGTCAAGACCAGCCTGGCCAACATGGTGAAACCCCGTCTCTACTAAAAATACAAAAAATTAGCCAGGTGGGGTGGCAGCGGGCACCTGTGATCCCAGCTACTTGGGAGGCTGAGGCAGGAGAATCACTTGAACCCGGGAGGCAGAGGTTGCAGTGAGCCGAGATCGCGCCATTGCACTCTAGCCTGGGAGAGAGAGTGAGACTGTCTTAGAAAAATAAATAAATAAAAATAAATTAATAAACAAATGGCCTCTAGTATCCTTCCCAGCTCTAAGATTTTTGGGCTTTGTATAACAGAGCTCTCAGGAATAAGTCTGACATATATCTGCGCATAGATGGAGATTAATCTGTTCCTGAGGTCACTCTGACTCTACACTCCTTGAGTGCATCATCCATTCTGGTGCTGCCAGCTGTCAGCTCCCTGTGGAAGACTCTGTGTCAGATCTAATTCCAGAAGGTCCTCAGAACCAGAAATAAATAGGAATGCCTAGGGCTAATTTAGACGTCTGAAACTAAGCAAAGAGAAGCGATTCCTTTATGAAATTTATTTTAGAATAAAAATGGTTTGCAGAATGAAGTGAAGGAACTGGCATTAAGTTACAAGAGCATGTTAGTAATTAATGGCATGGCTTAAAATATCAAGTTAAGACATTATTATCAGTGAAGAATCCATTAACCAAATCTAAACAAGGCTGATAAAGGCTCCTTTGCCTAAGGAGGGAGTGGCCTATTAGAGTGGTTGGGAGGAGGGTTGGAAGACATCCTTAAATGTTTTCTGCTATTCACATGCTTATAATTTTGTAGATAAAATGGATCCAATGTAAGTGAAGGGACAAGTTAAGCAAGCAAAAGACAAACAGATGTATACATTCACAAGCTTATGATAAATATTTGGGCATTTTAATTAAGTTTTATACCTGAGTGCTGTAAAAACCTTAGAATGGGCATTTAGGGAAAGGTAAAATTTGTCTTGGAAAGTAGCTTACAAGAAATAAATATAAAACATTTATTAGGAAGTGACTGGGCAGAAATGCAATCAGGCTGAACTTGCCAAAGAGTTAGGTGGGTAGTAGGGTGTAGAGCAGTGCTCACCATGCAGCAAGACCCAACCTCCAGGAAAAATTCAAAACTTTATCTGGTAATCTCCAAGTGAGTTTTCAATGTTGTGTAACTATGAAAGAGTTATCTGTAGAGATGGGGTTTTAGCCAGCAGCCACTATCCACTTGTCAGGCCTGTCAATGGCCTATGCCCAACATTCTGGTCTTGTCACTCATCAGGAAGACTCTGAGCATGAAGCAATAAGGTAGATTCTCACATGGAGAATGTTTAGTCCCTGGGCTACAGGAAAATACCAGGCACATTTATTGCATGGGCCATAAGGGAGTAGTTGAAGATATTAACAGGGAACTGGTAGAACAAGCGGATGTGTCCAAATACAAAAGGAAGCCACCGTGGCTTTCTGAACCTAGGGGTGGTTCACTGGGGGAACTAAATACCTATTAATAAGCAGCCAATTATCCATCAGAATGTTTCTCTTTTCAATTCCAGGAATAAATTAAAATGGTGGAAAAATAATGAAGAACTACTGAAAAATAAACAGACTTAAAAATGAGTGCCCAGGCTCACGCATGTAATCCCAGCACTTTGGGAGGCTGAGGCGGGTGGATCATGAGGTCAGGAGTTCAAGACCAGCCTGGCCAATACAATGAAACCCTGTCTCTACTAAAAATACAAAAAATCAGCTGGGTATGGTGGCAGGTGCCTGCAATCCCAGCTACTTGGGAGGCTGAAGCAGGAAAATCACTTGAACCCGAGAGGCAGAGGTTGCAGTGAGTGGAGATCTCACCACTGCACTCCAGCCTGGGTAACAGTGTGAGACTCCATCTCAAAAAGAAAAAAAAAAAGTGTCCAAACTGAGTTGTGCAAATGCTTTCGTTGGGTTAAATTTTATAGTCGTAGTCATAGGATGGAGACACATTGGAGCTCAGATTAAGGTTTACAGAGAACACTAGTGAAACAATGAATGCTAGGAGAGAACATAAACTGACAGAAAGTGTTTTCTAAGTTTATACTTTCCCTATTTTCTCTATGTTCCTATTTCTAACCAGTATGGCCAAAGTATAAAAGCACCTATTCTGTTGGCCACTTTTTTCCAGATTCACTGGACATAATTCTCATTTGAAAATACTTCCCTGAGAAACCCTGGGAGAGTAAGCCACTACTACGCCTAGATAATAGCACAGCCCAAGCAGATATTGGAGCAGAAGAAAAATGTTGAGATCACGTGAAAAACACAGAACGAGGGATCTGTCCAAATAGCATCAATAGACAATTGGAAACGCAGAATCATCTCTGACCCAAGTCTTTTGTAACCTACCCTTACCAAGAAAGAGTGGAAATGGTATAAATTCCACTGAAAAAGCAAAAGGCGCAAATATTTTTAGATAAGATTTTTCCCAGGTTATCTTGAATTTTCTATGCAGTATAGATACTTCTGAAATCGATTTTCATGTGCTTAGCTGGGCATGGTGGCTCACGCCTGTAATCCCAGCACTATGGGAGGCCGAGGCAGGCGGATCACTTGAGGCCAGGAGTTCAAGACTAGCCTGGCCAACATGGCAAAACCCCATCTCTACCAAAAATTCAAAAATTAGCCGGGCATGGTGGCATGTGCCTGCAGTCCCAGCTACTCAGGAGGCCAAGGCATGAGAATCACCTGAACCCAGGAGGCGGAGGTTGCAGTGAGCCAAGATCGTGCCACTGCACTCCAGCCTGGGTGACAGAGTGAGACCCTGTCTCAAAAATAAATAAATAAATTTTCATGTGCTCAAATGTTTCACTGGGATATATCATAATATTTTAAAACAAAACTATTTTCCTCTTTCAAATTGTTAGTAAATTTATAATGCATTAGATCTCTATAATTAATATATAAGGCAAGAGAAAGGTATTGACTATCATCATTTATTCTCTCAAAGTATGATTGGACTTACTGCATAAATTATTCACATATTCTACTAGCACAATAAAATAGCATCTGTTTCTGCATGAATCACATTATTTATTTGGAGCACGTAGTGAAGGTCCTTTAAAATGCTTTGCTAATATGCTGGACAGGGGACCTCAGGCTCTAATTCGTGTTTGGGTCCTCCTATTTGGAAGTACACAGTGTAAGCATTACAGTTGCATCAGTCTCTGGTTTATTTGCATCCATTATAGGTGAAGCATAACCTTCAAGATATGCCAGGCATTGGGCAGAACTGTAAGATTGAAGGGAGGAGTGACTTTATCTCATGCTCACCTCTTCTTCTGGTATCCTTTTTCCCCTTTGAAACCATCACTGTCCACCTGCATCTCCCACCATGATGAATCTCTATTTTACCCTGTGCCTTTGCAAACAGAGGCAGACTCTCTCCCACTCTCATTTATAAAACAGACACTTCTGACACTCAACTTACCATCAAAAATGTATCAGTCCTAGCATTGGTTCACTGATTAGTGTCATTGCATTTTGAGACACATTAATGAAATTAACTGATCCAGGATAAAATGATTTCTAATGTCATATTGTATTTAACATTTAACTGAGAATAACACCCTACTTCTAGTCATTAAGTAAGTCAATGATATAAGTATGCATGAAACATGTCCCCTATCCTTAGAGATGTTTACAATCTTAGAAGTTTTAGGGAAAGAAACAAATGCATGTAAGAAATAGAATAAATGATTTTAATGGGCAGAAGCAGCACAGAGAAATCAATGCCTAATAGGGGATTAACATGGAATTAATTGCAACTGGGAGTGAAAACCACTTTTCTGTTATGCCTCTCATTATAGAGTCTTCCTCAGGTATAGGAGGTGATATGGTTTAGCTGTGTCCCCACCCAAATCTCATCTTGAATTGTAGCTCCCATAATTCCCACATGTTGTGGGAGGGACCCCTGGGAGATAACTGAATCATAGGGGTGGTTTCCCCCATACTGTTCTCGTGGTAGTTAAGTCTCACAAGATCTGATGGTTTTATAAGGGGTTTCCTCTTTCTCTTCGTTCTCATTCTCTCTTGCCTGCTTCCACGTAAGATAAGCCTTTCGCCATCCACCATGATTATGAGGCCTCCCCAGCCACATGGAATTGTAAGTCCATTAAACCTTTTTCTTTATAAATTACCCAATCTTGGGTATGTCTTTATCAGGAGTGTGAAAACAGACTAATACAGGAAGCAAGAGAGAAGTGCTTTATTCTAACTACCAGAGTATGGGCTTCGCAGAGGATTCTTACATCTTACACAAGGCAGGTGCCTGATAAATGTTTAAATAATGACTATTCAAATGAGAAGAGGCTAAAATGGACCACCTGTATAGGTAGGTGGAAGATTTCCAATCCCCCCCAAAAAAGTGGGCTGTTGGCATACTACTGAAACCACACAACTTTGGTGGTTTCTGCATAAGACAGTATTTTTGCATAAACATCTCCAGAGAAAGTATTACTAGTCATGGGCTCTTTGAGATCCCTGAGGGCCACATTCTACCTGGCTGTTTCAGATTATCCTGAAAAATGGTAGAGGGTGGCAAGCACCAATCTGTCCCTTGAGGACACAGTTTTCCACCTTTCTGGGCCAACTAAAGCCAGTATCACAAGCATGACTTTGCCTCTCCTCTCTCCAACCACAGATAGAGAAGAGCCACAATCTCCAACTGTCTACAAAGAAACGAACGCTCCCAGCTAAAACTGCCCTTTATATTTGATCATTCTGGATCTGTACAGAATTTTTCTCTAAGCATCCCTGTGTGTGTTATGCACACAGAGGGAGAGCATCTTATTTTTATGTTGTCTATAATAAATTATAAGTGTAACAGCGGGAGCTTTTTCAATACTATTTGTAAATGCAGCCAGAGGCTATTAAGTGATTGCTGTATCAAATAAATATAATTAGTAAATAGCAAAATAACATGTTTTGTAAACTGCCTTTGGAAATATGTGATTAGACCAAAGACAACGATTTCTGCCAAAGCTTCTAAGTGTTTCCAAGAGATACCAGGAAAAGGCTTTAACAATTTTTATAACAACTTCGAAAAATGTTCATGTAAATCTGCTAAGAAGGTAGACAGTACTCAGTCCAAACTCCCTTTGAATGCTTCACGTTGAAAATTTAAGCATGGGGGTACACATAAGGGCCCATCATAATTTTTCCAGGGGAGTTAAAATGTGCTTGATTATTGACTATAAGTTTTTAAATTGGCATTTGATGAGGTTAAAAAGAAGGAGGTATAAATATAACTCCATGTGCACAGTGCTCTCACGCTGTAGAGCTATCTCAATTAGTAACACTTTAAATTATTCCAGCAAGTCAATCAGTTTGGAGGGAGGTGAACTCATCCTGCCTTTCCCTCTTGCTGGCATTAGGAAAGGGACTTTGCTTCTCAACAGCAATGTGCTTCTCACTGTCTGGCAATGAACACAGAAGAGTCACCCAAACCCACTGATTCTTCCTCTAGAAGATGCATTATGTTTGTCCCTTACTCATATTCCCTCATCTACTACCTGTTATCTCTTTTCCCAGCCTCTCATCCCCCATTATATTAATTATTCACTTTTATATGTGATTCCCTGATGAAGAACCAGATCTCCATGCATATGTATCAAGCCACAAGTTCAAACCCTACCTAGATTTCAAGATTCTCCAATTTTTTTTTTTTTTTTTTTGAAACAGAGTCTCGCTCTGTCGCCCAGGCTGGAGTGCAATGGTGAGATCTCGGCTCACTGCAACCTCCATCTCCCGGGTTCAAGAGATTCTCCTGCCTCAGCCTCCTGAGTAGCTGGGACTACAGGCATGTGCCACCATGCTCAGCTAATTTTTAGTATTTTTTTAGTAGAGACAGGGTTTCACTGTGTTAGCCAGGATGGTCTCGATCTCCTGACCTCATGATTCGCCCGCCTTGGTTTCCCAAAGTGCAGGGATTACAGGCATGAGCCACCATGCCCGGCCAAGATTCTCCAACTTTTAACTCCACGCATACCTATAGAATAATCTTCTACGAATCCCCAATCAAACCTTCTTCTACTAAAGTTAGGCCTGTCTCCTTCATGTCCCATTCCTGGATTCATGTTTCTACCCCAGTCCCAGGCACACTTCTATTTCCACATTATTCAGGACTCTCTGCCTACAATGACTTACCCTCCAAGGCCTAGATATGTTCCCACTAAGTCAGGTTTCTCAATACACAGCTGGGCAGGCCTTACTTTGAAATGCTATGCTTTCACAGTCTGTTCTGCGTTCCTCTTTTTTTGTTTGTTTGTTTTTCAGACGGAGTCTTGCTCTGTCACCCAGGCTGGAGTGCAGTGGCGTGATCTCTGCTCACAGCAACCTCTGCCTCCTGGGTTCAAGGGATTCTCCTGTCTCAGCCTCCCTAAGTAGCTGGGGCTATAGGCACACACCACCATGCCTGGCTAATTTTTGTATCTTTAGTAGAGACAGGGTTTCACCATGTTGGCCAGGCTGGTCTTGAACTCCTGACCTCAGGTGATCCACCTGCCTCAGCCTCCCAAAGCACTGGGATTACAGGCGTGTGCCACCGTGCCCGGCCTCTTCTTGTATATTGTTCCTGCACCTGTGGCTTTTTCCTTGTCTTCTGTGGCAATGCCAAGACTGGTGCTGAGAAAACAGCATATAAATAGTGACAACCACAATGGTGATGATGATGACAATGATGGAAGCTAACATATGTTGATTCTTCACGTATGGAGGCCCTGTGCCAATTAGTATTAATAAATTATTGCATTTAGACCCCCTAACAACCACACGGGATGGATGGGATTAAATACACCATTTAAAACTGAGACATATAAAAGTCAGTTTGATTAGCTAGTCATTGAAACTGAATTTCAAAGAAGTGGGTATACATAATTATCCTGCAGATATTTAATAATACAGCCAGTATATATATCTGGATTACATTAGAAAAGAGATGGCTCTAAATCCTAGATTAGAACATTCCACTGAGTTCCATGAGCATCCATTTGCTCACCCATTCCTTTGACATACAGGAATCCAGCCCAGTCTATGTGTCATATGCTGTAGGGCTAAAAAATACATCAGTAAAATGGTCCCTGCCCTCAAACAGCTCACCGACTTGGCAGTCCACAAAACTGTGTCTGTGGTCTTATTTCCCCCTAACTTGGAGTCTGAGGGAGGAATAATGTGTGATGCTAGAGAAGAAACATTTTAAAAACAGCTGAGATCCAAGAGTCATTTGGGGGCTGGAGAAGCAATGCCTGATGGGCGGAATGAATGATGAGAAAGGGAAGGTGTGTGTAAGGAAAGGATGGATAGGGCAAGTGACTATGACAGCTCTCACAGAAACTTCTGGAAAAGCAAATACCAAGTAAAGAGTTCCAGAAAAATCATCTCTGGACCCCCTGGGGCAGTATGCTAAAGCCCATACTTATCTGTCCATAGCAGAGGTGTGAATGCCTGCAAAGACCTCAAGGCCGGATCAAATGAGACTGTGCTTCTCTCCAGTTTGGGGCCTCTGGTGATGACTTTAATACCGAGCACTTAGTCATCATGTTTGATGGCTTCCGCGGCCTCATTTATCAAGGATCTATAGTTAAATTTAATTTTCATGTGAGTGGAGGACAGCCATGGCAGCCCAGCTCCTTGTTGCTGATCTGCCCCCGTTGATGTCTTCTGAAGTGGAAATGATGGATGCCACGTGTTCTGGCTGTGATTAAATTTGCTTTGACAAAGCAGCATGGAAATCAGATTTTCAATAGACTTCTGTATTTCACCTAGTGCTGAGTAAACAGATGCAGAACATAATGCTTGCATGGCTGTCAGGCCGATAGCTAATTCATTGTGGCCATCTAATCAGGCTGTCCATTAAATTATTATTTGTCAATAACATACAGGATCATTTCTGAAACTCTGAGGAATGAGAAGCTTGTTTTTAAGTAAATAAATGTGGAGGGCTTGACAACATCAGGGGTTTTTCTTAGGAGGGTCCAAATAACTCATCAGTCTCTGTGTCTCTACCCCCCTGAAGAATCAAAGCACCATTTAAGAAGTTTTTAGTTTCTCTTCGCTTGGCTCCCATTTCAAATGCAAGCAATATCATCCAATTACAACAGAGAATGAAGCTACAAACATTGACACTTTAGCTTCCCCAGTTTATCTTTAAAGGAGAATGAAGCAGAAAATCACATTAAGTATGCATCTTATGTTAGAGCTTTTAACCTCCTGCCTAGAAATGCTGCGTGCAAACCACCTCCTGGAAACAGCTTCCACTTCAGGGAAACATTGGAGACAGCTTGGTCTTATCAGGCAAGCAAAAGTGGCTGAGAATATGATTGTCTATGCTTGTTCCCCTCCCACCCTCTTTTTGTTCCATCAGTGGTTTAAGTAGACAATTGGGTCCCTAGTACTATTAGGAAAGGTCCTCTTTGTTATCCTGGCACAAATTTTCTCCTGTAGCCTCATTCTCAAATTCAGACCTCCATGCTTTCAGTAATTTTTTGACTTCCTGAAGTTCGGGTCAACCACCTTCTTTTGTTCAGTGATTTAGGTAGACAACCAGGTTCCTAGTACTATTAGGAAAGGTTCTCTTTGTTAGCCTAGCACAAATTTTCTCCTGCAGCCTCATTCTCAAACTCAGATCTCCGTGCTTTCAGTAATTTTTTACTTCCTGAAGTTCAGGTCAAGCATTTTCTCACCTTCTTTGAGTCCTGCTTAGAATATCTTGGGCTTCTATCAACATTCTCCTTTTGCACCTACTCCTTGTGAACCAGTCCCATAGTTAGCAAATACTTTTCCCGATAAAACCCCCAGACCTCAAGTGTTTCATTATTACTAAAGAGTTGAGAGTGTGCAACACATTTGCATATGCAAACTAGCTGAAAGAATTTGAGCAAGTTTCTAAAACAAGCTAAGCCTTGTATTTCTCATCGGGAAAATAATATGTATATCAAAGTACAGTTGCAGGGATTAAACAGAATAATGTATACATGGAATAAACAATGTTTCTCTCTTTTTAGATGCCCGTTATTCCCCATCAAATAAGAATTCCCCTTTCAGAAGTATAGGGGACTCAGTTCTCAGTCTTCCTGATACAGTCTTTCCTAGCTTCCCAGGAAAGGGTGACAGCATACTGAGAGGCCTGACTGTACTCTGGATCCAGCCTGGGATGGGCCTTTCCCTTGCTGGGGACCAGGTAGGGCTCAGGTGACCAGATGGCCTGCTGTTACTTGTCTAACACATCGGCTTTGGGAGGTAGGTATGTTCTATTTAGAAGAGAAAGAGAAGGAATCCCAGATGGGCCTCAAATCGAGGTTGTTTTCTTCCTCCAGCTTTGTCTGTGATAAAACTGATATCAGAGACCATTGTGTTTATTTCTCAAAAGTGAAAGGACTCAGGAGAGAGGCAGCAGGAATTACTTATTATACACGTTGCCCCAACAGTGATGACTGGCACATATCAGCTACTTGACTTCTAGTGGCTTTTACAATAAGAAAAGTAATTCTATGAGATAAGGAATAGTGGTGATGGTTGCTGTTACGATTGTCGTTGTCTCATTTGGCTTTCATGACACCCCAGGTAGGCAGGTAAGGCAAATAAAACCTCCGTTTCACAGGTGAGGAAATGAAGATGGTAATGGCTGCAAAAGCATTAATGGGTCACAGACCACCCTCTGCCCTGCTGACCTGCACCAGAGAGCAATAAATAGAGGAAACAGCTCAAGGCTTCTTATAATTATCATGAATTGAAATTTATGCTAACTAGTATCCAGCCAATACAAAGACAGAACATTCTCAGTACACTCTACTAAACTTTGAGCTTGTAATGATCTTACAGTAACTACTTGGAAATAAATAAAATCTTCCACAGTATGTGTGAAAACAATAAATGAACATCTGTAAAATATGGTTTAATCCATATTTAACTTCATATTTAATCCATTTAACTTCTCGTTTTTACAAATATTAATTTGTCACCAAATCAGGAGAATTTGGATCTCTCAGAGCCTGGCTATGGGGCAAAATGGTGGGGAAGAGGGATTTCCGAACTTTTACTTTATTACAAATAAATTCATTGTTTATTAGAAGAATTATTAGCACAATGATGAGGGCAGAAAGGAGAGTGTGTAGAGAGAGAGAAAGTGGAAAGAGATATGGCTAGAATATATTGGAGATATTAGAGATATTCTCTGATCAGCATAGAATGATGCTCTGAAGATGAGGTGCTTAGAAGCAAAAAAGAATGATCTAAATCATTGCTACTCAGAGTGTGATCAATGGACCAACTGAACAGTACTCATGTGAAACTTGTCAGAAATGCAGAATCATCAGATACACTAAATCAAAATCTGCAATTTGACAAGAACCCAGGTGATTCTAATGCACATTAAAATTTGTGTCTCAAGAGGGTAGTGGGTGACTGACAACAGTTTGAGGATAAATGATCAATAAGAAAACACCATAGCCAGGGCAGTCCAGTAGTAGTCCAAGTGATTGATGACAAAGACCAAACTGTTGCTGGAAATAGAATGGAGGGAATAGATTTCAAAGACGTATCAGAAGTAGAAAGAATGGTTTTAGAAACTGATGAGTTAGGCCAGACATGGTGGCTCATGCCTATAATCTCAGTTTGAGGTGGGAGGATCACTTGAGCCCAGGAGGTCCAGGCTGTAGTGAGCTATGATTGATCTACCACACTCAAGCCTGGGCGACAAAGTGAGTACCTGTTTCCAAAAAAAAAAAAAAGGGAAAGAAAAAAGAAACTGATCAGTTAAAGAATATCTGTGTAAAGGAAGAATTAAGATGAAGTTCTGAGGCTTCTATTTGGGTCAACTTTCAAGTAAGGGGTTATTTATCTTATCTTTCCAGAACCTACTGCAAATCTGGTACAGAGAAGGTAGGCACTACATGTGAGCTGAGTGACTGCATTCACTATCCAGATCATGGGATTTCAAATTATGTTCCATTAATCCCTAGGAATCTTAAGAGGTACTTTGGGAGCTGAAAAGAGGAAGTCAGATGGGCAGTGCTCCAAGTCCTTACTCCCAAACTTCATTTGCAAAACAAACAAAAACAAGTCCATCATATTTTCTTAATGAAATCCTATGCAGTTGGTCCACTGACCATATTCTAAGTAGCAATGATTTTGGTCACTCTTTTTCTGCCTATAAATGCCTCATTTTCAGAGCATCATTCAGTGCTCATCAGAGACTATCTCCAATCTAATCATAGAACTTGAAGATCAGCCCCAAGTCTAATTTCTGGTCTGTTACCCTCCATGTTCTTGGATTCATGTTATTCCTTGAGGTATTGAGACAAATAAAATTTGGACACACTTGGCCTTATTACCAGCAACCTCTAGAATAATGGAGAGGAGAAATGAGTATTGTTTAAAATAGACAGTTTGCTCTTGTATAATAAAAGATAAGGGTGATCCTATCTAAATTTATGCTAAGAAAATAATTTGATAGAAGAAAGCCATTACAAATGCAGATAAATACAATGTGATTTAGCCCTAATATTTAAAAAATCATCTAAATGTTAAATAAGCAAAAATCATAAATGAATTATGGCACATTTGGTTTACATAGTAATAGGCAAACTTGAGAATAATGGCTATGAAGATCAAGACTCAACATGTTAAAAAGTTTATAATAAAAAGATAACCAAATAATGAAGAATATAAAATGTAAGATAACTATGGTTGCAATTACATAAATTCATGTATGCATATGATCAAAAGGTAGAAAGGCATATGGATAAATAAGAATGAGGTAAAATATTATAGACATATGAATCATCAGTAAATTTCAGGTTCTACCTTGTAAATATTAATATATCTGAATCCAATGCATTCTTACTGCATCTAACATGACTACCCTGATTCAAGACTTCATCTCTTAATTTGCACATCCTAACTGGCCTCCATATAGCCCCTCTTATGATACACCCTTGTCTTCAGTAGCTACAGTAATACTTTATATATAAATTAGATTTGTCATACCCTATGCTTAAATTCTAACTATGCTATTCCATTATACTTAGAATACAATCCAAATTTCTAACTCTAGATCAGCAGTTCTCAATTTGGCTTCAAGGACTCCTTAAATTCCTAACAATTATTGAAGAATCCCAAAATATTTTGTTTATGTAGGTTATGTCTGCTGATATCTACTGTATTTGAAATTAAAAATGATACATATTAGAAATATTAGTTTACTAATTTGTTTATAAATGGCAATAGTAAATATATGCCATGGTAAGAACATATTTTTATGAAAAAATATTATTATACTAACTTACTCCCGAAATCTGAAAAGGGTGCCATTGTTTCATATTTTGCAAATCTTTTTACTGTCTGGCCTAAAAAAAGAAAGCTGGATTACCCTATCTGCTTCTGCATTTAATCCATTTTAATATGTTATTTTCACTGAAGGATGTAAAGAAAATCTAGTCCTGACAAATATGTTCGAAAAGTCAGGGATATCTTAGTAGTATTTTCAGATAATTGGGGATATTTTTCTTTGGTACAACATGTAAGTGGTAATGTCTTCAGAGTTATTTGCAATGTGGAATCTGAAGCTTTACGAATGAACCTTTTGTACAGTGTTATAGTAAAATACATTGTCAACTTTAAATGAATCTTTTACCCAGAGATGATTTTTGATATTACGTATTAAACATTGGAAACTATAGGTTCATTGAGTTATGCAGAACTTTTAAATGTTGTCATATTTTATTACATAATATCAAAAACATATTTATTAATTTCACCAACAATTTCATCAGTATTGGGCCCCTGTCAAGCAGCTCATGGAGGTTGACACTTTTCCAAAAAGTTCTAATATTCTCTTGAAATCTTAAATTTTATCATTAGCAACAAATAATGTCATTTGTTTTCCTCAAAGTGAATAGGCTCACTTTTGAAGTGATAAGTTCATTTTTGAGAAAATGTTTGCTAAATACCTGAGTCTGAATAACTAATTTGTAAGATATTGTTTCAAGTAAAAACAGTGTTCCATGAAAAACACGGCAAGTAAAGCTTACAATTCAATCACCCTGGTGCTTTTCCTTGGGATAACCATTTTATCTGAGTATGCAGCAGAAGTATTTAGCATGTACTTCTCATCGTATTAAAAAGAATGTTAAAAAGATGTGTACTCACAGCTCAAGATTTAATGTAATTAATAATTTCACTGCTTTACCAAGGTCAGTCTTAAGTGAAGCTGGCATTATGTGTGTTGGTCCTGAATGGCAATGAGAATATAGGGACTACAAGAGTTTAGTGCCCCCACCTTGAAAGGCACTAGGGCTCCACCATGGCTTCCATCATCAGTGCAAATATTAACACACTAAAATAGCTTTGACCCTGAAGACACCCCTGACAGTCTTGGGATCTCCAGGGGTCTGTGAGTTATACTTTGAGAACAATGCTACCTACTTAGCCACGGCATCTGCTACCACTCTCCTGCCTCCCTCTGCTCCAGCCACAAACACTTTTTTTAACACACTGATCTTGTGCCTGCCTCAGGGACTCTTCATTTGCAGTTCCCTCTGCTGGTGATCCTCTCACCTATGAAGTTCACTTAGCTTGCCACTGCTCATCACTTGTAGTTTCTGTTCAAGGGATTTCTCCTCCAAGATGCTTTATCTGACCCACTTATCTACAAGAGGCTCTGTCTTTCCCAGCAGAGCCTCAGGAAATTCTCGTACTCTGCTCTACTTCCTCCATACTACTCGCCACTAACTAGAGTTACATTGTGTATTTATTGGCTTATTTGTGAATTGTCTGCTTCCCGCACTCAAATATAAGCTACATGAGAGCTAAGACTTTGTTTTATTTGCCACCACAGTTCTAACATGGTACTCAATAAATACTTATTATCCGAATAGATTAACTTACTTTAAAAAAAAATCCCTTAAACACTGTTGATATGCTATTTTTAAATGAATAAAGGAGAGTTTTCTAAGTCACTGTGGTCCAGTAAAAGTATGTGAGCCCAGTGTGATGGCTCACACCTGTAATCCCAACAACTTGCAAAGCTGAGTTGGGAGGCTCAGTTGAGCCCAGGAATTTGAGGCTGCAGTGAGCCGTGATTGTTCCACTGCAACCAGCCTGGGTGACCCAGCAAGACACCGTTTCTAAAAAAACAATAAAAAAAAAAAGTGAACCAATATATAATTTTACATTTTCCAGAAACCACATTACAAAAGTAAAAAGAAATAAGTGGAATGATTTAAAAATCTATCTTTATTCAATATACCTAAAATATTATATAATTTCAATACGTATTCACTATAAAATTATTGCAATGCTATACTTTCTTACCTTTCTTACTAAATCTTTGAAATCAGTGTGTACTTTACATTTACAGACTATCTCCATTCAGATTAGCTACATTTCAAGTGTTCAGCAGCCATTTGTGACTAGTGGCTATTGTCCTGGAAAGCACAATTTAACCAAAGGTGGGGAAGAAACTAGATCACAGCATTTGCTTTCTCCCATACCTAATGATATGAAGAAAAACTTATGAACATTAGCTAGTAATAACAATAATTATCAGAAGCAACTAAATAAGAAAAGGGTTCAACTTAATACCCTAAGTTTTGCTAAAATGGTGGCCATGATTAAAGCAGAACATTCCGTCATAGCTTCACACTTCTAACCACTCCCAATCCAACCCCTAGCAATGGTACTAGGGAAAAAAAGGTGAGTTGCCAATTTACTGAGAATCTTCACTGATACCTCCTAATTTGGAGAGGATTAGAACAAGGAGGTAAGCAGACCAGCCTAGCCCTTAACTAACACTGCTGGATCTCAGCAGAAATAAAATAAATCCCCCACAGCATCACACTGATTAGAGGAAATAATTCTAAGTCTCCACACAGCATCTAGAGTGACCTTTCTAAAATGTAATTCTGATCATGCTACCCACTTATTTGAAATCCTTCAGTGGTTCACCTCATCCTTGGGGTAAATTCCAAGCTCGTCAGCGGTGCATCACATAGGTTCACTGTGATTGGGACCTGTGTCCCCCCTGGATCTTTACCCACCTTCATCTTCATCTTCCCATATGCATAATACACCTTTAACATACTGAACAAGCTGTAGTTCCCAAAATTAGAAATCCCTGTACCTTTAACTAAGGCACTCCATCTGCCCAGACTATATGTCTTCTCTTTTCCTGGCTAACTTCAAAACTCCTCCAAATTCAACTCAGTAACCTACTGAAAACCTTCCTCTTCACTCAGTTTGTATAATAATGCATGTCTGTATCTATACAATGTCCTGGGAATGCCTAAAGGGTAAGCATACACAGTATTACAATTGTGGTTTTACTTGCATATCTTGCTGACTAAAGTACAAAGTTCTTGAGGTCAGGAACAGTGTCTTTAACTGCTTTGTCACCAGAGCCTAACACAATGCCCACATCATAGCGTACACAGTAAGTAGCTGTAGAACAAGTGAATTAATATGTTTAGATTTGTTATTTACTGATTCTCATCACGTTCATTCCTAATAGGTACATTATAAAAGAAACTTGATAATGAGACCAAAGCATTCTAACTAGGTGGCAAAATAATTTCATTTGAAGATCTTTCAAAGTCATGGATTTGAAATCATCTGAAATAAATGATAGCAAAACAGATAATTAAAGACCTGAATTTGAGTGGTGTGTGTGTGTTTGCGTGTGTGTGTGTGTGTAACACTAAAACATCAGGAAAACGTCCACAGTTCCTGCTGCATTATATTGTCAGTAGCTAGTATAACCTGTCGGCTGTAGAGGTAACAGCCAATCTTCCTGGAGAAGCACCAGAGCAACCTGAAAATTCAGAGTCCACTGGTAACTAGGAAGGGAGGGGAGGGAAACAGAAAAGGAAATGGGTGGCTATAGAAATATACCAGTTTCTAACCTCCCATCTTTATTCTAGCAGGTGCCAACAATAAGCAGCTCAGAATTCACCTCTAGGCAAAATAAATGAAGTAACCACCCCCATCTATTTTTAAATAGAAATTAAGCAATTTGCCTGTGGAAAACTAGTGTGAGGAGAGAGGTTGAAGGTCAAGGTGTCAGTCTATTTCTTATCCAAACATTTTAAATTTAATTGATACGAGAGAAAACATAATCCAGAAAACAAAGAGAACTTTAAAAAATTATTCAGATGATAATTACAATAAAAGCCTAGACTTCATTATTCAATATATCTGTATAACAAAACTTCACTTGTATCCTTTAAATTTATACAAATAGGGAGTCACTTCCAAGATGGCCGAATAGGAACAGCTCCAGTCAACAGCTCCCAGTGAGATCAACGCAGAAGATGGGTGATTTCTGCATTTCCATCTAAGGTACCTGGTTCATCTCACTGGGACAGGATGGACAGTGGGTGCGGCCCACAGAGGGCAAGCCAAAGCAGGGCAGAGCGTTGCCTCATCTGGGAAGCACAAGGGATCTGGGGATTTCCCTTTCCTAGCCAAGGGAAGCCCTGAGTGACTGTACCTGGAGGAACGGTACACTCCTGCCCAAATACTGCACTTTCCCCACAGTCTTTGCAACCGGCCTGGCTCGGCAGGTCCCATGCCCACGGAGCCTTGCTCGCTGTTAGCGCAGCAGTCTGAGATCAACCTGGGTTGCTGGAGCTTGGTGGGGGAAGGGGCATCTGCCATTGCTGAGGCTTGAGCAGACGGTTCTATGCTCACAGTGTAACAAAGCTGCAGGGAAGCTTGAACTGGGTGGAGCCCACTGCAGCTCAGCAAGGCCTACTGCCTCTCTAGATTCCACCTCTGGGGGCAGGGTATATCTGAACAAAAGGCAGCAGACAGCTTCTCCAGACTTAAACATCCCTGCCTGACAGCTCTAAAGAGAGCAGTAGTTCTCCTGGTGCAGCGTTCGAGCTCTGACAACGGACAGACTGCCTCCTCAAGTGGGTCCCTGACCCCTGTGTAGCCTGACTGGGAGACATCTCCCAGTTGGGGCCAACAGACACCTCATACAGGTGGGTGCTCCTCTGGGATGAAGCTTCCAGAGGAAGGATCAGGCAGCAATATTTGCTGTTCTGCAGCCTCTGCTGGTGGTACCCAGGCAAACAGAGTCTGGAGTGAACCTCTGGCAAACTCCAACAGACCTGCAGCTGAGGGGCCTGTTAGAAGGAAAACTAACAAACAGAAAGGAATAGCATCAACATCAACAAGAAGGACATCCACACCAAAACCCCATCCGTAGGTCACCAACATCAAAGACCAAAGGTAGATAAAACCACAAAGATTAGGGGAAACCAGAGCAGAAAGGCTGAAAATTCCAAAATCCCAAATGCCTCCTCACCTCCAAAGGAACACAACTCCTCACCAGCAAGGGAACAAAACTGGATGGAGAATGAGTTTGACGAGTTGACAGAAGCAGGCTTCAGAAGGTTGATAATAACAAACTTCTCTGAGCTAAGGGAGCATGTTGTAACCCATTGCAAGGAAGCTAAAAACCTTGAAAAACTGTTAGACGAATGGCTATCTAGAATAACGAATGTAGAGAAGACCTGAAGGAGCTGAAAAACACAGTACAAGAACTTCGTGAAGCATACACAAGCTTCAATAGCCAATTCAATCAAGTGGAAGAAAGGGTATCAGTGATTAAAATCAAATTAATGAAATAAAGAAAGAAGACAATATTAGAGAAAAAAAAGAGTGAAAGGAAATGAACAAAAACTCCAACAAATATGGGACTACGTGAAAAGACCAAATCTATGTTTGACTGGTGTACCTGAAAGTGACAGGAAGAATGGGAACCAAGTTAGAAAACGCTCTTCAGGATATTACCCAGGAGAACTTCCCCAACCTAGCAAGGCAGGTCAACATTCAAATTCGGGAAATACAGAGAACACCACAAAGATACTCCTCGAGAAGAGCAACCCCAAGACACGTAATTGTCAGATTTGCCAAGGTTGAAATGAGGAAAAAAATGTAAAGGGCAGCAAGAGAGAAAGGTCAGGTTACTCACAAAGGAAAGCTGATCAGACTAGCAGCGGATCCCTCTCGGCAGAAACCCTACAAGCCAGAAGAGAGTGGGGGCCAATATTCAACATTCTTAAAGAAAAGAATTTTCAACCCAGAATTTCATATCCAGCCAAACTAAGCTTCATAAGTGAAGGAGAAATAATATCCTTTACAGACAAGCAAATGATAAGAGATTTTGTCACCACCAGGCCTGCCTTACAAGAGCTCCTGAAGGAAGCACTAAACATAGAAAGGAACAACCGGTACCAGCCACTGCAAAAACATGCCAAATTGTAAAGACCATCGAGGCTAAGAAGAAACTGCATCAACTAACGAGCAAAATAACCAGCTAACATCATAATGACAGGATCAAATTCACACATAACAATATTAACCTTAAATGTAAATGGGATAAATGTCCCAATTAAAAGACACAGATGGCCAATTGAATAAAGAGTCAAGACCCATTGGTGTGCTGTATTCAGGGGACCTATCTCATGTGCAAAGACACACATAGGCTCAACATAAAGGGATGGAGGAAGATCTATGAAGCAAATGGAAAGCACACACACACACACACACAAAAGCAGGGGTTGCAATCCTGACTCTGATAAAACAGACTTTAAAGCAACAAAGGTCAAAAGAGACAAAAAAGGCCATTACATAATGGTAAAGGGATAAATTCAACAAGAAGAGCTAACTATCCTAAATACCTATGCACCCAATACAGGAGCACCCAGATTCATAAAGCAAGTTCTTAGAGACCTACAAAGGACTTAGATTCCCACATACTAATAATGGGAGACTTTAACACCCCACTGTCAATATTAGACAGATCAATGAGGCAGAAAATTAACAAGGATATCCAGGACTTGAACTCAGCTCTGGACCAAGCAGACCTAATAGACATCTACAGAACTCCCCACCCCAAATCAACAGAATATACGTTCTTCTCAGCACCACATCACATTTATTCTAAAATTGACCACATAATTGGAAGTAAAACACTCCTCAGCAAATGTAAAAGAAGAGAAATCACAACAAACTGTCTCTGAGACCATAGTGGAATCAAATTAGAACTCAGGATTAAGAAACTCACTCAAAACCGCACAACTACATGGAAACTGAACAACCTGCTTCTGAATGACTCTGAGTAAATAACAAAATGAAGGCAGAAATAAAGATGTTCTTTGAAACCAATGAGAACAAAGACACAACATACCAGAATATCTGGGACACATTTAAAGCAGTGTGTAGAGGGAAATTTAAAGCACTAAATGCCCACAAGAGAAAGCAGGAGAGATCGAAAATCGACACCCTAACATCACAATTAAAAGAACTAGAGAAGCAAGAGCAAACAAATTCAAAAGCTAGCAGAAGACAAGAAATACTAAGATTAGAGCAGAACTGAAGGAGACAGAGACACAGAAAACCCTTCAAAAACTCAATAAATCCAGGAGATGGTTTTTTGAAAAGATCAACAAAATAGATAGACTGCTAACTAAACTAATAAAGAAGAAAAGAGAGAAGAATCAAATAGATGCAATAAAACATGATAAAGGGGATATCACCACCGATCCCACAGGAATACAAACTACCATCAGAGAATACTATAAACACCTCTATGCAAATAAGCTAGAAAATCTAGAAGAAAGGGATAAATTCCTGGACACATACACCCTCCCAACACTAAACCAGGAAGAAGTTGAATCTCTGAATAGACCAATAACAGGTTCTGAAATTGAGGCAATAATTAATAGCCTACCAACCAAAAAAAAGTCCAGGACCAGATGGATTCACAACCGAATTCTACAAGACGTACAAAGAGGAGCTGGTACCATTCCTTCTGAAACTATTCCAATCAATAGAAAAAGAGGGAATCCTCCCTAACTCATTTTATAAGGCCAGCATGATCCTAATACCAAAGCCTGGCAGACACGCCACAAAAAAAGAGAATTTTAGACCAATATCCCTGATGAACATCGATGTGAAAATCCTCAATAAAATACTGGCAAACCAAATCCAGCAGCACATCAAAAAGCTTGTCCACCACAATCAAGTTGGCTTCATCCCTGGGATGCAAGGCTGGTTCAACATATGCAAATCAATAAACATAATTCATCACATAAACAGAACCAATGACAAAAACCACATGATTATCTCAATAGATGCAGAAAAGGCCTTTGACAAAATTCAACAGCCTTCTATGCTAAAAACACTCAAAAAACTAGTTATCTATGGAACATATCTCAAAATTTAAATAAGAGTTATATATGACAAACCCACAGCCAATATCATACTGAATAGGCAAAAACTGGAAGCATTCCCTTTGAAAACCGGCACAAGACAGGGATGCCCTCTCTCATCACTCCTATTCAACATAGTATTGGAAGCTCTGGCCAGGGCAATCAGGCAAGAGAAAGCAATAAAGGATATTCAAATAGGAAGAGAGAAAGTCAAATTGTTTCTGTTTGCAGATGATATGATTGTATATTTAGAAAACCCCATCGTCTCAGCCCAAAACCTCCTTAAGCTGATAAGCAACTTCAGCAAAGTCTCAGGATATAAAATCAATGTGCAAAAATCACAAGCATTCCTATACACCAATAACAGAGAAACAGAGAGCCAAATTGCTACATTCACAATTGCTACTGAGAGAATAAAATACCTAGGAATGCAACTTACAAGGGATGTGAAGGACCTCTTCAAGGAGAACTACAAACCACTGCTCAAGGAAATAAGAAAGGACACAAACAAATGGAAAAATATTCCATGCTTATGGATAGGAAGAATCAATATCATGAAAATGGCCTTACTGCCCAAAGTAATTTATAGATTCAATTATATTCCCATCAAGCTACCACTGACTTTCTTCACAGAATTGGAAAAAACTATTTTAAACTTCATATGGAACCAAAACAGAGCCCGCATAGCCAAGGCAGTCCTGGGCAGGAAGAACAAAGCTGGAGGCATCATGCTACCTGACTTCTAACTATACTACAAGGCTACAGTAACCAAAACAGCATGGTACTGGTACCAAAACAGATATACAGACCAATGGAAGAGAACGGAGGCCTCAGAAATAACATCACACGTCTACCACCAACTGATCTTTGACAAACCTGACACAAGCAATGGGGAAAAGATTCCCTGTTTAATAAACGGTGTTGGGAAAACTGGCTAACCATGTGATAAAATATTGTCTAAACTTGATGGAACAAGGAACAGAGGTTCAAATAGTTTGTCAAAAGGTAACCAATAGAATTACTAAAAATAATAAAGACAACCATTAGTTTAGAGACACAGAGGAAAGAAAGGCTGGGGAAAATCAAATAATGCTTCATTTTTGATATTGAAGGGTCCAAAAGTAACATATACATTTTCCAAATCAAGACCTAAGTATATATACCTATAATTTAGCATTATGGAGGTAACCCCAGCAGAACCAGGAACTTCATTACAGAACAACTTTATGGGATAAGTGGTATCATTTTGCCTTCTTTACACTGAGTCACAGAAAAGTTAAGTAATTCCCTTTAAGTTTCACAACTAATAAATCACATAGGTAGGATATAAACTCATTTGTCCTGATTCCAAAGTTTGTGCACCATACTGCCTCCTAAGCTATGAATAGGCAAATAAAGGTCTTTCCAAGTAAGTTGTAACTGCCCAAGGGCAGAACCATTATTTACTCATCTTTACATACTCTACAGTGGCCAGCTCACTTCCAGCCCTATTGTTGGAATCCAAGAAATGTCCACTGGTTGGACCATGCCCAGAAACACCCATCCATTTGTTCCTCTCTTCCCCAGTGGTAGGTTAACACACATAAGTTCAGTTTAGATACGGTCATTCAAAGCAAAACAAGACTTCACCTCAAAATAGCCAATCTCTGTTATATAATTTAGGGAAAGTGTACAGGTCATTGAGTGAAGCCATAGCTCTTCTCTAGGAGACAGACTATGAAACACGATACCAATCCTGGTAGGCAATTAGGAAAATGTTAGAGTCAATCAGAACTGAGACCACCAGTCATTAACAAAGTGACTCAAAGGCAGCATTAACCTTGCGGTAGACCCAGGGGATTGCCCAGCCTTTTCTGTGCCCTGTCCCTAAGAACACATCTTCTGAAAGCAAAGAGAATGAACTCTGCGCCAAGTAAATAGCTTTTAAATAAGTGTTTTATCATTTTAGACAACTTACCAATAAAAATTGGTAAAATAGAAAGTACATATTTGGATCATAAACTCTCTAACTATTCTAAAGTCATTTCAGTCAAAATGTGAAAATAAATGTTTTCTAATAGCTTGTACATAGAAAGGATAGAAAATAGAAACCTGTAGTTTTTAGAAATAAGTAAAATGATTTTAGCATGAATCCTGCTTCATTAGACAACTCAGAAACTACAAAATGACTTTGAATGAAGGATAGGCAATATAAAATGTTCCCTAATAAATTAGAAGTTACAAAATGCTTTCAGACATTTGCTTTTCATCTGATCACAGGAACACAATATAAGTGGATAATTAAATTATTCCTGTCTTAATCCAGACATTCTAATGTTTACAGCTTAAAAAACCTGCAAATGTACTCTTTGAATCTATAAAAATATAGCACATATAATTATGTATAGTACATAATACTTGATAATGATTAGAAATGACCATGTTACTAGTTTTAAGAAATGTTACTCATACCAAACAAATAATAAGACAGAATGTTTACAGAATTTCTTTTTACTACCTGGCAGATAGTGAAAAAAGCTGATAGTTTTGTACACAAGATAATATTTTTGTGATATTGTTTGTAAGCAATTTTGAAGTTGCTACATAATATATAGAATATATTACAGAGATTAAACATACTTCTTTTAGTTGCTCAAACTAAATTAACTCATACTATTCCAATTGCTTCCCATAAAAAAGGGAATAAGAATTAGTTTGCAATCATGCCCATTAACACAGATAAGACATATTTAATTAATATTTCATTTGTATTAATCAGAAAGAAATTCAGAATGTTCTGGATCTCATTGCTTTTATTTTAATAAAAATCTGTTAAGGAGATGGTGTCTCCTACAAGGGAAAGGAAGCATTTCAAGGAAACCCAAATGGTCAGAGAAAAGAGTGCCTTTAAGAAAGGTGCATGGCTTTCTATTCCTGTGTCAGTTTGCTAAGATAATAGCCCCCAGCTCCATCATGTTCCTGCAAAAGACACAATCCCATTCTTTTTTATGTCTCCACAGTATTCCATGGTGTATATGTACCACATTTTCTTTATCCAGTCTGTCACTGATGGGCATTGAGGTTGATCCCATGTCATTGCTATAGTAAATAGCGGTGCAATGAATATTTGCGTGCATGTATCTTTATGGTAGAATGATTTATATTCCTCTGGGAATATACCCAAATACTGCACGTTTTCACTTATAAGAGGGAGCTAAATGATGAGAACTCATGGACACAAAGAAGAGAACAACAGACACTGGGGCCTGCTTGAGAGTGGGGGGTGGCAGGAGGGAGAAGAGCAGAAAAAAATAACATTTGGTACTAGGCTTAGTACCTGAGTGATTAACTAATCTGTATAACAAGCCACTGTGGCACAAGTTTACCTATGTAGCAAACCTGCACATGTGCCCCAAGCCTAAAATAAAAGTTAAGAAAAAAAGGAAAATGTAGCCGACACCTAAAAATATGAAAGAAAGGTGCATGGGCTACTACAGTTATCAAAGTTTCTATGTCAAGGAAAATATAAAAGACCAATGTGGTAGATTGGATCATTGTTCCCCATGTCTGCCCTCTCCCCCCATCTCCCTGGGAAGCCTATCTTTCTTGGCCCCACTGTTGTTAGGCTGGCCATATGATTTTGTTGTTACTGTTGTTTGAGACAGGGTCTTGCTCTGTTGCCTATGCTGGAGTGCAGCAGCACAATCACAGCTCACTGCAGCCTCAACCTTCCAGATCCAAGTGATTCTCCCACCTCAGCCTCCTGAGTAGTAGCTGGGACCACAAGTGCATGCCACCACACTGGCTTTTTTTTTTTTTAAATAGGAACAGGGGTCTCCCTATGGTGTCCAGGTTGGTCTCAAACTCCTGAGTTCAAGTGATCCTCCCACCTTGGCTTCCCAAAGTGCTGGGATTACAGGCATGAGCCACTGCGCCTGGCCTGGCCATTTGATTTTCTTCAGCCAATGGAATTTAGGTGAAAGTGATGATACTCCAGTTCTAAGCAAGGCCTCTTGCCCCTCTGGGAGCTTTCAAACACTGCCTTAAAAAGAGCCTGCCCATGTGTCCCGCTGGTTGTAGAAGAATAAGAAATATATAGAGCAGACCTGAACCTCACCGTAGCTCTGAACCAAAACCAACTGAACCAGGACCTGATAGCTAAACCCCAGAGATTCACAGGTCTTTGTGTGAGAAAAATGCCTACTGTGTATGCCACTAGACTTTGGGGTCGTTTGTTATACTACATTGTTGTGGCAATAGCTGAGGCTAACATCTAAAAATTTTGAAAACTATTTAGGTTGTCAGTCCACCAAGACTAGGGTAAATGCAATTCTTTTAAATGTGTTCATTGAAATTCTAATGCAAATGATCACTCTGAACCAATAAGAGTTTTCTGCTGTTTTATGCTACGCATAGAAAGAAAACTGAAGATATAAATTAAATATTTATTTAAAAAATAATAATTTGATAGCATATATATTTCAACAAAATATATGAGGAAGGGACAATGTTTTGCTATTTTTTGTGACAATCCAGAAGAATACTACTCAACATGTAACTGTTTAATTGATAATTACTGACTATCTATTAAGTACTCAATATATGTGTGAATATAGAGATGAGAGGTATAAGTTAAGTAAACAGGGCATTTGTCAGCCACAAAGTAAGTATGATATAAATGTTGGCCGGGAATGGTGGCTCACACTCATAATCCCAGCACTTTGGGGGCAGATCACTTGAGGTCAGGAGTTCAAGACCAGCCTGGCCAACATGGTGAAACCCCATCTCTACTAAAAATACAGAAAAAAAATAGCTAGGCATGGTGGTGTGTGCCTCTAGTCCCAGGTACTCAGGAGGCTGAAGCAGGAGAATCGCTTGAACCAAGGAGGCAGAGGTTGCATTGAGCCGACATCACCCCACTGCACTCCAGCCTGGCTGACAAACCAAGACTGTGTCTCAAAAAAAAAAAAAAAAGTTAATGCTGTTAGCATCTTCAACATCATCATCTAGACAAACAATAGAGTGTACTAGAATAACAATGCAACAAAAGAACTGGTAAAATGGAACTCTGCACAGAATTTCAGTAGGAGTCTATGGCATAAAGAGCCCCTGTCTACTTTAGGGAGTCTGAATAGTATCTTAGACTATACTATACGCTGCTATAAAGTATCTTAGACTATATACCACTATAAAGACATACCTAAGGCTGGGTAATTTATAAAGAAAGGAGGTTTGTTTAATTAACTCACAGTTCTGCATGGCTGGGGAGGCCTCAGGAAACTTACAATCATGGCAGAAGGGGAAGAGGTATGTCTTATATGGCAGCAGGTGAGAGAGAGCATGGAAGAAAGAACTGTCAAACACATAAAACCATCACATCTCTCCTCACACCACATCCCTCTCTCGACACGTGGGGATTATGGGGATTACAATTCAACACGAGATTTGGGTCGGGCCACAGCCAACCATATCAGAGGAGGTAGCATGTAAGATGAAAGGAGAAAGATGAGTAAGAGTGTGCAAAGGCAGATCAGGGAAAAGGCTTCCTAGCACATGTAAATGCATAAAACGTGAATGTGCTCTGCATGTGCAGGAAAGAATAAAGCAGAAGCAACTCTACTAAAATGTGAACAACGCCATCCCCTCATGCCTACTATTAGCAAGGAGCTTGCTAACTGAGTGCTTCAAATCATGGTCCAATCCCCACAATTTGGACTTAGAAAGTCTCCTAGTGTACTGTGGACTCATTCAATCAATAATAATTGCTGTCTTCAATTCTCATAAAGGAATAACAAGGAACCCCACAGATTTTAATTTTTATTAGAGCTGCGTGTTCATGGTTTATTCAAGTTTACCAATATTTGGCATTTGCAAACTAATGTTATATTATTCCTAAAGTTAATGTGGACTCCAGGGAAGGTGTGCGCAGCTGCCAATCAACTGCAAGTCTCCTACTTTCCAGGCAAAGGTGCACATAGAGATAGATCAAATTCTTGACAATTTCAGAGAAGACACTTTGTTTTTAGTGCATAATCATTGTTGCCTTGAGGTGGCTCTGACTTTCAAATACTAATCTAAGTTTTTATTAGAAATTACTATTAGTTTACCTTCATCTTTATTAGTACTTATTCCCTGAACTGCTTGCTACCAGACAATCACTTGCATGCCTAAGAGTATCTTAAATTTAACTTGTCAAAAGTCAAACAGTTTGATGAATAACTCCTCTTCAAGATCACAAAAGTGAATAAATAAAAGGCACCTTACTCAGGGTTACCAGATTAGTCTGCTCAAGCTGCCATAACAAATACCACAGACTGGCAGCTAAAACAAGAGACATTTTTTTCTCACAGTTCTGGAGGTTGGAAGTCCAAGATGGAGGTGCCAGCAAGGTACGATTGCCTCTGAGGCCTCCTTTCTTCTCTTGGCGTGTCGGCAGCCGCCTTCTCGCTGTGTGCTCACATGACCTCCTCTTCTTCTAAGGCCACTAATACTATCAGATCAGGGCCCACCCTTATGACCTCATCCAACCTTAATTACGTCCTAAAAGCCCCATCTCCAAATACTGTCACATTGGAGGTTAGGGTTTTAACATGAATTTAGGGAGTGGGGACACAATTCAGTCCACAGCAGCCACCTGTAGAAAATGGCATCTCCATTCATCCCAATGATCAGAGCGAGAAAAACCTTGAAATTGAACTCCTTTCAAACTTTATATCTCACATTGAATTAATCACCAAATCCTGCTGGCTGCACCTTCAATATAAAGCCCAAATCCAGGAAATTCTCATTCGCTCTACTTCCATCAACCTACTGCACGCTGGTATCACTGAATCTCAGGGTTATGACAATTGATTCCTACTCATCTCTCTGTCCCCCTCTTCTGCTCTTGTTCCTCTACTCTCGATACCACATCCACAGCGACCATTTGAAAAATCAGCCACATCATGTGACTTCCCTACTCACATCCCTACTGCTTCTCATCGCACTGAGGCCCCGCAAGGCTCACGGTCAGGCTCCTGCCCACCCTCTCACTGCGTATCTCCTAACTCTCCTCTCCCACAACGCTACAACCACACTGCACTCCTTATTCTTCCTCACACACTTCTAGAACATTCCTGTCTCAGGGCCTCCTCTCTGCTTGGAAACTTTCCTTCAATAGTCACAGGTCTCCTTCTCATTGCATCTCAACAATATAGGCCTCTGCTCAAAGATGGCCTCCTACTGAACCACTTCTATCATCACCCTATTTAAAAATCCTCTTACCTTAGTTTGTGTAAGTACACTCTATGATGGTGCATAATGAAATCACCTGACAATGCATTTCTCAGAAAGTATCTCCATTTTTAAGCAACACATGACTGCAGTTCTCTGTTGCCTCAAATAAATTATAGACAGTATGATGATTTTAAAGAAAAGATACAAGAGTTCAAAGAATATTTAAGACAATGTAAGGAAATAAAAAGTAACCTGGCAGAGCTCAGCCAAGAAGTGGAAGGGAAAGATAAATACAAACTTATAAAAACTAGAACTAATATACATTAAAAATGTCAGTATCATGGTGAAAATTATATGAAACAAAATGGAAATTAGCAAAGTTATTTAAATTATTATGGCAATGCATACAGACATGAAAAGAAAAGAAAACCCCAAATGAGCAGAAAGCAGAGAACAGGGGAAAGAATAAATTTTTAAAAAGTGTTCAAAGACAAGATAGAAAAACTTTTCTAAAATAAAGGCTGGAATCTTTAGATCTCGCCCCAGAAAAAAAAAATACACAGAAAGATCAAGGCCAAAATATATTGTGGAAAGTCACTGGACTTCAAGGATAAGGAGAGAGATAACACAGACATCCAGTAAAGGGGGGAGGGGGAAGAAAGGCATTTAAAAAGAGAAAAATACAGTTTGATCTCAGATTTATCCAAAGCAACACACACAGCTATGTGACAGTGCAGAAGTCCATAGAATTTCAAGGAAAAGATTCTTTTTCAATAACTTTAGAATCATCCAATTGGTGTAACAGAAAGATATTCTCAAGCGTATAAGAACCAAGGGATGACAACATCTATGATGCCGTCCTTAAAAGTTTTGAGCAATACTATCGCTCCTCCTGTAGTGAAAGATCTGCCCATACTATAAGAAACAACAACAACAACAAAAAAATGAGAGGTTAAAGATCAGAAAAGAGAGAGGAAGAAAAAAACAACCTTTATTATTTATGGATGATATAATTACCCACAGAAAAAAAACAATTGAATCAACAGATAAACCACTGGAATTAATAAGAGGGTTCTGTGAGGTTGACAGGTACAAAATAAACTTATAAGAATAGTGACATTTTTCTACAACAATGAACTACTAGAAAAAATAACTAATAAACCACTCACAATGGCAACAAATTGATAAATGTGTAGCAAGTTAAAAATAATTCATGATTCCCTAATGTATAATAGAAAAATTTTAAACCCACTGAAGAACAACAACAAAAAAAACACCCACAATAGATGGATACTTCATACTCTTCAATGCGAACACTGGATATTAAGGAGTAGTCAATTATTCATTAGTCAGTATAAAATTCAGTACAGCCACAATCAAGAGTTCCAAATGGATTTTTGGAGAATTTTGATAAACTCATCCTAAAACTTATTTGAAAATTTCAATAAAAGTTTCAAGAACAGTTAGTTCAATATTGTGAAAGAAAAGCAGACAGGGCACTTGCCCTAAGAGGTATTTTTAGAATATACCAGAGTCATAGTAACAAATACAATATGGTACTGGTGCAAGAAAAGGAGTTTCAAGATATAATTATATAGAGAATGTTCTTGCAGACATTCCCCAGCACCAGACTGGAGAGTGGCAATGAGGCAAGGATGCCTACTTTCACCACTCCTGTTCAACACAGTTCTGGAAGTCCTAGCCAGAGCAATTAGGCAAGAGAAAGAAATAATCTCTCTCTATATATAATTATATGTCTTTCTATATAGACAGATACATAATTGAAAGGAGTTTCTAGATGTAATTTTGTACATACATATACGATAAAGTTGGTACCTTAAACCAACTGAGAAATATTAGTCTGTCTAGTAAATAATATGGGGGAAATTGGCTCATTATCTGGATAAAAGTAAAACTGAATTCCTGTCCAACAGAGTATACAAAAGAAGATTTCAAACCAAAGTGTGGGAATTAAAACAAAGAAATTAAATGCAAAATGATGGAAAAGATTGTCATAACTTAGGAATGCAGAAGGACTTCTTAAACGTAAGCCTCAAGGCACAGACACAAACCAACACTGATGGATTTGATTAAATTAAAAAATTCTGTTCACCTAAGGACACCAAGTGCAAAGTTAATAGACAAACAAAAATGATAGATCGGGAGATGTTCACAATCTAACACCAACAAGGGAATCATATCTAGAATGCCCATAAATCAAAATCAAACAAACAAAAATAAGAAACAGAATTTTAAAAATGGGCTAAGTATACATGTAGGCAATTCAATGAAGGAAGAAACTCAAAAGCTAGCAAGCTCAAATTCATTAGTTCTTAGAGAAATTCAAGTTAAAATAACATTGATCCATTACTTTGAAGCCATCAGATTGTGAAAAACTAGACTGCTGCCTACTGTGGGCTATTGGAGGGATGAGGATATGGGAATCCTCCTGCACTGATGATAAAGCTTACACAGCTGCAGTCATCCTGGAGCATAAAGTAGCTATTAGTAAAGTCTATCACATTGTTCAACTCTGACCCGGCAACCTCTAGGTATAAATTCCTAAAAAAAATTTTCACTCAGTTTCATATATGTAAAGCGTGTCCATCTCAGCATGGTCAGTGATGGCAGAGTGTTTAATACAATCCAGGTATCCATGAACACAGTGCTGAAAAGATAAAACATGTAGAAAAGGTGGGTAAGGTGACCATGCATCTCAGTGTGCTGAGTCAATCCCAACTTACATCTAGACTACTGTCCTGGTGTAATTATCAATAGGCCCTTTTCAGTTTCCAAAGCATCCCATTTTGGACAAAAAATTATACAGAAATATATGCAGTGGTCAAAGCAACAAACTTGATGATACATGCAGAAACATAAATAAAAGCTGTAAATATCATGTAGAGTGAAAAGCAAGAAATTCAATGAGGCCTTTAGCACAATGTCACTTATGTAAAAAAACAACACTACATGTTTTACAAGAAAGCAAAAACTCATCAAATGCATGAGATATACATCAAACACGTTAGAATGCTTATCTGTGGGGCTGAGTGAGGAGAATGACACTAGGGAATAAAATAGAATTAATAATAACATTAATAATGTTAATAATAATTTTTTTAAAAGAGGGATTGCGTCACATGAACTAAGGAGCAGGAACAATCCATTCTCTAGAACTGAGGTTGAAAATTATGCTGGGTGTTCAAGAAAGCCAACACACTAAGGCTATCAATCACCAAGAAATCTCACAGAGTGGGCATCATTCCTCTGCCACCCCCATTAGAGCTGCTGCTACCCATGGTGGGGAAACTTGAGGACAGGTCACATCATCGGATTCCTTGCAGACATTCCCCAGCACCAGGCTGGAAGGGTGGCAACAAGACAAGAATGCCTACTTTCACCACTCCTATTCAACACAGTTCTGGAAGTCCTAGCCAGAGCAATTAGGCAAGAGAAAGAAATAAAAAGCATCCAAATTGTAAAAGAAGTCAAGCTACCACTGTTTGCATATGATATGACTGTATACCCAGAAAATCCTAAAGACTCCTAGGTTTGATAAAAAAAATTGATTAAAGTCTCTGGTTATAAAATCAGTGTACACAAATCAGTAGCACTGCTATACATCAATGACCAAGCTGTGAATCAAATCAAGAACTCAATTCCTTTTACAACAGCTGCAAATAAAATAAAATAAAATAAAATAAAATAAAATAAAATAAAATAAAATAAAATAAAAATACCTAGGAATATACTTAACTAAGGAGGTGAAAGATCTCTACACGGAGAACCACAAAACACTGCTGAAATAAATCATAGATGACACAAACAAATGGAAACACATCCCATGCTCATGGATTGGGAGAATCAATAGTGTAAAAATGACCATACTGCCCAAAGCAATCTACAGATTAAATGCAATTCCTGTCAAAATACCAAGATAATTTTTCACAGAATTGGAAAAAACAATCCTAAATTTATATAGAACCAAAAAAGAGCCCAAATATCTAAAGCAATCCTAAGGAAAAGGAACAAATCTGGAAGCATAATATCACCAGACTTCAAATTATACTACATGGCTACCGTTACTAAAACAGCAGGTTACTGGTATAAAAGTAGTCGCATACACCAATGAAACAGAATAGAGAACCCAGAAACAAAGCCAAATACACACAGCCAACTGATCTTTGACAAAGCATACAAAAACATAAATTGGGGCATGGATGCCCTGTTTAATAAATAGTGCTGGGATAATTGGAAGCAACATGTAGAATAATGAAACTGGATCCCTATCTTTCACCTTATACAAAAATCAACTCAAGATGGATCAAAGATTTAAATATAAGACGTGAAACTATAAACATTCTATAAGACAACATTGGAAAAACTCTTCTAGACATTGGTTTAGGCAAATAATTTATGACTAAGACCCCAAAAGCAAATGCAACAAAAAGAAAAATAATGGGACCTAATTAAACTAAGAAACTTCCATAGAGCAAAAGAAATAATAGAGTAAACAGACAACACACAGAATGGGAGAAAATATTTGCAAACTACAAATCTGACAAAGGACTAGTATCCAGAATCTACAAGGAACTCAAACAAATCAGCAAGAAAAAACAAATAATCCCATGAAAAAGTGGGCAAAGAACTTGAATAGACATTTCTCAAAAGAAGATGTACAAATGGCCAATAACGATATGAAAAAACTTTCAACATCACTGATCATCAGAGAAATGCAAAGTAAAACCACAATGAGATACCACTTTACTCCTGCAAGAATGACCATTATTAAAAAGTCAAAAAACAAGAGATGTTGCCCTGGATGCAGGGAGAAGGGAACGCATATATTCTACTGGTAGGAATATAAATTAGTACAACCTCTATGGAAAACTATATGGAGATCTACCATTTGATCCAGCCATCCCACTACTAGGTATCTTCTCAAAGGAAAAGAAGTCATTATATGAAAAAGACACTTGCACACGTATGTTTATAGCAGCACATTCAAAACTGTAAAGATATGGAACCAACCTAAGTATCCATCAACTAATGTGTGGATAAAGAAAATGTGGTATATATACACCATGAAATACTACTCAGTCATAAAAAGAACAAAATAATGTCTTTTGTAGCAACTTAGATGGAGCTGAAGGCCATTATTCTAAGTGAAGTAATACAGGAGTGAAAAACCAAAAGCCATATGTTTTCACTTATAAGTGAGAGCTAAGCTATGAGTACACAAAGGCATACAGAATGATATAATAGACCTTAGAGATTCAGGAAGAGGAGGATTGGAAGGGGCTTAGGGATACAAAAAACTACACATTAGGTACGATGTACACTACTCAGGTGATGGGTGCCCTAAAATTTCGGAATTCACCACTATATAATTCATCTGTGTAACAAAAAACCAGTAGTGCCCCAAAAGCTACTGTAGAAAAAAGAAAATTATGCCAGGGGTTGTGGAGGATCGGGGGTGTAGGGGGATGGCTACTGAACAGATCCAGCCAGTTATGGAATAAATAAAGGCAAAAAAAATGAAAACTACAAGTAGAAAACTTATAGTAGAAAGACTTGAGTTCAGCAGTCTATTAATTTAAATATCCAATGGCAATTATGAAACCGTGGGGATTAATATTACCCTGCGAAATTTGAGTGTTATAAGCTATGACAACATAAAACATAATCATGTAACTCATAAAAATAGTGGGCGGTGGATATCAAAGGGTACAAATGTGCTAATTTCCTCCTCTTTCACAGCAGAGAGTCAATAGGTAAAGTCTAAATTTCAAACATGTAGGTATAACAAGCATTGTAATTTCAACTCTTAAAGTTCTTCGTCACTCTTATTTTTAACCTTAGACACTTTCAGGTTCCAATATTTTTGGTAAAGTACCCACCTGAATTTCAGTTGTGTTAGGTTCTGTCAGCTTCTTTTGTTAACTTCAAGTAAAATTCAACTGAATAGTTAATCTTAAAATGATGTGTATGGTATAATACATTCTAAAGTTATTTTGATTTTATTTTTCTGGAATGATGCTCACCAAATAATAACGATGATTCTACCTGAATAGGATGCTCACTTTCCTTGTCTTTTTTAATTGTTTACATTTTTAAGATGCGCGTAGCCTTTTTAGAGAGATAATAATGTTATTATTATTAATAAAATAAAGTAGAATAGCAAGGACATGGTAGCAGTGACTGGAGCCGTTCTTATGAGCTGTTAGGCTATAAAAGTAAGTAGAGATATAGAGAAAAAGCAACAAGCTGTCTATGCCCGTTAATTTTCCAGGGCCTTATATTAATTGCAGAAAACTGAAAGCAAAACTATTATTCTGAGTGAGATCCTAGTTGCAAAACCCTACCTCCTCTTCCAGAGATCAGAGCTCTCTTCTTAGGATCTCAGAAAGAGATCCCAATCAGGGTCTGGCCTTACTCCATTGTTCATTACTGAAAAGGCAAAACCACAAAGGATAGTGAAAAGAAACAATGTCTGATTTGTCCTTGACAGCCAAACACTCTGTTTTCTGCTCAGGACATACATCATTCCATTTCACATTAAAAGGTAAGTTTGACCAAAACAGTGTCTATAGTGGATGCACCAAATTGCCAGCAGAATTCTCCAACAGAGGCTGCAGTGTGGCTGTCCTTCATATCTGTAGTTATTTGAGTTAAATGAAGTCTGACATATTCCCACACGGAAATAGTAAGAAGAAACCAATTTTTTTCAGTCTATTAAATTTAATTCATTGTGTATGTTTCCCTTCCTCATCAGCAGTTCAAATTAATTTTTCTCATTGTCAACAGACTGACAGTCTCACACTACTTTAAATCCAAGCACACAATATTTGTAAGAACTATCCATACCCACGGGTGTGGAAAACAACATGTTCATTCCATTAGGTCTTAGCAAGGCTCTAACAATTACACAAAATAATTTATCCCTTGACGATCAGGTACAGCTGTATCTAACTCCTGTCAATTTCCATTTCAGCAGCAGGAATTGTGATGTTCTCAGGAGAGGAGTGATTGGTTTTCAGTTACACACTGCTACAGGTGGAAGTCATCTGAAAACCATAATGCCAGCATATGGATAACCTGTATGGCAGCATAATGATATTTGTACGTACCTTATAAGTGCTTATCCAGGACTATACCAATGTAATCAGTTTCACAGGAGCAGAAATAACATGGATCTCTCTCTCCATTCACTGATTGCATTGAGCACTGAAACAGTAATCACCATCTAAATGGAAAGGCAGCATTCAATAGGAAAATAAGCGATAGCTACAAAAGATGGTTTCCTATCCTATTTAAGAGATGAATTAATGGCAGCTGCAACTTGCAGAGGCAGCCTTCATGGGAAGTTTCCCCACTTGTATATAGTACATGGTGAAAATACTTTTCCCATTTTAAAATCAGGAAATATTCCTGGAATCAGAAATTCTGTTTTTGAAAATCAGTACTCATTCCAGCATCCTGTTTCATGTTTTCATCTGTAAAATGAGGAACCTGAGACTGTCTCATTCTTACCTACTAAGAGTATTTTGAGGACAAATGGAAAAATAATTAAAAGTAGTGAGAGTTTTTGGAAGAAAAGTTCTCTGTTAATCCAAGCTATTACTATTATTATCACTGCCAACTATACGGCGGTTTCAAATTCTAAATCTAAAAGCTTTTTCTGACATCTATTATTCAAATGTTATTAAAAAAATCCCTGCATTATTTAGGTCCTTATTAGAGGTGGGTAAACTGAGACCTAAAATGAATAAGAAACTTCCTCAAGGTCATACAATGGCATAGAAGGTAAAGAAACAGAAGTATCGATTCTTCATGCAGCGTCTCAGAGACACAGTGGCAAAGTTAAATTCAGAACCATTAATATCAGAAACAGCCTGAACCAACAGATTGCTTTTACATTTAAAACAATATCCAATTAAAAGCACTGGTACAGCAAAAGTCTTAAAGAAAAGCCCTTTGCAGAAAAGGTATGCATGGAACCATTTTCCACCATTTTCTTAGTTCTATTTTTAATGTGACATACAGTTTTTATTGAGCGTAAAGAAGAGATGTATATCTTTTCTCTGTGTGCTTATGAAAGGAATTTTTAAAGGGCTTCAATAAATTCCTTCATCAAATAACTAGAAGTCTACCCATGTGAAGTTGTCTTGATGTGCAATGTATTTTTAGAACAAATGAAGACAAGTAAATAATTCCTGCAAATGTGTTTTCCTCAATTCATTTCAATCCAAGTGTTTGCTGAGTACTTTGCATATGTCAGTAATTCTCTAGGTGACAGAGAGAGCTACAGGGAGGTATGAGTTTAAAAGTCATGTGTAAGTTGGACAAACCCAGGCACAAACTAGGCAACACTCAAATATTCCATCTCAGCCTGAGTTATACTTTGAGAATCCTTAGAAATATTTCCCAAATGGCAAGCTCCTCCACCTAAAAGGGCTCAGTGCTGGGAGGAATGTGGGGAGAACATTCTATGATGGGGCTCCCTTTCATGACCCACTTGCTGTTCTCATTAGTGCTTTTGAAATTTAGTGGAAGACTGCCTGTTCATATTTTCTTGCATGTTTTTGATGGATTTAAACCGCAGCCTGCCTATCTTTTGGGAATTCCCCCATGTGATTGCACAGGATGGAAAGCAGCAATTACAAAGGAATAAATTTGTTCCACACTAAAGCTATTTTCAGCTGCTTTGGGAGATCATTTAGAAAATTCTGGAAATGTTTCCATTATGTTGGATAAGCCATTATTTACACACTCACAGAAAGGATGCCACAAAAATCAGCACTTGAGTGTGTAACACAGTATTTTGGGTCAGTATTTTCTCATCTAGGGTAATAGTTCCCAAAAGTGACAGGAAGAGAAGCCTGACTGTTGGACATTTATTATTCTTAAATTTTATTTTTACATTTAGCAGTTACATCTTGAAATTGTAGTATTGCTTTATGTCTATTACCTAAGACTTACGTAACAACATTTTATATATTTTTATAAGGCATCCTATCACAAGTGAATGTCTCTTAACTTGCTGATATCACAACATGCTCATAATATAACGAGACTTATTTTCTGAAGAGGGGGAAAAGAAGGTCATGTTTAATTATGTCAGGTCCCTTGGGACTAAGTCAAAGCATCAGAGAGCAAGGATGCCACCAAATGTCACTAAGGAGTAGGTTTGTGATACCCCATCATTCTGTACCATAGCTGATTTCTCTCCCTCTTCCTCTCTCTTTTACTTTTATTTTATTTTTTATTATTTTCTTTTTGTGCCTGCCTATTTCCGACTGTCTCTCTCTGTTACTCGATGTCTCCTTTTCCTGTCTACATCCTAAACCTCCTGAACCCCACCAGTAACATTCATTGCTAAGCAGTTGCTAACACCTGTTCAGAATCTCCTTCAAATATCTGCAGGTTCCAAGATTTCCAAAAACTTACCCTTATTCACAATACACCAGCTACCACAACCACTGGCCACTAGGGAGGCAAAATAGCATAGCAGTCATGGATGTGAGAGTTGTACTGTTTGGAGTCAGGCTGCCTGGGCTCAAATCCCACCTTTCATCAGCTATGTGACCTTTGGGCAAGCTACCTAACTTTGCTATGGCTTAGTTCATCTTCTGTACTCCGGGAACAACAGTAGCAACTACTTCCTAAGTGCTATGAACTGAATGTTTGTGTCCCTGAAAAAATGTATATGTTGTACCCCTAAATTCCACTGTGATGGTATTTGGAGATAGGGCCTCTTGGAGGAAATTCAGTCATGAGGGTGGAGCCCTCATAGATGGGATTAGTGTCCTTATAAGAAGAAACAGGAGAGAGCTTGCTTCTCGCTTAGTCTTCACCTTGTGAGGCTACAACAAAAAGGCAACTATCTGCAAGCCAGGAAGAGAACCCCTCATGGGACACTCAATCTCCCCATGCCTTGATCTCAGACTTCCCAGCCTCCAGAACTGTGAGAAATAAATGTTTGTTGTTTAAGCACCCCAGTCTATGGTGTTTTGCTATGGCTGCCCAAGCAGACTAAGACAGTATGGTTTTTGAAGGAATTCAGTGTGTTCATAGACTTAAAGTAGTTAGCACATGGCATGGCAGATAAGAACCGCTCAATGAATGTGAGCTACTATTTTTAGTCCAAACTCCCTCCACCCCTGTCAGGCCAGTTTCTTTGATGTTCTGGAAGACAACATGCTCATTCTCCCCCATAAGAACCCCTATCCCACTAGGCTGGAATACCTTCCAGTGTTCCTCCAGTAATAAATCCCACTCTTCCTACTAGGCCCACTGCCTCCAAGAGCTGTTCCAGGAATATGACATGTCATGATGACCTTCCCCTGATGTCTTCTGTATCATTTACACTCTCCTATCCTTTCCTTGTTAATGAAATACTCTAGTGTGTTGCTAATTGTTTTCTGTGAATTCATGTTATCTTCATAGCTAAACACCAGGCCAGTACAGACACTGCCCTGACCTAGGCCTCACATGGCAGTTGCTCACCAATGGGTAGTTCTCAACAGATGTTGATTTACTCTGTTGTGAACATTCTAGGAGGGTTTGGTGTGCATGTAACAAAAAAAGAAGAGGAAGGAGAAGGAGGAGGAATAGGAGAAGCTGCTGTTTCCCAAATTATCTCTATTTCATTTAGTTTATGCACTTAGAAAACAAGCAATAATACAGGAGGGGTTCAGATCTTAACACACAAAAAAAAACCACATATGCACAAAATGAAGCTCACTAAATTTTCATTTAAGAAGAAAAACTCTTTTTAGTGAGCATAGACAGTGAATCTGCTGTGTATGATTTATTGAAGTTACACTCCAGTTGTAGTTAATTGACCTGATCAGGAATTCCCACTTGACAGATGGAAGCGCACACCAGTGTGACCACCCTATAGAGAAGATTCTATTAGGTTTTTCTTGGTCAAATCATGGTTTGTTCTTCCACACTAAGGATGTTGGAATTGGGTTCTCATTGGTATTCAAGATATATGGCTTGGCTAAAATATTTTAGATAGGTAAGTTACACTCACACCCTTGAATAAACAAAGTATAAAAACTACTGATGCCTATAACCTACCTGCACATGAGAGATGGTGCATGTTCCCGTCCCAGACATGGGCATTAGAAGACCACCAGTTGCATACAGCCACCTACATAAACTTGTACGGAATTCTTACTTCGGGATATTGTATATCTGACTCCAGTGAATCTTCCTTGAAAGGCCATGATTATAGCATCTAAGAGACTGGGACTTCATCAAATTTACACAGAGGTTGTGTGTCTGCTTTGTCCCTGCTTGATAATAAATACATTCTTTAAATAACTGTAGCAGAAAAGCTCACTTGTGAGAACATGACAGGAGTACTTTGACCCATTTCCCTCTCCATATCAGAACTTGTGATCTGTTCCCATTTAAAGTGTTCAAAACTGCCAGATGAAAAAAAAAAAAAAAGCCCGTGAAGAGACTTATAGACACAGGCACAGGGTAGCAACATGCTGGTGCTTTACTAACCAGAAAGCTGTAGAAATCAAATCCGTCAATTAATACTTACTGATTGCCTGCTAGGTGTCCAGACCATGAAACTACCAGATATCAGAAACTGGCATTTCAGATATCACCCAAGATAAATCTCCAATCTGGTCAGGAACAGTAAGACAACTGAACAGTGCCACCTACACAGTAAGGTTAGGGTACCTGCAGGTCACTAGAACATTGTTAGTTATTATGCCATCTTTTCTTAAAGGTGGAAAGTTAGATCTACCTGTCATACAAGGCCTTAACAAAGATACAATTTATGGCCCATATGTTTGGCTATAGGTCTAAAGAGAGAAGAAACTGATAGAATAAAAGTCAGAGTGGAGGAGCAACATGAATTAAGACTCATTGTTTTTGAAATTTTCTTCATTCAGCATTACAATTGTATGCTAGCTAACAAAAGTTTTGTGGTATGTATATGTCAAAGGACAAGTTTACAAGTTTGCTAAAGCCCTAAACAACCAACAAATTTAACTGGATTCATTTGATGTTTTATAGGACTTCCAGTTCCTACATTCATCAGGAATTTTTAGCATATCAGAATGTAATAGGTAAATTAGAAGATCAATAGCTCACATGCAACATATTGGTCTCATTTTGGGAAAAGGCAGCATTCAGGGTAGAAGAAAGGAACCCAGGCTCTGTGGCAGAACTTTGTTCAAATATTTGTTCCTGGAGCAGTTGCTAAGGGCCCGGCTCTGTTCTAAATGTTTTTTACTGATGGATCCTCACAACTGCCCTATGAAGTAGGTTACTATTATCTCCATTTACAGGTGAGGGCGCAGGACACAGCACAGCTACATAACTTGCCCAAGGACAGCAACTCACACTTGGCATGAGCCAGAATTTGAACACAGGGAGCTTGGCTCCAGGATTCATTCTCTTAAGCACAGCATCTGCTCAGAGGATGTAATGAAGTTGAACATGAAAAAGTATATTACAGTAGTGGGCACTCAGTACATTTTGCTCCACTTTCCTTTATTTAGAACCCAATTTTATGTGCTATGGGTGCTCCAAGAATTGACACCCCTTCTGTCGAGCAAACAGACCATTAGGTTCCAAACAGCAGCATAGGCACAACACACTAATGACTAATCTCATCAGCCAGACACATCAGCAGCTTGATAGATGTGGGTTGTAAGATCTTTCTCTCTTCCTCTTTTAGCCTCTCACCTCCACCAAAAGGCATTTTATAGTCAGTAGATAGGTGGGCTATATATTTTTTTCTAATCCTACCCATCTCCTCTTGCAATTCCTTCCACCAAAACTTTCACTCTACAAAAGAGAGAGAGAGAGCTTGAGATTGCCAAACTGCATTATAAATTGTAATCTGTCTCACAGCTTAGGATGTCTACAATTAGTGAAAGCACTTCAATAATATGGCCACACACTTACTCTTTGCAAGCCAACTACAGTTAGTTTTATAGCTCTAATATTATTAGAGCATTACATTTTAATTGATTTCATATTGATCTGGGGCAGTATCGTTACATCTATGAATAAAATCTCTCTCTAGAAAATACATGTCACAGAGTGATAATTTATTAAATGTGGGTTTTTACACCATTCCCAGGATGGGAGGCAGACTTGTCGATATGTTGTGATGGCTCATCCTAAGCAGAAGAGAGTGACTATCACTGGAGGTCCATGGCTCAGTTATGTCCTAGGGCTTCTAGTAGGTCAAAAGCAGTTTATCCTGCAGTCACCCTGTTCTCCCATCTGGATTATTGCAACAGCCTACTAACTTGGTCCCCCCACGTATACCTTTGGCTCCCTTCAGTCTAGTCTCAGCATAGCAGACGAAATGGTAACAGAGGTCATTCTGCTCACAGGTATATACCCAAGAAAAATTAAAATATATCCATATAAAAACTTGTACATGAATGTTTACAGCAGCATTATTTATAACAGCCAGAAGGTAGAAACAATACAAATGTTCAACCACCGATGAATGAATAAACAAATTATGGTATATCCTTACCACAGACTATTACTCAGAAATAAAAAGAAACGGAGTGCTGATACCTGCTACAACATGGATGAGCCTTGAAGACATTATGCTAAGTGAAAGAAGCCAGTCACAAAGGACCACAGGTTGTATAATTCCATTTATATGGGATGTCCAGAACTGGCAAATCCACAGAGGCAGAAAGTCGATCGGTGGTTGCCAGAGGAAGGAGGCAGAGAAGAGTGGAGACTGATCACTAACAAGTATACGGCTCCTTTGTGCAGTGATGAAAATGTTCTGAAATCAGCAGGGATGTTGCACAACTGCAGATATACTAAAACCCACTGAATTATATACTTTAAAATTGTGAATTTTATGATATATGAATCATATCTGAATAAAGCTGTAATTTCAAAAAACAAAACACTGACGTCAGATCATGCTGCTTTTCTGCTCAAGCAGACCAACGGCTCCCCAGTGCGTTCAGCCTGGACGCCCAGGCCCAGTATGATGCAATGCACCCTCCCACCCACACTTGGGCCTCATCTCCCTCTGCTTCTCCTTTACCCACTCAGCTTCAGCCACACTGGCCTCCTGGGCCTCATTGCACAGGTCACACACGCTCATGCCACAGGGTCTTATCCAGGCTGTTCATGCTGCCCAGAAAGTGATCATCCCAGAAAGCCACAGGGTTCCTGCCCTCACTCCATCACATCTTGCCTCACATGTCGCTTTCCTCATGTGGCCTTGCCCTGAGTATTCCACCTGAAACAGCTGTCCTTATCTCCCCATCACCCTAGCCCCACATTATCTTTCTCCTTTGCCTTTAAACTCACTTAATAACTTCAGTAAACAAGCAAGGTCTCCCTCTGCTAGAATGTAAGCTCCTCCAGGGTAGAGATTCATGGCTCTTTTGTTCATATCTGTATCCCCATGACCCCAAACAATGCCTGATATGTACTATGTGCTCAATGATCATTTGTTGAAGAAATGTGTGAACAGGGCCAGGCATGGTGGCTCACGCCTGTAATCCTAGCACTTTGGGAGGCCGAGGTGGGCGGATCACCTGAGGTCAGGAGTTTGAGACCACCCTGGCCAACATGGTGAAACCCTGTCTCTGCTAAAAATATAAGAATTAGCCAGGCATGGTAGCAGCCACTTGTAATCCCAGCTACTGGGGAGGCTGAGGCAGGAGAATCACTTGAGCCCAGGAGGCAGAGGTTGCAGTGAGCAGGGATCGAGCCACTACACTCCAGCCTAGGCAACAGAGCCAGACTTCTCAAAAAAAAAAAAAAAAATGTGTGAACAATCTTTCCAGTTTAATTCCCTTTGTCACGAATGTTGCATACTGACCTGAATGATAGAAAATTCATAAGAATCTGAAAGATGAGAAATCTTATTTAACATATTCTGTTGTACCTGGATGACTCAGTCTTTTCTTAGTGCAACTCAATATTCCCAATAACAAGGTAGGAGAAGTATGACAGGGAAAAGATTTAATTCAGCTCAAACCAAACAAACCAAATAAGAACGGGGACACTGGCTGAACAAGAAGGTGTGTTCACTGCCCTTTTGAATTTCACATTTTATTACAAAGGATACAAGTTGAATAAGTAACTAAAAGAACAGTGACATTACAAAGGGTGACTGTACCTGTCTAGGGGAAGACATGTCACAGGAACTAACCTGTCTAGATCTTCTGGGAATAAAATTAACAATGAACTCATAAGAAAAATATCATTAGTGAGAAATTCTATACAGGAAATTGAAATCAGGTGATGTAATAAGAGCTGAGTGGTCACTATGGGTAGAAAAGGAAGGCTTCAATCAGGAGGAGACATTTAAACTGGGATTTAAAAGACAAGGAGCCATCCTAAAGAGGCCCAGAGGTGAGTGCTGCTGGGACTCAGAAACTGATACCCGAAAAGATGGTGCCTTGACACGCTTTATGGAAGAAGAAGCCTCAAGGTCTTTCTGACCTCCCCCTGCTCCACCTCCTGTCTCTCAATCCTCTGTCTCTCCAAAGCAGAGGATGAAGTTGTTTTCTGAAGTTCCCTTAACTGCCTAAAGTTTGGGCTCACCAAAGAAGAAAACAATTGCCTCTGGTCTCTTCCCTGGGTTACCATTAAATGAACTCAAATTGCAGGAAGAAAGACAAACTCTGTTGTCACAAACCATTGTCTGTTCTGTGGGCCCAACAGACCTTGTCCGAGGACACTGTGTGTTCTTCAAGCCCACTGAAATCCCCCCAAAATCATTTTCTACCCCTGTAAAAGCATCCAGACTTCCCTCATCTTCCTTTCCCCTAAGAAGAAGGGTATATAACCATCTGTATTCCATTGCATGGTGGGGCAATCACTCTGTGATTCTCTCCCATGTATGTTGGTGAATTTGTACATCTTTTCTCCTATTAATCTGCTTTCTGTCCCTTGATTTTTACTAAACCTTCAGAGGACAAAGGGGAAGTTTTCCATATAGTGACAGCATGGTATATTCTAGGCATTTTAAGAAGGTCAGGAAGTCTGAGCCTAAAGTCATTAGAGGAAGCAACATGATATAGGGCTGGAGAAGTATGCAGGGGACAGATTTTAACCAGTTCTGAAGCCTCACTCAGAATTTTACAATATTAACCTAGGGGCAATGGGAAACCATCAGAGGGGCAGAAGCAGAACATGACTGATACAATCAGATTTTATTTTCAAAGGATCACTTTGAGGGCCTTGTGGTGAATGAATTAGAGATGTCTGAGCAAAGGGGCTGGGGGAGGAGTTAGAAGGCTGCTGCATCTGTCTACTCCATGAAAGGTGGCTGCTTAGACTAAGGTGAGGTTATTGTGAGGGTACATAAAAATGGATTGATTTGGCATATACATAGGAAGTACTTTAAACTAATAAGTCATTGATTAGATGGGTCTCAGGGAGTGACTGAAAGATAGTAATAACTATGCAACAATCTGGAATACCTCACTATTTGTACCTCACATTCCTCGGGGTGATCATGAGTCTGCAGGACCAACCTTTTAAGTTCATGGGTCAGAATTCACCAATGCAGGTAGTAACATTAGCAGTCCTATACCCACTAGACGGCGAGGCCTGAGATTGATCCATGGATGGGCTGAGAGCACACATATATCTACCACTGGCTCCCTTTTCCTGTCCTCTGATGTGTTTCCCAGATTCATTCTCCATGTTTTCATTTCGACTAGAGATCTTCCCCCGGTGCCCAAAATAACCCTTGCCACCCTGTCACCTGTCCTGGACTAGTGATGGCTACTCCTTGCTGTCTTGTCCCACCTGCTATATCAGACCAGCTTGGGTATTCCCACCAGACAAGGTTAAGTCCAAATTATGCACCCTTAAGCACCACCACCGGGGCAGCACACAACCCCCATGAGGTATCCCTATATGTGTGTTAGTCTTCTAAATGATGGTTATGTCTGGTCCTGGCTTTCTTTCCATCCCCACTGACAAGGACCTCTACAGACCTAAGTTTATTCAAACTATCACAGGTATCAGTCCCTATTTCAATAGTCTGTTGCTGTGTAATAAGTCACCCTAAAGCTTAATGGCTTAAAAAAAAATAGCAACGTGTTCCCCTTGTGATTCTGCAGTCTGTGCTGAGCTCAGCTAAGCTGTGCATTTTCTCCTCCACATAGTGTCTTCTGGGTAGGAATGTCTGAGATGGCTTCTTCATTGGCATGTCTGGCATCCCACCTGGAATGGTTGGAAAAGTTGTGTAGAAAGGTGCGAGCAGGCATATCTCTTTCCACATGGCCTCTCCATGAGGCAAGCTGAGACATGGTGGTCTCAGGTAGTCAGATCTCTTATTTGGCAGCTGGCTTCCAAGAGGAAGGAAGACCTAGAATGTCACTTTTGCCACATTCTAGTGGTCAGAGCCAGTCAGAAGACTGGCCCATTCAGGAAGACGGAATACAGATGTCCCTCTTGATGGGTCAAGCAGCGTGAGTGTACAAAGCGGGAAGGCATTGATGGTGGCCTTCTTGGAAGCAATCTTCCAGAGTTCCACAGAATATTTTCTAGGAACTTCAGACCTTCTCTCCCCACATTCCTCACTCCATCCCCAAGAAGAATGCCCAATTCAATAATAAAATGAATATCAGGGATAAAATGTGGCCACTGTAGTCAGGGGTGGGGCATTTAGGAATGGGATGAAAAAGGTGTTGGGTAGAATGGGATGGGAGCACAGTTCCTGCCCTTTACTGTGGCCAGTGCTCCTTAACTCACTGCCCTCACTTCTCACCCTGCTTCCTCTAATGTGGCCCAAACAGCAAGACAGGCCTGGGGCCTCTGCCATTGCCCTTGCAAGGCCCAATTAACACGGGGTTGAGGCGGTGATTACAACCAAGGAAGTGCCAGAGCATGCTGCTCACGCCTGTCTTGCGTGGGGGCCTTATGCTGAAGAGGGAAAGGAACTACTGCGCTCTTCACGAGGGCAATATATGGGAGAATACATCCAAACATTAATGAGTATTTTTTTTATGATGTTTTGCTCACAATGTAAAGTTTTGCAAATCTAGTATTAGTGGTTTGCAAAGGGATGCATTCAAAAATACTGAGAGTTGGGTCTTGGCCACACGTTTACACAACTAACAATTTGTGGCCCTATGAAGTCACATCAATTACACTCCCCTTGCCCCAGGCTAGAATGATATTAGAGTCGTCATTAAATGGCTGTTTAAATAAAGAGGCAATATGCTCTTTTCATTAAGCTCTTAATAATCTTAGCTTGATCAGGACTGAAGAAAGCACTAAAAGAAGCCATCAACAAAAAAAGAACAATCTCCCCACTTACTCCGTAGTGATTTTCCTCATCAACTCTTTCCACTTAACATGGAAAACCACGAACTCTCAGTGTTTAAAGCACTGTTAAAATTCTAAGGGGGTAATGATGAAGGAAAGGTGTTTTCACTTAATGAAGTCTATTTTAAAATTTTTGTAATAAGAAAACTGCTAAGTAGCCAAAAACCAAAAGTAAAAACAAAAGGAGAGGGATATTTCTTACAAGCGACAATGACCCTAGAAATAAAAATCCTCATGATATGGCATCCTCTATGCCAGTATCGAAAGAGAAGAGTTCTCTTTTCGTTAACAAATTCTGCAGCAATAAATTCTTAAACGCATTTGATAAAAGAACTAGGTGTTATAAACGGGCTGTGTAAAAAACAAAACAAAACCTTCCTCAGAGTGATTCTGGAAAAGAGAAGAGTATAATATCAGTTAGGAGGAGTAAAAAAGATGTCAAGACAGAATAAGAGAGGAAAAGCATCTGGGAAGGCAGAGGAGGGAAAGAAACAAGGTGAAAAACTGAGAAAGCAGAGGATGGGAGCAATGTAATTAGGCACACGAAGCCAGATTTGTCCCAAGGGCAAAAACATTTCCAAGTATTCTTCATATTGCTATATTTCCTTAAGCATGTATCAAGGAGAGATTCAAAGGAAGATCTCCCAACAATACTAGTGATGCCAAAGCACAGATAAGTAGGACCAGGAACAATATAGCAGTCAGTTTTATTCCATCACCTGTTTATTAATATCCCACACTAATGGGGTTGAACCAGCATATGTATACCGAAGACGTGCTGAAAGGCATATTTTATCTTTTTCTTATCTCTTACCTCGTGTGTGTGTGTGTATGTGTGTGTGTGTGTGTTTTGAAACAGGATGTTTCAAATTTTCTATTGGAGCTTAATGAAAGTACACATTCCTGGACCCTCCCTTTAGTGGCTGTGATTAAGTAGGTACATCGTGGTTCTTTTTTTTTTTTTAATTATACTTTAAGTTTTAGGGTACATGTGCACAACGTGCAGGTTAGTTACATATGTATACATGTGCCATGTTGGTGTGCTGCACCCATTAACTCGTCATTTAATGTTAGGTGTATCTCCTAATGCTATCCCTCCCCCCTCCCCCCACCCCACAACAGGCCCCGGTGTGTGATGTTCCCCTTCCTGTGTCCATTGTTCTTGTTGTTCAATTCCCACCTATGAGTGAGAACAGGCGGTGTTTGGTTTTTTGTCCTTGCGATAGTTTGCTGAGAATGATGGTTTCCAGCTTCATCCATGTCCCTACAAAGGATATGAACTCATCATTTTTTATGGCTGCATAGTATTCCATGGTGTATAGGTGCCACATTTTATTAATCCAGTCTATCATTGGTGAAGGATATGAACAGACACTTCTCAAAAGAAGACATTTATGCAGCCAAAAGGTACATCGTGGTTCTACGCATCTGTAATTGTAGCAAGCTCCAGGGGTTATTCTGATGCATCACAAAGACGAAGAACCATTGACATAGTAGAAAGACAAGATCAGAGATTAAGGAATTATGTTTGAGTCACGACTCTGAACTAATGGCTTTTAAATAATGACCATGCATGAGATCCAAGGTAATTCACTTAGCCATTCTGCAAAAATTTTCATAATAGTTAGTCCTTATATTTGTTTTAAAATGTGAAATATTGATATTTTCCTTTAATAAATCATAACATTTTTTCTCACAACCTTCTATACCTTCCACTACTCTGATCTCCAGCATGTGTTATTTGAAGTTAAAAAGACATAACCATAAAAATATAAGAAAGAGAAAACTTTATCCTTTTTTCATAGCTTTTTGGCAAAGCAATACTACAACACATTTAATATTTTGCTATTGTAAGAATATGTCGTTCAGTTCATACATCGAGAGATCAACTTTTTCCTGATCATATATTAAGGTCAAGAGGGAAATATTAATTTATTTTAACAGATGAGTTCAATATCACTCTGAACCAAAAGTACCCACACTGTCACAAAGAAAGATAACATTGATCTTGCAGACAGAATGGCTGTAAAAAATGAATATAATAATGAGCCACTTTAAACCCCGTAAAACCTCCTAAAACCTAAATGATCATCATTATTTAGATATATATGTGTAGCAAAACGCTCTATTGGCAATTTAACTTGTGATTTTTTAAAAAAATGCTTTATTGAGAGAGATCTTAGAGTATTACTTTGAAATCTTTGAGAGAAACCTTGAGAAGGATGATTATAGAGGTTCCTGGAATCATTAAGGTAACCTCCCTCCAAATGATGAATTGTCTGGGAAATGGGTATAGTCAGATCTTTTTTTGTGTTTAATAACAACAACAAAAAGCTACCCAACCTCTAGGTGTATGTCTTCAGGAACAGACAGGGAACAGTGGATCTGGTTCTGAAAAAGGACTAAATGAGCTAAACAGCAAGAAACATGACCTTGGGAAGCCAAGTGAAGGGCAACTTTTTCTAAGCGTGGTTCTGAGAAATTAAAGTTGTCCTCGCTCAAAAGTCAACATTGGCAGAGTGCCCTTGGCCAGTGTGAAGATGTGAATTAGCGGCATCTGTCGGAGCAGAGAGCATGATTTTGTCAACAGCCACCCAACTTGGCAGCAGCAAGCAAGCAACAGCATTAGCAAACTGATGAGAATTCAGTCTCTCTTCTCTTATAACAGAAATTAAGACCTCTCAACCCCCATTTGGAGTGAGCAAGCTCTCAGGTTTCAAGGAAATTTTAAGAGAGGAAAGATCCCAAAAGGAAGCTACAGTACTTCCTGTTAATATATAAGAAGACTCAAATCAATTTTAATTTGAGTTTAAAAGTCCTGGAGGAGTTCAAACTCAGATAGATACCCTCAAATATGTATTAGGGTCTCAGTACAGGCCATTCTTCAAAAAATAAAATTGCCCTCTTAGAAACGGTGAAGATACTTTGGAACTGATTGTCTATCCGCAGACACTGGGGCTACATTTCTGCAAGGAAGGAGAGAGAGATAGGATGCCTGGCAAGGCAAAGTACTCAAATTACTAAGGGGGACTTGAAAGATATGCCCCCAACTATAGGACCAGGTCAGGGTGAGGGAGGTAGATGTGCTTACAACACAGAGTGGTATTATACAACAGCCCTACAGCTAATCCCTAAAAAAACTGGTAGATGTTCCTTACCAGAACAAATTTTGAAGTAACGTAAGATGCTAACCTTTCCAAAGTTGGCTGAGAGAACTGAGAGTCTTTTTAGTTGCTGTAGAAAGAGTGTCACTGTCTGCAGAATGGGTGAATTTAGCAGCAAAAGCAGAGAGAATGAACCCAGCCCCTGAAGAATGTGGATTAACCAATAAAATGGCAGCATCTATGAACTGTGAGACACGCTCATAGTACCTGGCACAACAAAAGCAACGTTACCTACCTACAATCAATCCACAGGCAAGAGAGGAAGAGATAAATCAGGGGGTTTTGTCCTCTGTAAAATGAATATGCCATTGAGAAGGATAGTCATTAAGGTAACTGCTCTCATTGTGGGGGGCCAGAAAACAACCACTAAGTGGGGTAAGTAGTGGAATTGAAGCTCTAGTAACAAAATTTGGGTTGAGACTAGATCTATCTCCATTCATTCTCTGGGTGGAAAATAATTAAAAAGTGAAAAAGTTGTCTGGGAGATCTTCGAGGCACATCTATCAGCAAAAGTGGCTGGAATTGAGAGATCTGAAAATGAGACCAAAATGAATACAGGCAGCATGACTTAGGCTACATGAAGGGTTTAGCATGTGACAGAGACTGGAAGAGGCCATGTGTATATGGGCTGACCAGTAGGAAATATTGCTAATAGCTAAGGTATAACTTATCAACAGAACTGGCCTGGTGGGTCCCATATGTCTATGAGTATGCAAGTTGGGAATGCAGGTGGGTGGTGGCAGATAATTCATTTACCAAAGATGTCCGATTTAGAAGCAGACAACTGGGAACCCCCATTTTCACCACACTCCTCTCAAAGTCCCATAATCATGAGTCTGCACTGTTCTGGGTATTTTTTTTTTTTTTTTTTGCACATTAGTACTACAATTATAAAGTTACCAATAACTTTATATTAAGAAAATCATTTTCTTCCCCTTGAAAACAAAGTATGTCCTCACTTTCCCTGCTCTTTTATTCATGGCAGTATGAAATGTGTCCCTGATTCCCTCCGACCTGCCACAGAATACTGAAACAGTGGCCGTGGGAAGAAATACCAGATGGTATGCATATGGCTTTGGGAACAGCTTTCAGCAGTGGTCACTTGTCTTTTTTTAATGCATTTCAAAATGTGTTTGGTTAGCAAAAAATAATGAGATAATTCCCTCAAATAAATGGTGTTTCCCTTGAACTTAATTAGCTAAAGTATGAGACTCAGATCAACATGGGTCTTCTTTAGAACTAGTTCAAGAAGGCAAATCATGTTAAGAACTATCATATACCCTACGGTCTCCCAGACTGATTATGGAGGAAGTCATTATGAAAATGTTCAGAATGGCTCCCAAGCAGTCTCAAGTCACACACAACCATATCCTAAATACATGGCAGCAGAAAAGGTTCTTGCGTGGTTCGCCATAGGTGGCTTGCTCAAGCCATCCAGATGTGACTCAGTATTGATTGCTGGGACAGCAAGTAGCACAGTATGCTCTAAGATGTGAAGCAGCATAGCCGGTGGTAATACAATAATAGAACCAGAGCGTGGGGTTATCAACAAGTTTGCCTACTACCCTGCAAGTGCTGTGAAAAGCCCTATATTTAATGCATTACCACTTTGTAGATATTCTGGGGAGTTCTATTTATAGGCCAGATGATACAGGCGATTCAATAAAATATGCCTCTCAAGTGACATCAGAACCATGAAATGCAATTGTTAAGTACTTGGAAAGACAGAGTCTGTAACCATGTCATTTAAATGTCCTAAGAATTTTCAGCACTGTAATACACATATTAATATTTTAAATGAACTTTTAGTCTAGTCAATGCAAAATAGTCATCTCATAAATCTTTTAGCATTGTAATACTTTTTCATTTTAATCATTTTAATGTCCCTAAAATTCTGTCCTGCACATTTATTTTTATTTATGAACCTTAAAAATACACTGAAAATGCTTGTTTATAGTTGACCACCTTACTCCCCATGACCAGTTCATTTAGGTTAGTGTGCACATGTTCTACTTTCTTCTTTAGGAACCTACTACCATAAAAACACATGTCAGATGCCCTTATTCTGCTAAACACCATAAACATGTAACAGTTCTAGAATTAAGGCTCTGGGTCTGAACTAATTATGGATGCTTTCCTATAGAATTAAACTCAGCTGCTGCCGAATCCAAAAATATTTTAAAGAATATAATTCCAAGAACTAGTACCATTGCTTGTAATTATTGCCTATAAAACTGAAAGAACTAACTCTCAGGAATTTAATGTATTTGTCCCCATATGAGGCTATTTAATGCATCTCTGGGTTTCTGTAATATGCAAAGGAAGGTTCAGAGCTAAGTATGAGTAGAAGGGATGGATGGAGCTAATTTGCTCTACATAAGAAAATAGAATGAAATTTATTTTTGCACATAAGAAGGAAGAGGGCAGAAGTGAGAAAAGAGAAAGAAGACTGGCTGAGCTAGGTGGAAGAAGACATTTTAAGAATAGTGTTATCTGATATGCTATGATATAAATATACTCTTTCCCCTAAATGTCAACAAAATCTGCTCCAAATGTATAAGAAGTGTAAGAGTGCATGTGTGTGCATGAGTGTATGATTTAAACAACTTAATAAATGTGAAATGCTTACTCCAGTGCCTGGCACTTAGGAAACTCTTAAAAAATGTTAGCTCTTATTATGATCCATATTAATATTATTTACCATTTACAGCCTCGCCTAAAGAAAGAAAGAGACATGATATGACAACACATATAAGCAGTGCTATTAAAATAATTAATTTTTAAAGAAAACATGAAAAAATATTGGAAATAAAAAATTTCACTAGGAACTAAGGTGAGACAGTTACTCTAAGCATAAAATTTAATTCTAAGTTTGCCAGTTGGCAGTCAAAAATAGAAACATGTTTTTTATTTTTTACTAATTTTAGAAAAAAACTATATGTGTGTGTGTGTGTGTGTGTGTGTGTGTTTGTATATACAGAAAAATATTCCTGCCACAAATTCTTGTGAGTTTATTGTGTGTCTTGATGGATTCAGAGCCACTAATTAACATGAAGAGCCATTTACTGACTGGAGTTTGTTCTATAAGTAATCATTTTGCTATAAGAAGCCTTGGTAAAAGTTAAAAATATAATGTTAAATTATAACCTTAAATGCTTTTTGGAGGGATGAAAACTAATAGAGGCAAGAAATGCTATTTCTTTTTATGTCTATAATATAAAGATGTATTTTAGAGACTCTAAAAGAATAGTTTGGTTAACATGCCCATTACAATGTTATTTATTTTTTCTCACAAATATTTCTGAGTGTCACATGTATTATTAATCTTCCTCTTCAGTAAACAAAGTACACATCCCCAAGGATCACACACACTGTATTAAACCTATCATACCATGGTATGTACATTCTTGACAATTTTTTATATCTATTTTCCCCAAGAAGTAGAAAAAAAATGCTTTTTAAGGATCTCAAAATTTTGTGGTGAGTGATAGGAAATATATTCACAGGTACTGAAAGTAAGATTGAATATATGGAATGGAACAATGAAGTAGAAGCATTCAAAGTGACCAAGAATATTTTTTTAATTACATGCATCTTCCACTTTAAAAAGAAAAACTATCATGCAGATGGCAGTGATTAATCACCATGTACAAGATAATTTGACTGACAAAAGATTTCATGGCCCAGTTCTACCCACCAAGTGCATTTTCCTAATCTTCATAAACAGCCAACCACTTTAGGGCGAAAAAACTAGACAACAAAAGCAGCTCAGCTTTTGAAAACATAAGCTAGCACTGTCCATGGACACTCAATCAGAAGTTATGACATAAGCCAACAGAGAATGATGAACCAATTTACAGTCTAACTTTCAGGAACACATCGCTCTTACTAAAATGCCTTGATATATAATACAACTACCAGTGCATGATTTAAATAACATACTATAGTATGTATCATTATTAATTTAAAGCTTTCATCTTAGAGGCAACCTAAGAGGTACCGGTTTCCAAGTTTAAGGACATATTCTCAGCCTATTAAAGTGCAGCAATGGAACAGATTAGGAATGTTTCTGGCCAGCTATAACTGGAACACAGGAGAAAATATAAATAGCAAAATTGCCCTTTCTTACCTGTTATACAGGAGAGAAGAAGCCAAGTTCACGGGGTGCATACACATCCAAAGAGAGGAAGCCAAACCGGGAGAAAAAAGAGAGAAAAATCATTTTGGGTAAATCTAAGGCACAGGTTAACAATAAAAATGAAACATTTTGCAAAGAAAAACATTCTATACAGATTCTGATTGTGTGAGTTTGCAGAGTTAAATAATTTTTTTCCTGACAAGTAAACTTGAGTTAATTTGTATGTGATGTGGTTGACCACCCACACTAGACAGTCTCAGGTGGTACACAGCTGTTTCCATTCACAATGATAGATGTACATAACCAGTCACATTTTGAAGGTAATTTGGCAATAGACAAAAAACCAAGTATGCATTACATTATCAATGTGCCACATTCAGTTGCAGGAACCCTTAAGTCACATCCAAATTCATGTTAAAAAGGGATGATAAGCCAAATATGAATGGTCTGAATGTGAATCAGGGTCTAATTATTTGCTCTCCTTTGTTTAAATATTGATCACACCTGTAAAATATATTAAGAGCTAATTCTAGAAGACATGGCATATGGATACCAAACATGGCCTTTGTCCTTGTATGTATAATATTCTCCATGAATGTGGAAATATAAATGGGTAAAACTGGAGGCCATCAGTTAGTTATGAACCTGAGATTACCAAAAAGCAATCCCGATACCAGCCCTATCAATAAATATTAGTCCCTGTGGAAATTCAAGTTTTTTACTTTGCAGGAATGTCACATTTAGAAATTCAATTTAAGCGGGATGCATTTTCTAAGACTTTTTTAAGCCATTACCTATAAATCCTCTAAGGAAATAAGGTACACAGACCAACCTAAGCCAACATCAACTCAACAAGTGCTCTGAAAAACCTCAAATATCCCCCTGAAATTTTACCTTTCAAAACAAGCAAGAGGGTCCTGCCTTGCCCTTCAAAAATAACATTGCACTATTAGAGTTTTCTTATTTTTTTTCACATTTATAATCATCGCATTTTCCTTTGGGAAGTAAAGGAACCAAAAAACACACAAAAGGAGTCAGATCTCCTTTTTATACTTCTGTAAAAACAAACAAAACACAACTGCAGTGGATGTGAGATACTTCCCAAGAGATGATCAGCCAAATATAAATGGTCTTTGATTGTAATTGATAATTGAACAGGGTCCAATCTTAGCTTTATTTACCTTACATGGAAACTTTCCAAATAATGTTTTATCTCTTCGAGTTCCCAGTCAGCCTATCCCTTTATACAACTTTTGCCAGAATGTGCACTCCCTAAACTGAACATTTTTTCTATTGATGAAGTCTGACTCAAGGGCATTTTTGCTACGGAATAACGCTAGTCATCTTAGTTTACTGCCTTCTCAGTTGAGGGTATCATAGGTCACATCAAGGCTGTTCTCATTTCAGGCTCCCCTGTAACTGATATTAATCGTGCTATACCTCCAATCTATCTATTATCCAAGAGCTCCTAAATTTACAAGAAAAAAACGAACAACCCCATCAAAAAGTGGGCAAAGGATATGAACAGACACTTCTCAAAAGAAGACATTTATGCAGCCAAAAGACACATTAAAAACTGCTCATCATCACTGGCCATCAGAGAAATGCAAATCAAAACCATAATGAGATTCCATCTCACACCAGTTAGAATGGCGAACATTAAAAAGTCAGAAAACGACAAGTGCTGGAGAGGATGTGGAGAAACAGGAACACATTTACACTGTTGGTGGGACTGTAAACTAGTTCAACCATTGTGGAAGACAGTGTGGTGATTCCTCAGGGATCTAGAACTAGAAATACCATTTGACCCAGCCATCCCATTACTGGGTAAATACCCAAAGGATTACAAAACATGCTGCTATAAAAGACACATGCACACGGATGTTTATTGAGGCACTATTCACAATAGCAAAGACTTGGAACCAACCCAAATGTCCAACAATGATAGACTGCATCAAGAAAATGTGGCACATATACACCATAGAATACTATGCAGCCATAAAAAATGATGAGTTCATGTCCTTTGTAGGGACATAGATGAAGCTGGAAACCATCATTCTCAGCAAACTATCGAAAGGACAAAAAACCAAACACCGCATGTTCTCACTCACAGGTGGGAATTGAACAACGAGAACACATGGACACAGGAAGGGGAACATCACACACCGGGGCCTGTTGTGGGGTGGGGGGAGGGGGGAGGGATAGCATTAGGAGATATACCTAATGTTAAATGACGAGTTAACGGGTGCAGCACACCAACATGGCACATGTATACATATGTAACTAACCTGCACGTTGTGCACATGTACCCTAAAACTTAAAGTATAATAAAAAAAAGAAATTGATATATTTCTAAAAAGAATTTGAAGGCTATGAAGTATTGTAGCCTACATGAGCTAGACCAAAACAACTCCATACATGTCATGTCAGTAGAACTGATGTTCATTCATATATTTCCCTCCCTCCATCCATTTCATTAAAGAATATCTATAAGAATTCTATCACAAACATCATAGTTAATGGTGAAAATTTGAAGCTTTCCCACTAATTTCAGGAACATGATAATCATGTCCCCTCTCACCACTCCTTTTCAACTTTATACTGGAAGTACTAGCTAATACAGTAGTATGAAAATAAATAAAATATGTACTGATTAGGAAGGAAGAAATAAAATTGCTTTAGTTCACAGATGATTATCTATGATGAAAATTCTAAAGATTTAACAAAAATCTCCTGAAACTTGTAGACAATTACAGCAAGGTTGCAGGATACAAGATTAATATACAATAGTCAGTTGCTTCCCTAACACCAGCATGGAACAAGTGGAATTTGACATTGAAAACACAATACTATTTACCTTAGCACCCTAAAAAAAAATATTTTGGTATAACTCTAATAAAATATATACAACATCTATATGAGGAAGACTACAAACCTCCTATGAAAGAAACTCAAGAAGAAATACATAAATGAAGAGATATTCCATGTTCATGGATAGGAAGACTCAATATTATAAAGATGTCAGTTCTTCCCAGCTTGATATACAGGATTCAATGCTATCCCAATCAAAATCCCAGCAAGTTATTTTGTGGACATTGATAAACTGATTCTAAGGTTTATATGGATAAGAAAAAGACCCAGATCAAAACTACAAAGATATCACCTCACATCTGTAAAAATGGCTATTATCAAAAAGACAAAAATAAAACCTGCTGGTGAGGACATGGAGAAAAGGAAATTCTTGTACACTGTTGGTAGGAATGCAAACTGGTACAGCCATTATGAAAAACAGTATGGAGGTGCCTCAAAAAATTAAAATAAAATTAACATATGACCCAGCAATCTCACATACATCCAAAGGAAATGAAATCAGTATGGTAGAGATATCTGCACTCCCATGTTCATTGCAGCATTATTTACAATAGCCAAGATATGGAAACAACCTAAGTGTCCATCAATGGATGAATGGATAAAGAAAATGTAGTATTTGTACACACTGGAATATTATTTAGCCTTAAGAAAAAGGAAATCCTGCCAACGGCCACACCATAAATGAATCTGGAGGACATTACGCTAAGTGAAATAAGCCAGACACAGAAAGACAAATACTGTATGATCTCACTTACAGTGAAATCTAAAATAGTCAAACTTGCAGAAGCAAAGAGTACAATGGTAGTTGGTGGCGGGGGAAGGATAAATGGAGAGATTTTGGTCAAAGGATACAAAGTTTCAGTTATGCATGATGGATAAATTCTGGTGATCTAATGTACTGCATAGTGAATATAGTTAACAATACTGCATTATATACTTGAAATTTGCTAACATTGAAACATTGAATATGCCTTACATCAACAATGTGCACATATTGATTATGTGTTCTCAGCACATAGGAAGGAAGGAAGGAAGGAAGGAGGAAGGAAGGAAGGAGAGTAAGGTGACTGACATGTTAATCAGCTTGATTGCAATGATCATTTCACAATATACACATATATCAAAACATTAAGTTTTACACTTTAAACATATACAATTCTTACCATTTTTTCCTCAATAAAGCTGAAAAAAAGCTACAGTAATCAAGACTGTAGTACTGGCAAAAGAATAGACAAATCAATGAAATGGAATGTAGAGCTCAGAAATAGATCCATATAAATATAGTCAACTGATCTTTGACAAAGGAGCAAAGACAATACATGAAGGAAAGATAGTCTTTTCAACAAGCAGTAATGAAACAACTGGACATCCTCATGTGAGAAACTGAATCTAGACACAGACCTCACCCTGTTCACAAAAATTAACTCAAAATGGAATACAGACCTAAATGTTAAGTGCAAAACTTTAAAACTCTAGACGATAACACAAGAGAAAACCTAGATGACCTTGGGTTTGATGATGACTGCTTGTGAGCCATTCTGAACACTAACCATAATGACTTCCTTGATAATTAGGCTGGAGATCACAGGGTATGATAATTCATAACCAAAAGGAAATTCCCCTGTCAAAGATGCTCATCTCTTAAGTAAGAAACATAACTCACAAAGATGCCCAGTAATATAATGTGATAAGTAATGTGAGAGTGAGCCACAGATTCCATACTTCAAATTTCTTAATTTCCTAATTCTGAAAGCACTCTTTATTCTTCTTTCAAAATAAAGCCAAACATCTCTTTTCAAATAAAAGTCTAATCATGTTACGATATTTAATTGAAATGCCTTAGTCACTTCATATGACCTTGCAGGGATTGTCTATATGGCCTTGGTGCCCTATTCTGTCTACCTCTTCTGCCCCATCCCAAACCACTGCCCTCTTGTTCTCTAAGCTCCAAACACACTCTCCTCCTTTCAGTTCATCAAAGATTCTAGGTTCTTCCCACCAATGGGCCTTTGCACCTACTGTTCCCTCTTAGTGGAATATTCACCTCGTAAGCGCCACCTTTTATCTGGGGAACCCCTGCTCACTTCTCAACTTTCAGATCTCTAGTACCACTTCCCTGACCGTCATACATGCAAAATCTGACCATTCCCACAGTTAAATGCATTCATCAAACCATCAAGCCATATTCCTTTCCATAGGAAGTTAGCTCTGTTTGCTTTTATACTTTCATGAATGTGATATTCTAACTAATGACTCTAAGCTCATGAGGATGGTGACTATATCTGCTTTTGCATTCATATTATTTATCCTCAGCACCTAGTATCTGGCACAAGGTAAGTACTCAATAAACACCACTTACTATCAAATCAGCTGGTGGATTAAGAACTACTTTTAGTGTATGACATGCTAAAAGTAACATTAGGAAGAAAATGCACATTTGTGGGGATGCATCAAAGAAGTCAGAAAAATTAATCACTTAAAGGCATGGGCATACCTTTAAAACTTTTTCCATTTAACAATATTTCCTAGGCTCTGCTAGGAACAACTAAAAGTGAAACATACTCATGCAGATTAATCTGCCTTTTTAGTTTTGCACCCTTCCGTAGATTTCTATCTTATCCACTTCTTTATATTTAATGTTTGACTGAACTTGAGGTGACGAAGGACAATTGCTGGATGGAATTGATGGAAAGTCATTTTGAAAGCTGGTCAGGGCCTAGAAAGATTCAGCTGCCTCAGCCCAGGAAATGACCTTAATCAAGTCGTTTGATCATTATGGGCTTCTAACAACACTGCAGAGGAGACCAGATAAAAAGTTAGTCCCTATAGGACAGACAAGGCTACCTCTAAGCTAGGCTTTACGGAAAAAAAAAAAAAAGAAAAATAAAACAAGAACTGTGAACCTAAAGAGATGAAAAAATTATTGTCATATGAGCAGAAAATACATTCTATTTGGTTTCAAGGAGGCAGATTTGAAAGCTAATGATCTCTGTATCACAACCAGTCTCTCATTCAGCCTCCACTGGGATCTATGGCAAAGAAAGCAGATTGACAGACCTAAATAATGAGCATGCATTTGCCCCAGGAGAAAGAACCCCGAAGATCAGTGTCATAGGTAACTAGTAAATATCATTGCTGGTGTAGAAACAGGTAACTCTCTGGGTTATTATTAATAAGAATATTTGTAAGGCATCCAGTGTGTGAGACACTGTGAATAACATACCTGAGGATAAGCATGGAGAAAGACAAGAGAGCATTTTGCTGAAACTTTCAGCAATAGTAAGGGATTTTTCTCCCTTTTTATTCTTTTATTTTTGGAGTTAATGAAGCACAGAAGGTGGAGATCTAAGAACAAAGAAGTGAGCACGTTGCGAAGAGGACAGAGGTGAGTAGGACACAGAGAGAACAAAGAAAGGAAGAAAGAAACAAAGGTGAGAGAGGTGAGAGCCTGGCCAGAGAAGGAGAATTTTGAAAAATAATTAGTTTTCCTTTGGAGCTCCGAGCGCTTTCCAGTTTCCAAAGCACTTGGCACACATAATGTTATCCCACCTCACAGCAAGCCTGCGAGACAGACAGGCAGGGATCACCACCCTGCTCCTTCTTTTTTAGCTGATCACCTGAGGCTTAGAGAGGCTGCAAGTTGCCCAAAGTCCCTGAGCTGGAGAGCGGAGGGGCAGGACGGCACTGCATGAGTTTTCTGACTGCAGAAGGCATCTGGGGAAGGCAACAGAGAAACGCCAAGTTTTGAGGTTGGTGGAGAGTGAGTCTGTGTAACTGCTAGTGTTATTACCAGTCTGGGGGTTAAGCAGAGCTGCTTCTGGAGAAGAACAAATCCTCAACTGGCAAGGCAGCACTTGATTAAGTCTTGTTTTTCTACTCTTAATTCATGTACTGAAAGCTTACTGTGGGCTTTACTCTAGAGAAAAATGGACCCCAGATCCCCACTAAAAGGAACACACTGCTTCCCTCTTCACTTACACAGGAGGAAAAGCAGGGAACAGAGCTCTTGTTTCTGGCTTGTGATTGCTTTTTTAAATTAACAAGCACATTTTTAAAAAATTATCACTTTCTATCACACGTTTTTCTCAACAGCCTTGACAAGAATCCTAGGTCACGTGCACTTTGATTTTAGACAGTTCATCTTACTTTGACTTAATTGGTGTCTGGGGCAAAGGACAGAGATGGTCATGAGGTACTTGGGAGTTAATTCAGATCTCGAAAATTATTATGCAGAGAATATCAAGAAATTATCATTCTCTATCAAAACCCCAAATCCCAGGTTATGAAATAGAAAATAAAGGCTTTTAAATAGAGAAAATATTTTTGTGATTAATCAATCATTATGATTTACCATTTATGGTTTAGAATGAATCTAAGCAAAAGATGTCCAAAGCATTTAGTTTCTCTTTAGTACACCACTATTTTCAAATAGCTGTAAACATTTCTTCAGTAGCTGGGCACTGTGAGCTCCAGAGTACACTAAGGCCATACTCAGATGAATCCACAATGTAGGATAGTCCACACAAAGACTGTGGATTGCTGGGGAGTCACTTCCCAGTATCGCACTAAACTTCCCTGCAAACCACTTTTAAAGGGAAACATAACACTAAGACGGCAGAAGGTAGACAGAAGTGGGGATCAGGGAGTAGCACAGTGGAGAGAAGCCTCTAGAACCCAGTGATGTACAAAAAGACACTCTGATATCATTGGTGCTGTTTTCACAACAAAGCAGCCAAATTCATGAAAGGTACTAGGACATGCATAACTTCCCCATCTCATGAATCAGCAGCCTAGAGTTTGGAAAATTAAGTCCAGTAATGTTGCACACAAACTCTACTCCCTTCTCTACACACACACACATGCACACACGCACACAGTCACACTTAAACACATGTACACATTCTTAAATTTTTAAAGTGGAGGCCCAGTGCAGTGGCTCATGCCTGTAATCCCAGCTCTTTGGAAGGTCGAGGCGGGCAGATCACCTGAGGTCAGGGGTTCAAGACCAGCCTGGCCAACATGGTGAAACCGCATCTCTACTAAAAATACAAAAATTAGCCTGGTGTGGTGGCAGGCACCTGTAATCCCAGCCACTCGGGAGGCTGAGGCAGAAGAATCGCTTGAACCCAGAAGGCAGATGTTGCAGTGAGCCGAAATCATGCCACCGCGCTCCAGCCTGGGTGACAAGAGTGAAACTCCATCTTAAATAAACAAACAAACAAATAAACAAATGGAGAGCTTCCTAGTCCTTGTGGTAGACAATATTAGTGTTTTCCAATATCTGGAATGTTTCCCACTCCTGAGCACACAGAAAACTGTACTTCTTAGCAATCCTGTCACTGAGTGGGCCCACTAGTTCTAACCAAGGAGATGGGAGCAGAATATAGTGGGTCAATTCTGGGCTAAGGTGAAAAGCTCACCCCAATTCCCCAGCCATTGTCTCTCACTGTCATGGTGTTTGCTGAGGAGTTCTCCTACTAAGATGAAGGTAACAGAGGCTGAAGCAACTGCATTGCTAAGCATGTAGGACGAGTGCCCAAAAGAGTTACCTAGACCTACAATAGACTCTGCGTAAGAAAAAAATAAGCTTTTGTTAAGCTACAGAGATGTGGGTCATGTTTTTATAGCAGTGTAACTTAGTTTAATCTAATACCATCTGCTTGTCCATATTATTAACCACCAATTTCTCTTAATTCCACCTCATCAATATTTCTCTGATCTATCCAATGCTAACCATTGTCACTACCTTAAATCAGGTTACCATTCCCTCTCACCTGTATTGATGGGACAGCTCTCCCTGCCTCTCAATCCATTCTAATCCATTTTCCTGTACAGCCAGAGTCATCATTCTAAAGTTCGAACCTAAGCCTTTTTCTTCTTTACCTAAAATCATTCAATGATTCCCCATTGCTTCAAGGAAAAAATGGAAACTCTTTCCATGGCCTTCAAGGGCCTCCTAATCGTTCCCCTCTCCATGTGCATCTCCTGACCTTCCACTCTCTATGCTTCAGTCCTAGAAATACCTGATTTCTCTGGAACTACCATTATACAGCCTCACTGTTCCATCTTCCTGAAACACTTTTGTCCACCTGCCCACCTTTCTCTAGGCTAATTCCTTAGGAACCCGTTTAGGCAAACGCTTCCTTTCCTGACTTCTTAAGGCTGAATTGAGTGCTCCAGTGTCAACCTCTGCTCACTCCTGCTAAAGGTCAGGATATATAATCACCTGTCCCCTTGACACTCCTCTGCCAGGAGAGCTCCTTGACACAGACACTATTTTCTAGTGGTGACTCCATTCTTAGGGCCCAGCATGAGGGAGATCCAGCAGGTATTTGTGAAACAGAGAAGTGAAAGAAAGAATGCTTGGATCCAATGTGCCTCCCTCCTGGTTTCCCTTCTCAGTTATTCCAAAGGTATAGGACAGAAGGAAAGAGAAAGGATTTAAGAGTCTAATCAATCTGTCTTTACACTCCTCTTCTACCACTTGGAAACTTTGTGACCCTAGGCAAGCAACTTAATCCTTCTTAGCCCCCAAATCTCCATTTGTAAAATGGTAGTAATTGTATATATCTCCCTGATACAGTTGTAAATCGTAGTATCTGCATGACGGAGTTGTAAAAATTAGAGTTGTGAACATAAAACAGGCACTGAGTGAGAGGCACAAAGCAAACGCTAAATATAAATGGTAGGTCTAATAGTATTCTTGTTATTATTATTATTGATCATATAAAAACTGGCTTGATGGCAGCAATGGAAACACCTGGAAGTGAGATCAGATTTCATTTCAAGCAGGAAGAGAGTAAACAATCAGACTAGAGATGAGACTATGGAACTCTATGGAGGATAATGGACTCTTACTTAACCCCCCTGCCAGCTGCTTCTGTCATCCTCATCCTTTCTATTTCACTATGTACATTAAGTTTTAACCTACTCTGACATTTCTTCCTTTTTTGCCGCTTAGGACTCCGGCGATGACTGCCTGCCTTCTCCATGTTCTCTTCTCTTATCGTCCTTAAAACCCTTCTCTACACATTTTCACTGTTCTATCTCTGGCCAAAAAGAAGCAGGCAGTTAATAAACACAAATAAAACTGAGCAATCCATCCTCACTTAAAATTACTAAGTCTTAATTTCAGGTCTTCCAATGTTCCCATCAGTCATTAATTCAACACATATTGATTGAGCTCCCACTGTTGTAGGCCTGGGGCACTGAGCTAGGTCCTATTTTTTCTCTCTGAGCAAATATTAATTAGTTACAAACTACTAGCCATATTTAATTCAAATAAAATTTCTCAAAGGGAAAAGTTCCCCTTCTCTTCTTGATACTTTGTTTTATGGATACCCAGGCAAAAAGAGGTTTTTGTTTGGTTTGGGTTAGCTTTCGGTTTTTTGTGTGTATGTGTGGAGTATGCAGCAAATTGGTAATACAATATATTATTATTATTTTTTTTATTTTTATTTTTGAGATGGAGTCTCACTCTGTCACCCAGGCTGGACTGAAGCAATGGTGCGATCTCGGCTCACTGCAACCTTTGCCTCCCGGCTTTAAGAGATTCTCCTGCCTTAGCCTTCTGAGCAGCTGGGATTACAGGTGCCCATCAACACACCTGGCAGATTTTTGTATTTTTAGTAGAGACGGGGTTTCACCATGTTGGCCAGGCTGGTCTTGAACTCCTGACCTCAAGTGATGCGCCTGCCTTGGCCTTCCAAAGTGCTGGGATTACAGGTGTGAGGCCACCGTGCCCGGCCGGTAACACAGTATTTTGTTTTGGGTATATATGAGACTTGATAGTTAATCATAAAAATTAGTTACTTCTTTGATTGAACCAAAGGTGTAGGGCAGGCATGGATGCCAGTTCTCTTACACTAAGGACCTAAGCCTACAAATACATAAACACATTTACTTCTTGAACATAAAATCTCACTAGTGTCAACAAAGCATAGCCATTGTCACCTATTGAAGAATATAGTAATTTTTAGTTTTTTGTGTTACTTGCTGTTTTCATTCCTAAAGGAGTTTGATGACTGAAAGGAAAATTCCATTCGCATCCCTCTCTTCTTCCATTATCCCAGTCTCCCAGCTCAAAAGGCACATTGCTTAAACTAAATGAGGCAACAGGATAGTGGAGAGAATTCTGATCAGGAACTCCAAAGGTTTATCATCTTACAGCTAGTGCTAGGTAGAGTGTAATTTCGGTGATGGGGAGAGGGAGGAATGGGGAGAACTCTAAACTCAGCCTCTGGGTCCTCATGAGGAAAATGCAATGAAATGCTACATGGCTAAGGTTTTACTAAAAGGAGTTGATTTTTAAAACATTACACATAGGAAGCTGAAGAGTAACCTTTCTCAGTAACTCATGTCCAATATTAAATAGTCTTGACTTTCAGGAAATTCCTCCTTACAATTGATTTCAACTCTTCATCTGTGTAAAATGTTCTAAATTATTTAGGAGAACTCAAGGATACCATCAAATCAAGGTGTTGTCATCCTCAGCTCCACTCCACCAGCTTTTTATAACAGCTTTTCCCCAGGAATTGGTTTCCCATCATTAACAGCATAAACATACTTCCCTTTCTATGATTCAAGGCACTACACCCCAAATAGATCTCATCCAAGTAAGCAACACAAGCGACGTTCACAAGATCTAATGTCACTGCAGGTAGAAAACTGTCTCGGCCAGGCGCGATGGCTCACGCCTGTAATCCCAGCACTTTGGGAGGCCGAGGCTGGCCAATCACGAGGTCAGGAGATCAAGACGATCCTGGCTAACAAGGTGAAACCCCGTCTCTACTAAAAATACAAAAATTAGCCAGGCATGGTGGTGGGCGCCTATAGTCCCAGCTGCTCTGGAGGCTGAGGCAGGAGAATCTCTTGAACCTGGGAGGCGGAGGTTGCAGTGAGCCAAGATCACACCATTGCACTCCAGCCTGGGTGACAGAGGAAGACTCCATCTCAAAAGAAAAGAAAAGAAAGAAAAAGAAAACTGTCTCAAGGAATCATTCAAGTCTAGTTCTCTGGCTCTCTGTCCCCATCAGCAACCCATCCATTGTACGTGTCTAAAGACCCCTAGCATCTGTCAAAAAAAATTAACCTAATTATCTGGAGTGTTAAGAAGTGTTTTTGGAGTGTTAAGACTCCAGCAAAGATGAAGGTAGCTTCCTCTTATCATGTCCATTTCAGATTATTCCTTAAATTTAACACCTTTCACCAGCTATGAGAATGTACCATTCATCCCTTTTAACAGAAATGTAGCTACCTCTTATTTTCAGGTTATTGTTGTTCTCTTCAAGGAAAAATTTACCAGCCTCCAAGGCGTCTCAGCAGGTGAGCCTACATTCTTCTAAAGCAGTCTGAATATGAGGGCTGAGGGATCAGGATGGTTTTTCGGTTAGTTTATTTGTTTTCATGATTCTTCCTGCCCTTCCTCCTTTTAGCCATGTGAGGGTTCTTGGATGAGGTTAATCCAATCATCATGAGCTCCATTTCAATTTGCAAATTCCTCATTCTCGCATATGGCCATAGAGGTCTGTTTGGCTTACTATGGTGACTCATCAGGTTTACCAATGGACAAACTTAGAATGATTTCAGTTGATTTTCTTTTTTGACCTGTGACCATTGTTGAATGACTTAAATCCTTAATTAACTAGTATATATCATTAGAAAAACTAAATTCAGAACAATTTAGGACAATTTTCTTTCTTTTCTTTTTTTTTTTTTTTTTTGGTAGTACTCCGCTGGGTAATGCAGCTAGTTTCTCAGAGCTGTATTCCGGCCAAATAGCTTTTGCTGATACGTGTCTTAACAGACTGCTGATGGTCAAGGGACATGCAGACGTTTCCAGGGAAATAAAAGAAAACTTGTGAAAACTAGCTTGAAGGACACATTATATATTTATTATCAAGCAGCTAAACCATTATGCTTGTATTAGTGCCCAAAGCCTTCAGGAAAATGTGCATTCCTGGAACCTGTTCTAATAGCTTCTATCAGCTTCCTGTCATCCCCGTTTAGTGTGCCCAGAGCTACAGGAGCACGGACTGTCCTGTTGCAAGGCATAGCTTAAACCAGGGAGCAGCTTCTAAGTCATGGTCCATCTTCTTGATCCAAAACGAGAAAGGTAGAAAACTGAAGAGTAGAATAGCTCAGAGAATGCAATATGTTCTCAACCTAAAGATGTTCAGGACTGTTTGTTTGGGGAATCAGAGCAGGAATTTCCAAAAGCAAAATATAAATTAAAAGGTCTATTTAGGGACAAAAAAAAAAAGTAGCCTCACTGGTGAGAGAATAGAGTTGCATTTAGCTTTGAACCTTGCATTTTCTCCTAAGGAAATCCCAATTACTGTCAACTGCTTCCCCATAAGATAACATGCTTCAATAGCTAATCCATAGAAAAAACAGGTTTTGAGTTCTCCTCTCAGCACTGCACTCACTTTCTATTTGATCTTATGCAATTTTTAAAAATGCCCTGTGCCTTAGTTTCTTATCTGAAAATTTAATACAGACAGAGCAATCCAAAGATTGTTTGAAAAAGATAATTAAAACTAGTCTAGATAGAGATGATAATTTTCTATTCATTCTTTTCCTATTAAGTTGAACAAGCCTCCCTGGGCAAACATTCCAGAGAGGTCGTTTTTTCTGGGCTTCTGATTTCTCTTCATTGGAGCCGATTATTGTTCTACCTAGTGAGGTGGCTGAATACAAGAAAATCACTCCAAATTATTAACGTATTACATTAAACTCTTATTACTGTATAGCAAATGCTATATTTTGTTTGCATTCTCACTAAAATATTGATGTGGTAATGCATACTGATTGTATAATGCAAAGATCTCTCTTAAATTCTGTGATTGGACCCACACCGAGTTAGCACTGCTGTCTTCCCAGGCCCCTATATTTGCTCTTCATCTAAGGGATTTGTCATCCTTCCTGTTTTATTTTTAAACATTTCCTATCCGTTTGAACACAGTCACGCCAGTCCCTAAGCTAACCTACTCAATGCTAATACACCATCGTCACCTTTCCCAAGCTTCGGTCTCATCTCACTGTGCTCCTCTCCAAATCTGACACGTTGCCATCACTAACAACTCAGTGTGATTAAAGAAACTGTCACTCTCAGTACTGTGCTTAATGCAGAGCCGTAACATTAAGATGTGTCCAACAGAGGAAAAAAATTGAAGGAGGGGGGTACATAAAATGAAGAGGATTCATTGACCAGCAAAAATCAATGAAGCAAAAATGGGCCATTTTCCTCTCATTGATATTCACTGCTCATTGTAGGTTGACAGCAGTCTCTGCAACATTCCACTCCTTTTGTGGTTCCCAGGAAAGCCAAGCGACAACACAGGAATGCTCACCACATTTGGCGAGGTCCTTCCCATTCTACCGGGTGAAAACAATAGACTGGAAAGAAATTCACATTAAACAAAGAAACAACTATGGTTTCCCACTTAGGAGTACACGGTAGCAAAAGTGTTCCTGAGCAACACTGTCCTCACTGGTTTCTGATGAAATCCCTCTGCAGCCTGTGCTCAGTGGCCTCTTGACTTTGGCCAGCCACATTCTCAGTTACTCTGTCCTGTGGGAATCAAGACCTACCCTTTTCCCGACTCGACCTTCCTATTCCAAAGGCATCTCATTTTACAAAAAGTGCCATCCATCATCTGCAAAAGCCAGGAAGTGTAAGTCCCTGCCAAGAGCAGGGGCAGATATTCTGAGTAATTGGACGCCGCCTCTGTAGACCTAGCTGCCGCCTGAGCAGCTGGAGACAAGAGGTGAGATGACAAGAAACCTTCCCCAGAAGAGGTAGCGATGCCAGACACTTAGGATTTCATCTCAGAGGCAATCAGGTGTGTGTCAAACTCCCTACCTATTTTTAAACAGCACATGCATTCTAAAACAAGCCAGCATATACTTTTTTAAGAAGTTATTTACCGTGATGTGTCATGCAGTCACTTGCTCTAAGAAGGTTGGCACGAGAGCTCAGATAAAGATAAACTCTTTTTGATACATGCCTGGAATATGGAGGAGCTCAGTCGTGGCTACACTCATCACCCTTAGTTTTTCCAATAAGAAAATAACCTAATAACAACTAAGTCTCCATTTCCTTATTAGCATTCCACTAGGGGTACTCCAGGCTATGCCTTTAACTACATATCAGTCAATGGCAGGGCAAGAGTGCTTCCTGTGTAATTAAAACCGCCATGTTCAGGCAGATACTGCTAGGCAAGGTAGTAGCCTTGAAATACTTACAAGGAGGTGGGGAAGAGCACGCATTTGGCTTTGGAAAGTGACTTTTAGGGTCTGAGTATGTGCTTGTCATACTAAATATATGGATTCTCTAAATGAAAAAATAATGCTTACAAAATCAGGCCAACAATGGTATATTGGTTAAGGGCTACCACCTCATAACTATAGAAATAAGATATTCCAAACATAGGCTTACTGTGAATGAATAATAATGAATAAATAATTCATAAGTTTCCAGTGAATGAACTGTCTTACAAGTAACCAATCACCACCCTTTTCTTCCTCTTTCTTTCCTCTCTCCCTCCCTTCCTTCCTCTCATCTTTTCATCTTCTCATTCTTCTTTCATTTCACAAACATTGTTGATTGGATAACTACTAAGTGCCAGGTGCTGTGTTAGATTCTAAGGACACTAAGTTAACTGAGGTATTGCTATAGCCTTTGAGGAACGTTCAATTCTACTTGAAGGAACAGATGGCCGAAGCAATGACAGAGCACAAAATAATAAGTACAATGCTGGAGACAAGCACAAGATGCCAAGAAGCACAGAGGAGGGCATCGATGTGTGTTTCATGGAATCATGGAGGGCTTCCAGGAAGAAGTCTTTTCTTGACCTCAGTTTTAAAGGTAAAATAAGAGTTAGCTAAATAAAGAAGGCCAGAGGGGAGTCAGAAAGAACAGCATGCAAGATATGCTATGCTCAACAGAGATTCAACTTGGCTTGAGCCAAATTGTACATATATAAGGGCAAATGAAAAAGAAATGAGACTGAAGAGATCACCCAGTTGCAGCTGCACACCTAGCCACCTAGCATGCTTAAAGAATTTGAACTTCACTTTGAAAACTAAAGTCATTGAAATCATGTAAGCAATTTTAGGATTCTAGTAGATTGGGTTCTTGTTCCCAATTCTTACTCCTTTCCACTGCCAGAGGAACTTGCAATAGAATAGAGAAGATGAAGTATACATCTCACCAACATTTAGCTTGGCCCTGTCCCTGGCCTTAAATAGTATGTGGGTGGTAGTGACAGCTGCTACTTCTGAGCCCAGGCCTTTAGAAGCAGCCCATGTTTCCATGAAGGCTGCTGCCCAAGAAGAATAAGCCCCAGGTAGCCTCTGCCTCTTCAGTTCCGATCCTTGAAGAAGCACCAAACCCAACCAACCTCAGCCAAAATGAGCCAAACCTCAGCTCCTACATACCCATGAACAAGAAAAATAGATGCATGTTGTTATAAGTCCCTGAGATCTGGAGTATTGTTTCTTATTCTGCCTTACATTATAGCAACAGCTGACTAATATAAGCACGATTCCATTCCCCACCCTCCAACCTCTGCTTCTTAAACCAAAATAAAGTGATGGTCAACTCAGAATCCATAAGGACCATTAGCTCTTTTGATAAGAATAATATATCCCATTGTGTCAATAAGGAAAGTGCAGAGGAGTATGGAAGCTATCCTGGATAAACTCACTGTCTTGTAAATGAGGAATATTAGTCTTTAGAGAGTTTAGATGGCTTATGAAAATGAGAGAATCCTGGAAGACAGCTGCTCAATCATTCACTGGATTTTTAAGCAAGCATTGAAATAGACATACACTGAGTGCCTGTTCAGCTCATGACCCCCATTCTGCGAGCAGCCCATGACATCCTAACACCCTCAAGGTGCAACCCCAGAAGCCACGTTTCTACCACTTGTCTCTGCTCCCCCAGCATAGAGGACTGGAGCTGAGGATGTATAAACTCAGAAGAAGGAAAAGGATGCTGAGAAGAAGGAAATCTGGTCTATAGAAGGAAAAAAATTGGGCTAAAACATAGAAAGAAGCAGAAGCTAGTAGTTATTTGGCCCCTGAAGGCAGAGGACATCCAAGATAAATGTCTTGGTTCCTACAGCTGTCTCTTCCTATTCTCAGTCCTCCATGCCCTGGCAGCACTTTCTGTTGCTTGACCCAAGGTGTAACTCTAAGTCATAATAATAAATTCTCCTCTTGCTTATGCTGGTGGAAGTTTCTGTTACTGGAATCCAAAAGAAACTGGAGGAAAATATATGCCTACTTTGTGTCATACATGGGCTAGGCATCAGGGATATAAAGCAAATAGGTCAGACAAAAGAATAAAATTTTTTAACAGTTCCTGGGTTATGACAAAAAAATTACAGATGCTATTTCTTTCCCAGACTTGGAGGCCTCCACAATGTCCTCTTGGAGGAACCGATAGTTAAGCTGAGACCTAAATGGTAAATTGGAGGTGGCCAGATAAACACTTTACCAAAAAGGATGTAAGGAACAGGGTCACAAACCATACAGGTGGGCAGGAAAATGTCTGAGAAATGGCCTCGCAACTGAGCAAAAAAGGGCAATGGCCAATATTGAGAGAAATTTTAGTGGAGTGGTGAGGACAGAGGCAAGAGTGCAGTGGGTTGAAGAGCTGAGTGGGAAAACAGAAATAAACGTAGACAACTCTTACATTTTCAAGATGCATGACTATGGAAGAGGCAAGGTTCTAAGTGGGGAGGCGTATACACAGGATGACAATGGGGAGTTTTTTTGTTTGTTTAAGTGGGAAGGGCTTCCCATTCCAGATATGAGACACAGAATGACATATCTTGAAGAGGGTTTCTTTTGTGGGAGATGATGAGCAGAAGGGACAGTACAATGAAATTGGGAAGTAATGTGTCAAGAAGATAAAGACAGTCCATTCAGAATATGCAAATTTAAACTAAACTGTTCTTCCTATAAACCAACTGTTTGAGAGGAAATTATTTAATATTTGGGGGAGGGGGAAATGCTTTGCCATCCTTAAAGGGAATGCTTAAAAACTAATTACTGTTCCTAACTTATTCATCCCCAGTGCCTCACCAACATGATCCTTTTGTAATAGATTCATATTTCAAAGTGTGGAATGAAAAAAGCATGTGCCAACCAGCAATGACACCAAGACAATCCTCTCAGGTATAACAACAAGGGAAAAAGTGAATATGGGGAGATTTTTAGCACTACTGTATTACAGGGTTGGTTTTCTTTTACAACTCTCATTTTCCAAGGGTACTCAATATATATCAAACAAATAATTTGAAATTTTATTTTGTTGGTTTTGAAGAATTTTCTATATGTATGTAGCAATATTTGATAAAGACTTTCTTCTTAAAATTAATAGTGTTTTTAGAGACAGAAAAATATTAGCATGAAAAGAATGCTATCTGTTGTAAAATGACCAGAGCACAGAAATTTTTGTAAGTGTTGTACCAGTCACGTTTCCCAGACCCTTAAGTGGGATGCTTTTAAGTCACTGCCATAACCTGCCACTACTACCATTATTAATTTCTACCAACATCACCATTACCATCACCACCACCGCCATCACCACCATCACCATCACCACCACTACTATCTCTATTTTCATGACCACCACCACCTCTACAAATATCATCAACATCAGCTAGTTTCCTAGCATGATCTCTGAACCATGAGTTGCTGTTTGACTCAGTAATTTTTAAAATGGCTCATTGAATGGCAACCAAGTTCTGGGCTACTTTTGCTCCTGAAACTCCTTCCTTGCTCTTTTTATGGTTAATTACTATAGAAATACAGGCCAATGGCAAGGATGGAAAGTGGAGAATTAAACCTCAGGCTGAAAGGTGGAGGAGCTGGATACCATCTAGCGGTACTGTGATAAAGACCTGCTGCTCAAAGCACACTGGCCTGCTGAAGGATGGAATTTTGATAGGAACTTCCAAAAATAGCATGTGCAGCCATGGCTTTATTTTTAATGTCCCAGCATTGATCAAAAAAAAAAAAGTTGGGGGAGGGATTCAACTAAGCCAATGACGGAGAAAACTAATTTCATGGTAAGATAATTCTAAAATGTATTTAAGGTGCACCGGCAAGACCATTTTCAAAGAAATCTGCATTACAAAACATGCATGGGAATTGAAGACTCCATTCAGACAACCTCCAGCTGCTAAAGAAAAACAGTTATTCTTTAGTTCTCTCCCACTGTCTCCTGTAAACAATTTTATGAGGGAGAAAAAAAACTTCCTTACCACATTGGCCCTCATCAAAAGAAAGACACAGCATGGAAATATTTTCATTAGAAAAAATATTTTCATTAGAAAAATATTTTTTTCTTTAGAAAAAGACATGAATAAACAAGAGGAAAACAGTGGTGCTGAAATTATTTATTAGCTTCCTTAAAGGAGATCAATATGGAAAAGTCATCGAAAATGCCCTTTTTCAGGGCTTGCCAAAGAGAGAAGCTCAGTGAAGGCGTATCTTCTTGTGAGCTGTTATATTTTATGTTTCATGCCAAAAGTTCCAAAGTAGAGATTTCACTTCTTAAAAATGTCCAAAATTCTAAATTATAGCTTCCACAGGCTCTGTAAACAAGGCTCTATAGGATACGTATAGTAGATTTCTCTTGTTGTTTATGATGATAACATCCTGCTCTTAGTGGGCACATGTTGGGTGGACTTAAACTTGCAGTGGGAACTATAATTCAACCACAGCCCTGCAACAGCATGTCTTTTACTTCTAGCTTCCTCATTTTCCTTGCAGAAAAAGAAGACAGAATTGATAATATTATGGAGTGTGTGTGTGTGTGTGTGTGTGTGTGTGTGTGTGTGTATGTGTGTATGTCCTGTTAAATGTTAAATAAAATTCAAATGGCCACACAAAGTAATTCAATTAAATCATCATATAACCAAATAAATGTTCTATCAGTTCCATTTCTGTGCTCTTATTCAAATTCATTTCCATTTAAAGACACCCAATTTCTTCCTTTCTGAGACTTCTTATAAGTTATGAGGAAAAAATGCCCATTCAAGATGCCCAGCACATCATGCCACATATATTTGTACATTTGTTTCTAAGGCTGATTTCTCATTTTCTTAAACTTAAGGCTTAAAGTTCTTATTTGGGAACATGTACAGCAATTTCTGGCATTCTAAAATGCAAATCACTGCTTGGAAAAGTCAACAATAAGGTATGGTTAAAGAAAACAGAAGTTGTAATCATTAGGAAAACATAGCCCTTAGATGTCAGCATAAAGAAACGTAGGACTGAATACTTCCCCCCAGGATTGGGGGTTTAATGAAGTTAGTTGAATTCCTGGGTTTCAGCTACAATGTTGATACTGACTAATGCTGTTCCCAGTCCATACCTAGCTCTTGCACCAATCCTGTACTCTGCTTTATTTCACACTGAAGTTGAATGCCACACGTGTACTGGGTATAAACAGTGGGTCAAGAGTTGGCTGCCTGGTTTTTAAATTCTCAGTGTACCATCTAGTAGTTACAGGACTTTGGGCACATGATTTTCCTTCTTCTTCTCAATGTACTCATCAGCAAAATGGTGACAAATGGTACCCATGTGATAGAATTGTTATAAGGATTAGGTGGGTTAATATGTGAAGAATGGTTATCATACAGGAAATGCTAGATTAATGCTGTGGTTATCATCACTTATTATTAATTATTATTAGCACAGATATCTGTTCCTTTAGATTATAGGTTCCTTGAGGAAACACACCAGGCCTTGTACATTCAGTAATGTGAACAAGCCTTGTACATGGTAGGTGCTCAACACATTAAACCTGTCTACCATCTGGTTTTCATTAGAAACTCTACTAAGGTAAAGATTCAAAATGACCACGGGCACAATTATAAAAGAATAATGAGAATTCCAAAAATATCCCATTTGGCAGCATGATCTTGCTCCTCTTTTCCTACGAGACTAATTAAAGAGAAACGGGACTCAGGACAGATTTAAGCAGACGACTGTGCCACGTGCTAAGATGACAGTCCTGCCTTCTTTCTCCTTCTTATCATATTGAATAGTAATGCTTGAGAGATAGCTTCCCATAGAATAGGCAAATAGAACACATGAAGAGTTGGGAAATATAATCAAACTTTGAAACTTCTAGGAAAAAAACAAGGCTGGGAACGGTATACATGATATGGTGAACTCAAGCAAGCAGAGCTGACTCAGAGACAGAAGGGAAGTTTATACATATGTTGCAATGGGAGTCAGAAAGAATATATCAAAGATATAGGTGGGAAGATGAAATGATTGAAACAAAGGAAAGCAGCTTCTTGTGCTATCTTTGGCTTCAGTAACACTGTATATAATTTTCTAACTTTTAACACTAACATCCCTGCTAAGTATAGAAAAATCAAATTCTACTTAGGGGTACCCACTATCTTCTACTGTGACCAAAGAGTTTTCTTATGGCACACATATACACTTGTCTCATCACAGGAGATTTCCAACTTAAAAATAATAGCATGATGGCTGTCATTTTTTTAGCTCTATTAAAATATAATTGACATAGAATTGCATATATTTAAGGTATCCAACTTCATGGTTTGATACATGCATGTACTGTGAAATGATTACCACAATCAAGCTACTTAACAACATAGCCATTACCTCCCATAGTTACCATTTCCTTTATTTCTCGTTCTCTTTCTTTTCTTCTTTGATTTAAAAAAGAAAGAAATCCTGACATTTGTGACTACATGAATGAGCCTGAGGAACATTATACCAGGTGAAACAGGCCAGACATAGAAAGACAAATAATGCATGATTTCAGTTACATGTGGAACCAAAGGAGTCAAACTCGTAGAAGCAGAAAATTGAAGGGGTGGGACAGCAGGTAGATGGAGGGGGCAATGGAGAGACGTTTGTCAAAAGATACAAAGTTCCAGTGATGCAAGATGAATAAGTTCTACAGATCTAATCTACAACATGGTGACTATAGTTAATACAGTAATCGAATTGTACACTTGAAATTTGCTAAGATAGTAGATGTTTTTTTTCTTTTTTGAGATAGTCTCACTCTGTCGCCCAGGCTGGAGTGCAGTGGTGTGATCTTGGCTCACTGCAACCTCCGCCTCCCGGGTTCAAGCAATTCCCCTGCCTTAGCCTCCTGAGTAGCTGGGATTACAGTTGAGCACCACCACGCCTAGCTCATTTTTGTATTTTTAGTAGAGACAGGGTTTCGCCATGTTGATCAGACTGATCTCGAACTCCTGACCTCATGATCTGCCCGCCTCAGCCTCCTAAAGCGCTGGGATTTCAGGCGTGAGCCACCGTGCCGGACAAGATAGTAGATCTTAAGTGTTCTTACCACACACACACACAAATAAAAAAATGAAAGAAAATGTGTCATTCCTTTTAGATTAACATTTTTATTTGGAAAATTTAGACAACAAAAAGAAATCTTTAAAAATTTAAAATTATTTTTAATTCTATGGCTCATAGAGAGTGTTGTTAATGTTTTGGTTTATTGCTTCATTTTTAAATTTATTGAGACACTAACCATAATATATACATCACAATGTATATAAAACATAAGAACATTTTAAAGAAGCAGAACCAAGTGAACACCTATGTAAGCACCACCCAGGTTCAAAAGCAGAAAATTGTACTTTACCTCAGACTCTCTTTTTTGCTCCATCCACGATCACGCCATATTTTTCTAAGCATACCCTCATCCTCTCTCTCTCCATGAGTCTAACATCTGTTTTGCCACCTGTGGGTTGCATCCTTAAGTAATGTATTTAAAGTTGTGTTTTGTATCTTTATGTAAATGAAACCGTATACTATGTACAACTGGAGGCTTGCTTCTTTTCATTCCTCCTTGTGCCTGTGCATGATTTATCCGTGGGAAGTCTCAAACTGTATTTCAATTCTTTTCATTGCTGTGTAGTATTCCCTTCTATGAGTATTCCCCCATGTATGTCTTGATTCTACTATCAATGGACATTTGGGTTGTTGTTTCCATATTCTGTTGCTAAGAATATTTGTATGACTGTTTCCTGGTACAAATATGCAAAAGTTCTCTGGGGATTCCACTTAGTAATTTAGTTGCTGGCTTCATGAATTATGTGCAGACTTAAGTGTATTAAGTGATACCAAAGTGTTTTCCAGAGTAGTTATACCAATATCTATTCCCAACAGAAGTGGGTAAGCGTCCCCATCTACAACCTAATCATGGGTGTTATCAAACTTCCTAGTTTTTGCCCACATGGTGAGTATGCCTACTTATAACTATTGAGTTGGAGCATCTATTTGAATCAACTTCGCCATTAAAGTTCCTCGTGTGTGGGCATGCACACACACACACACACACACACACACACACACACACACACGAAGCATCTTGCCAATATAGTAGATAATGCACTTACTATGGACACTGTGGATAACTATGTGCTGTGATAAAATTAATCAAAATATAAGAAGCTTCTCTGGCTACCCTGCCTTTATAATCTAAAATCAATATATCAATGATTGGATTAGAAAAACTGTTATGGTTGATGGCACCATTATTCACATAATTGCCCAAATCAGAACCTGAAAATCATTCTACTCCTGTCATCTTATATTACCGACCTTCCAGTAGGTGATCAAATTCTACTGAGAATACTTCTTAAATGCATCATGATTTCTAGAAAATCAGCTCCCTCTTCTTCCATTATATATGTAACTACGTACTTATATATTCTATTTTTACTTATATAAGTAAGTTTGTTTCCACTTTTTAGCAATTACAAACTTTGATGCTATGAACATTTTTGTAGAGTTATGTATTTTTCTAGGATATACATTGAAAGTGGTATTTTAAGTCATGGTATTACTGAAACACCAGGGTTTCAGTCTAGGTCCTGCTGCTTGTCACACAGAAAGCCAGTGACTGAGACAATGATTGTTGCCAAGGAAAATGTCCTTATTCAGGTGCCGCAGCCAAGGACATGGGAGATCAGCCTCAAATTTGTCTCCCTGACCAATTAAAATTAGGAGTTTATATAGCAGAGAAGAAATGTAACAATGTGTAAGAAAACAGGAACTGGGTAGGGGGGTAAGGAAGCAATCATCATGATGAGGGGTTTGGCATCTCATTGTCTAGATTCATGATCTGGAGAGTTTCAGATCTTTGATTTTTTTTTTTTTTTTTTTTTTTGAGGCCTGACAGTCCTTTCCTGAGGAGGTAACTCAGATAAAACAAACTTAAGTTTCAAGCTTTAAAACCAGAAGGGTCAATTTCTGTGTTTATTTAAAAAAAAAAAAAAAAAAAAAAAACCTGTCTATGGGACTAATGGGACAGATTCAATGGTAGTATATGAATGTTTAAATTTCTTAAGAAATCCAAAAGTGAATGTGGGTTCTCCACCACTGGTATAACCTCACAACACGTTTTAGTTTGATAGCTTTACTGGGTGGTAAAGGTATTTCACTTTGCTTTCAATTCTTTCCTTGACTAATAATGTTATTTCACATCTTGTCACATGTTGTGAGCCATTTATGTTCCTTTTTTCTTGTGTTTATTTTCTATTTTCCTACTGAATTGTCTTTTTCTTACTGATTTGAGGAAGTTCTTTTGTTTAATCTGCCTACTAGTTATTTCCCAGCTGTATGTGTTGCCAGTTTGTGGCTTGTCTTTTCTGTTTACATTGTCTTTTGATAAACAATATCTTAGTTTTAATATGGTCAAGTTAAATCCTTACTAAATGGTTTGCTCTTTTGTGTCTTGTATTATTTGTGTCTTGTTCAAGAAATATTTTTCTACCCTGTGGTCATAAAAACATAATCCTATATTTTCCTCTAAACATTTTATAGTTTTCTCTTTCACTTTTAAATTTTTTAATTACTTGTAATTTACTCTTGGTATGGAGGCAGGCACCCAATTTCACTCTTATCATATGATTAATTATTTGTCCTAGCTACATTTACATTTACCTCTGTTCTACAATGCTGTTTGTATAAATTAAGTTTTAATATTTGCCTGAGTTCTTGGTGTGCTCTACATTTTACTCCGTGGTTCTAGTTCTAACTCCCTACAGTGTCTAAGCTGGAATATAGATTTAAATAAGCCTGTATTTGAAAGGGTTTGTCTTACCTTCAGCTTCTTCTTGGGTGTCTCGGGTATTCTCTGCACTTTCTTTTTTCAAATAAATCTTTTAAAAAACAGTTCGTCTAGTTACAAAATTCACACAACTCCATTAAGGTTAAATTGGCATTGAACCTATAAATCAACTTGGGAAAAGTTAATGTCTTCCTAGCTAGGAACATGATATAGCTCTCCATCCATTTTGGTTTTCTTTAATTTTTTCAAATCAAATTTATAATCTATAATTGTTCCCTAGTACTATTTGCCTAACCTCACACATTATCTAAATGGAAATATGGTTATTACAAAACTCTTGTTAGATTTATTTCTTGTTACTTTATTTATATTGCTACACCAAATTCTTGGTGCTAGCATCTAGAAATGCAACTCATTTAGATAGATAGATACAAACATACATAGACACACAGATACATACATTTATTGATTTTATACCCAGTAATTTGCTAAATTGCCTTCTCAATTCTAGCAATATATTTATAAATCATTTTGAGTTTTCTTCATTGATAACCTTTAAACAATGACAGTTTTGCTTCTTCCTCCAGTCATTCTTTTTGTTTGTCACATTGCATTGGCTGAAATCTCCTGTATAATAAAAATGAGGAATTGTGACAGTGGGCTTTCTTATCTTGTTCTTGATCTTAAAAAGAATGCTTTCAATATTTCACCAGTAGGTGTATGCTTATTGTAGGTTTTGTATAGATCCCTTTTGCCAGACTAATAAAGTTTCATTATACACCTAGTTCGCCACAAATTATTCAAGTCATAAATAAATGCTGATGTTCTTCAAATTCCTTTTTTGTCATTCTATTAAAAGTTTTTAGGCTGAGCACAGTGGCTCATGCCTGTAAACCCAACACTTTGGGAGGCTGAGGTAGGAGGATCACTTGAGGCCAGGAGTTTGAGACCAGCCTAGGCAACACAACAAGACCCCATCTCTACCAAAAACTTTAAAAACTAGTCTGGCATGGTGGCACACACTTGTTGTCCTAGCTTCTTGGGAGGGTCAGGTGGGAGGATTGCTTGAGCCCAGGAGGTTGAGGCTGCAGTGAGCCATGATCACACTACTGCACTCCAACCTGGGCAACAGAGTCAGACCCTGTCAGACCCTGCCTGAAAAACAAAAGTTTTCAAAAAATCCTTTAATTTGTTTTGTGTGACATAGTAATCAATTTCTTAATTTTAAATCAACTTAACATTCCTGAGATAACACAACTTGATCATTATACACTCTCTTGTTAGATGTATCTGGATTTCATGTGCTTAGAACTTTTATTAGATATCCATATCCCCATTCATGAAGAAAGCAGACTATAATTTTTATTTTTTTCTAATCTCCTTATCAGGTTTTTGTATCAAGGTTGTGCTTGCCCCATATAATGAATTTGGAATTGCTGTCTGTTCCTCCTTTTCAGAGGGAGTATAGATTACCCGTTCCCCAAGTATCTGGTGGAGTCACTTGGCACAGATGTGAAAGTTCAAGGTTTTGTGGATTTGGCAGAAAACCTCAGGGTGAAAGCCAACTTTGGAGCTTATCCACCTTGCAGAATTCCAGCTCTTAAGTTTTGGCCTCTTCAGATTCAACCTTTTTGTGTTAGTTCAGCAATGCAGTTTAAAAGATTTTTAAAATATATTTTTGTCAGTCTTTGGTTATTTTAATCAGGTAGCCTTTCATACTACCAGAAATGGGTGTCCTAGTGGCTGTGCTCTTCTAAGAACATTTGACCTGTCCTTATTTCTAGGACATGTATACCTCAGCTCACCACTGTGTCTCTGGCATGTAGTAGAGGCTCAGGTAATATTATTAAATGTACAAATGAATACTACAATTGCATTAAACAAATTTTGTTGTTGTTCTTCTTATAATACATTATAATTTTTACTTAAATGTCAATCACTTCTGCTGAACTGTCAGTTTTTGAAGGATATGAAGCTGTTTATACATCTTCTCATTCCCAACGTCTGGCACATAAAAATACTGAATAAATGAGTAAATAAATACACAGATAAATCCAGCTCTATAGTTAATTTGAATATATGTAGGTTAAATTTCACCCAGATGCTTTTTTATCTGCTACCAAATCAGTAATTAATGCAATGCGGGGAAACCAAGATGTAAATTATTGCATTCTGCAGCAAAGTAAATTTACTGTCATTTAATTGGGTGTATCTCCCATTTTGTAGAGTTGCTTATGTAAATCGCAGACAATTAAAAGCCTACAGTGGGTTGTTCCATAGCACTTACGATGCTTTTTTCATTTCTGCCCCAGGCAGCTTGTTTTTGGCAATAGATGTCCAGCTCCCATGCATTGTTTGAACATAAGTTATACTTCCTGACTATATGCTCTGAACCACACCATTGAAAGAGAGACAAGTCAAATAGGTCTGTGCTGAGTGGGCACACTGCCAGACCTATCTCCTTAACTGGAAACTGCTTACAAATAGAATTTAGAGTCATCTGAGCTGTCTAATTCTTAAAGCCTCTGTTATCTGAAGTAATGGCCTCCCACAGTTTACTATTAAGTGTAAAAATACCAAAAATCAATACCAATGCACATGTATTTCTCTGAAGAAAAACAAATGCATCTATCATAACTGACTGCATCTAGTCTTAAAAGGTGTATAGACCAGGCCAACAGCTGAATTAACCCAGCTGTCTTTGAAAACACCATGATACTTCCAAAACCTGATAGCTCAAAGAAGATAAACTAAATATATGTACCAAACATTACTGAATCTTACAGAAAATATACGAACTCTGAGAAGGAAACAATTCCAAGATAAAGTTTAGTTACCAAACTAAAAGAATTTTTCTCCTACATATAAAACCATCGACAACTTAAATAAGTAGAAGAATTTGAAGCAGATACATTAATTTCACAGAGTACACTTGTTTAATTTGCTAAATTCCCAGTACTATCTTATAGTCTGAAGCTAGACTTTCCTGTCTGATTCTGGGTTTGCTTTCTGCTCCCAAATACTAATAATGGCACAGTAGTGGGGTTAGAAACACATAGAAAAATGGTTCAATTCTGGGAAAAATAACACTCTTTCATGGAAGTTGGTTTTGCCTATTGTGTTGTGTATATCTTTGCTCTATCTTGAGCTTCAGGTATAAGATTCTAATAAAATGCCTGCCTTTAATGACTGCAATATAGCAAATTTAGCTACTCAAAAGTATTTGAAGTAAACCAATTTGCCCATTAATCATCATTACACTCACAAGAAGAATCAAGCAAATAACCTTTCAAAATGTTTCTCAGGTCAAATTTTACATCACTCCTACAACTTTCAAACACTGAATTTTAAATGGTGGTCTACAAATATATGCACACACCGTACCCAGCTAATTAAAGTAGATCTTGATTATCCCATTATTCAATTTATCATTTTAAAGGTACAAAAGCAAATGTGAACACTGATCAATCTCTTTACAACTTAGAGGACATCATTCTTGGGATGGAGCTGTAGCTAATGTGTGTACCTAGAGCTGAGAAAGGAACATGTATGCAATTGTACCAAGAATTGTTGAAATACAAGAGAAAAATTACAATCACATTTTTATCCAAATGAATATGTAGGAATTAACACACTGCAACACAGCAACAGTAGAATTACCAGAGTCCATCTTCTTTCCAAAACTGCGTGCCTACCCCGATAGCAGAAATATTAACTGACCTACTAAGAACTGTGCCTAAATTCTCAGTATTTTTCCATATTGCGTTATACTCTATTCTGAAATTAGTGTGACTTTCAGTTTTTTTTTAACTTTTCCAATATGATAACCAAGATGATCTCATGAGAAGCAAGCCCATAATGGTTCTGATAGCCCTTTTTTGAAGTCAGTGATATCTCAGGCTCAGAACAAGATAAAGCATTTTTTCTTCCTTTCCTTCAGAAGTTCTATAGACATGTATTTATTTTTTCTTCATTATTTATGATAAAATTAGTAAACATCAAATAAGTATTAATTATATCCTCAGGAAGTACCTACTACCACATCCCAGTGCCTCTCCTGCCAGGATCAATTACAAATTGTAAATGCTCCACTGCTTTTCATGTCACCTCTTTTTTTTTTTTTTTTTTTTTTTTTAGACAGTCTTGCTCTGTCGCCCAGGCTGGAGAGTAGTGACACAATCTCGGCTCACTGCAACCTCCACTTCCAGAGTTCAAACAATTCTCCTGTCTCAGCTTCCCAGGTAGCTGGGATTACAGGAGCATGCCACCATGCCCAGCTAATTTTTGTATTTTTAGTACAAACGGGGATTCACCATGTTTGCCAGGCTGGTCTCGAACTCCTGACCTCAGGTGATCCACACCCCCATTGGCCTCCCAAAGTGCTGGGATTATAGGCGTGAGCCACCACACCCAACCATATCACCTCTTTCTTACAAACCTCTTCATTTTTATCAGTGTCTCATGCAGTATCCAGTTCCCAGGTGGTTTTAATAATGTCCCAGCTCCCTCAGAAAACATATAGCAAAAAATGGACATATGATCCATGAATTTCAAATCTCAAACTGCAGTTCAAAGACCATTCTTTTTTTTTTTTTTTGTCTTGAGAACTTGACAAATGTAACAGATGAGGTAGGCAGGACAGTCCCTTAGAACCTATTCCAAATGTTAAAAAAGAAAGTCAAATCAGAATCAGAGCACCTTGACTATGAAATGCAGCTGCTTGCTAAGGCTTTGTTCCTTCTCCATTACTTCTGACCCTTTTGAGTGAGTCTGAACTCAAAGAGAGAAATGGCTCCATTAAAAGAACTGAGCAGAAAATATCTAAGAAAAACTTCTCTGGATATTTTGTAATAAGATGGAAGCATCACAAATCGGATGTAGTGCAACCAATCCATACACTTCGTCTTTCTCTCTCTCTCTCTTTTTTTTAACTAGCAATATGATTACATAAATAAATGCTTAAAACAGAAAAACAGAATTTGGCATTCCTAATATCCAGTATATTCTTGACTCCAGGTTTTCAACCATTACCCTTGAGCATAGGACTTAGTAAATGCTTTTGGAATGAATGAAGGTAAGACCACAGTATGGGAATACAGAATACAAAGCAGGAATTGTGTTTACCTGGGTAACAATAGAAGAAAAGATACTACAGGTTAGTAGGCAAATTGGGTCTTATCTTTTGTTAATCCTATTTCCTCCCCGGTTCCTAAAACTACATGCAATACTACTGGAAAGAAAAAAGTTATCTAGTAGAATAGGAGGCTTATCCACTAGCTACCGAACCCAGTAGTATAGACTCTTAGCCTTCTTAATGAGGAAAAAATAAAAAAACTCAATGAAACAGGTGACATGATTGTAAAAAAAGAAGAAAAAGGAAAACAAGTTTTCTTGGAAAAAAAATGCCTACATGCAATTTATATCTTAAGTAAAATATTTTAAATCTTCTTACTCAAGAGTATCTAATGATGAGATTTCCAGGTCTAAATTAACACAGCCACTTCTCCTTGATACAGAAATATGTTCCTATTGATCAAATTCAGCAGAGGGCAAACTAAGCAGTCTTGTCTGCCCATCTGTATGTGTTTTGCCAGCTCAGAATTTCCCTAAAGAGGAACAGAAGTGCTTGGAATCAATACTGTCCAATCCAATTTTTTTTCATGGCTATCAAAGAGAGTTCAGTAATTAAGAAGCAATTCCATTAAAATGTCTAGTACCTATACAATAATCAACAGGGACTTGGATGATTTTCTGTTTCTGAAATACTATTTATGTGTTCACTTTGTGCATCACATTTATGTAACTGCCACATTGTCACCAAGCAAATAACAATTTTTCTCTTTCTCCCACCTGAGAAGCTAGAAGTTGAGAGTTAAGATGAGTAATTTTATATTGTTTGAGGTTGGGGTTGTCTTAAAGTAGTCCATCCTGGCATCTTAAGGTTTGGGACATTAAGCATTTTTATAACTTAAGCAAACTGCTTCCATTAAGTATTTTAAAGGTAAATGTCAATCTAGCTACATTCAAGTAACATAAATTTTCTATTAAAAGAATAAGTGTTTGTCCACTGAAATATACTTCAGAGTAAAAACAATATAAGAGCAGGGATTCTAATGAGGGTCATTCAGCCAATTGTAATCAGCCTCCCTAAAACTGATAGAACTTGAAGTCATATAGATCAATATTTTTTACCTATTATTTTACTACTGCATTAAAATATTACAATTAAAATTCTAGAAATTTAAAATCATTTGCACATGCTAAGGATTGCTATAGTAAAAGTTCAGAAAGATTAATTTATCTTATAAATATGCATTTTAAATATGCATAATGACTATATTTTCCAAAGAAGAACTCTGGACAGCAACAAATACTTAATCGGAGAAAGAAAAAGATATTTAGCATCAAGACTACACAGTAAAATCCATGACTTATTTAAACAAAGTAGATGTAAATATAAGTAAAGTTTTATAAATTCCACATAAATGAAATTATTGGAAAAAGAAGATTAGAGCAAGAAAACCTCAGCATAAATACCATCACTGGGGAGAAACATGTTTCTGCAAAGCCCCAATATTAGATCACTTTCTCAGCTAACTTCATAATAAAGTAGAAGTGAAACTATCTTCTAGGAACTTAAAATCTAAGGCCATCAGGGCTGATATTTTAAGGGCATGTGTAACAGATATACATGATAGATATTAGCAGAATGTATAAATAAGATTAAATTTTGTATAACTTATCCCTAAGAAAAATGTATTTACTTACAACTTAGGAAAATGCATTTGCACATCAGTAATTCATGTAATTGGGGTAGAGGGCTACTGGATATTCAAATCTAGATAAACTGAGACCACTGTGTCTCATCTGAAAATTGATTATAAATAGAAAATGCATGTTCTGATTAATCTACTCTTCTTCAGTTTTACACAGCAGAAATGATTTCTCACAAAGGGTCAAGATGCAGATTATACAGCTAGATCAATCTAGTTTTCTTGAGTATTACACATCAGTAATTATAACAAAGCAGTGATTATACAGTAATTCTATTCCTGGAATACCTACTGTAGTCATTCTACTACACCTAAATAAAAAGACAAAGAAATACGTTTGTCCTTCTAAAAGTTTACCTGGAAGAGCTGAGTTTTTATAATTCCATTGTCCAACTAAACATACACATAATAAAAAGCACTCAATGAAATTGACTCTTCACAAAGGATAGCATAGCTTCATCACTGTACCAGGAACAACTTAAGAAATTGTGAATACTCAACTCAAGAGGCCTAGGTTTAACCATCAGCTTTTGAAAGACATTCGGTCATTTTTTCACAGTAATTCCACTGGCCTGGCTACCTCTGTTTCACAAAAGCACAGGCTTTCTGTTTCCATTATAGAGCCAGCATCAAAGAGTTTGAAACTGTTGTAAAGTCTTTAGCTAACAACCTGAATATGAATAAATAGTTCACACTGGTTTACAATAAAGTCAAAATTCTAAATTATTTAACTATCAAACTTCTATATTAAAACTGTACTCAAAGTACTAAATGTAGCCACTTATTCAAGTTCAAGCCTTATTGCTTTAAATTTTTGCCTAATTGCCTTTAATTTTGTTTTATCTATCAATTAGTGGCTGGAGACACAAATATATTGACCACACAGTAGATAACCTATAAGTGATAGAGAGACTGATACCCAATTACCCTTTGTAGGCTGGGTGTGGTGGCTTATGCCTGTAATCCAAGCACTTTGGGAGGCTAAGGCAGGCAGATCACTTGAGCCCAGGAATTTAAGACCAGCCTGGGAAACAAAATGAGATCCTGTTTCTACAAAAAATAGAAAAAAAAAAAATGTAGCTGGGCATAGTGGTACACGCCTGTAATCCCAGCTATTCAGGATGCTGAGGTGGGAGGATGGCTTGAGCCCAGGAGGCTGCAGTGAGCCATGATCATACCACTGCACTCCAGCCTGGGTGACAGAGTGAGACGCTGTCTAAAAACAACGACAACAACAACAACCCCTTGTAGTGGTGAAAACATTATTTTCCGCAACTAATACTTATTGGGATCTACTTCCCTCTTAAGAGTCCTTGCTTAATTTTACTACATTTTAACATCATGCCAAATCATTAAATCTTAACACAAAATGATCTTGGTTAAGACACACTGGTAAAATTAGTAGTCAGATGGACAGACAAAAATATAGAAGCTGAGTCCTGATTCAGAAAGCAGAAAAGGGGAGGAATTTACATCACTCACCCTCCCAGACACAGTAATTCATTTAACTTCAATTTCTTTCAGCATATCAAAGATATTGTATACTCTTCTGCTTGGCTGGCATAAAGGCGTATGTTTTTTTTTTTTTAGAGTTCAATAATATCATTCCCTGGTAATAACAGAAGTGGCAAAAATAAAACAAGAAGTGAACCACATAATCAGTTTTTAGACTCAAAGTCTTAAAATGTCAGTGCTCCTATTCCTAACCACCATCCTCATGATCTGAGGGTTCTTCTACTGTCTATAGTGACTCACAGTCAAACAGACTGCAAATCTGACTTTTCTAATGCAAATGAGTCTCTCCATCCATTAAAAAAACCTAAATGTTTTAAGTTGTAAGTAGAAAGCTCTGCTCCTTTAGCAAACGCCCTTCCAAGTGAAGACAGCATCACACATGAGCAGATTTTAGTGTTATAATCAATGCAACTTAAAAACATTGATCTGACATATAGTTAGTATTATGAATAATCATTGTGCCGCATGGTAATTGGAGATAAATGCTAAGTCGTTCACTTAAATGACTACAATTAATGTTAGGTTTACACAGCAAAATCAAATTTTCATAGTACTACATTTTTCATTAAATTATCCCCAAAATCAATGATTGCTATTATACATAGTCACTCTCATACTCACATTGAAAAAGCAAAGGTCTCAAATCCTACTCCCCCATGGCTGGTCCGCATCAGCACAGACCCCACTATGATTTCACTGATGGCCCAGAACTAAGGCACATTCAGTTCCTAATATATGCCCTAAATTCCAGACCCTTAATCCACAGGCTCCATGAAAAGGCCCAGTGCAACATATTCAATCTTGACAACATCTACTGCCCACAAAGCCAATATTAAGACAGCGGAAACCCTGGACTCAGAAGGCCAAGGGTAAGCTAGGGGTGGGGGAGTGGTGGAGGGAGAAGGGAGAGATTCTTCCCCTTTTGTGTCAACTTCTTTCAAGAATCTTATACAATTCCTTCCAATGATGACCAACAGGGCAAGGTAAGGAGGATAAGATAAAGGGGAGAAGACCCAGAAATGGAAGTGTAGTTCTCCTTAAGAAACCCTTTTCCATATCAATGTTTTGATCAAACTTGACTCTCTTCATTACTGCCAGCAAAAGTTAGCCAAGAAATATTTAAATTTTTCAGATTATTCAGAGTTGGCGAAAAGAAGGGGTGTTATGTACTAAGCAGTGCTGTGATGTAATCCTAGTCTTGCTGTCCATTTGATTTCCAGGCGTATGGTGACTTTGAAGCTTTCTGAATGAGCAAAGTAACCAGTAGCTAATAAAATGGCTTGTAGCTTCAATAATAATTCTACCCTAGAACCCGTTTTTTGCTTCCTTCAATGCTACTGAAAGGACACCATGGGTGTACTACCTAGGGAAAGGCATATTGAGGCACGGCCTGGTTATTTTCACTTGGCTGTTGAGAGATGGTTCTCCACGGTGTTTCTGCACATCTTATAGCAGCTTTTGTGCTGGCCTAATCTTTCAAGGGTGTTTGTGTGACAAACAGTCTTAGAAGATAAAGATAGTATCTTCCTTTTTTATAGCAAACAATGTGTACACATGGACTTACAAAGTGGAATAATAGCCATTGGAGACTCCAAAAGGTGAGAGAGTTGGAGAGGGGTGAGGGATAACAAATTACTTATTGAGTACAATTTACCCTATTTGGATGTGGTTACTATAAAAGCCCAGACTTTACCACAGCACAATATATCCACGTAGCAAGAATGTACTCGTACTCTCTAAATCTTTTTTTCTTTTTTTTTTTTTTTTAAAAAGAGCATTTTCCTCCAGGGCAATGGTTGGTCTGGTTTACACATGGTCCATTGTAAAATACTGGGATTTTCTTATGCTCAGGGATCCTTAGCTGTGTCACAAATCCTTGTGTGCACAGCATCTACCTAGGGTACTCCGCATCTCCTCCATGGGACTTGGAGGTAGAGGGGCAACCCCAAAGCTCATGGCACCTGTCATGCCATGAGTCTCTGACCCAAGGGTCTCATGTCTCTTGCCAGCATCCATAAAACTATGGCAGAGTAACCTGTTAGCTTGCAAGCACGGTAAAATTTCATCATGCAATTCCTCCCAGGTAGTAGGGTAGAAAGTTCCTACGGATTCTCTAACCCACCCTGGGGGGGAAATAAAAAACACAGAGGAATGTCTTAAAAAACATAGAGGAATTCCATACTCCAGGGTATGGAAATAAAAAACATAGAAGAATAGGTGCCAAAAGAAAATTAATAGCCAGGCATAAAAGAACTTCTCCAAGACCTGGGAGCAGCCATATTTCCCTAAATAATCTAACAGTTCCCTTAATTGCATATTAGAAAAATGTAGATTATTTTAAGACACAAGACTTTTGTGATTCCTGATAGAACTGTTGGTAATTGAAAAAAAAAATCAGAAAGCTAATATAATTTTCTTAAAATTCACATTTTTGAAAAGAAAATTTGAATGACATTGAAAATTGGATTTGTGATTGCATATTTAATTTGCAGTCTGCCTCCAAAATATTAAAAGTAAGCTAAATTATTTCATGTCAATGGATTTTTGTCAATCTTTTAAGGGAAAAAAGGAGAACTTTGTAATTTCTTGGAGTAAGAAAAATGTCTCCTTCAACACTTGAGTTCCTGCTGCTCAGTGGTGTCATTTGTTTGGAGCACAAACTCAATATTGTTCCAAAAGACAGCTATTTACCCTCAAGTTCTGAATCTCTATGAATTTAACAGGTTTACCATATAGATGTGCTGAGGGTTATGTTCTCCTTGGTTAGTTAATGCTCCACAAAATTTAATTCTGCATTACACAAATACCAGTAAAGAGAGTGAAAAATAAAACAAGATGCAAATTTTATGTTCATTGCAATGTGAAAATTAGGCCACAGAAAAATTCCTGGCTGGATTCAGAGTTTTCTTGTGCCAGCTAAAGCCTTGGTAAAATGTTAAATTATTTTTCGCCAATTCAACAGAGGTAAAAACGATCACATAAAAACCAGACTAAACAAAAACAAGTCAATGAGGCTGCTACACATAAAGCTTTATACAAATGAAGGACTATCAAAACATTTCCAAATGTCAGGAATTCATTTAGAAATTTATAGTATCTTAAAAAAAGGAAAAACCTCCTAGTATAAATTTCCTTTTCTGTACATTTAATCCCAACCTCTCATTATCACAAAAATATCTATCTTCTCAATTTCTAGAACCATATCTATAATGTTAATTTGCAGCGTACAAGCAGTCTGCCAGTGCTATATCCCAAAGGTGGACAATTTGATTACAGTGTTTGAAGAAGATGGCCTAGAAGGACAAAACTGTACATAAAAACAATCAACTCTGCACAAGATGGCTTTTCATAATCATTTTTAGACATGCATAAATCAGAGATGCATTTGTGTTACCTAATCACTACTAATGAGGCTTGAGCAGAGAATTCAAACTTCAATATTTCGCTAAAATCCTGAAGTGCAGCATCTGAATTAAATTAATACCCTTGCTTGGAAAGCTAAGATAAAGCATTTTACATTTTATAGATTTGGTATGAACACTCAAGATTGGATAACATGACTATGCCTTAACCTTTAGACTACAGCGAAACTGAAACAAAGAGATGCAAAACCAGTCTTGCCAATACTGGAAATTCAAAATAAAAATATATTTTGGCTTTTTTTAAGGGTAAAATTATGTTATCTATATCAACATCATTGGATTTATTTATTTCAATAGTAGAAAAATAGGTAATGTGACTACCATCTACCCATCCTTTGTCCCCCTAACACTGGCTGATTTTTAATGTGTAATACTATTACACATTAAATTACATTACACATTAAATTTTTAATGTGTAATACTATTACACATGATTTTTAATGAGGTAATACTGTTCTATGAAACATGGAAAAAGTTAGAAATAAACTAGCTGAGGTCTAGCTGCTTTCATGAGAGACTAAATCTGCTTCTGTAATATTGGTTGGTCTTTTGACACGGCAAAAACTGATTCCAACTGAGGCCTTCACATAGGGGTTTGAAGGGCACCCATTAGGACTTCACAAGCCACAGCCAAGTGTTTGTCTAACACCAGCATATTTGATACCCGCCCAGACTGTTTTTCTAGTATCATAATTTCACCTCTTTAGCAGAGGTGCCAAATGTTCTATGACAGGCTACAACTGCACTTTTGGCCACATCTATTTCATAATGAGCAGGGACAGTTACTGCCTTTTTCTCAGCAAAGAAAATATTGCTACAGCATAATTGCTTATTAATCATAGGCACAGTTTCTATAGGCAAGTTAGCCAGAAACCTCTGGGGCAATTTATATGCTCAAGACAATCATCTCAACTTCTTGTGAAACTGATAAATATTTGTACTAAAGAATGAAAGAGAGATGGCCTGTCTCCAGGGTATGGAAAAAATACTCAATAGTCATTGAAATCCCAGCTAGAATAAAAGCACAGAGATAGGCAAGCAGGGGTCTGTATTCAATACAAAATGTTTAAAGACATCTTTATCTGAAAATAAACAGATCTCACAATAATTCTATAAAAAGTCAACGACAGTGAGATTTTTCACGAACATCAATGTTCTGTTCAGATGAATAGACATGTTTTTAAATAAGTCTCAAAACAAATCATAAAAGTTCCTATGGCAAATACCAGTGGGAAAAAAGAAAGTAACAGTCTATCAAATAGGGTCATAAAACTGATAAAAAGCCAATTGTATATCCCCCCAAAAAATGACTCTGTTCAAGCCAACTCATTTATAAGAACTACCCATCTCTTGGAGAGCATGTTTCCAAATTCACTGACCTGCCATTGAGCAAAACATTTGTTTGAGGTCAGAAGGGCAAGTTCCACATAAAACAACTAGTTGGGTCTTTGGAACATAAGGCATAAATATGGGGAAAGGGCCAAAATAAAAATTACTGTCCAACCTGGGGCTGCTCTTTGATGTGTTTTCTTAAAATCCAGGGTACATGTTTTATCTGTAGTTTTCATAAGTCAAATTAGAGTTTTAGTAAGCAATATAACGTAATGCACACCACCTCTCATCTCATAGAAATTCTAACTTTTAAATTCTATCATCATTTTTATAATGGAGAAGGGCAAAAAAGTCATCCAACAATGCTCAATATATTTGGAAACTGTTTCTAAGAAGTAAGTCTCTTGTAATAAAAAGCTAGATAGCCTACTACTTGCATTCTCTATAATAATGAACATCTATATTGTTATAGTGTTCTGAACATTTAAATATATACACTGATTAGATATAGAGTTATACACATATATGTGAATATGTACATTTACATATGCACGTATATACATATGGAAATATATATATGGAGGTATGGTCTCCTGAGGATAAATTTATTTGATTGTTTGAGATTTAACATGGGCCTACCCTATAAAGAGATCTGCTTGGTAGCTTTATTTGGTAACAATGAAGCCACTGTCCAGGAGTAAACTAAGAGAGACAAAGACCTGAATCATGAGAAGTATCCTCCCTTATAGAACTCTGCAAGAAGTGTAATCATCAGACTGGTAGCAGAGGGATACATTTTATTTCTCCCAGACTGGCATGTAGATGTCAGAAGGAGCGCCTTGGCAGTATCTTCCTGGAGTGGAAGGGGAGAGAGGATGTTTTTTGGACAAGAGTTCATAGTAAGCATGGTCATTCTAAAGACTTCCAGATTATGCCAGGCACAGTGGCTCAAGCCTGTAATCTCAGCATTTTGGGAGGCCAAGGAGGGAGGATAGCTTGAGCCCAGGAGTTTGAGACCAGCCTGGGAAAGATGGTGAGATCTGGTCTCAATGAAAAATTTAAAAATTAGCCGGGTATGGTGGCACGCGCCTGTAGTATCAGCTACTCAGGTAGCTGAGGCAGGAGGATTCCTTGAACCCAGGAAGTCGAGGCAGCAGTGAGCTATGATCACACCAGTGCACTCATCGTGGGCCACAAACTGAGACCCTGTCTCTAAAGAAAAGACTTCTAGATTATACCAACTTATGCCAAAGGTGAGACAAAATGAAAATAAAAAAATAAAAACTATGCCCCATCCAAAAATATATGCTCATTCTGTGGCTGCTAACGTGCAGGGCATGACATACAAAGATGAACTAAACAAATACTGTCGTGGTCTAATGCAGACAGGCAAACAATTTCAACACAAAGTGCTACAGAAGAGATGTGGGAATACAGAAGGACACTTTGTTAGAGAGACATTAGGTAGGAGGGGTCCCCAGGGGAGGCCCTCTGGAGTTCAGCCTAGACAGTCAAGCGGATGAGGAGGAAGAGAAATTGCAGGGGTATTAGACAAGGAAAAAATGTACAGGGGCAAAGAGAACATGATTTATTAGAAGTATAAATGGCTTAGGGCGGATATCACCATTATTTTGAGTATTTATTAGGTGGTTTGCACTGTAGTAAACACTGGAAATACCCAGAAGAAAGCTGTGTTCAGGAGAGCAGTGAGAAATGAGGACTGAAAGTTTGGCCAGAAGTAGACTGAGATGAGCATGCGGTGCATTTGGTTTAGTATTTAGCCATAAGTAATTTAAAAACCATAGAGTAATTTTAAACGAGGGGAAAACATGATCATACATGAGAGAGAGACATTCTGGTGGCCTATATAAGGATGATGACAATGGTTGATTAAATTTTAAGGAATAGACACAATTAAGCAGGTGTATATAAGCGGCATAGAAGTTAAGACAGTCAAATGTATGTTTAGTGGGCCGATTTTTAAAGGTAACCAAGAAACTTTGTGCCAAGAGAAAAAATAAGTTGCATATGCTCAAATTTTTAGGCCAGAACTAAAGATAAGAAGATTTGAGAAGGGTCATAGCTCTGGCTTCAATCAGCTGCAATAACTATACCATGGACAATTAGGTGAAGCCTCCATGATGATAAAAGTTGGCTCTATGATTAGGAAGAAGAGCACCATCTCCTCAGACTATAATAATGATACAGCTCTGATGAGTGGAGGAACACCAGGGTTCTTGGTCCTCGCACCAGTTTTGATAAAACGACACAGACACACATGGAGTGGTTTTAAGGAGCGGAAAGTTTAACAGGCAAGAAAGAAGGGAGAAGACAGAAGGAAGAAGCTCCCTGTACAGAGACAGAGGGAGGGGAGGCTCCAAAGCCAAGAGAGGAAACTCCTACTGCAGGGTGGAAACCAGCCAGTTATATGAGGAGGTGGTCTGATTTGCATAGGGCTCAGGAGATTGGTTTAACCAGGCATGTCATTCACGTAGCCCTAGAAAAAACTGGCCCTCCCACCCTACTCTTGTAATATGGAAATGCAGGGCACCATGATGTTCTACACACGTGGGGATATGTGGGGGCAGCCATGTTGACAGGCACATGTAGGCCAAGGGCAAGAAGAAGGCAGCAGGAATCGCCATGTTTGGGTGGACCCAGTTTCTAACAGCCAGCATTTGCATGTCAAAGGTGGCTTTCCTGCTAGACAAGAAATGTTTCTGGAGCTGCTTTAAAAGAAACAAAAACTTCCCCAGGACCCCTTTTCCTAACTATCTGCCGAAAATAATTTCTTAGTAACTCCTATAACAATAAGATGGAAATGAAGAAAATATAAAGATCTGGAGAGAGGGGTACACAAGTGCAGGTCTTCTGGGAGCTGAGGATGAGGTCTCAACGGGGATGAGAAGGGGAAGAGGAGGGGGTGAAGAAGGGCTGACTTTGGACAGTTATGGATGGAGAGAATGCATGAAAGCGGATGACCTTATGCCAGTGAGCTTTGCCTCCAGAAATCGTTCAGCTGCTTAACTAGTTGAGCAGGACTAACAAGAAGATAGAAGTTGGTGCTTTGCTGAGGGTGCTCATCTAAGAGCCAGGGAAATCCCAGTCAACAGAACACAGGACGGCATGCAGGGTGATACGTGATATTGGAATAATTCAGAAATTGAGGGCTCTAGCTAAAAAACGGATAAGTTGGAGATTAAAAAGGTAGAAGAAAAGAGGACTTGAAGGCACACCTAGGGAAAAAGAGGTGTGGAAATGAGTGCGCTTCCTGGTTTCTGGCCAGAGAATGAAGTAGATAATAGTCTCACTATATGACCTAAGGAACTCAGGAGAAGGGCCACATTTCGAGGGCGAACTGCTTGCCTTTCTGGAACTCAGTTTCTTTACATAGCTATAGAATGAGGGCGTAGTCCTAGAGTGCTCTGATGGCCACACCAGCATTGGCTGTCTCTGTGAATAAAAAGTTAATTGAGAACATTCCACTTTTAGCCAATGGATCTCACACACTGCTCTCCTGGACCCATCAACATGCTTATTCTTTTCCACTGCCAAAGTTGCATAAGAACTCAGTAAAAAAAGAAACCGCCAGAATAAGAATAGCGACACCCAGTTCAAGGTTGTCGGGAGTGCTGAACAACACCTGTGAAGAGGGAGGTCACACCAGAGATCCTGCCAATTATTTTCTCCTATCATTGTGAGAGGGGAAAAATACTCCCACTTGTTACCCTGTACCAGTCTTGGCACATATAAAGAGTTCTTTCTTCGTTAAGAGCAGAGATCAGAGAAAAGCTGCATACATGAAGGTGTTACTGCTGGGTATGTCAATATGCATAGTAAGATGCTGCTAATTAAATTTAGCCTCAGTTTACTGGTCTAAACAAATATGTCTGAAAAAAAAATGTAACTTACTTTGGAACTCAACTTTTTATAAAATTATAGAGACTGAGACTAATATCCAGCTAACATAAATTCCATAAACGAAATATTTTTTACTTAAAAAAACTTTTTTTTTTTTTTTGAGATGGAGTCTTGCTCTGTCGCCCAGGCTGGAGTGCAGTGGTGTGATCTCGGCTCACTGCAGGCTCTGCCTCCTGGGTTCACGCCATTCTCCTGCCTCAGCATCCCCAGCAGCTGGGACTACAGGCACCCGCCACCACGCCCGGCTAATTTTTTTGTATTTTTAGTAGAGACGGGGTTTCACCGTGTTAGCCAGAATGGTCTCAATCTCCTGACTTCGTGATCTGCCCGCCTCGGCCTCCCAAAGTGCTGGGATTACAGGCGTGAGGCACTGCACCCAGCATTTTTTTATTTTTCATTTTTTTGAGACAGAGTCTCAATGCTGTCACTCAGGCTGGAGTGCAGTGGTATGATCTTGGCTCACTGCAACCTCCGCCTCCTGGGTCCAAGTGATTCTTATGCCTCAGCCTCCCGAGTTGCTGGAATGACAGGCACATACCACCACGCCTGGTTATTTTTTGTATTTTTAGTAGAGACGGGGATTTCACCGTGTTGGCTAAGCTGGTCTCGAACTCCTGGCCTCAAGTGTTCTGCTTGCCTTCGCCTCCCAAAGTGCTGGGATTACAGGTGTGAGCCACCACATCCAGCCATAACATTGTAATTTTAAAATTACTATTATTTTTGCCAAAGTGGTATGAAAGACAATATATAGTGTACTCTCATGGGGTTAATGTAGAGTGTTTAATAAATATTGCTTCCATACTAATAGGCTTTAGTTATTCTTTAAAAGGAGGCATTCTGGGTTTAACAATATATTCATTATCTATAAGACTTCAAACTACTTTTTAAGTATAAATATTAAATGTAAATGAGCAAAACTCATTTAGCTGTCATATACCTTGGATACAAACACCCATGTCAAGCATCTCCTGACACAGTTTTTACTCAACTGATTGTTTTATTTCATAAAAATTGTAATAGCTTCAATGTTTTCTTCTTCAGTAAACACAGGGTAATATCTGGTTCAATGCTTTCCAGCACAAAATTACACTGAAGAAAGGCCAATGTAATAGGTTTGACCTATTATTTTTACCTATTTCTTTCCAATTTCCACAACCTATTGTATCATCCAGCATCTCTAATGCAGGGTAATTCATTTCTGACTCTACAATCGACCTCTAAATATGCTGAGGTCATTCACTACATTTGATACCCCCATTTTTTTTAACAATTTCTCCTTCCACTTACATTATGCTTTTATTTAGAAAGAGCATAGTATGCTCTAAATCTTCTGATCTTCAAAGAGTATGTCTACGAGATTCAAGTGCAGTTTGAAAGTGAAAAAACAGAAAGCTGTAAAAGTGCTGTTTCAGCCAATGCCATCCATTCAGTCTGTAAGAAACTACCAGATGAATCCTTTGGTTTCACATCACCATCCTGAGAGAAATCACATATATAAATAGCATAGTAACAATACCTGTTTTATATACCACGTAATTGTATTCTTTATCATGTTCAAGTCCTTTTATTGCTCATAAAAAGGTGAACCCTACTAAATATATTCCTACATAAGAAACCCTATCATTTTGTATCATATTGAATCCAGAAAGCATAGCATAAAATATTGTTTATGCACAATCCCATTGGTGTTCCAATACAAAAATAAAAATTTTAAGATCCTAGCATTAAGAAATTAAGACTGATTAAATTATTAGGCTGTTTGCTATACTCAAATTTTATTCAACTTATAGAAACAAGACTAAGACCTCACTGTTTAAGTAAATGTTAATTAACATGTAATGTGCATTAGTGGGAAATCATCATAATGAAATTTCCCTTTTGTTCCCACATCAGGGTCCATTCCAAAATACCCAGTTAGTGCCTTAAAACCTACATGCCATGTGAAATAGACTATTACTCCTGGTCATTCCCAAGAAGCCATAAGGTCTTACTGTGTCACACTGTATGGTGCTTCCCTTTATATAACACAGCCCCATGTGCCTGCCACATTTGAGAATTTCTTTTTAATTTTTTATCAAAGTTTTTTATCATGCCCATGATTTAAAAGAAAGTAGTCCAGAAGGATCTATAATAAAAGAAGAGTTGCCTGCTTCACACTCTATACTTTTCTCCACCGGTCCTCATCCCTGCCATCTCTCAGCTTTTCTTGGCTGTTATGGAAAGGTGTAATATGGAAATAATAATAATGTAAATAGTTCATAGTGAAGGTTAAGTGAATTTGTGTATGTGAATATGTACAGCAGTATCAGGATTGTGGTTCATACTATGTAAGTGCAATCTGTGATGATTAATTTTCCAGTATCAGGACCGACAATATCAAGACCTAGGACACAGTATCTGCCCCATAACTAGAACTAAGTCTTTTTCTACAGGTTGATTCCAAAAGCTGAAAATGAATAACAAGTACTTACTTTGCCATAACTACAGGGAAACCATTTACTTCTCCATTCAAACAACAAATATTTACCAGGTAACTATGCAGGTTCAGACACTCTTCTACATGCTGGCAATAGAGTGGTATACAAGGCCAACATAGTGCTTACTTTCTATTAATGAAGAAACAATAAATAAGTGAATAGATAATAATGCCATTTTAAATAGAAATTTGTGTTATGATTCCCTTTTTTAAATAGTGATCAAAATTAGGCTACATTTTAGTCTGCTTTTTTTTTTTTTTTTTTTTGAGACGGAGTCTCGCTCTGTCCCCCAGGCTGGAGTGCAGTGGCGTGATCTCGGCTCACTGCAAGCTCTGCCTCCCGGGTTCATGCCATTCTCCTGCCTGAGCCTCCCGAGTAGCTGGGACTACAGGCACTTGCCACCATGCCCGGCTAATTTTTTGTAATTTTAGTAGAGCCAGGGTTTCACCATGTTAGCCAGGATGGTCTCAATCTCCTGACCTTGTGATCCGCCCGCCTCAGCCTCCCAAAGTGCTGGGATTACAGGCGTGAGCCACCGCACCCGGCCTAGTCTGCTTTTTTAAAATGATTTTACATTTATAAAAATGTAAAATTTTTTTACAAAAAAAATCATTTTTCAAATTTTACATTTTAAATGATTTTACATTTTAGCCTGCTTTTTAAAATTTGTGTTATGATTCCTTTTATAAATATTGATCAAAATTAGGCTACATTTTAGTCTGCTATTTTAAATGATGTTTTCTTGTATATTTTTCCTTTCTCTGTCTTTGTTGGGAGAATTATCCATTTTTTACCTAATATTGCTCAATTTCTTCTTCATTCTTTCTATGGATTGAAATTTTTTCCATTTTCTTAAAGTTGACCAGTCTCCTAATGTAATTTAGGATATTCATGCGCGGACCAAGATTTTTCTTGTAAAGCTGTTTGTTATTCCTAGAATTTCAGTGGGTTTTTTGGTTTGTTTTTTCCTTAAGTTCGATTCCTTTATCATGTTCTCAGACTTTTTTTTTTTTTTTTACTTCCAATTGTACTTTTTATCATATTGAACTCATTGTTTTCCCAGAACCCTACTTCCTGAAGTCTTCTCTTCTTCTCTCCCATCTGGTCTCCCTAGGTGTGCTACAGAAATGTCATCCTGCAGTTTTGCTTCTCCCTTGGATGCATGGCTATTTGAAGCTCATAACTTCATTTTTTAAATTCTCATCCTCATTTTTTCTGCTATCCATGTTCAAGTAATTTCCTAAGAAAGAGTGCATAACTGAAAATGACTTTATTCTGGTTTCCTGATTGATAATTTACCAGGACATCGAATTCTTGGCTGAGAATTCTTTCAGAGATGGAAGTCAGTGTTCAATTGCTTTCTAGGATCCAGTGTGCTGATGCACAGTCAGAGAAAATGTGGATCTTTTTTTTTCTCTTAGTTAATAAGTTTAATTCTCTTCATTTAACCTTTGTGTCCTAAAGATTCAAAATGATATTTTCAGCCACGGGCAGTGGCTCATGCTTGGAATCCCAGCACTTTGGGAAGCCAAGATGGATGGATTACCTGAGCTCAGGAGTTCAAGACCAGTCTGGGCAACATGGTGAAACTCCGTCTTTACAAAAAATTAGTTGGGTATGGTTGTGCACACCTGTCGTCCCAGCCACTTGGGAGGCTGAGGTGGGAGGATCACCTGAACACGGGAGGTCAAGGCTGCAACGAGCCATGGTCACTTCACTGCACTTCAGCCTGGGAGACAGAGTAAGACTCTGTCTGAAAAAAAAAAAAAACTATATTATCATTCTGATCAGCCCACTGTCTTTTCAATGTGAGAATTTGTGACAATTTTTAACTCTGGAAAATTTTCCTATATGATTACAAATTTATTTCCATTGATTTTTTTCACTTATTAATTTCTAGAATTCCTACCAGTTGAACATTGAACATTTATAGATTGATTTCTGTGTCTTATCTTTTTCTCTTGTTTCTGTTTTCTTGTCTTTTTATGCTATATTCTCACAGCTATCTTAAAAATTTAACTTCCAAATCTTCTAATGTATTTTGTATATCAATAGTAATATTTTTACCTTTAGAAGCTCTTCTTTATTCCCTGATTATTCACTTTTACAGCATCATGCTCTGTTTTATGGATGTAATATCTCACATCTCTCTGAGGAGGCCAATTATAACTTTTTTATTTTCTGCACTTTCTGAACTCTGAATCACCTGCTTCCTTTAAGATTAGTTTTTTCCATGTTTTTGTAGCTCTTTCTCTGTAATGCTGAAGACTTTCATCAGCTGTCTTGGGCTTCTTTGCAGTGTTCATTCATAATAATAATTGTGTCTCTGTGTTCATGGGTGAGGCTTGTCAAAAGGCCAATTCGACTTTAGGGTGAGCCAGTGAGGAGCCGTCATTGTGCCAATGGCTCCTCAAGTACTGCTAGGTGGAGAGTTTTGCTCTGTGGAACCATCCCTGCCATTCATTTTCTTGATGCTCCCCAGTCCCCTACTCATCAAAAAAAAAAAAGTATATTCAAATTTTTTCAAGTCTTTATCTTAGTTTGGGCCACTGTAATAGAATACCATATACTGGGAGGCTTCAAAACAACAAGCATTTATTTGTCACAGTTCTAGAGGCTGGAAATCTAAGATCAGGGTGCCAGCATGGTCAGGTGCTTGGTGAAGGCCCTCTTCCTGGTTTACAGACAGCAGTCTTCATGTTGAATCTGCATATGGTGGAGGGAGAGCCAGCTAGCTCTCTGGCCTCATTTTATAAGGCTGCTAATCCCAATAGGGCTCCACCTTCATGACCTAATCATCCTCCAAAGTTCCCACCTCCAAATACCATCCCATGGGGTTAGGGTTTCAACATAAGAATTGGAAGAGACAGAAACATTCAGTCCATTGCAGTCCTCCGTCTATTTCTTAAATCAACTTAGCAATAAATGCTGGAGAAAAGGTAGGGGGTAAAGGGATTAATTATTCCTCTGCATTTCTCACTGTCAACCATTTTTTTTATAGTCTCAAGACTATTTCTTATAGTCTTGCTGGGATTCCTTAAGTCAAACCACTGTAGTCTCTGCTGTTCTGAATAGTTATCAATACTCTTCCATTTTATATCATCCAAAAATTTCTAGAACCCCATTGTCCATGCATAGCCCCCCTCCCCTTCTCTTCACTTTTATGTGATGATACCAGTTTTATTTCTTCAGTGTGGTATTAATAAATTCTCAAGAATAAGAGGAGATAAAAGCATATGCAAGCCATCTTAAACTAAGAAAACCCTCTTTTCCTTTCCTTTCCTTTCCTTTCCTTTCCTTTCTCCTCTCCCCTCCCCTCCCCTCCCCTCCCCTTTCCTTTCTTTTCTTTTTTCACAGAATCTCTCTCGGTCACCCAGACTGGAGTGCAGTGGCACAACCTCGACTCACTGCAATCTCCTCCTCCTGGGTTCAAGCGATTCTCATGCCTCAGCCACCCAAGTAGCTGGGACTAAGGTGTGCGCCACTATGCCTGGCTAATTTTTATATTTTTAGTAGAGATGTGGTTTCACCATGTTGGCTAGTCTGGTGTCGAACTCCTGACCTCAAGTGATCTGTCTTACTTGGTCTCCCAAAGTGCTGGGATTATAGGCGTGAGCCACCGCATCCAGCCAACCCTCTTTGTTTCTATACTAGGGAAAATTAACTTCAAGTTTAGCCTTAACAGCAAACAAACAAACAAACATACACACACATATAAATAGGCAAGATCTACCCAAAGAATACTTACTGGTATAAATGGAGCATATCACTCTATCAACATATCAGTAAATAAGCCCCAGGCCTTTTAGAAATGGTGCCAATTCACCATACTTAGAAGAGAGTTCTATTTCTGTCTGGTTTTGTCTACCCATCTAAAGCAAAAGAGAAAATTGACCAGTGACTACCCAAAATTACCCAGACTGCCTGACTTGAGTTTATCACATAATTAGAATCCTCTCGTATTCAGAATCTTCTATTCACAATCTTCTATTCTTGTTTTGGCAGCTAAAACTCTGGTTAACCACACAACCCTAGCCTCTAGACATGTACTGCGTTAGCACTAACAGTCACATTCACACCTATTCTGAGTCAGACATCATTCCAAACATTTAACATATCTTAATTCTGTCAATTCTCACACAACCCTACAGAGGCAGGATTCTTATTATTCACAGTTTACAGGAAACTGAGGCACAGGTAGGAAGAGCAATTTGCCCATGGTCACACAGCTGCTAAGTGCCAGAGCCATGAAATAAACGACACACAACCAGGTTCCAGAATCTGTATTCTCACCCTCTACACATGCTGTCTCCTCGCTGTGATTTACAATTAATTTATTTGAATTGCTTTGAACAAACCACTAAACATATGTCCCTTGGAATTACAGTTAGCATTTTATTTCTACGTGACAAACGGAACCATCTTGCTATAATTTAAGAGATTACCACAGCCAGTCTAAAATTACTATCTTACATTTTTATACTTTTAGAAATACACATATCATCTGGATGGATCTTAACAGCTTTCAATGGTGTTATTGTATGTTTCTAATAGATAAAGAGGACCAGGACCAACTGATGATAGAGCTAGAACTAGAACCATAGTGTTCTGCTTCCTATTCCACTGTTCTTTCCACTAAAAAATGTGGCCCACACTCAAATATAAGATCTAATAGATGATCTCTAGCGGCCACATATAACCATCTTTTTTTTTCTTTTTTTTTTCTTTTGAGACAGATTCTTGCTCTATCGCCCAGGCTGGAGTGCAGTGGCACAATCTTGGTTCACTGCAGCCTCTGCCTCCTGAGTTCAAGCGAGTCTCCTGCCTCAGCCCCTTGAGTAGTTGGAATACAGGTACCAGCCACCATGCCCAACTAATTTTTTTGTATTTTTAGTACAGATGGGTTTTCCCCATGTTGGCTAGGCTGGTCTCAAACTCCTGGCCTTAAGTGATCCATCCACTTCGGCCTCCCACAATGCCAGGATTACAGGCATGAGCCACTGTGCCCAGCCATAACCATAATATTTTAAATCAGAAAAGATCTCAGAATTCTGGACTACCTGGCCTTGTAGACAATTTCTCACGACATTTAAGAAGTTTCATTAGAGTCATCTACAGGCATTATTGGTCAGGAACAATCAATTGTGAGGTCTCTGAGTAAACTCAGTACATTTTGACTGAAGTGGTAGTCACAGTAAGCCAACTCCTCTGCCTCAGAAATGTGAACAACAATGAAATGCCCCAAGTAGCTATTCTGTGATGAGCTACAGTGGATCAAATAAGAGCCAAGTAGAGAGAGACAGAACACCAGACTAGAAATTAGGAGCTCTGGATATGGCTTCTGGTTCCAACCCTAACCTTGTGTGTGATCTTGAATAAGTCATTGCACCCTTCTGGACCTTATCTGTAAAATAAGAATTTCACATAAGAGTATGCAGTATGATGAAACACTATGTCAGAATCTAAGATTTTCATCAGAATATGGTTAAAATTTGTGCATGTAATACACCTTCAAATGCTCTTGTTTTATATACCAAACATGAAGAAGAAAGGACATCAAATTATTACACAGTGAATAGTGTGTATTAAGACACAAGAACCAGTCTGAACTGAAAATAGACATCAGTCCCTGGACACAGTGGTGTTTATATTGAATGAATGAACCAGTGGCAAGAAATATATACGTTTAGAGCAGTGAAACTCTTAAAGATGAATGTTGCTGACATTTGTAAAGAGTAAGAAGTCATGACATCATAATAGAATGTCCCCCAGCGAGTTCACTGTTAAGAGCGTTACTCCTTCCTAATACAGGTTGGAGATTTCCAATAACATTTGTCTGTGCCTCTGACTGTCAAAGGAATTTATTGTGCATTTACACAAGCAAGAAAGAAAAATTAGAAAAGAGACCAATCCTCATACTTTTTAACATGAAGAGTATCCCCAGTTGGGTTACTGAGAAAACGAAATTCCCCTAAAATAATTTAAGTGCCTTTTCATCAGATGTATTGAACTGTCAATAGCAGTTCTGTTTTCCCTAGCATGTTATGAACTGACTACAGCAAGGAAGATACTGAATAAGCAAAGGCAATGCCTCAATCTGAAATAATAATCTACCTTTGTATTCAAATGTCCCCCTCATTTCTGAAAACAGACATTGATAGTTCCCATCAGCTCTGTTTCTGATCCCTTGTTTTTACCCCATATCATCATGAAGAATAAGTCATCAGATTCTCTGAATTTAATTCAAGAATTAAGCATCCTCATGTGTTCAGTGGTACACTAGCCCTGCTGGGAGAAAGATGTGGCAGAAAGGTGGGGAGGAGACTGGAAATGAGAAAGAAGTGATAGTATTTTCCTTGCCTTCAGAAAATGTAAAATCTTCAAAGCAAATAAGACTCAAAGAAGACAAACATTGAAGAGCCTGAATAATGAAACAAAGTAGCTGATGATACTCAGCAATTAGTATCATGAGCAACAAGGGACTGAGAATGACTAAGAAAGACATCAGTGCAGAATGGGTGGCCAGGGAGATCTCCTGGAAGGAGAGAAAATTAACAAGGTCATGCTGGAGAATGGGCCTGATCTGGATGTGCATGAAGAACAGGGAGGCATCTTGAGTTGGTAAATGCAGAACTCAAAGATCAAAACTTAGAGGAGTTTAGCATAGGAACAAAGAGAAAACAGACCACATGGTGACTTGTGTTATGTGAGGAACACACAACATATTTGGTAGCTACTACAGCCTTCTAGAACATTGTCCTAAAATATGCTCCCCCATTGAATTTGTGAGGAAAGCCAGAAGGGTTAAAAGAACAATAGAAAAAAAAAATGGAGGCCCTTTTTCTGCCTTTAATGCCCTCCACCTAGAACTTTACCAATAAATGTATTTGAATGTTCACTTTTGCTACAGGGGTTATATTAGTTTGCTAGGGCTGCCATAACAAAAATACCATGGACTGGGTGGCTTAAACAACAGAAATTTATTGTCTTACAGTTTTGAAGGCTGGAAGTCTAAGAACAAGGTGCCAGCCCATACAGTTCTTGGTGAGGGCTCTTCTTCTGGCTTGCAGACAGCCACCTTCTTGCTATGTCCTCACATGGCCTTTTCTCTTTGAATGCGCAAACCTTGTATCCTTTTTATATGATGAAATTTCTTCTTCTTATAAGGACACTAGTCAGGTTGGATTAGGACTCACCCTGATGGCCTTACTCTAATTTAATTGCATCTTCAAAGACTCTGTCTCCAAATACAGTCATATTTTGAGGTACTGGGGGTTAGGGCTTCAACATATGAGGTTGGGAGAAGGAAACAATTTGACCAATAACATCGGTGTGTTTGGTTTTTAATCATCAAGGAAATGTCAGTGGTAACTGTGTACAGTACTGTGAAGAAAGCATGATACCATTGACATATTTGTGAATATGAAATTCAACTTTTAAAATATGGATTTATACAAAGGTACAGATAAATACATTCCAATGTAAATAGTTAAACTCCAAAATTTTGCAAGACTGGGGAGTTACAAATTTAGACCAGGCAATGATAATGCTGACCTTTGATTTCTCCTCTATAGGACTGATGAAATGTCTCAATAGATAAATTTGGTGAAAAGACTTTTTCTTAAAACAAATGACTGTTTCCAAGTAAAACATAGGGCAGAGTGATGTAGGAGACACAGCCATGAGTGCTTGGGCATTCTAACTTCCAATTCCTTGCAGAAAAAGAGACACCCAAAGAGAACAACAAAGAGAAGAAGGGGAATTAGGAAAGAGCAAGATCTTCTTTCCAAGAAAGAGAATGCAGCTAAGAGTTCAGATAAATAAAGCCTGAGACGACTACGTGACATGGCACTTGGGAGCTACTCATGATCTTCAGAAAAGCAATGTTACTATAGTTGAGATCATTAAAGACAGATTTCATTGTTTGAAAGTCAATGGGAAATGAAGTACAAAGAATTTGTGATTCTTTTCTAAAGTCTGATAAAAAAAAAAGGAGTGATAACTTAGGGAAAAACTATACAGAAGTTTTGTTTTTATTTTTGTTTGCTTGTTTAAAGATCACACTAGAGTTTGTTAACAGGTTGAGGGAAAGGACCCTACTTAGAAGTAAGGTTAAAGAATCAAGGGAATGAGGGAATTCTCCATCTATTCACTTAACCAATATGCGAGGGCTTCCTAGTACTATGCTTGTCGCTCCCCTTCCTCGGGAGACTTACAGATTAGTTGGGATACAGATAATGGCCCTAAGTTATTTGTTTTAATGGTAATATGTCCAAAGGCACAGAATAAATGGGGAAAGGAGCACCTAAGTGTCCAGTGGGATCTGGAAAGGCCTCACAAAGGAGGAAGGTTGGCACTGAGGCTGGCCAGATGGGTATGTCAGGCTAACAAACTGAAGACACATTTCATGGAGAAGAGTCCAGTCAAAATCAGTCATGAAAAAAATACATACAGACTCCATAAAGGAGTACACCTTGGAAGGGAATGAAGACACTTCTATCTTGGAAAGGAAGGAAAAAAGAAAACATGGAAAAAATATGTCAAGTTCTGAGAATAAATGAAGGAACGATGAGGAGAATTTCTATCTGAGGCTTCCATTTTCAAAACTGTCTTTGAAACCACATGAGCTGTTGGTCAAATTTAACCACTGCAATTAGAATTTTCACTTTTAAAATTTCCAGAGTGCTTCAAGGAATTTTTTAGCACTGAATATTGTCACCCTCAGGAAAAGAGAAAATAAGATGGACTGGGGTTGAGGATAGGTAGTAGGATTGCAAATTTACTCAGAGAGAAAGGAAAAAAAAAATTAAAGTTAGGCAGACAAAAATGGTTTTGTCCATTAAGACAAACAACTCCATTATAGGGGCAACCAGTATTATTTGATCAAGAAAGAAGGCATCCAATCTAGAATTCTTTCAGTAAGCCTTTTTTATAATTTATAATTAATCAAGGGATTAATAATCTTGCAGGAGGATAAAAAATGAACAAAAGTATTAGTGTACAGATCAGAAAATGATGATAATATAAAGAATGTTTAGTTGTCATAAAAGCAATCAAGATAAAGATAATCTCATCTAGGTATGAGACCACCCAGAAAAGCTCAGGAAGAAGGGTGGGCAGCTTGGGGAGAGAAGCCTGGATCTTGGCAGAGCTTGTGAGGTCAAGGCCTGGTAAGAGAAGAGCCAGGGCACCAGCACCAAGAAAGGGCTGTAATAAAGACCTCTCTGAAATACGTCCTGGTGCCCTTCAGAGCTGGTCTCCAACTTTGGGTGAACCTGAACTGTATTTGGAGGCCAATCAGTTGTACAGGTAAAGGGCAAGGGGCCTGCAGGGAGCCATTTGGCTAGACAACTAAGCCCAGGGCCAAGGCAGCCATCAGTCAAGGAAGGAAGGGAATTGGGTTACCACTGTGATAATTAGCATTGATGAACAGCAAAATAAGAAGAAAATATCCTGGAGAGTGTGTTATACCCCAGGTTAATATTATAGTAGCAAGATAAGAAGAAAAATCCTAGGGGCATAATACACCACAAGTTAATATTATAATACTAATACTGCAACCTGGGGGTATACTATCAGTCTGTGAGGGCTGCCATAACAAAGGCTGAACAACTAAAACAACAAAAATCTATAATATTTTTCACAATTTGGAGGCTAAAAGTCTGACATCAAGATATGGAGTAGGCAGGGTGATTTCTTCTGAGCCCTCCACATGACTTGCAGACTGCTATCTTCTTCCTGTTTCTTCTCATGGTCTTAACTCTCTACACCCTTGTATTAGTCTGTTCTCATGCTGCATAAAGACATACCCAAGACTGGGCAGTTTATAAAGAAAAGAAGTTTTGTTTTTGTTTTTGTTTCTGACAGAGTTTCACTCTTGTCACCCAGGCTGGAGTGCAATGGCATGACCTCGGCTCACTGCAGCCTCCGCCTCCAGGATTCAAGTGATTCTCCTGTCTCAGCCTCCCAAGTAGTTGGTATTACACGTGCCTGCCACCAAGCCTGGCTAATTTTTGTATTTTTAGTAAAGATGGGGTTTCACCATGTTGGCCAGGCCAGTCTCGAATTCCGGACCTCAGGTGATCCTCCAACTTCAACCTCTCAAAGTGCTAAAATTACAGGTGTGAGCCACCGCACCCAGCCAGGAAAGAGGTTTAATAGACTCACAGTTCCACATGGCTGGGGAAGCCTCACAATCATGGCGGAAGGTGAAGGAGAAGCAAAGGCACATCTTACACAGTCACAGGTAAAAGAGCATGTGCAGAAGAACTCTCATTTAGTGCAGGAGAACTCTCATTTATAAAATCATCAGATGTCCTGAAACTTATTCACTACCATAAGAACAGTATAGGGGAAACCAACCCCAGGATTCAATTATCTCCACCTGACCTTACCCTTGACACATGGAGATTATTACAATTCAAGGTGAGATTTGGGTGGGGACACAGCCAAACCATATCAATTCCTGTATTCAAATTTTCTCTTCTTATAGGGATACCTGTCTTTTTTGGATTAGGGCTCACCCCAATGACCTCATTCAAACTTAACTACCTCTATCTTCTCCCCTGCCTAAAGAAGCCACCTTGCTCAGCTGAGGGACTAGAACAACCTTGTTATTGACTGTTTCTTATCAGAACCGAGAATTTTATTATCATTCAATTATTAGATCTCAGACAAAAAACAAAGAACACAGAGTGAGAGAAAAACAATTTTTTAAAAGAACAAATTTGGTTTATGACTTTAGCTAGTATTCCCAGCTTCATTTTTCTTACTATTTATTAGCCAAATAGGCCTGCCCAGGATTTAAAGTCAAAGATGAGAGGGAAAATTACCATGCACTCTTCTCTTATGACTTTCAATATTTTAAAAAGAGCTTAAAGACCTTTTATTTTATACATTTGCCAGTAATTGTCTTTATGGTTTTATTGGTACTAATTTCATGCAGCTCATTTAGAATGTCAAGCCACATATGCAACATGATAATAAAGTTATTATTACTTCATAGAGATATAATTATAAGTAATTTTGATTCTCTCATTTTCATCCTCTCACTTTCTCCTCATTCCTGCCCATGTTTTATAAGAATGAAGATGAGTTTGCTGACCTTTTGCTAAGGAACATTTAGTATAAGAAGGTGTCAACTTCATCCTGATTGAGGCCTGTGAAACTTTTATTTTCTAGCTCCATTAGCTTTTTCAGAGTAAGTCTGGTTATTATATTACTGCATTAAAAATAAACTTCTAAATTCAGAGAAGAATACAAATGCCACAAAACAGTAAATAACTCCAGTGATATGGGACCCCTTTTGGCCAATGAACCAAGTTTCAATAAAATGTTTGTGGCCTTTATTAACAATATACTAGAAAAGATATCTTTTAAAAGAAAAGAACAATGGGATAAGAGAATTAAAATTTCTCATTATTTAGTAAAGATCTGATGACATACACCATTAAATATAACACTATAAAGTTTCTCAGTATTAGGAAAGCAATGTAAAATGTATAGTAAATGTAATCTGTACCACTGAGGTAATTTGCATATTTCTACAGGGGTCATTAGCCATAGTTTTGAAGGGCTTTCTGAAACTATTAATTTCTACATAAGAGAGCACCTTAGCTGGTCCAAGTTAGGGATAAGGTATCACTTTGGCAAATATTTTAGTTCCAAAAGTAAAGGAAAAAGGGCAAAAAGAAATGGAAGTTTCCATTTCCATACTTTGTTCTGGGAAGGGGCCAGAATAACACCCACTTCTGGTTGGAGAGATTTGAACCTGAAATCGTAAAAGCAGGAGAGGACCACTCATTTCAAAGATTGTGCTATGAGGGAATGAAATGGAGTAAGCAGAATGTACCTTTAGTGCTGACCATGCTTTGTTCTGGAAAAGACACAGGTATAGACCACTGAGTTATGACTATATAAAACAAATAACCGATTGTACAGTGGAAAGTTTGAAGAGCTGGGGCTTTGAGGAACTAAGTTGCCCTACAAGAGATGATCTATGTCGTAGGCAAACGTTGCATCACTGAGCACAGACGTCTAATTGGACAAATAGTGATTGCCAACCATCGCTTGTTCTTGTGGGCAACTATTTGTTTTATTCAAGCTGTCTGCTCAGGTAAGCAGAGCCCAAGAGCATAAAGAAGGTGGAAGATCTTTGAAAAGGAGCTGGACTAGCTTGACAGAGCCCAATCTGGACTGTCCAGCAGAAGTCTAACACATGGCATTATGTAAAAATGAAATTCACAGATGCTAAAAAATGTCTCAATTAAAGGGCCTATCCTTTGTTTTTGTAATTCAGAAGAAGAAGATGTGAGGGAGAGGTTTAGTAACGGGCCTTGGGAGGGAAAGGTTAAAACCACACCCCTGTGGTGGAAAGCAAGATCTGAAGGGATTGGACATTCCCACTGTCAATCACTCTGGAGAGACTGACAATGAGATTTGGAGGAGGGAACGAAAGAGGAAAGAGAAAAGCCCTTTCCCTCTCTTCATGTTGTTTTCTTTAATTTCCTTTTTCTGTTTGGTTTTGGTTTTGGTTTATTTGTTGTTGTTGTTGTTGTTGTTGTTGTTGTTTGTTTGTTTGTTTTTTGTTTTAGAGACAAGGTCTCACTCTGTCTCCCAGGCTGGAGCGCAGTGGAGCAATCTCGGCTCACTGCAAACTCCAAATCCTAGGCTCAAGTAATCCTCCTGCCTCAGCCTCCTGCATAGCTAGGGCTACAGGCACGTACCACCACACCCTGCTATACTGTTTTCTGGAGATGGGCCTCTTGTTATGCTGCCCAGGCTGGTCTCAAACTCCTGTCCTCAAGCGAATCCCGCACCTTGGCCCCAGGGTACCTGGGCCTATAGACATGAGCCACTGCACCAAGCTAAATGTTGTTTTCTTAGGCCTGGACCCAAAGAATCTATCTCAAGAGGCAGACATAAGTGGAGAGAAAATGTGCCTCTGAAACATGGAAATAGGAGGACACTGGCAAAAGAGTCCCTGTGGTCAAGTGGGGCTACCATGACACAGGTGAGCAGAGCAGCAGCTTCCGAAGGGAGTGGCTGAATTGACCTTCACCTTTGAGGAAACCGGCACTAGTGGTCAATGGGAAGTTGGCCTCAGGGGAGCCCTTACTCTGGGCCATTTTGGAACTCAGACTGTAGGGAATGGCTGGAAGTCCAGGTGGTAAAGAGAAGAGCAGGGCCTTCTGAGACTAGCACAGAGGGCAGTGGTACAACAACAGGAACCCAGGGGCCAACTTAGACACTTGGGATAGAGGCTTGGTTCATGGCAACAATGAGGGCCTCACCCCAGGAGAGCTCGAGGTCAGCTCTCTGAAGCGGAATGGAGGGCCAGACAGTGCCCAGGGTAGCATCATAAGTTCATGGAGACACCGTCCTGGAAAGGTATTAGATAATGTAGGTAACCCTGAAGAATCTAGGAGGGAGGGCGTTCACCTACTACAGTTTGCCAGACAAAGACAGCCAATTTTGAATATGACTGCTAAATGTGACATCATTTGTATTCCCCAAACTGGTGAAACCTACGAGATGTAGGCATTACACTTAAAATAAATAACTCCAATGAAGCCAGAAATTAGGTTCATTTTAATTTCATAGATAGAAAATCGAAAGACTGTGGATTTCCTCAAACTAAAAAAGGGTAATACCCCAAATTAGAACTCAAAGCCTGTAGCATCCACAGCTATGCTAAGACGCTAGCTGCAATGTTGTCTCAGAGGATGAACACACAGCAAGTACATTAAATCAAATTGTGAAAGCATAGTGATCAGCGTCAATTTAGATTCTATGAATGAGCCCCTATATTTTATCATGCCTTTCTGTCAGGGTTTATTATTTGTTAAGGGGTTTAAATCTACAATAGAAAAATATTTCTGTAAAATCCAGTAACACACAGTGGCTAACCATAGCTGAATTTTATAAACTACAATTTGTCAAATAATTCATGCTTTTTCCCAAACACAAGAGCCTGCATTATTCTGACAACAAAAAAAGAGTTTTCCTACTCCCTATAATTTTCTATCGAACCTACAGACTATCTGCTTTACCTGAATTCTTAGAGGGTTAGGAATTTAAGCTTAAAAACCACTTTGTGTTAGGAAATGTAAAGTCTTACAGCTAAAGGGCTGAAAATATAATTTCTCTGGACTTCAAATAACACCACATATACACCAGCTCAGGTTGAGCAAAGAACACTGTACTCTTTAGACATGTCTAGGGAATGAACTTATACAGGGAAGAAAGTAGCTGTCGATCAAACTAACAATTATTGTGCAGCAAGCTCTGTTCTAAATCTTCTAAATTTACATTAGTAAATCTACCAAAATTACATATAGTAGCTCAGTTAACTCCCCCAAAAATGAGACTGTTAGTGTTTTCACGAGGGCTAAGTTCTTTGTCTAAGATCATGTAGTGGAATAGTAACTTGGTATTTAAAACAGATATATCTAACTTCAATCCAATGTTCATTTTATAATATCACGCTGCTTCTATAGGTAACCTTTCGGTATTTAACCACTGTTTCTATCAGGAAATTTTTATTCTATTCTAATCTGAGCCTCATTCATTGTCACTTAAGCCTGTTTAATTAAAAGCTGTTCTTGTAAAGTTTCGAAACAGCTGGTCACTGTCCTTGGTTTAACAGCTCATGCACATACAGTACTCAAAGATAATTAAATCCCCCATCAGCAATTTCTTCTTTTGGCTGAATAAGCCCTTTTCAATGTTTCTTTGAAAAAAATTTCTGTGCCTTTAAATATCTTGCAACATCACCATAGCACGTTGAGTTTTACAGCTGTAATATGGGCACGTGATTTTCTTATAGTCATTTATAACTACAAGGACCATTCCTACCCATCCCCATCGTGTTCTTCCACCATATTCTATTTACTGCTTAAGCAGCTTGGTTCTCCCATTGAGCATTTTTGTCCTCATCGAGCTTCATTATGTTTGCTGTGATGGTTTTCTCCACTTTGCCAAGAAGCTGCTTCTATTTCTAAGGAGCACTGCAGAGCACTTGCATTCCTGGTTAAATCTTTTGCCTGTTCTATTTCAGTCTATGTTCTTACTTGATAAGCACCTGGAATGGGCTGAATTGCCACCCCCAAATTCATATATTGAAGTCCTATCTCCTTGTACCTGACATTATTTGAAGATTGGGTCTTTAAAGAGGTAACTAGATTAAATGAGGTCATTGGGGTGGGCCCTAATCCAATGACTGGTGTCCTTTTGAGAAGAGGAGGTTAGGACACAGACACACACACAGAAGGTAAGACTATATAAAGACACCATGAGAAGATGGACATTTACAAGCCAAGGAGAGAGACCACAAAAGAAACCAACCCTGCTGACACCCTGATTTCAGACCTCCAGTCTCCAGAACTCTGAGAAAATAAGATTTTATTTATTAAACCACCCAGTCCGTGATACTTTTTTTGTTTGTTTTTTGAGACGGAGTCTCGCTCTGTCGCCCAGGCTGGAGTGCAGTGGTGCGGTCTAAGCTCACTGCACCTCCGACTCCCTGTCAAGCGATTCTTCTGCCTCAGCCTCCTGAGTAGCTGGGACTACAGGTATGTGCCACCATGCCCGGCTAATTTTTTTTGTATTTTTAGTAGAGATGGGGTTTCATCATGTAAGCCAGGACAGTCTTGATCTCCTGAACTGGTGATCTGCCCACCACATCTGTGATACTTTCTATGGCAGCCTTATCAAACTAATATAGCACCCTCAAATGTGTCTCATATCCCTAACTATTATTAATTATGTAAAGAACCCCACAGATACCAACATCATGTACCCCTCATATTGAAAAGGGTACATTACTTCTATGGTATTGTTGCCAAAAATGCCTAAACTCAATCTGTCCATGAGTAGGCATCAGATAATCCCAAATTGTGAGGTATTCTAGAACACAACTGATCAGTACTCTCAAAGTGTCAAGGTCAAGAAAGCAAGACAAGTCCAAGAATTGCCACAGATTGTAGGAGTCAAAGGAAACATAAAAACTAAATGCAATGTGGGATCCTGGATTCGATCCTGGAACAGACAAAGGATCTTTATGGAGCTCTGGTGAAATAATAGCATTGTACCAATGTAGATTTCTCAGTTCTAATAAAGGTCCTATAATTATGCAAGATGTTAAATATTAGGGAAAGCTGAATAAAGGATATACAAAAACTCTCAGTTCTATCTTTGTAATGTTTTTGTAATGCTAAATTTATTTCAAAATTAAAATAATATATCATAATATAAATAATGTATTATAAAAGTAATATGTACTATGACTAATAATATAAAAATCAAATAACAAAATAAATGAACTAATAAAACACCACCAGTGGAGAAAAATCACATATTTTCATCATTGTGAAGTCTTCCCTGAAATAAACTCTATATTAAAAAAGGAGGGGAGAAAGAAGCTAACCTTCATTGAGATCTACTGATACTGAGTATTTGACAGGTACTATCTTATTTAATCCTCACAATAGCACTATCACTTATAAAATGTGACATCTGATGAAACAGAAGCTCAGACATATTTCAGTGATTCATCCGAGGTCACATAACAAGTGATAGACTGGAATTCAGACCCAGCTCCATTTAATTCCAATGCACCATGTTTGTTCTCCTGGTTAAGTATGAATTTCTATGTCCCCACCAACTATACTTTCACCTAAGTATATCCGTTCTAACTATGGATTTCATTCTTAGCCAAATATTGGAATCACCTGGGAAGCTTTAAAAATTCCTGAGGCTCAAATCCTACCCCCAATTCTGCTGTAATTATTTCAAGATTTGATTGGACCTCAGAATTTTTACATTATCCCCAGATATTTCATATGTGTAGAGAACAACTCTACTAGTTTATCAATGTTAATGTTATACAGAACAGAACTAAAACCCTTGCAAAAGATAGGCAGTCATATTTATCATTTATTCAGGAGTAAGCATGTATCACCAAAATCAATTAAGTTCAACTTGTGCAACATACTATTTAAGGAAACAAGCAAAAGAAATTCTTTAAAAGACACATGGAGAACAGGGACCAACTTCAGAAGAGCTCTCATCAGCTAACTGCATAGAGCACCAGGAACACAGAAGCAGTTGACTCCAGAGATAAATCTCAAAACCCTTTCAATAAAGAGAAGAAAGTAGCAATCATTTTACTAAAAAAAGTCAAATGACTTACTGTCTCGGATTTTAATTTCCTCTAGTCCCTTTAAAATGGCAAAGGGAAACCATCAAGCTATGTAAGACTCTAATTGAAAATAAACATTTTCCTACTTTTGAGTGGAATTAAAGCTGGGAAAAACTGAATTGCTTCAAGGTGAGGAATGAAACAGAAAGAAACATCAAGAAAGCTGCAATGAGAGTATTTGGAAACCATTCTGTTTGCTGAATTGTCAGCCATGCAAGCACTTATAGACAATTACAACCTTAGAAAACAAATAAAAAGTGTGTAAGTAGGCACTTTGATGCTTCCTCCTAATTATAGGCTTTACGAGCTGGATTCAAAAAACACAAATAGAGGCAGTGCGAACAATATAACCCTGAAATGAGGTTATGAAGCTTATTAGCTTTACATAATTACACAGCTGTGACAGGTTGACGAGACCCCTGCCTGAAGCAGGGGTCTTACAGCAAGGTGGCCATTTTTTTTTTAATTTTACCCTTTTTAAAAATACAATTTAGGTTGAATCATGGACTAACCAATATTTGACCTACACAAGTGGCTATTTCCTATTTTGTGTTTCCATATGAAGATCTCCTTCATCTCTCTGGGGGTTCTCGGGGGGCACTGACTTGTTTTTCTCTATCCTTTGAAACATCCACAGCACCAAGCAGACGTGTGTGAATAACAGAGCATGCTCAGTAAGGGCTTGTGCAATAAATGAAAGAAATTCACCTACCTATAGGGAAAAGCTGTGTTTCCTAATATTTAACCTATTGAAAAGCCCTGGAAGCCACCATTTGTGATATGTATCTCCCCCCAAAAAATCATTCTGGTAATTGGCCTGGACACCAAATTGTACCTGCAATTCAGCTGACGGTCTGGGGTTAGTAGAGAATGGTTATTTACTGTCCCGCCTGAGGTGTCTGTGCAGGGCTATGGGAAGGAGTAGGGTTAGGGGTCTCTCGCTGTATTTGCACACACATATACACATACACACACACACACAGAAGGTTTACAATGAACTATTTTGCATATCTATGATTTAAAGATGCAAATATTGATTTTTCATTTTTTTACAAATAAGAAAGGAAACTCAGGAAAACAAGAGCAATTTATAAGAACGACATGAAACTAATATTTAGTTGACTAAAATTTTTAGTAATGAAGCCTGTGTATGAACTTCTTTGTTGCATAAACATTTTATCTTTGAAAAGCCAAATATGGACTTGGCAGATATTCTCATATATGCCAAAGAGAGATTTCTTTAGGACATTTAATTCAAAAAAAAAGAGCAGAGCTCTTCAAGGCTTTAGGCAGCAAACTGCAGGATATAATAATAAAAGCTCACATGTATTTATTCCTTGCTATGCTTCTGTGCTAGCACTTTAAACATTTTAGCTATCTAATCCTCACAATGATCTAAGAGGCTGGTGCCATGCTTATTCCCATTTGACAGAGAAGAGGCTTCGACAGGTCATTTGCCTTTAGTTACATGCATATAGAAGGCAGAAGGTGGGCTCTCACCCAGGTAGGTAGTCTCTCACTAGGGCCGGTAGTCATACTTACCCCTCTCCTGACAGATAGATCATATCAGCAAACCACAACTTCTCCCTCTTTATCCCCCCAAAAATCTGCTACAATATTCATCCACAATAATATTCCAGAATTACACATCCCATTTTGTACATTATTTTGATGTGTATAGTAGGTTAGTGGCACCTATCTTGAATATTGCTCAATGGAAAAAAATGAGGGCCACCAATCTTATATACCAGCATGAATTATGTTTATTTTATTATGTGATCAATGGATTGAATGTTTATGTCCCCTCCAAATTCATACATTAATTCCTAATGTGCAGTGTAATGGTATTTGAAGATAATCAGGTCACGAGGGCAGATCCCTCATGAATGGGACCGGTGCCCTTATAAAAGAGGCTGGAGAAAACTCCCTCACCCCTTTTGCCGTCTAAGGACCCAGAAAAAGTCACCATCTACGAACCAGGAAGTGGGCTGTTAGCAGACATTGAACCTATCAGCACCTCCATCTTGGACTTCCCAGCCTCCCAAACTGTGAGAAATAAATTTCTATCATTTGTATGCTATCCAGTTGATGGTATTTTGTTACAGCAACTCAAAGGGACTAAGATGTCACTTCAGGGTTTATTGTAAATTCATTATGTAAAAGGATGTTTGTCAAAAACAAATCGTGTGCCCATTTAATGTGTATAATATTTCTAAATGAAATACTAGCAAATGACATCAGGCTTTATATTTTAAATTTATGTAATTGTGTTTTGTGTTTGGAAACTGATTCATTGAAATCATTTACAGGTATAATGATTCAATAGGAATTGGCTGGACTTAAGTTTCATTAAAATAAAAGTGAATATGAATGAAGACATCTTCATTTTGATTGGAAATATTCCATGCTTTTGGAATTCGTTTGTTTGGTGATGTCAACTGTGGCAAAAAAAACTTATCTCTAATAAATATGGTCATTGTAATTGGATTTCATATTACTGAACTAGCTAGAGAAAGATGATGCTTTATGGGAAACACACACTTGTAATATGAATATGAATAGTCCCTTAGGTAGTTTTGAATCCAGTCTTTATGAAGTGTAAAATTGGAATAACAGGCTTAGAATATTTAATGCATGTGGATAATTTGGATTGTTGCAGCCAAGATACAATCGCATGTTTGGGGAATGAAACAAGTTGGAAACCCACAGGTCGTGCTATGCAGTCACCTAGAATACGGCAGTGACCTCATAATTGACCTTACTTCCATGTTCATCACCCCTTCTAGTCTATTCTCGACACAGTATCCAGACTGATCCCTCTAAAACCTACGTTAGAGGAAGTGTACCATCACAGGGAGAATAAGACAGAAATCCTTACAGTGGCCAGCAAAGTACAGCCTCCATTCTGCTCCAGCCACACTGGCCTCCTGGCTGGTTCTCAAACTTGTGGGGCGGGCTCCTTCCACAGAGACTTTGCACCTACTCTTCCTTCTGCTTGGAATGCTCTTCCTGAAAAAATCGAAATGGCTGGCACTCATTTTTTCCAGGTACCCAAATGTCACCTCTTCAGAGGTCTTGACTGTCCACCCCATATCAGACAGTCACCCTCACTCCACCGGACCCCAGCACACTCTCCAGCCAATCTACTCACTTTATTATTTTTCACCGTGCTTGTTACTACCTGACAGCATCCACTTTTATTTTGTCATCTCCTGTCTTCTCCACTAAAAAACAAGATCACCAAGGAAAGAAACTTTTTTTGGACCCAGGACCCAAGACCCAGAACAGTCCTAGGCACATCATGGGAATTCTCTAAATATGTTTGGAATGAATGCATGAAACTGAGTAACTGAGTGAAAGCTCATGAATGAATGGGCATTTTGATTTAAAGTAAAATACCCGAATTAGAATGAAGAGGGGACCCTCATTCTTAAGGAGAAAAGAGTTTGTAGCTTCATGGATTCTGTCTGGATGACTACTTTCCAAAAACCTGGAAAACCTTGGTAGAAATATATGAGCTCCTGAAAAATAAGAAAAAAAAGGCTTTGTATGTGTTCTATTCCCCATTGATGATTTTAATTTCAATTATATATTTATTTCATTTTAGTGCTCTTACCATAAAATATTTAGGTTTCCTTCAATGTCCATATTTAAAAGTATATTACTTGTGATGTTTTGATAGTATTACATAAGCTAAGTGGTAGGACTTGATGCTTAAGAAAGCAAGTCAAAAGGAGAAAACTTATTTTAAAAGTAAAAGATAAATGGGAGAATCTATTTTTTATTATTGCCTTTGGCTAGTTTCTTGATTCCTTCCTATCCAGTGCTTGGTTACCTTGCATTTAATTCCACAAGTATACACATACCTCATTTACAGGAGAGGAGTGGGGAATGATGGGTGAATGGGTGCATTCCTACAAACAGGAGCTCTAACAGAATTAGTTCTAATGCAATTCACATGACATGAAGTCATCAAATTATCATGCCCATGGAGACCTATCACATAGTGGCAATTGCTCCTTCATCCTTCTCAAAATCTCTTGAAATTCTGACACACCTTCTGCAATATTTCTTCCAGACATCATTCTTAACTGTTGAACACCCTGCCCAGTCTGTTGTGATACATATGTGCCATGCCTTGTGTCAAGGATCTTCTACCAAGTCCTAGTTTCCTGATAAATATTGTCCTCTATTTTCTAGAACACCTCTTGGAGAACTCTGAAGCTGCTATAAAACTCACATTGCAACATCAAAAGGATTCTCCTGTTTTGCAGAAATGCTCACCAAAATATAAAATATATGACAAAAGAGAGGCCACTGAAGACCAAACTACACGTGTTGCAGAACCCACTCAACTCAGAATAGCTCAGTGGCTCACTGCCTGAGAGTTTGCAATGCGATGTGCTAAGCAGTCTGGCCAGGACAGACTGCCATCGCTCTTACTGGCTGAGAGTGCATGACAAAAAGTATATCTTAACACTGTGCTGTAATTTTGTTTTAATTACAAAAAGACTTCTAAGATAAATAGTGTTAAAATGAATCAGTGTTATTCAGGGAAGCATGAAACGTGCAATATATTCAGAAGGAGGTGATAATTATTTCATGAATGATAAAACAAATTATGTAAAGATATGAAAAAGCTGAATTGTGGAGAAAATGAGCCAAGGCATGAAAACATGCATTCTTTCAATAAACATTTACTTATCTACATGCCAAATATCTAAATTTATAAACTGGACATGTAAAGATGAAAAGACAGTGTTCTTGACCTCAAAGAGCTCACAGTGTAGCATGGAAAATAGATATGCAAACAAACAATATGTGTACTGTTTTACCAGAGTCGTTTTCAAAATACTATGGAAACATGGAGACGGAAGGCATTCAATTCTTCTTGGTGAGTTAGGAACACCTTTACTAGTGATTACTAAGAAAGAACCTCAGAGATGAATGCAGGTCATAGGGCAAATCAAGCACACAGGGCCTCTAGGCAGAAGCAACACCATGAGCCAAGGTGAGAAGAAAAATGGCACATTCAGGTGACTACATGTCATTTGAGTATTGCAGAGGTCAGATCATAAAAGACCTACCTACCATGCTCAGGAGGAGCTTGGTTTTTACCTTGAGTAAAATGAAAGTTATTGAAATATTCTAAGTAAGTGAATATTATAATCAGATTTGCAATGTAACTTCAGCAGATTGTAAAGCACTGCAGATCTTTTCCCTCCCCTGAAGATTTGGGGCATTGACAATAACTAAATTTCTCCACAGGAAGAGAGGAAGTCATTAATGAATTGGTGACAAAACAATTTACGAATCTCTCTTCTTTTTTAACTGTGGTACTAAAGATAATCCTATTTTTACAGTGAACTATACAAAGGGACTTTTTGTGCAACAGCCCAAAGATATTTTAATAATTCAATGATAAATATTGAATATTTATCATTTGTTAATATTGATGTTAACATTTGTTATTAGCTTTAATATGCAACTCTGATTTCTACCTGTAAGTAACCTCCAGAGGAGGCATCATAACTGGGGTCTCATATTGGTCAGGAACTCTCAATAAAGCATCACAGGGAGTAAATTATTTGTGGCTGCATTTTCATAAGAGTAGAAGAAAAACAAAGGTTCAACTGCATGAAAGGTGGTAATGGAGTAGGAAAAAAGGTCAAACTGGAGCTAAGAAAACCATGTTTAGAAGACATTCTCATTCACTAACCACGTGAACTCAGCAAATGGTTCACACTTTCTTTATTTCACTCCATTCAGGCAATGTAAAAATAACTATACTATTCCTTGTCTATGCAGAAATGTTTCAAAACCAAATGAAATCATGCTTATAAGTAAAACGCACCAAATATCCATTGATACAGCATTTGTGGTCTAGAGGTTGAGGAACTGCTCATCATATCAATGCACATAACAGAAAATGATGTAAAAAGGACAAACATGGTCACTATGATGATGAAGCAGTTATAAACTTGATACTAGTACATATATGACCATCAATTATCGGCTATGTTTCAATATTTAAAATGTGTATTTGTTGCTCTAAAGTTAGATATTCCCCCAAGTATTCACCAAACTAGCAAAATAAGCAAAATAAATTTTTCAAATAAAAATTCCTCATCCACCGAGTCTAAGTGATATGTTATAGTACATTCAGCAAGTATATCATGAATCTGACAAAGAAACAGGACCACATAAAGGATGTGGGGAGAGTGAGGAGAATAAAGAAGAGGAGGATGCATAAAGATCTCCAGAAAAGCAGGCATAACACAGGAGCCCTTCCAAACACAAACATTTGACTTTTTTTCTTCAAAGATGTACCGTAATCCCCTCATATAAACCCGGGTACTCACCAGGGACTCCCAGCACTCTTTCCCCCTGCCCAGCCAGAATGAAGCTGGTTAGAACACAAAGTGTCAGCACAGGCAGATACCAAGTGAGTTGTTTGCTGCTGTTGACTGGAAAACTTAAGGAAAACCTGCAGCAGGAAGGGAAGCAGTCCAAAGGAAACCTAAGCTATAACTATGAGGTTGTACCCCAAACTTATATACAGGATTTTTATGAATGATAGCATAACTCTTTCATTATGGGGTTAAATTGTGTCCCCTCAAAAGACATGAGGAAGCCCTATCCCTTAGTACTTGTGAATATGGCCTTATTTGGAAATAGAGTCTTTGCAGGTGCAATCAATTTAAGATGAGATCATTGGAGTGGGCCCTAAAGCAACAAAACTGGTGTCCTTATAGGAAGAGGGAAATGCCATGTGGACACAAACACGAGGAGAAGACGACTATGCGTGATGGAGGCAGAGACTGGAGTGATGCATCCACAGCCAAAGAAGGCCAAAGACTGCCAGCAAAACACCAGAAGCTAGAAGAGTAAAGGAAAGCTTCTCACTACATGTTTTAGAGGGAGCATGGCCTATGACACCTTGACTTTGGACTTCTAGCCTCCAGAACTATAGACAATAAACTGTTGTTTTAGGCCACCCAGTTTGTGGTACTTTGTTATGGCAGCCCTTGAAAACAAAACAAATATACTCTTTTATACAAATTTATCTGCCTACCTCTCTATCTATCCATCCATCTATCTACCTCCATTTATCTATCTATCATCAAAACATCATGCCAAACAGACCTGATGCCTTTGCAAATACCACATATCATAACCCATCTTTTCTCTGTCTAGGCTCAATCAGATGCAAAATGGTCACATTTTCTCTTTTGTTTTGTTCTATAAAAGGCCATTCTACTTCCCCCCTACACTTTTATGCAGCTTCAGTATTAAGGTCTCTTCCTGTGGCAGAGTCTTGAAGGATGGTTTCACATTAAAACGGAAAAGGAACTCATAATTAGTGATTTACATTTGTTGACTAATTACATTTTAACTGAAAAGCATTCACACTAAATTGTTACATCTGAATATTTTTATGATCTTTTCCTTGCCTCTATAATTACAGAATGAAAGGCTCTTCTCCACAATAAAGGCATTTTAGGCATCCGCCTATTCAATTGACACTAGAAAAAAAGTCTGACTTAGAATCTGTAAAAAGCCTCAAGACAGTTAATCAATCAAGAAGGCATTTATCGGGGCGTTTCATGCCCCTGGTGCTGAGCTTTAGACTTCCAAAGATGCAGACATGGGTCAGATCCCTCCTGCCTTGAAAGGACAGCCAGTTGGCTGAGAAGGGTTTGATCTTGAGGAAGCTAAGGCCGGCAGGTTTCTGAAGCGTGGAATGACCCAGTGAAGCCTGGAGTTAGAGTCGAGAAGCAAGAACCTGGCACAAAACAGAGAGCGTGGCCCTGTTACCACCTGGTAGAGCTCAGACAGCTTGTTTTCTTGTTTTTGCACACTGTTACTGCCGGCCTCCTCTCTTCCAACATTTCCTCTCCAGCTCAGTATTTGCAGCACCTGGGACATGGCCAGTTACAAGGCATGGTGGCTGATTGAAGCATTAAACCATTTGCATCTCTTATAGCACCTACCAGGTTATAGGCAGAAAAGGAAGAAAGAGGAGGTCAGATTGCTGAGCTACCACTTAAGGAGACAGGGCTTATCTTGCTTCCCTGCCTGGAGCCAAAAATGCCATTTCCAGGCTTTGGATTGCAACTCATCCAAAGATAAAGCTCAGAACTCACTGAGCAAGACAGAAGGCACAATTTAACATATATCATATATACAGTCAATCCTCAATTTGCAGATTTTGTATCTGCAAAATCGCCTACTTGCTAAAATCGTTCATAATGCCAAAGCCAATATTCAGAGAACTTTTGCGGTCATTCATACTGCATGTTCAATGTGGCAAATAATTTGAGCTATTCCCAACGGAGGTGGAACAAGGCTACTCTCCACCCTCTTGTTTCAGTTCTCATGCTGCAAACAAGTGTTTTTTTCATGGTCTATTTAGTGCCATGTGTTTTGCATTTCTGTGCTTTTGTTGGTGATTTCACTATCTAAAATGGTCTCAAGCACCATGCTGACAGGGTGCCCGGTAGTCCTAAGCACAAGAAGGCTGAGATGTGCCTTATGAAGAAAATACATGTGTCAGATGAGTTTTGTTCAGGCATGAGTTATAATGTCATGGCAGTGTTAATGAATTGACAATACATATTAAATAAACACAAGTGGAAATGTCCACGTGTGTTATTCAACAGAAACACACATAAAACAAGGATATATATCAATTCATTGATGAAAATACTGTGACTGGAGGCTTGCAGGAATCTAAACCTGTATTGCCTCTAAAAGCAATTAGTATTAATTAATTCAGCTTTCACAGCAACTTTATAGAACATCGTTACCGTGAATAATGAGGATAGACTATTATGTGTGTGTGTGTGTGTGTGTGTGTGTGAAATAAGCTATATATACAGATACGTACATATAAATATATAGGTATATGTATATATAGTTAAATGTTTATTTACATATATACATGTATATATCTGTGTGTATATATATGTACACACACACACACACACACACACACACACACATATATATATGCTATTTTTTTTCACCATGCTGGGCCCTCTATAGATAATGGTAAACCAAACAGATATGGCTGTACCCCTCATAGACATCCAAGTCTAGTAAAGAAGTAAAAGATTAATTAGCAAACCCCTTTGGGGTGCTACATTGACAGCCATATTCTCTAATCAGCTAAATCAGCAGTAAAACTTGATGTTTTTATCATCACTGTTTAATTCCTCTCTCTTTCTTGGCTGGCTATGAAGAAGAGTAGGGCAAGGAAGAAGAGTGTTGCATTAGAATGTAAGCTCATGAAGGCAGAGATCTTTGTTTTGCTCTAAACCTCCAGCTCCTTGCACAGGTACCTTGTACATAGCATTAGGTAAATGAATCAATTTATTGGTTCACTAAACACACCAACAGCTGGTACCTCCAAGAAAAAAAGAAGAGAAGCAAACTGCAAAATAAAATTCTGAAGCATGTCCACTTATCTGATAATAATTCTTCCAATGTCCCTTGCTAAGAATTTCTGAACGTGTGCTGGCAGCGTAAAAGTTACCCCATGCCGGCCGGGCGCGGTGGCTCACGCCTGTAATCCCAGCATTTCGGGAGGCAGAGGCGGGCGGATCACAAGGTCTAGAGATCGAGACCATCCTGGCTAACATGGTGAAACCCTGTCTCAACAAAATACAAAAAATTAGCCGGGCATGGTGGCAGGCACCTGTAGTCCCAGCTACTTGGGAGCCTGAGGCAAGAGAATGGCGTGAACCCGAGAGGCAGAGCTTGCAGTGAGCCGAGATCGTGCCACTGCACTCTAGCCTGGGCAACAGAGCGAGACTCCGTCTCAAAAAAAAAAAAAAAAAATGTTACCCTATGCCTCTGCTGATAAGCAAGCAGGCAAGCCCTTGAAGGGACAGTGGAAATTGGTGAAAGAGCTTTCAAAAAAAAAAAAAAATACACTTACAGTTTACAGTTCTAAAGAAGGATTCTTTTTTGTAACTACCTAATACCTTTATGTTCTCCAATCAATCAATTTATTGAGTTCAGTCGTTCAATAAATTTGGCATGAACAACCAGCAAACAAAAATGTTTTCAGCATTCCAGAGATGATCAATAATAGCAAATGCCATTAAATGAAAAAGTATCCATAGGTTGTTTTTGTTGTTGTTTTTAATCCTAACCCTATGCTTAGTGATTGCAAAATTTATACCATTCCAGGTATGACTCTTAGTATTAGACTAATGGGATATTACCCATTCCAAGTTTGCAAATGATTAAGACACTTAAAATGAAAAATATTTTTTTCAATTGACTGCAAATATATTTTAATGCATGCATCCCAAGATACTGGCAACACCAATTGGATGAGAAGAGGCAGTTTGGCCAGGTGCCATTTTGCCACTAACTAAAAAAGCTAAGGACTGCTCTGAAAATCTCCTAAATAAAAAAGCAATCTAGTTTCTGGCAAGGAGATCAGCAATGGCCATTTCATATAAATGAATCTGTCATGATTTCATTTGTGCACAAGCTTGATCATCCAAAATAGCAGAAACAGCAGGCTGTGGTGTGGCTTTTCTTTATCTGTTTTTGATAGACTGCTTCTCCTTTTCCTGCCCCAAATGATGACTGCCACCGATGAAAAACAGTTCTGTGAAATTGCAAGAAAATTATTCTCAGTTTTAATAGTCAACTAACTTACCAAAGAGAAATTGTACCTCTTATTTTGTTAGTGCTTTACAGATCCCAAACACAAGATCAAGTATAAATATGATCCTCCCTTTATATATCTTCATCAAAATAAGATAAGTGGAGTATGACAGGCTATAAAATACGTTCTTTGCTTATTGGTGTACCCACCTGTTCCAGTTCATTTGCAGGGCTGCCAGTAACAGAAGGAAGTGGCATAAATGAAACATGTCTCCCTTTTTTTCCCAGTAAGATTCTCTTGCAAGATCCACAGAGAACATCAGCCATTATTTTCTAAAGCCAATCAAAGGTCTTCCATGCCACTGTGCACATCTAGACAGCTATGCAAGCTGGTCTTATTTCCCCCATCTCTGGCTATGCCAGTCATGAGGTGCCTAAGCTGCTTCATTAAGCAGAACCAGCACAAACAGCGTTCAAAATGGTGTGTTTCAATCCAAATAAAAAAGAGCACTTTATTTATTTTTTTCTTCCAAAGGCAATGAAAATTGTCGTAGCTTAGCAAGAAGATAATGGAAGTGCATCACTGGGCTGTGAGAGGCTTTAGAGTTGTATTATGCTGTGTCCCTTTCATCAGCACGACTTGGGGCTTCTCATGGATTCCTGTGATTTCACCGGCAACGGAGTAAGATGACTCTACCTCCCTCCCTCTCCTCATAGGTTCCCACTCCCTCTGTACAGAACATCATGTTCCCAGACAACTTCCCTCAGGAACTGTAATTTTCTGATTAATGTTACACTGTGAGAAGATTCAAAATGGTTGAACAGGTCACCCCATTCCCCAAAGAACCATAGCTGCAAGGCAGTAATGTCCAAGCATGAATTTTCTCAGTTATGTGTAAAATATCCTATTTTTAAAGCTACATTTCTGAGTAATTAATATAACTATAAGAGCTAAGTAAGAAAAATAAAACATGTTGAATTCTTTTAAAATGATCTCATTTTTTGAAGGGAGGGGGTTTAATTTCTTGCACGAATATCAAGAATTCTGAGAAAGGCTCCATCCTTTCTTATAAAATATGCCACTTTTTGACTCTGAAACAGTCAATTTTGTACAAAATGAAAAAAAGCCCATATTTATTCAGCAAGATGTCACACTATGTTTAGAAAGAGTATTAGAACATGAATCAAGGCTGGTAGTGGTGGCTCACACCTGTAATCCCTGCACTTTGGGAGGCCAAGGTGGGCAGATCACCTGAGGTCAGAAGTTCTAAACCAGCCTGGCCAACATGGTAAAACTCCATCTCTACTAAAAATACAGAATTAGCCAGGCATGGTGGCAGGCGCCAGTAATCCCAGCTACTCAGGAGGCTGAGGCAGGAGAATCACTTGAACCCAGGAGGCAGAAGTAGCAGTGAGCCGAGATCACACCACTGCACTCCAGCCTAGGTAACAAGAGCAAAACTCTGTCACACAAAAAAAAGAAAGAAAGAAAAACGAATCAAGAAATTTGGGTTGAAGTTGATATCACACAAACCTAGCTAATATTTGGCTTTGGGTAAATGTACCTCTTTGGACCTCATATTTTGCATATACAAATTAAAAGGTCAGACTAATGATATTAAGAACCCTTCAAACTCTAAAATTCAATTATTCTAATTGGCTGAGGAATAATATGAATAACATCATTTCTTAATTGCTTTATTTAATACTTAGTAAACCACAATGAAATGAATTTTCTCTCTGAAGGCCTGGCCTAGGTGAAATTTTTATTCTTTTAAAATAGATCTCCTTAATACACACTATCAAAATACCCTATTTCTTAAAGCCTTCACTAACCAAGGCCATTAGCTGAGAACTTAAGAACTGTAACAAAGTCAGCAAAACTCACCATGTAGGTTTAAAAGAACACTGAAAGGCTTTCTCTCATTTTTGACTTTGTCATTTCTGAAAGGAATTTGGCTATTGTCCAGTTTAATTTATGTAACACTTTGTTGCTTGTGTTTAACATAATTGCAAACATGAAATGCATTCAGAATTGAAACCTAAGTGCTAACAATCTATTTTTCATCTCACCAAAAACTATAGGAAGAAAGGAATTCCACCACGGATTTTGAGGTCAAATGCTAAATAGCAGCAGCAATCAAAGGTATTTACAGGACAATTATATTAGGTGTCATCAGGTTCCAGACTAATGATGTCTGTAAATTCAGAGACAGATTTAGATCCAAAACACAAATCATAATCATTTTCACGATAGGCATTCAAGCCTTAAATGTCCATCAAATATGTTATTCTCACAACCATAGCTATTTATAAGCAAATTCAAGATGGATCTGGCAAGTAAAACAAAACATGTAGTCAATACCTGAATGCTGTTGAAATTGAATAGTGAAGACTTCTTCTAAAAATTGTTTTGCTTCAGTATCCTCTACAAATTCTCAATCTTAATATTTTGCAAAGTTAATCGTTCGAAAAGTCTTAACTAATTTGCATTAGTTTTCTATTTCTTCTACCCCCAATTTCTTTTCTGACCATATGTTTACTGAAATATCTTCACTCCAAAACTGTACTAGTTATTTTCCGCTCATTCTAAAGATAAAATAATTTGCTTTAGTCTGTTCAGTTTTATACTGTTTATACCCATTCACTTTATTTCCAGATTATTTTAAGTGTTCAAGGTACTGTTACTCACAAACTCAAGAAACAATCTATCTAATCAATAAATAATACTCATGGCAGTATGAAACATTATCTAGTCTGAAGCTGCTATCTCAAAATCGAATTAAAAGAACTATGTCATGTGATAATGACAGTGAAATACAGAAAGCATCCCTTCAAAAAGGCAATTCAAGTAAGAATGTGCTCACATAGCAGGTGTCTATGGTGCTTGATGGGCATGCTCTCAGGCCTGAAACAAAGGCAGTCCATTTTTACTCTTGGGAGTAGATAGAAAGTAACACAGGAAGAAGGGGATTTGAGAAAAAGTGGAAAGAAGGGACATCACACAAAGGTCCCTTTATATTGCATTCTTTCTTCTTTCTCTTTCTTCAATTGTTCATTCAATAAATATTGATTACTCACTATGCCCAAGGCTTATATATGTTTTTATATATAAATATATATATATAATATACTGTATATGCAAACATGTATTCTAACATGGAAATTTGTGGGTTTTAATTGAATTTATTTCCTTTAAAACCTTTTCATTTCAAATTGAGTTGGAGATGTTTCTACTGAGCGCCTACAAAGTACTGGAAGAAAGAGATCCAACAGAAACCTTTCAACACTTTCCTCACTGATCTTCTCTGTGGTTTTGACATTCTCTTACGGTGGAAATTCTCTCTCTTCTGGCTCTATAACAGCACATACTCTTGATTCTTCTCTTAGCTCTCTGTCCATTGTGCCTGACAATTTCTACCCAAGAATCTTCTTAATCCATTTTGTTCTAATGGATTAAGAATAAGATGGATCATGGCATCCAAATGGCAATGTTTCTCAGAATTATATCATCCCATCCTCTTTTCTTTACAAAAACTCTCCCTAGAATGTGTTCTCCTTCCCACCCTTGACTTAGAATCTTTATCTCTGATCTTGATCATCTTCCTGGGCCCCAAAGACAGTTTCAGTCCTCTGCTGGACTTCTCCTCTTAGAAATATCAGGCACGGCCAGGTGCAGTGGCTCTCGCCTGTAATCCCAGCACTTTGGGAGGCCAAGGTGGACAGATCACAAGGTCGAGAGATCGAGACCATCCTGGCCAACATGGTAAAACCCCGTCTCTACTAAAAATGCAAAAATTAGCTGGGCGTGGTGGTGCGTGCCTGTAGTCCCAGCTACTTGAGAGGCTGAGGCAGGAGAATCGCTTGAACCCAGGAGGCGGAGGTTGCAGTGAGCCGAGATCGCACCACTGCACTGCAGCCTGGCTACAGAGCGAGAATCCGTCTCAAAAAAAAAGGAAAGAAAAAATAAAGAAAAGAAAAGAAATACCAGGCATACCACCTTCCTCTATTTCCTAATCTGCTTCTCCTTCTAATTTCCTGTTTGTATCAAGTGCTTCCTCATTCCCCTGGTGACTCAACCCTGAAACTACAAGTCATTATAGATTTCTTCCTATCACTCACTCCCCCTATTCATCTATCATTTAGCTCTGTTGTTCCTACCTCCCTTTTATATTTCAGATCCATCTTCTGTCCATCCCTCATTGACACTTCCTTTGTTCACGTCTTTACTATTTCTCATTTGAATGTCTGCAATACCTAACTAATTGCCCTGCCTCTAATCAGGTTTCCGGCCAATCTGTTCTCTAGCTTGATAATGAATGGTCTTTCTAAAACACAAATCTGAGTGTGCCACCCCTATCCTATAAGCCTATTTTGGTTTCCATGTCTTGCAAGATGAAGTCTTGGTTCAACACAGGAATTGGACCTTCTTTACTTCTTTGCCTCATCTAGTACTACTTCCCCAAAACCTCGTTTAGCTCTACTCCCACCAAAATGTTTGTATTACCAGAATTTGCCATGTTATCTCACCCATCTCAACCTTTGTAAATATCTTTCCTTTGCTTAGAATGTTCTCCTCATTTCAGCCTATGTAAGCCCCAAAATATTTCCCATGAGAACTCTCTGGCTCCTCTGTGTGGCTTTGATGCTCTCTCCTCTGCAGCCACCTGTTCCCAGGCTGCCAGTGTGGGCCCTGGAGAAGCAGCTTCCTCGTTGGTCAAGATCACTCAGAAGCCATCATGATGGAATGGGGGACTGTGGGGGTGGCTAAGAGGTTATTCCTTTCCTCTCCAAATAAAATCTTTGTCTTTTATTCATTAAATCCTAAAATTGATCTAAATCTTCAACACATAAATCATTTTAAATACATATTTTGAACCCTAGGTGGTCTTCACTGGTTACTTTTTTCACCCAAATCCCACCAATAATGGTTTGTGGGGCTGTGATGGTGAGGTCAAAGAACTTTAAACTGGAAATTTACCATCCTCATTCCTGGCTATGAGCTCCAGGGTTAACATATAATTTCAAGCTGTGTAGCAAAGCATTCTCTCATTATTTTTAAAGATTTCTATTTTATCACTTCTAAAGTGTAGGGAATTTGGAAAATATACCCTCCATAACGTAACTAGAGTTAGACACCATGACTGGCATTTAGATGTATTTGCTTCCAGTCTTGTTATTTATCTGTATTCCAATTTTGACAAAGTGATATTCTCTGCATAAGTATTGTTTATTTAAAATAATGCTAGTAGGTGCTTTCTGTATCATTGAATACTATATTTAAATATGGTTAACTAATATTACATTGAATGCAACTGGAATAATTTGGCTAACAATAATTATGGTTAACAAACCATATTTTTATACTACCCTATTATAGACATTTACTTTTTTTCAATGTTTCACTCTTGGGGGTAGCACTCCAACAAATAAACAGTATATTAGAGTGGTATTGTTGTTGTTTTCACAATTTCTCACCAGGACAAAGTATTTTTTTTAATTCATATCAGTTTGATAGATAATATAAGATATCTCATTATGGCTTTACTTCTTATTTCTTTGAATATCAGTGAGGCTATACATGCTTGTTGTCAATTGTATTTCCTTGGAAAATTGCTTGTTCATTTCCTCTGCCTATTTTAATTACATAATTTGTATTTTTCCTATTGATTTATAAAAACTTCATTATTATATTATTATCATATTGTGTAACATTATATCATGGATCTTAACCTTTTGATGTGTATTGTCTAAGTGTTCTACAGAGTTTGCCATTTGCTTTTCAACTTTGTGCGTAGCATCTTGATTCTTTTGCTTTATGGAAGCTGTAAATATTTGCGTAGTCAAAACTATCATTATTTTCATTGTTGTTCCTTTCACGATTTTATATATAGAATGTCTTTCTCCATATGAATGTGAGGAAGATATTATCCTTATAGTACTTTTATTATTTCTTTTTATTTTATTTAACTCTGTAATCCACCTGGCATTTATACTGGCATACTGCTCGGGGTAGGAATATAACTTTTTTCCCACTAAAATTTATTTCAGTCTCACTTATTGACTAAATCTTTCTTTTCAAGCTTGCTTTTAAGACCACGCTTCATAAGATGTTTTATATGGTGTAACAGATCTTTTTAGGGGCTTTCTGTTTGTGGCTCATTTTCAGGCCTCACAGATTTTGTGTCCTTGAATTAGTCAGTTCACTTCTTGGTGTCTAATTCCATTATCTGCAAAATAGATAGATCCGCTTGCAGACTGCTTTAAGATTAGAGATGATTCATATGAGATGCTTATCATAGCATATGGAAAGTTAGAAGCACTCGATAAACAGAAGTTCCTATATATTTATTGTATTGACTGATATCTTCTGCCAGCACCACAATGACAAACACATTTTGAAACTTAGCATATAACCTGACACTCAGCCGTGGGAAAACTCTTGCATGTTTACTTCCAACATAGGCTTCATTATCAACACTCTTCCCACCCAGGAGTCATAAGTTTAACAAATATTTCAGCACCTACCATGTGTAAGGCATTGTAGGGAATAAGAAGATAAATGAAAAATAGCAGCATTATACAGAATTTCTCTAATCCCAGCTTGCTTCTGCTGTGTACAATATAAAAGAAATATTTTTATTCAACCAAATATTCATTAGTCCTTGCTATATGACTGGACACAGAGCTACTGGCTATCAGCATGGAGTAGCATGCTACTATTTTGTCCAGGATTCTTATACAAATTTGATCCTGCACATGCCAGATATGGACAAATATCACACATTTGGGGAATTTGCTGAGATAATCTCCCTTCCATATCCAGCCAAATACCTTCTTTCAATATCCAGCCAAATACCTTCTCTTTCATGAAGTCTTCCCTAGTTTCTCCATTAGAGGTTATTACAGTTTACTCAGAATCCCTTGGGTGTTTCTATTCATTTCTTTTTTTCTAATAACTCAAATGGCACATTCCTCTGGTCTCCCAGAACATTTGCACGATGTTCGATTACAGTATTTTCTTTTCTTTTCTTTTCTTTTTTTTTGAGACGGAGTCTCACTCTGTCACCAAAGCTGGAGTGCAGTGGCACCATCTCGGCTCACTGCAACCTCCACTTCCCAGGTTCAAGCGATTCTCCCTGCCTCAGCCTCCTGAGTAGCTGGGATTACAGGCCCCCACCACCATGCCTGGCTAATTTTTGTATTTTTAGTAAGACGGGGTTTCACCATGTTGGCCAGGCTAGTCTCAAACTCCTGACCTCAGGTGATCCACCCGCCTCGGTCTCCCAAAGTGCTGAGATTACAGGCATGAGCCACCATGCCTGACCTGATTAGCATATTTTTGTCTTGCTTCTGTGTTCATCTGTAGGCCTAACTGTCACTCACCCCCATCTGACTATCTTCTTCTCAGGATCAGAGCTACATCTTCTTTCTCTTTGTATTCCTGGCAAACACACTGCCTATTCGACAACAAATATGTGCAAATGATGCTCATCTTCTATTTTCATTTATTATATGTTAGTTAAGTAAAGCTACCATATTGTAGCTTATATTTTAGCTACATATCTGTGCAATGTGCTCCAGTTTGGAGAATATTTTTCATGCATTTTTGTGAGCCATTGCCACTGGACTCATATGTTGCACTATATTAACACACCATCTACTTTGAAATAGGAATATTGGGGGAGGGGAATTGATCATACTTTCCATTATCAGTATTAAAAATAATGCAGGCTAGGCATGGTGGCTCATACTTGTAATCCCAGCACTTTGGGAGGTCGAGGGGGGCAGATCACCAGGTCAAGAGATTGAGACCATCCTGGCCAACATGATGAAACCCCATCTCTACTAAAAATGCAAAAATTAGCTGGGCATGGTGGTGCACACATATAGTCCCAGCTACTCGGGAGGCTGAGGCTGGAGAATTGCTTGAACCCAGGGGCGGAGGTTGCAGTGAGCCGAGATCGTGCCACTGCACTCCAGCCTGGCAACACAGCAAGACACTGTCTCAAAATAATAATAATAATAACGCTAAAAATCCTGAATATTATCAATATGGGAGTTTGGAGTTGTAACCAAATCTTCCCTGAATCCTGAGCCTTGACATTTTATTTAACTTCTGAGACTTGTATTATTCCCATCATTTACTTAACAATCTTTTTCTATCCTTTTCTTTTAGCATTTCCCTTGTTATTTTACTTAAAATTATTCTCAAATTTTTCAAATATTCAAGTGTTACTTCCCCATCTATAATTGTAATGTAAATTCTCCATGGACGAGGACAATTTCATATTCTGCTTTACATGTCCCACAGCACCCAGCACAGTGCTTTGATCTTGCTAGGTTATCAAAATCTTATCTACTGATTTAAGTAATTGGCACTTCACTGAGGGACACATTTAAGAAAGTATCAATGTGAATACAACCTATCTAACCAGGTGAACGCCTATTGAGCCCCTAATATGTGTCCAATATTAGGCATATCGCATGGCCTTGCCCATTTAATCACCACAACTCTATAAGGTAGATACTATTATTATCCCCATTTCACCAGTGAAAGAACCAAGACTTAGTAAAGTTAAACAGGGAGTGAATGGCTGAGCACAGATATGACCCCAGTCTATCCAAGAGCCAAGTTTAAGGTCTTAACCAATACCACGTACTGCCTGAAGAACTATATAAGGATGTAAGAATCATTGACCACTGAAGGGATGAATTATGGCTTATATATTATAAGATCAAACTGACAGAAACTTTATAAATAGCTCTCCCCTTTTGAACTTAAAATTTCGCAAAGAATACTTTAAGTTTCAACATTAACAGATCATTGCATTAAGTTTTAATATTAACAAATACATTCATTTCAAAGATATTCCCAGGATTTAAAGTCAAATCCCGTAAAATGATATAACTTTTTATAAATCACTGCATTATAAGATGTTAATACAAATATCTAGAAGCTGAATTATAGAATGACCATCAGGATGCAACGTCCATTAAAAACATTAAATTATATTCCAAATGTACAGTTGTATATGTATCTTGTCTACAAAAAAAATGTTTAATAAAAGTTGATCAAATGGGTCATTATGGAAAGAGAACACAGGGGACTTCCTATACATTTTTGTCTGACACATATGAACTGTGTCAAATCAAAATCTCCTTAGAGTAACTTCTGACAGAAGACAAAATACCTGATATAAACCTCTATCTAACTTAAAGATCTGCATTCTCCCCACCCCTATTTAAGCCACACTGTGCTTAAATGAGTTGCCACTGTTGCTCTTTTACATTTTACAATTCTTGTTACCTAAAAAGAACACTAACTGCATTTTTAGAAATCAAGCCATTCCAAGAAAAATTGAGAATAAATATAGCGCAATTCCTACCTTGCTGTTAGATTTGTCTAAGCTGAACAGCTCCCTGGTTGTGAAATGCAAATGATAGCTAAAACATTCTGCTAATTCCAAAGTTCCAATGCAAGATGAATACATACAGCACTTCAGTGTTCAGTTTATAGCTAATGAATAGCACTGGTATTTTCACAGCCACGAAAACAAACCAAGTACTGTAATTGTATGACACTAAGCAAAACGCACAAAAATAGGTAATGGTTGTACTCACTAGTATTTGAGAACAAAGAAATCGGTACCACTGAGCCTAAGAATTATGGTATAAGTCTTATATTCTCTTCAAAGTGTTAGTTGAATGATTTTACATTGTTTTCATAATTAAGGAGCTGTCATAATTGTCTGTATGTGATAGCAGAATAATGTCTGAATAAAAATATAAAACTGATTAGAAAATGCTGAGACTGTAATTAAACCGAACTAATCCAAAATACATACAACATTTTAATTTCATTAGTATTCCAGATCCTTAAACAATTGTGGTACCTAGCATAAAAAGATTACAAATTTCAAGGAAACTACATTAATCACACAGCTGAAAAGTGAATTAGAATAAAAAGCATTCTCCAAAGTCTTAATGGAAAAAGGTGAGAATTTTATTTCCTATTGTTCTAACTTTCCAAATCTCTGAATTTCCCTTTCTTGTGGGACAGGGGAGGGGAGCAAATTGGCTCAAAACTCACCTCTGAAATTTTATGAATTTGAATGACTCCTTAAAAAGAAACCAAAGACCACACCAAAGGCACTTGCAAGGAAATGTAAACAATCCTCCGAAATCTACTGTTCTTGCAAACCTGTCCTTTTTTGCACTGGCAGGCCTTTTGCACCAAGGAAAACAATCATTCCAAAGATTCTTGCTCTGCTATGCTATAGGTAATCTTTTTGCATAAGAAGGGTATTTTATATCAGCAAAAAATATAGAAAATATAGGATGCGCTTAATATTTAAGAAAAAGTGTTTGTAGCACTCTATCAAGAAAGATAATTATTCAGTACTCATGTCAGATAGAAAGCTCCTGAATCTGATTTTATTCCATTCACTGATATTCCTTGTGTACCTATGAGAAATAAGGCATGGTGTTAGATGCAGAAGGTACAAAAATGAACAGATAAGGACCTTTCCTTCCAGGCCTTCCCATCAATCATGACCAAACATGGTAATACCATATTTCCATATGTAGCAGTATATTCATATTGTTCAACCTGCCACAAAATTAACATTTGTTAACATTCAATAGGCTAACAAATGAAAAATTTACATGTCTATATGAACTAAGTTCTCAAATATTTGTACAAATGATGGCATATACGGACATAAAATATAGAACTAACTCTAAACTTGAGGAAAATAAAAAATAAACATGCAAACTTTGGCTACTCTGGTGATCCCCTGCTGTATTAGTTCGTTTTCATGCTGCTGATAAACACATACCTGAGACTGGGCAATTTACAAAAGAAAGAGGTTTAATTGGACTCACAGCTCCACTTGGCTGGGAAGGCCTCACAATCATGGTGGGAGGCAAGGAGGAAAAAGTCACATCTTAATGCGGATGGTGGCAGGCAAAGGGAGAACTTGTGCAGAGAAACTCCCGTTTTTAAAACCATCAGATCTCGTGAGACTCATTCACTATCACCAGCACAACGCAGGAAAGATCCGCCCCCATAATTCAATCACCTCCCACTGGGTTCCTCCCATTATATGTGGCTATTGTGGGAGTTACAATTCAAGATGAGATTTGGGTGGGGACACAGCCAAACCATATCACCTGCCCTTGCGTTTCTTTGGATTTCTAGCACAGAATTCTATTATCTGATCTAATTTCCCCCAGCTCACCACTGTCCTCTGATTTACTGTGGATTAGTGTGAAGTTTTTGCTGCTTTTAAGGTATTGGCCTTTTGCCAACTTCTTGGCTTATTGGCCCTATTTGGTGCCCTACAACTCCCAGACTTTTCCTTCCAAACTTTCCTTCCTATATCGCTCTACAAAATGTCTTCTATTCCTCTCCTGCCATGACTCTCACTCTAACATTTTTCCCTAATCCTTCATCACAATGACAGGTGAGAGTCTGCAACAAAAGGTTCAGAAATATGTCAGCCCACTCTTTAAAATGTTAAGTAATTTTGCTCACTGTCATCAGGTAGAGAGGAATATTCAGCCAGGTCTTTCCAGGACAGGATCTGCCTCTTGAGAATACATTAGGCTCTTTAGGCAACTACCTTAACAATTTTGGGTCATACAGTATTGCACTAAATTGTGTCCTACGGGCATATAAGGCACTGAACATCCTCCAAAGAAATCCATCTTATTCCTAGGGAATAGTGGGCTTTTTTCTCCAAAAATAAAATGTGATTTAAAATGAATTAACTGGGGGATAACTTCCCCAGTCTTCTACATGGGATTTGGAAAAATGGTTGAGTGTTAAAACGTATGGACTTTTATAAATGTTTTATAATTGCAACTCCTCTTACATGAACAACAGATGCTAAAAGAAATCACTATTCTACAGAAACAGTTCATTTTAAAATAAATCAATTAGAAGACATTACTAAAGACAAATAAAAATATGGAGACACTTCCCATTTATATTCAAAGCTAAGGATTAGGAGAACAACCCAATTACTCATCCAATCTGCCCATTTAAGCACCTGTCAACTAAAGGGATTAATATGCCTTATGTTTATGGAATTAGGGACAGCTCTGTCACAGTCTTTGCCTAAGAACCATTAACAAACACATTTTCCAAGTATGTATTAACATTTCTTAGCTGTCACTACTGTAATGACCCTGATACACGCTAATGAAAGCATTGAAGTTTCACAGCTATATTGTTGTACATAGAAGATGGAGCCTTCCCCCAACCTGTCCCCCGAAAACATACAGTTGCTCTCCTCCACCTAAGGAAACAAATAGTTGCTTCAAATAACCAATTCATAAAAGCTAATTATTCTCACGGGGATTTTTTTTTCTTCTTGAAGAGACAAATTAAAACAAGTATAGGAAGGAAATGATTAAGTCACAAAAGTGTAAAAATGTTCAGAACTACATAATGTGGGATCTGAGTTACTGGAGATACCATATGCAGCATCTGCAAATGATGATCACTCTCAGATGGCAGCAACACCTGCTCTGGCTCTGATTGTGGTGTAAAACTCTGAAACCAAGGTACTGGCACTTTACTGAGTCTATTTGAGGATAGGTTAACCATTTTGGCAGTGACTTCCTTCCAGTGACAAATGGAATCATATGTCATAAATGGGCTGTACATACATAAATAACTTCATTGTTATGTAAGTACTCAAGTCACATAAAAATAATCAATAATAAAAATGAATCAATTAAAAATTAGCAAAAGATGAACCGACACTTCACAAACAAAGATGTTTGCAGGGCCAATAAGCACATAAAAAGAAGTACATCTTTAGTTAACAGGGAAATGGAAATGAAAGCTATGATGAGATCCTCTTCATGTCCACTAGAACAGCAAAAGTTACAAAGACGGGGATCAGGGGGAACATGAAACAACTGGGAATCTCATACATTACTGGTGAGAATATAAAATGTTAAAACCATTTTGAAAACTGTTATACTGTTTCTTTCAAAGCTATCCTACACGCCAGTGATTCTACTCCTAGGTGTTACCCAAGCGAAAGGAAACATATATCCTCAAAATGGTGTATATAAAAATATGTATTGCAATTTTCTTCATAAAAGCCCCAACTGCAAACAATCTACATGTTCATCAACAGGAGAATGGATAAACAAATTGTATAGTCATATAATGGAACACCACTCAGCAATGAAAAGGATTAAACTACTGACACAACCACATGAGTGAATGTCGAAAATATATTTCCAAATAAAAGCACGACACAAAAGAACATGCACTTTATGATTCCATTCATCTGAAGCTCTACTACAGCAGGGAGAAGAAATCTTTGGTGATATAAATAAGAAAAATGGTTTTCTCTGGGGACAGTGTATTGACTGCAAAGAGGCACGAGGAACTTATTGAGGCAATGCAAATGTTCTATTTCTTGATAGAGGTGTGGAGTACATAGATGTATACAGTTTTCAAAAGTCATAAAGCTGCACACTTAAAATTAAATTATGCCACAACTAAATACAGACCTAAAACTGATCAGCCATATTATTAACCATTCTAAAGCACTTAATAATAATAGTTAAAACTTATATAGTATTCATTATATAAATGACTGTTCTAAGCTCACATATTATCCAACTTAATCCTCATTACAATTTTATGAGGTAAGTGCTATTGTTATCTCCACTTTATAGATGAGAATCTGAGGAGCTAAATAACTTGACTTAAGGTCTCATAGTTTATACATCCATCCATGTCTTATATAGATAGTTAATAAGTTCAACATATCTTACATCAACCTTAAAGAGGCCTAAATAGAACTGGGTGCAGTAGTGCATGCCTGTAACCTCGGCTACTTGAGACTGAGCTGTGTGTAATCTCAGCTACTTGGGATGCTGAGATGGGAGAATTTCTTGAGCACAGGAGTTCAAAACCATCCTGGGCAATGTAGTGAGACATCATCTCAAAAACAAACAACAACAAAAGACAGAGTCCTAAGTAGTTCATAATTTGGATTGATGAGCTATTTAGTTCACAAGCTACAAATTAACATTGCATGAGGTTAAATGATAAATAACAATCCTGCTGGGTGCGGTGACTCACACCTGTAATCCCAGCACTTTGGGAGGCCGGGGCAGGCTGGTCACTTGACATCAGGAGTTCGAGACCAGCCTGGCAGCATGGTGAAACCCTGCCTCTACGAAAGATATAAAAATTAGCTGGGTTTGGTGGGGCATGCTTGTAATCCCAGCTACTTGGGAGGCTGAGGCAGGAGAATGGCTTGAGCCCGGGAGGTGGAGGTTGCAGTGAGCCGAGATCGCACCACCATACTCCAGCCTGGGCGACAGAGCAAGATTTGGTCTCAAAATAAATAAATAACAGTCCTTATAAAGTATTTTTGATTCATGAATATTATACTTGTGACAATTGTAACAAATAAAACTATAAGAAACTGAGAAAGGACAGTGCTACCAAGATTGGGGCACATTCAGATGCTGTCTGCCTATAGAGGCAAGACAGATGGGCATAGCTCTGAGACAGTTATCTGTCTGCTAAGGTCCATTTCAGGACCTGACACAGCTGACATTTTGAATGGTGTCTTGGATGATGAGAAAACAAATAATGTGTATTAAGTTTGTATTGACATCAACTTGAAGGGTGTAGAGGGCTGGACACAGTTTCAAATGTCCCCTATGAGTCAGAGTTAAAAATAGAATGATGTTCAATAGTAACAAAGATTGGTCTTTTCAATTAGGGGGGAAAAGCAGTAAGGTACAAAAGGCAAGGAAACTCTTCTGTTAAGACTCCCAATAGAAGGAAGGTCCAGCCTCCTTCTGCACCCTCCCAGTCTCCACATCATTTTAATTACTTTGATGTCTTCCCTATGCAGCTGAAAATAAACATTGAATAATCAACGTATTTTAAATTAGTGATAGTTTCATATTCAAATTTTCCTGTTTTCATTCCTGATAAGTATGCTTAAAATGAAGATTTTTAGATTGTAGCTGTTTATACTGTCCATTTCTATCTCCCTTATATTAAAAATTAACACTCTGAGTCTGGAAACCAGGAGGTAGAATACTCTTCAGGGGAGGAAAAGAAAACGCCCGGAAATCTTGATGGAGTATAACTGAAGGATGTTAAAGCGACTAAGACGTGAGGAAAGAAACAAATTTTGTGCAAACCACCATGTATTTTACTACTCTTAGGTTTGTCGGAGACAAATTCCCAAACCACAAAGCCCTGCGCCACTGGTGGGATATTCCTTCAGCCCTTCAGTCCCAATACCTTCTCTCTTGTCACTCCTCTCCTGTGGCTTCATCTTCCCATCAATATCCCTCTTCTGATATGCTCCTGTTCAAAGGTCTCTAATTACAGCCATTACCAACTCCCCAGTGCCCATCAACAGTGATAAGTTCCTGTTATCACCTCTCTAATTATATCCATTACCACTTCCTTATCCACACTAACCAATTAATTCATTAATCAGTTAACAAACCTCAAATTAATACCTATCAGGACACTTTACTAGATATTATGGGGTACAAAAATTGGTATGTGACACTCTTCCCTACTCTGAAGGAATTCCCAGCCTATTCAGGAGTCAAGAATTTGTATGTGTGTGTGTGTGTGTGTGTGTGTGTGTGTATCTGTGTGTCTGTGTGTGTCTATATGTGTGTCTGTGTATGTCTGTGTGTATGTGTGTGTATCTGTGTGTGTCTGCATGTGAGTCTGTGTCTGTGTGTATATGTGTGTCTGCATATATGTGTCTGTGTGTGTGTGTGTGTGTGTGTGTGTGTGATTTCAGCACTACTGAATTGAAGGGAGCATTTCCAGTATACTGAGATAAGCAGAGGTGGCTCCCACTGAAAAGGTGAAAGACCTGAGCTTCCCTCTCTGAATGAAAAACAGGACTCAAACTTTTAGTGAGTTGTGTGAACAAAACCTAGAAGTGAAAATGATAAGACCAATCTCCCCTGAAAAAAAAACTTTGGGTTCTGGAGCAGAGGGTCCCAGGACTGACGTAGTAAATTAGACCAGATCACTGAGGAAAAGACTTCAATAGCAAGGAGTATAGTTTTTACTTATAATGTAGGCATTATGAGTTGGTGACAACTAATATTGCATCCTACAGTAAATACACAAATAAACTTATTAAACTTATGTCTTTCAGTTGTAAGTCAGAACTCATCTGTTGAAAGCCCGTAAGAAGAGAGACAGCATGACCAATGGCACCAGCCAGTGTACATGGGAGACCCTTGGACATCTCCAGCCCCACCTCAGATCTGGCAATGGTCAGTGATATTCTATGATGGGCAGCCCTCTGGCACAGGCCAAACATTCAAATATTTTATTTATATTTGTACAAAGTAACTCTGCGCATTTCTTCACTTCTAGAAATAAACAATATAAAGAATATTTATATAAATTAAGGCCATCTTTCAGGATGATGATATAAAAATCTCAGTAAAGATTCCAAAATGCATAGAGGCTATGCAATGTTGTATAAAGAGGTGTGAACAGTAAGTAATCTTGCTATTAATCTAAACCCTGTTACAGACACGTCATATGTGATTAAATTTTCTCATCTATAAAATAAAAAGGTTAGGCTAATTCTAAGGTCTCTTTGAGTCTAAAAGGGTCTGTTTTATCTCTGTAATTTCATCATGCCATGATTAAAAACTATGAATAGCACTTTTTAAAAAATTAAAAACTAGATTTTATTTTGCTCTAATTAAAAATTAATAACATAGCCTAATGTGTAATACTAATTGGCAAAGGTTGGTCAAAATCAGAGAAGTATTCAGAAACTTGACTTGATGTGTATATTAGTTATCTATTGCTGCATAGCTAATTACCACAAATTCAGTGGCTTGTAACAACACACATGTATTATCTGGCAGTTTCTATGAGTCAGGAGTCTGGGCCCAGCATAGCTGGGTCCTGTGCTCAGGGTCTCAAAAGTTGTCAACCAAGGTGCATTCTGTTCTGAACTGGGGGACCTCAACCAAACTCATGTGGTTGTTGGCAACATGCAGTTCCTGAGGTCTCTGTCTAGTTGCTGGATGTCATGTAGGGGCCACCCTCAGCTCCTAGAACTGTCCTAGAGGCAGCCTCCAGGGCCAGCAACTGCTAAGACAAAGTCTTATACAGTATATCATATCCACAGGAGGGACAGCGCTTCTGTCCTTTCCCGTTTTATATCAGCTGGAAACAAGTCACAAGCTCTGCCTCTTGCTCGAGGGTAGTGGATCACACCAGGGCATGACTCACTGGGGTCACCTTAGGGTCTGTTCCCACAATATGAAAGGTAAAACAATTGTGTTACGATAGCAACCTAACTTCTTTCAGTCAATTTTTTAAAATGCAACAGATGGGGCTGGGCTTGGTGGCTCACTCCTGTAATCCCAGCACTTTGGGAGGCCAAGGTGGGTGGAGTCACTTGAGGTCAGGAGTTCAAGACCAGCCAACATGGCAAAACCCCATCTCTACTAAAAACACAAAAATTAGCTGAGCATGGTGGCGGGTCTCTGTAATCCCAGCTACTTGGGAGGCTGAGGCAGGAGAATCACTTGAACCCAGGAGGCAGAGGTTGCAGTGAACTGAGATCATGCCACTGTACTCTAGCCTGGGTAACAGAGAAATATTCTGTCTCAAAAAAATAAAAATAAATAAAATGCAATAGATAATTAAGAACTAAAATGAGACAAGGCAGGATGCTATTGGAAACTTTCTTATAATAGTTGCCATGACAAGAAACATAGTAGAAAGCAGCATGTGTTCAGCACTTCCTACGCAGTGGGCTTTGCACACATTATTATATTTAACAGTCACAATGACCCTATAAGATAGGGTTATTATCCCCATCTTAGAGTACAAAACATGATGCAAAGATAGGTTAAGTGGCTTGCACAAGGCCACACAACTGCAAAGAAGCAGAACTTGATAAGAATCTTAACCTCATTTTCCTGTACAGCAGCAAAGGAAATGTCTACTACGTTTGGAAGCTTAGAAACTAGATTACTCAGCAAATCATTATAGTCTTAAGCCTCAGTTTCCTCATCTGTAAAATGGAGAAGATAGTGGTACCTGGTCTAGATAAGGTTGTTGTGAAAATGAAATGAGAATGAGATGTGTAAAGCTCTTCACACACTGTAAGTGCTTACTAAGCCATATCGTTGCTGTTCTGTTGTAAGTTCTGTGTAAACTCTAAAGAACTATACATATGAAAGTACAGGAAGGGCAGTGAACTTAATGTCTCTCTATGTTTTGTTTGTTTGTGTTTTTTTCTGACAAGAAATTTTCAGGATTCTTCAGTAAATCAGCCTACTACCTTCTCTGGTGAAAAGGCCCTGGAAGCCAGAAAAAAAATAAATATTCCATTGATCTTTCTGTAGGAGAAGCAATAAAGTTCTTGTCCATAAATAAATTGAAATGTAAGAGTTTTTTTAACAATTTATATTGATGAGTCAAAGAAGTGGGCATTTATATGCTTGAAGAGATGTTTGAGTTAACCTTTGTGAAAATGTAAAGTATTAAGATAGACAAAAATGGATTACACAAAGAATGAGTGGATCAAAGGGAAAAACATATCTTCAGAAATATTTAATAATATAGTAATAACATTACAGGACATTATAAATGCTAAGTCATATTTAATAAGTCTACAACACGCTTTAAAAGTATATACCTATATTGTAAATTATTTAATCTAAAAATGCAGTTTTTGTTTTTGTTTTGTTTTGCTTTCTTTGAGACAGAGTCTTGCTTTGTTGCCCAGGCTGGAGTGCAGTGGGGCGATCTCCGCTCACTGCAACCTCTGCCCCTGGGTTCAAGCGATTCTCCTGCCTCAGGCTCCCTAGTAGCTGGGATTACAGGCGCCCACTATCACGCCCAGCTAATTTTTGTATTTTTAGTAGAGACAGGGTTTTACCATGTTAGTCAGGCTGATCTCGAACTCCTGACCTCAAGTGACTCTGCCCACCTCGGCCTCCCAAAGTGCAAGGATTACAGGCGTGTGCCACCACACCCAGCCAAAAGGCAGTTATTTCTAAGACTAAGGGTGATCCTATTTATCTACTTTAATTCCTTGGCTTTACCTTTGCCATGCACTTGTTTTTCATTTTTGTTTTTAGGCAAATCAACGTTGTCACCATTTGTAACTGCTGCATTGTCCTAAGGGGATATTTGCTAAGAGGACACCCATTGCCCTTGCCCAAGGGCCACCTGTAGTGCAGGGCAGGAGGGACACAAGCAGTGCTGTGCTGGTAAGTGTTTAGCAACTGATGGGGATGGGGATGTTTGTCAATTTCCATGGCCAATTTCAAGCTATCAGTGGTATGTCACTGATCAGGAGATGGGAAAAGGTGACTCTGCATACCACATAGCCCAAGTGAAAAGATCAAAAAGGAAGACATCAAGGAAACATTAAAATTCAGCTTAATGCAGTAGAACCTATATATCTATATGCCAAGGCCTTGAATTTCCATACTGGGCTGGGCAGGATTAATTTGGAAGACTTCTAGAAAGATAGAATTTTTCAAAGGGAAGAATTGGAAAGAAATGAATTAATTATACTAGATATCCTATAGATGTTATCTGAGGTAATTCCTTTTAAAAAACAAACAAACAAACAAACAAACAAAACAGAGTCTCCCCCTGGCACCCAGGCTAGAGTGTAGTGGTGTGATCTCGGGTCACTGTAATCTCTGCCTCCTGGGCTCAAGCGATTCTCCTGCCTCAGCCTCCAGGGTAGTTGGGATTACAGGTGTCCACTACTACACCCGGCTAATTTTCGAATTTTTAGTAGAGACAGGGTTTCTCCATGTTGGCCAGGCTCGTCTTGAACTCCTCACCTCAAGTGATCCGCCCACCTCTGCCTCCCAAAGTGCCAGGTTTATAGGCATGAGCCACTGTGCCCAGCCAGCAATTCCTGATTAAACATGGAGGTAGGTATCATTTTTCCCATTTTACAGATAAGGAAACAGAGGCTCAGGCAAACTTCCTCATAGCTAATAAGTGGAAGATTATTTCATTCTTCCACCTCTTTCTTACCTCTTCCCTATTTTTCTTCTTTTCTGCCTTCTTCCTTCCTTTCCTCCTTCTCTCCCTCCTTGTATCCCCTATACCACTCCTTTACTAAAAATCCACCTAGTGCCTTCTATGCCCAAGGCAGTGTGCATATAACCAAGTACATAAAAGTAAATAAGTATCATAAATATTTTTTAAATTCTGTCCTCAAGGATTCAACCCTACTGAAACTGGGAGCGGAGAGGGGTCCACACAGACCCCCCAAAATAGTTTTCCTAAGTGCAATGATAGGACAGCAATGAGAACAGGGACACTGGGGAGGAGCACATGAAACGAGAATTACTAAGTCCGCCATTATCTAAGTCAGCATTCAAAGCCATCTCTGAATGTGCTGGTAGGCGTTTCACATACTGGGAGGAAAAAAACGGATGGATGGGATGAGAGAGAGAGCAGGGTTGTGGCAGGGAAGAGAGTTGAGAAGGCAGCAGAGGTGGGGGAAGAAAAGAAGGGCATATTCTTATTATAACAGCAGACTTAGTGCGGGAGCACCTACTTAGAATTAAGACTAGAGTTTAGTCTGCTATTAAAGATAAATGTGACTTAACTAGTTTGTTTTATTACAAAATAGGAACAATCTCAGCTGCTGGAAACTTCACAGGGATGCTGTAATGCTAATAAATACCCTCTTTGTCATTCTCTAGTAGTACTATAAAAATTTTTACAATATTATTATCATTACAAAAGATAATTTATCTTTCAGCTCAGTGCTGGAAAAAGGAATAGAGTCTCTCCAATACCCTCTGGAGCAAATAGAAATCTTCCAAATAATATAAGTGCATTAGCCAGAAGCTTTTCTTTTGAGAAGACCACAAAGCAACAGATGAACAAATGAAGCCTTAATAGAAAGATATTCACAGTGTAAACAGGCAGAGGTGGCAATTATTTCAACATTTTAGCCACCCTCACCACTTAATGTTTTTCCTACAGTTAATAAAATAAAATAATAAAAATATCCATTAGTTTCACACAGTACACAAAACTAAATGATTCTAAGTATTTGCTACTACAATTCTGTCACCTTTGAGGGACATTTCTTTCTTTAAAAAATCCAAGCCTCACTCTGTACGAAAATGAGATTGAATCTGCAGTATTCTTACACCGTTCTGTATCATCATACCAGACAATGTACCATAAGAACTGGGTACGAATTCCAACAATAGGATCACATTCTAAGCTCTTTATTGCAAAGATTATTGTTAATATGCTATACTCATGCCTTTCTTGAAGTTCTGCACAATGAGGATTATACAGTTTTATACAAATGATATTTCTACCAGATACGGTCCATAACACCTCTAAAGTTAATTTATCGAATGCTAGGTATTGCTTTACAAAAAATGAAACCAAGCTGACTTAAAACTGAGACTACAAAAGATTGAAGAGCCTCTGCCCTGTCCAAAGAGTCAAAATGAATGCAGGACAGGAGTGAGGATGGGAGGACAAACTTCATGCCTTGCTGAAGTCTAAAAAGTGACACTTTATCCCTTATCTCAAGACGTGCTAGTGCCTTAAACACTGCTAAACACTTGATTACCAGCTGTGGCCATTCCATTCTAAAAGATACAAAAATGGGGGAAGCTGGGTGAGTGTGTCTCTGACTAAAGCACTCCTCTCAGTAGGCAGTAAGGGCCACAGGCATAGCTGTGGAGAAGTTCAACATGTAAACGGGCCTCAGCTACAACCAGACATCTGGTTTACCCTGCTTCCTCAGCACAGACACTAAGGAGAGAAAGCTAAGAGAACACAAAGGCTACCATCTGCCAAGAGAGATGGAGAATACTGAAAAAAGCATATTTTGGTTTCTATATATTTGCCTGGTCATTTAAAATTGTACCCTATCAAAAACTTCATAAGACACGTGACTAAGATCACTCTTTGCCAAAATTACTTTCATTATTGAACCATTTTCTGGCATCATGAGCTAAAAACGATCACTAGCATCTGGATGCCAACCCAGTGGCCTTATCCACTAAGAATAAATACTGGGGTAGTTAAATTCTGGATGGCTCAGTTTCCTCACCCCACCCCTACAGCTTTACTTCTAACTTGGAAGTTCACAGCTAATATTTTATAAGGAATGACAAGAGACTATTCTTGCTGTCTTTAAACAAGCCCATCTCCCTTCCCTTGCCACAGCCTCTGCCGGCTGAGTTCTTTTTCCAAAACAAAAACTCTGCCTACTTACAATCACAACTAAATGGAGTCAAAAAGCAATGCCGCAAAGTTTAAATTCTTAAGTGCTTACCTTTCTCTTCTTTAAAAAGTAAAATCATCAAGATTTTTATCGGCAAGCAAGTAAACTTTTTATGTTCTCCAAGTACTGCCAAAAATATATGCCTGTCTATAGGCATTATTTCAAAATTTATAGCATCAGTATGAAGATAATAATTACTAAGAAAGGATTCAGGTTATAAAATGAAAGAGAAGAAACTTTATTTAAACCATTCACTTTTTAAGTTATTATAAATTGGACATCAAATTGTCACACATTTAATAGTTTCCTGGATGATTATAACAGCTTGCTACCTAAGGTCTCCCTAGGTCTCCTCCGGGCTGCTCCCACCTCTCTACAATCCATTCTTCACACAGCAAGCCCAGTGTATTAGTCTTTTTTCATGCTGCTGATAAAGACATGCCTGAGACTGGATCATTTATGAAGAAAAAGAGGTTTAATGGACTCACACTTCCACATGGCTGGGGAGGCCTCACAATCATGGTGGAAGGTGAAAGGCACGTCTTACATGGCAGCAGGCAAGAGAGAATGAGAGCCAAGTGAAAGGGGCTTCCCCTTTTAAAACTATCAGATCTCATGAGATGTAGTTACTATCATGGAAACGGTATGGGAGAAACTGTCCCCACAATTCAATCATCTCCCACCAGGTCCCTCCCATAGCAGGTAGGAATTATGGGAGCTACAATTCAAGATGAGATCTGGGTGGGGACAGAGCCAAACCATATCACCCCATGATCCTTTCAGAATGACAATATGCTAATGTAAACCCTATGTTTAAAACCCCTGAATAGTCTGCCACAGCTCCCAGGATATTGATCAAACCACCAACATGGCCTTTGAGGCCCTGAGGGGTCTGCTTCCTCCTATACTTCCAGCCTTTCTCCTATCAGTCTCCCAATGCTTACTGCTCTTCAGCCATGCCAATTATTTTCACTTCTTTAAATGTGCCACTCTCCAGCTTGCCACAGGGGCTTTGCACAGACTGCGCACCCATTTGGTATATTCAAAGCTCTCTCCTAACCCTATTTCAACTTCATTCACCAACTTAGCCCCAACTAATTCTTTGGACATCAGATCATGTGTCACTTTTTCAAGCTGTCATCACTTCCTTCAAACCAACGCTCTGGGTCAGCTGTCTTTGTTCCAAGTGCTCATGGGGTCGTGTTCTCTTTTTCATGTGCTGTTTGTTTTATTATTGAGGCTAATTACCCCACCCCAGTTGCCTGGAAGCTCTGTTAGGACAGGGGCCTCATCCTCTCCCTACTCATCATTGCATTTCCATCTCTGACCATAATTACTGGTACAGAAGAGATGCTCAATAATTATTGAATGAATAAATTAATTAATCAATTAGTCTTGTCTTATTTAATGTGGCCAGGTCAAAGGATAAAATGATAGTAGAGCCCAGTGGAAATTTGGAAGGCAGTCAGCCTACAGGTATGTGCTGAAGCAAACTGTTAAAGACCACATACAAAAGGCTTAATAGTCTTTCTTCTAGGTAGAAGTGTTAATAAAAATGTCAGAAAGGGCATGGAGAAGGGAAGGGAATGGACAGAGTTGGAAAAGCAGCTGCTACAGCAGAGAGTGGGCCTTATTCACTCAAGGAATACTGCAAATGCATTGTAATAATGTATCTAAACATTTGTTCAACATCTTGCCAGTTACAGACATGATTCACATCTGTCATGTCAGTCTTTCTTCATTCCTCTCGGCAAGCCAGTGACATAGACAGGGTAGATGCTATTCACAACCATTTTAAAAATGATTAAACAATCTCAGAGAATAACTCCCACAATTCCCACGTGTCATGGAAGGAACCTGGTGGGAGGTGATTGAATCGTGGGTGCAGGACTTTCCCATGCTGTTCTTGTGATAGTGTGTGGGTTTCACAAGATCTGATGGTTTTAAAAACGGGAGTTTCCCTGCACAAGTGCTCCTCTCTTTGCCTGCCGCCATCCATGTAATACGTGACTTGCTCCTCCTTGCCTTCCACCATGATTGTGAGGCCTCCCCAGCCATGTGGAACTGTAAGTCCATTAAACCTCTTTTTCTTTTCCCCCAGTCTCAGGTATGTCTATCGGCAGTGTGAAAACAGGCTAATACAGAGCACAAAAAGGACATCTATAGTATGAGAGCTGAAGCAAGAAGGCAAAGTGTCTGTTGCTTTGTGTGATCCCAGCTGAGAACATGCATATCCCACAACTCAAATTGTTTGCCATTCCACAAATAACTATGAAAGTGCATGAGTACTGATTTTGGGGTTTCAAATAAATCTTAGTATGCAGGACACATTTTCAAATGTGGAATCTGAATAATGAGGATCAACTATATTTGGGTTCCACAAAGCAAAAAGTAATGGGAACACACAGCCAAAAAAAGCAAACACAAAAACAATACATCTCTAAACTTACATGTACTGAGAGCAAAATGTAACAAATGAGAATGCAATGCTATCAAGCGAGCATAGAGAATGAAGTGCATCTTGAAGATGAAGGTATTTGCCAGACTAGCTGGGATGGAGGAAAAGTAGGAATCAGAAGAGGAAGTCCAAAAGATCACGTGAGTAGAGATGTACGGCGTGGCTGGGATGTTAAGGATCAGGGATCAGGCTGGCAGAAAAGATAGAAACATGGGTTTAAAGAAGAAAAAAACATTATATGTGGCTGCAATGGAACTAGGGCTTTAGCACCTCAATGACGGGAAACAATGACAGTTTTTAAGCTATGGAGTGTTTGGAAATTTAGAAAAATAACTTGGTGATGTAAAGAAACCTGAACTGTATGAGACGGACCAAAGAGGACAGAAACTGGTGGTCAATTAAGAGGCTGCAGCAAGCATCTACCCAGAGGTGATACAGCCTGGACTAGCACAGCTGCCCAGAAAGAGTAAGGAAGGGGGCACTTGTTGGCAGATACTTAATAGGTAAAAAATAGCAGGATTTGGTGACAGATTGAGTGTTGTAGACAAGAGAAGGGGAAGAATCTGTTGAAGACTGGAAGAATGATCTCAGGATATTGTATGTGTCTGTCTTCATCTGCTCTGGCTGTTATAACAAAATACCATAAAAATGCATAGCTTATGAACAACTGAAATTTATTTCTCACAGTTTTGGAAGCTGGGAACTCCAGGACCAAGGGACTGGTAGACACACTGTCTGGTGAGGTCCTGCTTCCTCATTCATAAAAAGCCTCTTCTCACCGTATCCTCACGTGGCAGAAGGAGACAAAGCAGCACTCAGAGGTCTTTTATATGAGGGGATTAATCACCACCACAAAGTCCCATCACGTTGTCGATTAGATTTCTACATATGAATTTAGTGGGGGGAGAAAAACATTCAGATCATAGCAGTACATTTAGCAATCTAATATCTTTAACGTTCTTATATGTAGATTGAGTGCTTCTAATGGAAGAGGATCATTGAATTCATGCTATGGGTCTGAATTATACAGCCTATACAATATTTTGAATGATATAGAAATTACAGATAATTTTAAATAAAAAGATAGTTTGTATCAATACTAAAGATATTTTCTAATCTCACTGAAAGTAAAATGGCAAACAATTAATTTAGCCCCAAAGAGATACTGTCATTTATGTCATATATACTACAAAAAAAAGAGAAAGAACCAAAAAAAGAAATTACACACCAAGTTTAAAAGTGACATTTCAAGTTTTTGGTGACCTCTTATTGGCTTCCTTGCTGAGTTGGGCCTCAGTAAACATAAAATTGTTTTAAATTTTAATTTTCCACTTTCACCTGGCATGTGGAAAAAGCAACGGCCTAGGATATGGAAAACCAGAGCTCCATTTTGATTCTGTTTCTGTTAAAATCTTAGGGAGATCCCTTCAGCTATTTAGTCCTTAGTTTCCTCATCTATAAAATAAAGGGTTTCAGCTAAATGGTTTTTAAGATCCCTTTAATTTCTAATAGTCTTTTATCCATTGTGTTCATGTTCTAAGAGCTTATATATTATACACTCATATTTTCATACATAGTGCCTTTTGGTAGAGGAGATGAGATTTAGGGAGACGGAAATTCCCTACTTATCTTTCTAGATAAATGCTTGAATAGCATTTTAAAATGTTAGGTCTCCCTATCAGTGTGTTTGATACAGAGAAAAATATTCCTATTTATGTCCCCTGGAGCAAGGGGTATAAATGATTTTAAAATCATTAGCAATAATTTATATCAACTTGATATACATATTTATTTCCAACCTATGAGGTTTTTTTATTTTTTAAATAAATTTTATTGTGCATATTTGAGGTTTACAACATGATGTTGTGGGGTACATATAGATAGTAAAATCGTTACTATAGTGAAGCAAATTCACATATCTGTCATCTCACAAGTTACTTTTTTATGACAAGAACAGCTAAAATCTTATTTAACAAAAATTCTGAGTCCCGTACAGTTTTGTTAACCACAGTCATCATGTCTTACATGAGATATCTAGACTTATTTATGCTATATACAAGTCTAGTATATAGCAAGTCTAGTATATACATAGTCTATACTTTTAAACTATGGATTAATTTTCTATCTCTACATTTGGCCACATTTTCAATGAGTTTATCAAATATTTAACCAATTCACAAGATTTCTACAATGTTTTTCCAGCTATGTTAGGTTAAGGATGTAGCCAAAAGTAGTGTATGTCCATTCTCACAGCACTATGAAGAAGTACCTGAGACTGGGTAACTTAAAGGAAAGAGGTTTAATTGACTCACAGTTCTGCAGGACTGGGGAGGCCTCAGAAAACTTACAATCCTGATGGAAGGCAAAGGAGAAGCAGGCCCTTCAGGACAGAGTGAGTGCCAGCAGGGGAAATGCCAGACGCTTATAAAACCATTAGGTCTAGTGAGACTCACTCATTATCACGACAACAGCATAGGGGAAACCACCCCCATGATTCAATTACCTCCACCTGGTCCCACCCTTAACACTTGGGGATTATAGGGAATTACAATTCAAGGTGAAGGATAGGGACACAGCCAAACCATATCAGGTAGGAAATTCCAGGAACTTTAAAAAAGTATAGAAAGAATAACATTTTTTCCTTTCTTATTGTCAGAAATTGTAGGTATATTCGTATACTTCTTCAGCTCTAGGCCTATGGGCCCATTCTAATTTGAAAGATTGTTTACACAACCTACTCGGTTTGCAGAAGCCTATGAAATCATTTCAATTAATTATTCCTTATAACCCCATCTAGTTCAGTACATTAATATTGCCTTAGCATTTTCATGAAGAATATATTTATCAGGCATAAATGTGATAACAATCCTTCAGAAACTATACAACACACCATCCTTGTGAACATTAAATTCTTTTAATTACAATTCATGGACTGACTGCTCTTAGAACCATATCCAACTCATTACTCAAATGACTCAGTAAGGTTGTTTTGATTCATTCTGGATAGCCATATAGAATTTGTTCACAATTGCTCCATGATTAAGCTCTTTAAATGCAAATGAAATACACACTAATTTGGATGTGACCAAAAGTGTATGTTTAAATACCTTGACATTTATTTTCCAGAAATCAAACCACAGATGAATCTATGGAATTCCAGGCAAACCAGAGGGTAGTTGACAGTTTAAAGGCCATCAAAGTTGGCCAAATCGTTGTTTTATATCAGAATTGGTGGTAAATCCACTGCTGAGGCTCTAGGGCCCTAAGACTCAGAGGCGAAACCTACACCAGATGGCTGGCAATCAAGGAACCTGGCACAGTCACCTGCAAATGGCCCCTGAAGCACAAAGTAGCAGAAAAGAGAGAATTTACAGAACCCCCTGTAAGATCATCATGCAAATCTTCTGGACCTTGGTGAATCCCAAATAAATAAATAAAGGGATAAGGAAATAAGCAAATAATGATAAATGAAAGTTTTGATTCTGCATGGGGAAGATGATATTTGCAGCCTTGGGGTAATTGGAGCAATTTAGTTGGTCCATGACTGTAAACACATTTTCCCCCAGTATAGAATAATGAAGTACAAAGCAAAATTTAAAAGCTCTTTATAAAACACCAGCCTCTCCACTGGATTCTGTTCCATCTCTATATTTGGCTGTATTATAATTCTCTGCATTCTGAACTACCTTTTATTTATTTCCAAAAGAAAAGAAAATGTTTTAACCACCATACACAGACAAATGACAAATAGCTCCACAAGAAGTATTATTCCTGTGCAGAATAACATTATGGCTCAACCATCTAATCCAGTATATAGAGAAAGGGTTTAAATGATTAATTTTGCAGGTGTGGATTATTTACTCTGAAGATCATCTATATTAACTTAAAAATCAGAGTCATTCACCACACTCCTGATTATCTTTCCACAGTGTTCAAGTTTTTACTCAGGGAACACAAACCCATTATGGTCTTAGACAAACATAATAAGGATGATATAAAAGGATGATTTTCAAAAGTCACATAATGCATCTCAAAGCTATATATTAATATATTAGCTATATCATGGCTCCTTTTCATTGCAGAAGGCTGTCAACAATTACCTTCATTTGAAAAAGAAGCAAAGAAGGCATGGTGGCACATGCCTGTGGTCCCAGGTACCCAGAAACCTGAAGCACGAGGATCACCTGAGCCTGGGAGGTCAAGGCTGCAGTGAGCCATGGTCATGCCACCGCACTCCAGCCTGGACAACAGAATAAGACCCTGTTTCCAAAAAAAAGAGAGAGAGAAATTCTAGGCATCTAATATACAGCATGGTGACTATAGTTAATAATGTGCAATTATTTTATTTTGAAATGGAGTCTCGCTCTGTCACCAGGCTGGTGTGCAGTGGTGCAATCTCAGCTCACTGCAACCTCTGCCTCCCGGGTTCAAGCCATTCTCCTGCTTCAGCCTCCTGAGTAGCTGGGATTACAGGCATGCCCCACCACACCCAGCTAATTTTTTGTATTTTTAGTAGAGACAGGGTTTCACCATGTTGGGCAGGATGGTCTTGATCTCTTGACCTTGTGATCCACCCACCTCTGCTTCCCAAAGTGCTGAGATTACAGGTGTGAGCCACTGCACCCGGCCAATTTTTTATTTTTTATTGAGGTAAAACATATGTATAAAATTTACCATCTTTACACTTTTTAAAAACAATATACAATTTTTAGTTGTCAATTATTCCTCAATAAAGCTGGGGGGAAAAGAACAAAAAAAAGTCTGTGAGATGTCCAACGAACGTGTCAGGCTAAGGGAAATGGAAAAATCTGGAAGGAGCATTGGCTTAGGGCAAAGGCATCATTCTGCACATCACTTTAGAAGTGCAAGTATATCGGCAGAATGGAGTCTCCATTCTGCTGCAACAGTTTTCTTCCCAGATTGCTTTTGGTGCTGCTTTGTTTAAAATACAATAGATATACTTACTCACATAATTCATGTGTCTGACTTCCTGCCACGTCAATATTTATTTACGCAAATCAATCTTGTTGCTTCGCCCCTGAGGGCAGGTGGTCAATTTGGGTCACTATAAAGCAAATTTACAAGATGTTTTCTCTTATGGATCTTTTTCTTTTTATTTTCTACACAATTTATTCCTGGTCTCCTCTTTTATGACCTCATTTCTTGGTTTAGATTTCAGTTTCTTACTCGTAGATGCAAGCCTAACATGATTTTATAGCTAAATCATGCTGGAGCTTTGGTTTGTGTGTTTTTCTGCAGGCACTACATGTACATAGTAAGAGCCCAGGCCTAGATTTAAATCTGGGATCTGCTACCTACTGGATAAATGACTGGGACAAGTTACTCAACTTCTATAAAATGGATATAGTAATGTATACTTAATGCACACCTTAATGAAATAAGATAATTCATGCAAATTACAGTACCTAAAATACTAAGCACTCAAAAAAGAATTCTTATTATTACTATAACTGTCATTAGAATTAATTTTACTTCAATATAGAACATAATCCTGTGACTAATGATAGCATTATCTACATTTACATATTAAGAATGCTTAAGAGATGGACAAATGTGTCAAAGAATACATTTTGATGCTCATTGTCCAAACCTCCTAATTCTGTAAATATCTGTAGTGGGCAGGTAACTTCTCTGTGGTCATGCAGCTCAAGAGTGGTCCACATCCACTAGCCCATCCCAGAGTCTTCTGTCTTTCAGGCCAGTGAGGGACTTATCTACCTTTTTGCAGAAGTAGCAGGCTGGGGAAGATCTGGAATTACTACCAAAGTCCAGTGTGATTTTAACATGTTCCTATAACCAATGCTGTGTGGCAGTATGAATGAGTTAGCACACAGGAATGTTATTGAGGTCTTATAGATATGAAATAGCTGCAGAGGGAGGCTTTACTTTTTAAAAGGCAGTGAAGTGTATTTTGACAAATATTCACTTATATTCTTTCTTTGGAGCTAGAACGTCTCCACTTGGAAAACTTATTTTAATCTTGAAAAAAATCTTTTCTTTTTTTTTTTTTTTGGATACAGAGTTCTGCTCTTGTTGCCCAGGCTGGAGTGCAATGGCGTGATCTCGGCTCACTGCAACCTCTGCCTCCTGGGTTCAAGCGATTCTCTTGCCTCACCCTCCTGAGTAGCTGGGATTACAGGCATGTGCCACCACACCCAGCTAATTTTGTATTTTTAGTAGAGATGGGGTTTCTCCATGTTGGTCAGGTTGGTCTCGAACTCCCAACCTCAGGTGATCCGCCTGCCTCTGCCTCCCAAAGTGCTGGGATTACAGGCGTGAGTCACTGTGCCCGGCCAAAGAACCCTTTTAAGAGTATTTTTTAATCATACAAGTCTGAAGCAAGTCCTCAACACTTTATCTTTGGAGTATACAACAAGATTGTTAACTAGAATCTGAGCTTGGGTAGTAAGTGGATGCAATCACTCTGTCCCTTACCCATAGGTTTGGTAAGTAAAGGTTGAGGTTGTTGGAAATTTGCTTCTAAGGAGTCTTCTGGGATGGAAAGTATTGAGAACACAAAGCCTGAGTTCCATGTTACTGAACCCTGTTGAGTTAGCCCTGACTCAGGCCAGGTTGGAGAGGACCCTGAGATAAAATTCACCATAAGCAAGAGTCACACCTCTGTCTAAACCTAACACCAGGGCGAGGAAGGAACATTTCCACCCACAGCCACAGCAATGGACACTTATTAGCAATAGAAAAAAACTCTCATTGGCAAACAAAGCAATACTTCCAACTACCTGGAATTAGTGGAAGACAAGACTAATGGGCACTAACTTTTTGTTTTCAGTAATCATACTTGACATTCTTGGATATAACAGAAGGAGGAACAAAATAAGATTTGCCGCAAGTAAGGTCAGAACTCAGTTACTATCATTTTCAAATTAAAATAAATATGATTTTAAATAAGAATAAAAAGAACAAAAATAAAATAAAATAATAAAATAAAATAAATGTGATTTTATATGTGGTCAGAGTCTGAAAGACCAAGGACACCTCACTCTAACCACAAATGAAGTTACATTAATAAACCCACCCATGGCTCCGTCAGAGGTTCCTTTCCACAAATATAACTTCAAGATCTTGGGTAGCCTTCACTTTTCCTGGTTTGCTTCTGCCTCTGGTATCTCAGGCAGTCCTCAAGAGGTGCCCCCATGTGCTCCAAGCGCCCCTGGGAGCCATTCCAGTGCCACTCCCACACTGTTGTGAGCCGCCATCTGCCATTTCCTTTAGTGTCTCTTCTCAGGCTTCTCTGGAGGATGGAAGTCTGCCCCAGCTTGCTGAAGCTTTCTTAGGTTGTATTTGTCTGCCTCAGGGCTCCCCCAAACTTGGGCCTCATCCTGACCTCTGACCTAACCTCGGACCCCATCTGTCCATCAGAATTCACCCTGAGGTCAACCTGCTGCTCCCCACCACCTTGTGCTTCCCTCTCTTGGCCACTTGAAAACTAACCCCTTCCTCTATGTCCCCCCCACTTTGAGGGGGTCCCCTTGCAGAACTGTTTGGCCCCCAGGATTTGAGCCTTTCATAGTTCACATTTATAAGGCTGTGCACAAACAGTCAAGGTCTAAGCAAGAGCAGAATTAGTTGGTGACTGACCTAGAAACCCTGCTGTCCCTCAGCTTCAGCTTCTGTCACCAGGTGTGGTTCATTGTTCCAGAAACTTCTTCCCTCAGGATAGATTCTCATAATCTCCCCTAGAGTCTGGATTGTCTTGAGTCCCTCTCTCCCACTTTTTTTTTCTTTTTGAGACCAAGTCTTGCTCAATCACCCAGGCTGGAGTACAGTGGCATGATCTGCAACCTCTGCCTCCCAGTTTCAAGAGATTCTCCTGCCTCAGCCTTCCAAGTAGCTGGGATTACAGGAGCATGCCACCACGCCCAGCTAATTTTTGTGTGTGTTTAGTAGAGACAAGGTTTCACCATGTTGCCCAGGCTGGTCTCGAACTCCTGAGCTCAAGCAATCCACCTGCCTTGGCCTCCCAAAGTGCTGGGATTACAGGAGTGAGCCACCATGCCCAGCCTCTCTCCCACTTTTACCTCATCCATCTCACCTCTCAAACTTGCCTCTATATAACTGACGAATTTTTCTAGATTAGGCACCTTTGTCCCTGTAAATCACCTCATACAAATGTATACCACAGTGTGGAGGTAAGTTGTTAACCTTTCATACCTAGTCTGTAGATTCAGAAAGCTTATGCTATTATACATACACATACATACACACAAACACACAATGAAAATATTTTACATATGTGCATGTATTTTTTCTCTTTGATATAAGTATTCACTGCTATTAATAGAATGTAGCAACAATGAAAAATTAAATTATAAGTTAGGCTTAGAGTGAGGAAAGTAGATAAGGTGAGAGAAGAAATCTTAATAATATAGTTCTTCATAACTTTGATATTATTTTTCAGATGCAAATATTGACATGAGAAGCATAATCAGTGAGAAATATTAACTGGTATCTACTCCCTACAAGGTAAATTTTATTATATTCATACTTTTCTAGAAGTGCACACCCCTTGGGCTTCAATTTCCAAAGTGATATGACTAAGTTTCACAATTATGTTTGTTATATTATTGCAAAACTTACTGAAACTCATTAATTTTCTATGTTGACACATAATTCTTGATTCTAAAAACAAAAAGGAAAGAAGGACGCTTCAGTAAGAATGAAAGCATGACCTTGACTTATGCAATGGAGTTTATCAAGATATATTTTCTGGAACATTATAACCAGAATACCATCAATATCTTCCAAATCATAGTCAATAATAGCTTACCTAATAACACTCCATATTTATGAAGACTGTACTTAATAAGACCCATTCATTTAAAGCCATATTGTTTTTAGAAAGGAAGAAATAGAGTTGCAATGAAATGAAAGTAAATTTCTCAGTCAAAGAGTATGGTATAAGACCTGAAACGAAGGTTCAATATTATGTGGTTCCTTAACATCTGATAAAATTGAAAAGGCCTTGAACAGCCTAATGAAAAGTTGCCCTCCCCACTCTGCTCCATTGACAAGGTCCTCTAGCAAAACAACCCTCCTTATCACAGGGACCAAACGCAGCTCCTGCTCCTCCCTGAGTAGCAGGCTCCTGTTCCCTGTCAGCCCACAAAATTATTCAAACAAGCCAATCACATCCTCCTTTGGGAGCCATGAGCCACCGTGCCTTCTTGATACTACCAAGCCTGCCTCCCACAGCTCTTGTTTGTTCAAAATGTTCCTTAATGCAGCCCCTGTGTGACAACCCTGCATGGGCCAGTGTCCTCCTGCCTCAGGCTGTGAGAATCTGTAACTAAGAAACTGCTGTTAATCTCGCCTGTCTAATGTCTGGTGTTGTGTGTCAGGCCATCCCCGTAACTCTAGGGCGGGAATCTCTCCTTCATCAATGGTAAAAACAAACAAACAAACAAAAGTGATCAAAATGCAAGGCAAGTACATGACAGAGCAGGCGATCCTAGCCAGGCCTTAAGACTCCACAGCCACAGCTATCCAGACCTCCAGAGCTATCCCTACCCCATGAATGACAGTGAGCACTTAGTGAGAAATATCCAAGCATCAGACTCTGTGCTGAGCTCATTTCAGCCTCACAACTGTCATGTGAGGCAGGCAGTATTGTTCTTCCCATTTCACAGACAATGAGATTGAAGCTCAGAGAAGCTAGGCAACCAGATAGTGTGATGGACCCAGAGTCTGCACTCTTAACCCCACCGCCAAAAGAAACACTGGCCTTGGAATGAGTGATAGATAGATAGATAGATAGATAGATACATAGATACATAGATACATAGATACATAGATAGATGGATAAATAGATATACACACACATATATATATGTATATATAATATAGATTTTACATACAATCTTCACCAGGTGCAAAGAGTTGAAAAATATAAGCTTATAAATACAAAGCTGGGCTTATATTATAAATGTTACTGATTTTAGTTCTGCTAACCACCAAAGAAAATAGCAGTGCCCACTGAGCGTACAAAGTGAAAGAGCATTATCCATTGCCTCAAGCATGGATAAGGAAGAGCAGCACACAATTCATGTGTTACTATCCTGTGCAGTCATAATTTTTATTAAGTATTTGAAAATAACTTAGTATTGTTTAGGTCCTCTCTTTTTTCTATGCTAAACACAGATTTAATTATACAAAATGATATGTCCAGCTCAAGCTATCTCCACACCACTTCTTGAATTCAGCTGTTATGCCTCCATCTATCTTCTGAACATCTCAGTTTCAAACTTGGCACATTGCATTTTTATCCATGTCTTTTTCCCTAAACTATGATCCGTTTCTGAGTAGCGATCAGGTCTTACGCATTTCTTTTTACATCGACAGAATCTAACTCAGTCGTTCAATAAATGTTTTGGAATATGAAGAAACAAATGAACATAAAAGTAAAAACTTTTAAGCAAGAAATTGTTTATTTAAAACATATTAAGTATCAGTAGCTACTTTATCCAAAACTATTTCTTTATTTAGCGGCTAGATTTTTCTGAATATTTTGATATATGTTTGGAAAAGAATTTACAGTTTTTATACAAACTGATAAAGTAGATACCTGAAAATACTCTTTAAGAACTTGTCATCTTAACAAAGTGTGCTAGGCCGGGTGCAGTAGCTCACACCTGTAATCCCAGCCCTTTGGGAGGCTGAGGCAGGTGGATCACCTGAGGTCAGTAGTTCGAGATGAGCCTGGCTAACATGGTGAAACACCATCTCTACTAAAAGTACAAAAATTAGCCAGGCATGGTGGCGGGCACCTGTAATCCCAGCTACTCAGGAGGCTGAGGCAGGAGAATCACTTGAACCTGGGAGGCAGAGGTAGCAATGAGCAGATATCCCACCATTGCACTCCAGCCTGGGCAATAAGAGCTAGACTCCATCTCGAAAAAAAAAAAAAAAAAGTGCTAACTTAAAACTAGTATCTGTTATAAGATTCATATGTCATCTGGGAACACAAACACATGAGCACATGCAAGCACAAGGTCAATCAACTGAAACTGTTCACCACCAACACTGAAACAGAATGTTCTATGAAGCAGAGAGCTGCTTGCTGAAAATATTTAAAATGTTCAATGACTACCTATCAAGGATGTGGAAAGGAAATTTTCTGTCTGAGTAAAGGTTGAATCCAGCCTTTCTCTCAAAGCAGTTTTAGTTATAAAACTATGTGATTTCACAGAAACCCCAAACATCTTATCATTTTAATAGAAACTGGTTTTAGAATTTCTTCCTTTTTTCCTCTTGATTCACTTCTGAAAAAAAGAGTGCTCATCTAAGCACTAGGCTGTTGCCACAATTCTAGAAATATTTCTAGAAAGAAATATTTGATAAAGCACAGCCTCACTGTAGGCAATTTTTAACCCAGTTCTCAAACGTAAGTCTGTAATAATCACCTAGGGAGGTTATCAAAGTGCAGATTCTAAAGCCCACACTATACTTCCCAAATCAGAAATTATAACCAGTAGATTCAGAATGTGGCTAAGAAATCTGCATTTTTATCGGGTAAAGATCTGCCTCTTTTGAGGATTATATCAACTCCACATGGAAAAATACTGCTTCAGAAAATGTAAAATCCGTTTGAATAATTCCTTAGTCCCTTCCAGCTGCTATGACAAGATACCCATAGATTGGGTAGTTTATAAACAATAGAAATTTATTTCTCACAGCTCTGGAAATTGAAAAGTCCAAGATAAGGTGCTGTCAGATCCAGTGTCTAGTGAGGACCTGCTTCCTGGTTCATAGATGGCACCTTCTCACTGTGTCCTCGCAGGAGGGCACAAGCAAGAGTCTCTCCTAGTCCTCTTTTAGAAGAACACTAGTCACATCCGGGAGGGCTCTGCCCTCATGACCTAATCATCTCCCAAAGGCCCCACCTCTGAATAACATCACCTTAGGGATTAGGATTTCAACGCATGAAGTTTGGGAGGACACAAACATTCAGACCATAGCAAACAGAACTTAAATTAAAGATTTTTTTTGTTAAATCATTTATGACGATGTGCAGAATGATCCCAAGTGAAAGAGTCTGTTGCCAAGAAAATGTGTTAAAATAATCCAGTTGAAGCAGACCATCAGTGGAGAAATGGAAAGAGGATGGTTAAAAAAAGACAAAAACATTTAGGAGGCTCGATATGCACAAGCTAAATCAATAAGACTTAGTGATTTGAGAGTGAGGCACAGTGCTGTAGAAAGAGCTGAGGGGAGAGACCAGGAGTAGGACATCTCTCCGGATTCAAGCTTTGGAGATGAACCAGCTGCAGATGCCACTAACTGAGAGAGTTTCTGATTATTCATCAAGTTTGTGAAACCCAGCAGGGATACTGCCAATCCATACAGTATTTTTGTAAAAATTAGAAAAGTCACCGCTTTATAGGTAGAGGTATGCCTGTGAGCACAGCTGGGTAAATGAACAACTCCTTTCGGCAAATGAGAAGATAACCCCACCTGTGAGCAGACACAGCCCTGTGCCTACTACTAGGGAACAAAAACAAGGGCTGAATGTGAGCCCCACTTGACCCTCAGTTAAGGGGCCGTCATAGAAAGTACAATGTGTTTGGCCCACTCAGTCGTTCAATAAATGTTTCGGAAAATGAAGAAATAAATGAACATAAAAGTAAAAACACTAGGAAGATTCAGGATAGCCCTGGGAATGGATGGATAAAGCCAAGCAAGGTGAAGTCACCAGGTAGAACAGTTTCCAGGAATCATGAGGTAGCTTGTTGGATGAGCTGCCTACATGCACGAAGAGTTCTTCTAAGATTGTTTCCCTAAAAGGCCCTCTACAAGCCTCAGGGAAGCCCTCACACCTCTTCCGAAGCTAAGTCAGAAACTACTGCAGTAAGGCCTCATTTTAGTGAGGGCTTTGCTTTAGATTCACTGCTATGAATCTAAAACCACAGATAACTCTCATGACACTGCAGGACTGAAGAAGGTGGGGATACCATCTCATTCATTGCTGTGTTTCCTGGGAGAGCACCTGGTTCATAGTTAGCATGATGCCATGGTGCCTAAAGCCCAGTATTCAATAGCATTCTTCAATCACTTTCAAAAACAAGATTTGGGGTCCTTCTTCTTGTTTTAACCTTCCCCAATACTGACAAATAACCTTCCCCAAAACTGTCAGATGACACTAACAAGACTAACTTTATAAATGACGTCACTCGATCAATTCCATCAAAACCCAGTAAATAAAATAGGCTTCCTTTGGAAATTTCTTAAGGAAAAATCCTGCCAGGTATTTTATTGTATCCCTCTTTCTGTTACCCCAACTTGCACGTCCTTTGGTAACACAACATTTCTCTAATTTTTATGAGCTCTGGTCCTGGACCTTTAACAAGTTATTTTATATACCCGACCTGGATTTTCCCTCTTTCTTCCATGGTGTCACATTTCTATCACAGTCATTTAATTTTCTTGCTCTTTTGACAACAATGCTTACATTGTTTTGCCTCAAGGGCCACGTCAAATGGAAACAACAGAGATGTCAGCACCTGTATCCTAAGTCTGTGCCTTAATGTATCATTTGGTTCATTATTTTACAGAGTTTACATCCACTGTAGGAATGTTGATTCTTTCATTAGAAAAAAATCTCAATACTACTGCTTTTATTTCTTTTGTACAACTGCTGCTATTAGTGCTCATAACTATGTCTAGAAGATCTAAATAATATAGCAAAAATACTTGAGAACTACCATCAATATATATGTTTGTGTGTATTTTCGCTTTTAAAATTAAGCTATATTCTCTTAAAAAGAACAATGCTTCAGCTTACTTTTATTATTATTAATTATTATTGTTGTTGTTGTTGTTGTTTGAGACAGGGTCTTTCTCTGTCACCCAGGCTGAAGTGCAGTGGTGTGACCATAGCTCACCAGTGTCGAACTACCAGGCACAAGCAATCCTCCCACCTAAGCCTCCCAAGTAGCTGAGGCATCACCACAGCCAGCTAATTTTTGTATTTTTTGGTAGACACAGGGTCTCACTATGATGCTTAGACTGGTCTTGAACTCCTGGGCTCAAGTAATCCTCCCACCTCAGCCTCCCAAAGTGCTCAGATTACAGTCATGGGCCACCAAACTCGGCCTAATTATATATATATATAAAATATATATTATAATATATTGATAAATCCATAAAAACAAAATAAAACAATAAATCAATAAATCAATAAAAACAAAAATACTGTAAAGATTAAAACAATAAAAATATATTTTTAGAGATAGAGGTCTTGCTATGTTGCCCAGACTGGTCTTGAACTCCTGGCCTCAAGTGATCCTCCAGCATCAGCCTCCCAAAGTGCTGGGATTACAGGCATGAGCTACCTTGCCCACCCTTAACTTTTAAAAGACAAAGTTTCTAGGGAAAGGGAGAGCAGAGAAGACAGAATAAATAAGTATTTACTGAATGTTTACTATAGGAATTTACAAGGTTTCTCATGACACCCTCACAATAATTCTTGAGATTAGCATTACTCTTCCCATTTTATAGATGAGAAGCTTCATAAAGACTAAGTAACTTACTGCAGGTCATAGATAATATCATAGTCAATAGATGCCATAGATAACGGTAAAGGTAGATCAAGGATTCAATCCCTGGTATGTCAGGTTCTTGCCATGCTACCAACCTTGGACAGTTTTGATGCAATTCAATTTTTTCTTAGCAAGACACTACAATCCACTTAGAGAATATGACATACTAGTGTCATGTGAATGTGACACTAAAGAAACAAACTTAGGTCCGGATTGAATCACTTTGCAGTCTGACTGTTTGACATGAAAGACAGTACAATGGCTCCCAAGCATTCATCTATTTACCAAGAGTCTCCTACAATGATATGGGGTTTATGGTAACAGATTAGCGTCTGTAGTTCATAATCCAAAAGCACTTTTCATGAAAAGCCCAAATGCTAGTGGCAGCATATTTGCACATTTGTTCTATAAAAGATAAACTTGTATCTTAGTTAAACCATGAAGACAAGTTTATTTTTCTTCACTTAGCTTAGTCCCTAGGATATTATTATCCACCCTTTTTAACTCCATCTGCTCTTACGACTGGAGTCACAGCATCTATTTGGTGGAAGCCTGGATTATGTTGATCATTCGGGGTTCCATATGCTTCTGGGGCCATGATTACCATATTGCTTGACTTGCAAATCTCAAAAACAAAATTATTAAAGAAACAAAATGCCAGGAACTCAAAACACTGAAGACAAAAATGTAAATAAATCCAGGGAGAAGTGCTGGCTTAAATTATCGTTGAAATATATCCTTAAAAATTTATACACAGAGAGAAGCTTTTCTCTTCCCAGGGTCTAATGAAATGCTAGTGTCACAAACAGCAATATTCGTAAAGAAAATCTTCACCAATAACATTTGACTTTTTAAGTCCATGGATATATTTTCCACATCAAGTAAATACCAGCATTCCATTTTCATTCAAGGTCAAATGTAGTTAGTACATTATAATTTTCTAGAGTTTAGGTGGCACATGTTAATTGGCTTTTGTCGCCTGTTGAGAGATATTAATAAGCAATAAAGACAAATAATTGAGAACCAAAATAAGCACCCTGCTATACACACTGACCCAGGTCACAGGCTTGAAGTTAGAGACTGTGAGAGAGATGATGATAATTTATTAAATGTGCTTTATAGAAGAGCAATTCAATTGGCTCAGGAAAATGAAGTCATTCATTCAATGAGTATTTTTTGTGCATCTATCTATATACCCTTCTAGGCATTGGAATACAGCAGAAATAACCCAGAGATGATTCCTGTCCTCAAAGCATTTATATACTGGGGTGCTGAGTGAAGGTAGACAGTAAAAACAAAACAAGAAAGCAGGATTGCCATAGGTCATGCTAAAGGCTATAAAGAAAATATTCAGAGTGACGGGAAGCACCTAGGAGTTGGAGGGGAACAGGTGAAGGGACAGGTCTTTACGAAGTAATCAGGCAATCACCCTTTACGAGGGTGGTGTTTTGGCTAAGTCTGGAGTGAGAAGGAACAAGGCAAGAAAAGGCCAGAGAAAGGTGTGCTGAGCAGAGGGAAGAGCAAATGCAGAGACCCTGAGGCAAGAGAGAGCTTTCTAAGTGAAGGGACAAGAATGGAAGCAAGATGGCTACAGCACAGTGAGTAGGGAGGAGACTGGCCTACGATATGGTTAAACAGGTGTGCAGGAGCCAACCTCCTAGGGCCTGTGTGGCATGAAAAGCTTATGAATGGTAAAGTAGAAGCTTCTTGTTACTTAGTTGATACGTAAAATTAATGCAGTGCATCTGAGCCAGCTAGTGAGTTAGAAGAAAATAATAATATTAATAGAATTTTGGAGTTGGAGGGGGATATACAGATTATCTACTGTACCCCTTGTTTTATAGATATTGATCATGAGGCACAAGGGAGGGACAGAGGGGTCAGTGAGGCAGGAAGTCAGAACTCCTTGTTCTCTGATGTATAGTGACCTTTTTGTGATGCCTGCAGGCTTATGGTTTTTACCACTCAAGACCCTCATGGCATTTTCCTAGCCCTTATCCCATGGCAAACATCTAATGACTAAAGAAAGCTACTCAAGGTCTTTGCAGAAGATGGAAATGAAAAAGGACAAGGAGTGTTCCTGCAAGCCCATTGGAGGGATGACTTGAAGGTCCTCAAGATCTGCTCTTGCTTGGAACTACAGGAAGAGACAGGGACAAAGATTTGAGGAATGCTACATGAAGGAGAAATCTGATGAAATCACAGAGAATGGGAAATCCCACAAGCCAAGATAACCATAAGTAGCAGATATTAATAGGTAAAGCTGGAAAAGACTTGAAGTTTGCAAAAGACTCAAAATAAAACTATAAAAAAGACATTAAAAATAACTTCAAAAAATTAGTATTATAAAAATGTCCCAATTATTGATTGTCAATTAGGTTGAATTATCTTCCTAATGTATTTAACCCTCTTTTCAGTTCTTTATTGATAAATCAATAAAAACAAAAATACTGTAAAGATTAAAACAATAATATAATAATATAAGGACATTTGACAGGATAGTTAACTGTGCAACAGATTAATAAGCATTAAGACAGGCACTCTCTTTCTGGAAAGACAGAGATTGCACTGGTCTAGTCAAGGTGTTTATCGCTTTGGGGGCAAGAAACCAGACCAAATAACTTTATAATGCTGCTTCTTACAAAACCATCATTTTGTTCCCCCTGAATGCAGAGCATGATTAGCATAGTCCAAACCCTAAAAGGGAAAAGGAAAGCAGATTTAAACTAACATCACAACAAAATAAGATAATTGCAACTTGGAAGTTGTGATAGTCAGACATAGTAGTGCTTTTCATGTCGATATCAGTGTGTCAGGCACACCATGATTTGTATACCCCTGGGATTACATTGGGAAAAACCCAGCCACTTATTTCAATCAAATTGATGAGAGCAGCCATGATTGAAATAAGCAGAGAATGCTTGAGGAAAAATTTGCTTAACACACACAGCTTCACATAAAACAGTCTTCTTACATCTCCTTAAATCACATATTTGTTAACAACATGAAAAAAATCTAAACAGTCCCATTTTCAAATTGGTGGGGAATGCAAGTAATGACACACAGAAAATGGAAAGCTTATGCTTCAGAAAGCTTCATTCTGTCAGATTTCTAAATTATTTAAGTAACAATCACATTTATACTCTTCTCACTCTTTTTATTTTAATAAAAATGATACATCACGAAAATCCTTTTTCAGAACATCATTTAACAAAATACATATATAGTCCTATTCAATTTATGTATGCACTATGCATGGTCTCCAGATATTGGAATATTTAAAGATCATGTACTTCAATTTCAGGAAGATAGGGTCCTTTAGTAAGTTGAATGGTGGCCCTCAAAATGATGTGTCCACACCCTAATGCTCAGGAATATGTGACTGTGACCTTATTTGGAAAAAGGGTCTTTACAGATATAACCAAGGATCTCAAGATGACAGCATCTTGGATTATCCAAGTAGGATTTAAATCCCATGACAAGTGTCCTTATAAGAGATGTACGAAGGAGAGACATAGAAAGAAGAGAAGGCCATGTGAAGATAGAAAAAGGGATTAAAATGATGCAGCAGCCACAAGCCAAGGAAGACCTGGAGCCAACAGAAGCTGAAAGAGGCATGGAAGGATTTGCCCCTGGAGCCTTCAGAAGGAGCATGGTCCTGCCAAGCCCTTGATTTTGAATTTGTGGTCTCTAGAACTGTAAGAGAAAAAAATTTCTCTTTGACCTAAGAACAAAAGGGTAAGTTCAATACGAGATGGAAATTTTAAAAAATCCAAATTCTAAAAGAGCACAATAAATGAAATTTTAAAATACAATAGAGAGCACAGTAGCAGAACTGATCAAGCAAAAGAATCTGTGAACTCTTCAATAAATACTGCTGGGAAAACTGGCTATCCACATGGATAAAATGCAAAAACAAAAAATGGATCTTTATCTCACATGCAAAAAAATGAAATTGGATCCTTCTCTTACACTATACACAAAAATCAACCCAAATTAATTAAAGCCTTAAACATAAGACCTAAATCCATAAAATTCCTAGAAGAAAACATATAAGAAAAGTTCCATGACATTGGTCTGGGCAATACATTTTTTTGGATATGACACCAAAAGCACAGGCAACAAAAGCAAAAAGAAACAAATGGGACTACATCAAACTAAAAATTTCCTATACAGCATATGGAACCAATCAACAAAATAAAAAGAGAACCCAAGGAATAGAAGAAAATACTTCCAAACCATATATCTGATAAGGAATTAGTATCCAAAATATACAAGGAATTCATATACTCAATAGCAAGAAAACAAAAAAAGCCCTATTATAAAATGGGCAAAGGAACTAAATAGACATTTTAGAAAACATACAAATGGCCAACAGGTATGCAAAAAATGGTCAACATCAGTAGTCATCAGAGAAATTCAAATCAAGATCATAATGGGATATCACTTCATGCCTGCTAGGATGCCTATTATCAAAATGTCAAAAGATAACAAGCGCTGACAAGAATGTGGAGAAAAGGTAACCCTTATATATTGTTGGTAGGAATATAAAATGATATAGCCATTATGTAAAACAATTTGGAGGTTCTTCAAGAAATTAAAAATAGAAATATCATATAATCCAGCAATCCCACCCCGGATACATATCCAGAGAAAATAAGGTCACTATCTTGAAGAGATGTGCATGCTCATGTTTACTGCAGCATTATTTACAATAGCCAAGATAGGAAAACAACCTAAGCGTCCACGAACAGGTGAATGGATAAAGAAAACCCATAAACATATAAACAGATAGAATACATATATATGCAATAGAATACTATTAATCCTTTAAAAAACTAAGAAGGGAATCCTGCCATTTGCAACAATATGGAAGAACCTGGCAGATATTATGCTAAAAATAAGTCAGACACAAAAAACAAATATTGAATGATCTGACTTAAATGTGGTATCTAAAAAGTCAAACTTACAGAAACAGAGAGCAGAATGGTGGTTTCCAGGGTCTGGGAGTGGGGGAAATGGGGACATGTTAGTTAAAAAAATACTTACTTGCAGCTAAAAGGTGAGTAAGTTCTGGAGACCTAATGTACAGCATAGTGACTATAGCTAAAAATTATGTATTATATACCTGAAATTTGCTAAGAGAGATCTTAAGTAGGCTCATCACATACACACACACATACACGTAACTATGTGAGGTGATGGATAGGTTGATTAGCTTGATTGTGGTAATCATGTCACATTGTACATGTATATCAAAACATCACATTGTACACCTTAAATACATACAATTTTTATTTGTCAATTTTACTTCAAGAAAGCTATAAAAAAGATTTCTAAAAAGATATTTAGTAATCAGGTAAATGCAAATTAAGACCACCATGAAATACCAATTCATATATATATGAGATTGCCAAAAATGTTAAAGGTTGATAATGTCATGTGTTCACAATATGGGGTAGAGTAACATATAACCCAATATTCATTAACAAGATGACTCAATCAAACTATGCCATGTTCACACAAATTGAATTTTATATGGCAATGAAAATGAAATAATGCTACACAGCATTAATGACTTAGAAATAATTTCAAGTGAAAAACAGCTAATTGTGTAAAATAACATAATTATTTATATGATGCTCAAAATCCAGCAAAACCAAAAAATATATTGTTTAGTAATACAGGCATAGAGTAATAATCGACATTTTTATTTTTTATTTTTATTTATTTATTCTTTGATACGGTGTCTCGCTCCGTCACCCAGGCTGGAGTGCAATGGCACGATCTCAGCTCACTGCAACCTCCATTTCCAGGGGTTCAAGCGATTCTCCTGCCCCAGCCTCCCGAGTAGCCTACCACTGCACCCGGCTAATTTTTGTATTTTTAGTAGAGACAGAGTTTCGCCATGTTGGCCAGGCTGGTCTCGAACTCCTGATCTCAGGTGATCTGCCTGCCTCAGCCTCCCAAATTGCTGGGATTACAGGCATGAGCCACCACACCTGGCCAATAATGGATTTTTTTAAATGGGAGTGATGAAGACAAAATCTATAACACTGATTACCCTTGAGAGGGTCTGGAGACATGACATTCTAGAGGAACATATCAGGAAGTTCAATAGTGACGGTAACACTCTAGTTCTTAAGCTAGATAATGTGTTGATGGGTTTCCATATTGTTATGCTTCATAACTTACATATATGTTACAGAATTTTTTACATAAAAATTTTTACATACAAAATATTAGAAATTTTTTAAAGAAAAATAAGCAATCAACAAATGAACTGACAAAAATTTCATTGTTCTGAAGGGAGAGAGAAAAGCTGCATATAAACAGTTTTGAAACACTGCAGCTGAAAATAACTTTAGCTACAGAAAATAACTTTAGCTAGTTTTCCACCCTAGCTGTATATTAGAATCACTCGGGGTTGTTGAACTTTTTAAAGGAGCAATGCCTAGACCCCACCTGAGACCGAATAAATCAAAATTTATTGGACTGGCAACCAGTCATGGGTTTGTTTATTCTCTTTTGTTTTTGTTTTTATCATTGCCAGATGGTCCTAATATGCAGCCAGGGTTACAAATCATTGATCTAGACCAAACCTCCTATTTTATGTTAGGAAACTGGGGCCAGAGAGAAGTGACTTGCTCTATTAGTGGAAAATTCAGGCTTCAAGCCATCCACTAACTCATCAATATAATTATACTGTCAGGAATTTCACCCAGTTTCTACTAAAACTTAAAAAAAAATGGTAGAAAGAACATAGCCTTAAAAAAAAGATCTTCTGAAAACAGTCACCAATGCCCTGGCATTCCGAATTTTCTCCAGGTGAATAGTACTTAAAGCCTCATCATTTTTCCCTCCCTTTCTTCAGAGGGGGAAAAAACCCACCCTGCTTTATACCTTCTGCTCCACTTTGTACTGATTGATGTGCAGCAAAGCCCAAGAAATCACCCTGAAGAGGTGTCTACCATCCTCACCCTTGTGCTCATCAGTCTTGTTGTGTGTCTGCTACTCAGGTGACAGAGGCCAGTGAGGTGCTAACAAATGTGCAGGGCTTGCTAGAAGTTCTGCACGTTTGTATGAAAAATACAACTTGCAGCATCTTCTTTCTCTAGGCTTTGCCTAGAAAGACTTCAGTGGCAGCTCAAAACATGGTGATATTGTGGGATCCCCAATTATACTCACACGGTGTCCTCAGACAGCTGTTAAGAATACCTAAGGCAATTAGGTCCCTTAAGGCATCTGCTTTCTGCTTCACCAAGCAGAAAACTGAGGAAAGAGGGGGTGATCCTTTGATTTGATAATCAAGTATCTGTCTGCACACTGTCCTGCAGTTGGTTCCAAAGGAGTATCTCCCGGTTGCTGCTTGGTGGCTTTGCTCCAAGCAGTGTCTGCCCCTCTCTTTAATATGCTGCAAGAGGGCGTGACCCCACTAATGGAGGATTTGGTTCTTGTTCTAGAGGAAGGGATGAACCTATGGCAATGCACTGGGTTCATATCATGCCATCAAGATTATCGGTACGCAACCTCCCCTCAACTCTCACACCCACCCTCCCCACCCCCACAACACCAGTGAGATGCCATTTTTCTCTTACAGACTTAATCCTCCTCAGTCCAAACACAGAGTACATTGTGATGGAATTTTATGTCTCTCCTAGACCCCAGTGATAGTAAGATAAATGTTTCCTGGGGACAAACATGTCCCTTACACTTTTACACAAAGAAAGAGGGATTAGGAAGTCTGTAAAGACTTGGATTGTTAATTATAATAAACATCGGCATGTGTCAGCAGTTCCCGTAGTCCCACTCTTAAATCATTACCCAACTTTTCCAATATCATAACTAACTTACTCCAGTTGAATCTCCTTTCCTTTCCCTTATGAATCCAGAATATTTTGCCTAAAGTCAAAAACAAAAGAAAGAGGAAAAATGGATGGAATGATTTCTAACAGAAACAAATTCTAAATAATTGATAGCTGACTAAGGAGAGAAAATATATAACTGACAAAAATTGAATTTTTACTCAGTTTTATTATGTTTCTGTTAAAATGAAGAATTATGCTGTAGATACTGAATTATACCATGTAATTCAAAATGAAGAAGAAAATTATGTTTTTTTTTTAAAAAAAAAAGCTCTGAATATCAGGCTTGCTGGCTAGAGTCTGGATTCATGCTTATGATGTGAGAAGTCCTTTTTTTCATCGAACGAGTCTACCAGCTGGATTGTAAATATGTCCTCTTCAAATATAGTAAAGCTTAATATAATAGGCATTTATATACAACATGCTATGACACAAACTAGCCTTCCTTTTACTACCAAGTTCCTGAAATTTTTGTTATATAATTTACAGGTACCCTATCTTCAATCCAAATAGGGTCGTCCTATGACTGCCAGCCCCTTACTTTTGGATGGGTAATAGGTTTCAACCTGCAAGCATAGAATAAGAACCTAGAGTTAGTGAACTATTATGCACACAATGAGAGAGGGAAACTCACAGGGTCTGAGAAAAGCAATAAAGGCGTTCCCAGCAATGCTGGGCTCTGTGGGGTAGAGGCAAAGCAACCATAAGGAACCTTGAGCAAAAACACGTGGGGAGTCTGGAGTTTTGGGGGTGAAATATTGTGCTCTGTGCACTTTCTTCGACTTCGTACATTTACAAAAGGAAAAAACCATAAACATCATGAAATGAGTTTTCATTGAGCTATCAAAAGAAACTTGTTGAAAGAACGCTGCTCAGTGTGGATGTAAAGTTAGAACAGTCACCAAGGGAAAGAAAGGGGAGGAGTGGGCAGCTGGCAAATAGATTAGGTTACAAAACCTACTGGCTCTCAAGACAAGCCCTTCCGATTAGGTTGGATATGATCTGCTTACTTCCTCCACTGTTGCTTCAATGTAACTGACGTCTAGAACAGTCTTGAATTCTTTGCACCAGCAATAATAATGGGTAACATGTTTTTCTTCTTTACATTTTGCAAAGAGCTTCAAGGTTAACTCATTTACATCCCTTTCACTTCCATCATTGTTAACATCTAAGAAGTGGAACTGTCCTAAGAACAGAAGAAAGAGCCAATAAAAACTGAGAAGCAGGAGATTAGGTGTGAATCCAGGAAAGAAAGCATAGTAAGAGTGTACCAGTGTCATAGTCAACAGCTATGATTTGAGGAAGTTGTGGATCAATATTTACTTAAAACACACTAATTACAGAGAAGAAAATCCATACACATTAGATTTGAAAGAAGCCGTGCAAAAATAATTTGAACCCTATTATCCTGAAATTAAAATATTTTAAAATGCAAATCCTTTTATCGTTAATTTTTCAATATTGTTTTTATAATGTCACCATTGCCTAGAAATATAATTTCAGGGTTACTTAAAGTTTTACCATAAAGAATTAAGGTATGTGTCTTATATCAGCTTTCCGTTTACAAAAACCATGTTAAATATGGCTTTTAATCTATTTGGCATCTTCCGTTATACAAGAGAAAAATGCAAATCATAATTATTCATGGCTCAGTTTAGCAATTTATTCCTTAGAGACCATATTAGTCTGTTCTCATGCTGATAATAATGACATAACCAAAAGTGGGTAACTAATAAAGAAAAAGAGGTTTAATGGACTCACAGTTCCACATGGCTGGTGAGGCCTCACTGTCACGGCAGAAGGCGAAGGAGGGACAAAGGCACATCTTACATGGTGGGAGGCAAGAGAGCATATGCAGGGGAAATCCCCTTTATAAAACCATCAGGTCTTGCGAGACTTATTCACTACCATGAGAACAGTATGGGGAAAACTGCCCCCATGATTCAATTATCTTTACCTGGCCCCACCCTTGACACATGGAGATTATTACAATTCAAGGTGAGATTTGGGTGGGGACACAGCCAAACCATATCAAGAAATTTCTTTTTTTAAGCAACGGTTCTTGGGCTACCCCCACCAGAATCATCTGGGGTACTATGCCTGGGTCTTACCTCTAGAATTCTGATGTTATTGGTCTGGGGTGCATCTTGGGCATGGGGATTTTTAGAAACACCCTAGATGATTCTGATGTGCACCCAAAATTGAGAACCACCAGCCTAGACTCACTAAAGAAAGATTTCTGTGCATGGGCCTTGAACTCTAGGGCCTTACATGATCCCCAGATGATTTTTACACATTTTATTTATTTATTTATTTATTTATTTGAGACAAGGTCTTGCTATGTCACCCAGGCTGGAGTGCAGTGGCACAATCTTGACTCACTGCAACCTCCCTGCCTCAGCGTCCCAAGTAGCTGGGAGCATGGGTGCATGCCATCACGCTCAGCTAATTTTTGCATTAGTAGAGACAGGGTTTCACCATGTTGGCCAGGCTGGTCTCGAACTCCTGACCTCGGGTGATCCACCCACCTCGGCCTCCCAGAGTGCTGGGATTACAGGCGTGAGTCACCACACCCAGCCAGATTCTTATACATATTAAATTATAAGAAAATGAAAAATTTTAATTTACATATATCTGAAAAGAATTCAAAGATATTCAAGTGTATAAAAAATTCAACATCTTCTAATCCTTTAGTCACCTCCCTAGGGAAGGAGTAGGACTAATTCAGCAGTAGATATGATCATTTTAAATACCTCTGTAAAGTGCCTTAGAGTTTCTAAGGATTTCTTTGTAAATTATGTCATTTAATATGACAACAAGCTTATGGAGTCGTCTTACTAAAATTCTTATTTTTAAATATTAGCAAATTTAGGTTCAGGGCTTTTGACTTACCCAAGTGTATCAGCTAGTAAGTGGTGAAACTGTAACACAAAAATCTCGATTTTTTTCCTGGAAAATATATTCTTTCCCTTATATGCATTACAACTATGTTTCCTAGAAGAACATATGGTTCCTAGTCTGATAAACTTGAAAATATTCATACTTCATACTCATGGCCTCTCTTTAATCTTTCTATTTAGATAGTCACAAATAACAATGTTAGAAACAACTTTTATTAACATTTACTTAATGCACAATACATGTTACAGTTGACACAAGAGTTTTCACAAAGAAGAATCATAGAATATAAGTAGAATAGTATAACAAGTATGATTTTAAACTCCTTATTATTAATCTTTTACTTTTACCTATAACATCTCAATGCCTAAGATGGAGCAGAAAAAAAAGAGAAAAAATAGGATAAATATTTGTTAAATGTGGTTGATCAAGACTAATATTTGTACCCCTACCTCATGCTCTGACAATGCCAGTGTGGCAGGTTGGCATAGAAAATTGGAAAATAACACAACAAGAATATTCATAAACACAAAACATATGCTTTTAGTTAAACCACACCCAGAATCCCCACAATGCCTCACGTGGCACAGGGTGGCACATTCTGAAAATGAGCATGTCAGGGAGGAACATCAGAGAGTCCAGTGAGGGGCGTTCCTCCTCCCAGACCTGGCAAAGTACATCTAAAACATCTCTGCCCAGGCTTCTGTCAGTTCACACCTGGACATTCTGACTTAAAACCTGGACTAAACCTGACCTAGCAAAACAGAGTGCCTGGTCCAACCCCACTGGGTCACATTGGAGGGAAAGGAAGAATCTAAGAGTTTGAAGTATGTCCATTTAAATAAGTACTTAAAATAAAACAAATAGACACTTTGTATCAGCCCTTGGCAATTCTGTATTAGACAATGTTTACTACCTAGAAGGGAGATCATAAATGAATTTTAAAATTAATTGAGATAATCTGTTCCTTCATCTTTCAGATGAAGGTCTGACATAATCCTGTGTAATATGTGAAAGTAGCAGAAACAGCCGTTGACTTAAAGTCTTAAAATATTTTTCTTCCAATAGTATTCCCTCCTATATTTTTATTGTGGTAAAACATACATAACACAAAACTTGAGATTTTAATTATTTTTAAGCGTACACTTCAGTGGCATTAAGTACATTCACAACATTATGCAACCATCACCACTATCCATTTCCTGAACTTGTTCATCATCCCAAACAGAAACTATGTACTCATTAAACCATCACTCTCAGCTCCTCCCTCCCCCAGACCCTTGTAACTTCCATTCTACTTTTTTTCTCTATGAACTTGACTACTCTAAGTACCTCATAATAGTGGAATCATACAATACTTGTTCTTTAGTGTCTGGCTTGTTTTACTTAGCATAGTGTTTTCAAGGTGCATCCCTGTTGCAACATGCATCAGAGTTTATTCCTTTATAATAAAAGACTGAATAATATTCCATTGTAGATATATGCTATGCCATACTTTCTCTATCCATTCATGCGTTGTGGACATTTAGAGTGTTTTCACCTTTTGACTATTATCAATAATGCTGCTATGAACATGGGTGTACAAGTATCTGTTTGAGTCCCTGAATTTGCCAGATCACATGCTAGTTCTATGTTTAACTTTTTGAGGCATCATCAAACTGTTTTCCATGGTGGTTGCACCATTTTATGTTCCAACCAGCAGTGTACATGGGTTTCAATTTTTCTACATACTTGCCAACACTCATTATTTACCTCTTTTTTTAAGTAACAGGTACCTAAATGGGTGTGCTTCCAGTATTTTTATAAATTATTTTTTCTTCAAGAATGTTGAGTAAAATAAATTTTAGACTCATTCAACTTATCCAATATTTACCGAAATAAACATTAAAAAGATTATTTTGTAAAGGTGTATTTTTCTTTTCTTATATTTTCATTTATTTTCTAGTTTTTAAAAATAATTACAACAAAGGAGAGAAATAGCGAGTGTTCTCTTTTTTCATTTCAAAAAAAATTCATTACATAATATTTATAGAGCCCTGAAACTTGCTGAATAGAATACATACAATTGAAGGAACTTTATTTTCATCTCACCCTTTCCTTCTCATCTTTTGTTTCTCTCATCTATAACCTGATGAAGTATCATTATAAAAAATACCTTACTCTTTTGACTTTTCCATTTTTTTTAACTTTGGGATGAAGGGGTGTTTTGTGGTGATGGTCTAAAAAGACTGATTGCTGCTATTGAATAAATGTAACCACACAAGTGTTTAAAAAAGATAAGGCTATAGGAGAATAATAAGAAGAATGTAGTATGGATTGGCATAAAGGCCTTTGGATTTAGCAATTGGGTTTCACTGGGAAATTAGTGTTTTTTGTTATGGTAGAGAAAGTTAGCTGCCTGCCAAAATCCTTTCTCCTCTTCCAATTTCCCCTGTACTTTTGCAGCTATGTGTGGCCATGCAATTCGTCCCTGTCAATGAAGGCTTAGGAAATGATGTGTGCCACTTCTGGGTCAACTTCTTTGCTTTAAACTTTAAATTTTGAAATCACTATAGACTCACAGAATGTTGCAAAAAAAAAAAAATGTACAGGAAGACCCCATAAACCCTTCACCCACTCCCATTGATGGCATCCTGCATACATATAATGGAATACTAAAAGCTGAAAATTGACATTTGTAAAATCCATAGAATGTATTTAGATTTGCAAGCACTCGTGTGTGTGTGGTGTGTGTGAGTGTGTGTGTGCAGTCCTATGCAATTCGATCACATGTATAGGTTTGTGTAACTGCCACCCCAATCAAGACACAGAACGATTCTGTCACCTGTGCTAAACCTTTATAATCATGACCTCCCTCTCCCATCCCTAACCCATGCCAACCTCTGATCCATGCTCTATTTCTATAATTTTGTAATTTCAAGAATGTCTTATAAATGGAATCATGTGGAATGGAATCAAATGGAATCACAGTATGCAATCTTTTAGGACTGGCTTTTCCATTCAGCATAATGCCTTTGAAATTCATCAAATTTGTTGCATATATCAATAGTTGCTTGCTTTTGATTACTGAGTGATATTCCATAGTGTGGCTATATCACAGATTGTTTAACTATTAACCCATTGAAAACCTGGTTTGTGTCCAGGTTTGGGTAATAATAAAGCTATGAAAATTCATGTGCAGGTTTTTGCATGAACATGTATGTGTTCATTTCTCTTGAAGAGAGATCCATGAGTTGAGCATTTTCTTAATTGGGTGTGACTCACCAACTCTCTCTTTCTCTTCCACCAGTGAGATTCACACAGCAAGGCACGAGGGATGATAGAGACATAAAGTAGAAGAAGCCTGATTTCCAAATCACTGAGTAAAGGAGAGCTTCCTATTGCTCAGAAATATCTACCTCGGACTTTAAATAAAACAGAGATAAGATTGTACGTGTTTGAGTCGATTTGTTATAGTAGTTTGGCCTATCCTATCTAAAACCACTAACAAATTAAAAATAACCCAATGAATACAACACATTCTAACCCAAGAGCTAAATAAACTTTTCTGCAATCAAATTATATTCAATAAGAACAGTTTTTTTAATTTTAAAAATATTTTGTTAGAAATCGTTATTAAATATTATTTACTTTGTTTTTTAGAAAACAAAATCATACTGCATTATCACAGTAGTAACAGGGGTTGCACAGGTAATCCCTACATTAAATCTTCCTTGACCAGAATGGCTTATTCAATTTCTTTGTTTTTAGCTAGCCTCCCTCTGCTATTACTCTTCCACTGAATTTAACTTGCAACTTCCGCTCACCTATTACCTAGCACTGCAGTTCTCAAACTTGAGCTGCATCAGGATCACGGGGAGGGCTTGTTACAATCAGGTTGCTGGGTCCCATTACCAGAGTTTCTGATTGATTTGCATTTTAACCAGTTTCCCAGGTGATCCCAAATCTGCTGGTCTGAGAGTCACACATTGAGAACCACTGATCTAGAAAATCATAAAAAATAAGATTGTAATGTTTTTCAAACAAGAGAAGCAGGACTCTGAAGCCTACATGAAGGCATCTCTAATGAACCAAATAAGTTGAATTAGATAGCCAGACACTGTAACATCTACTTTAACTATGGAGAAACTGAGTTTTGTTGGAGAAACTGGGTTTTGCTGTTCTTTGGCTGGTTGGTAGGTTTTTTACCACTGGTTTTTCACTTGCTTCCAGCTTCTGATGGAGTCTTGGCACTCAGATCTTAAAGATTATCTAATCCCAAAATAAGCAAGCAGCCCGCTCTCTGTTTTAGCACTTCCAGGGATGGATAACTCACCCTTTTGTTGTTTTCAAATAGTTGAGTCTGTCAGATGGGAAGAATCTAGTTAAGTGTTACTTTTAAATGATGTGAATTAGGATACAAACTGAGACATGAGAAGATGAAACTATCTTAGCCTTCCCTAACAGCCTTTTAAATTAGTCTTTTAAAACTTCTTATATTTTTTCTATTACACATTATTCAGAATAAGATAAAATAAAGAAAGTCATTTAAAAAGAGCCAAAAGGGTTTTTTATATAGGCTCAACAGAGCACTGTGATAAAGTAAGGAGTCAGAGACTGGATTGAAATCATGGTCTTCTATGGATGAGCCATGTCAGTTACTGTTAGCCTGGACTTCATTTGCAATATGGGGATAAAAGTGTGCCCGTGTTACTCACAGGTATAACAAATCATACTTAATCAAATAATATGTATCAAAAGACTCTCTAAATCAAGAGAATCAACTTGTTAGCTATTAATAGCCCAATTAGTAATCTTAACCCTTTTATCTAACTAATATACCATTCTTGCATAGTGTTTCCAGTATCTTAGTCTTTTGGTTAAGCACTCACAAATATATGGTAGAAAAATGCCCTTTTGCCTCCTCCTGCATTTTTTTTTTTTTTTTTTGGGACAGGGTCTTGCTCTGTCGTCCAGGCTGGAGTACAGTGGCAAGATCTCAGCTTACTGCAACCTCCGCCTCCCAAGTTCAATGTATTCTCCTGCCTCAGTTTCCAAGTAACTGGGACTACAGGTGCCCACCACTACACCTGGCTAATTTTTGTATTTTTAGTAGAGACGAGGTTTCACCATGTTGGCCTGGCTGGTCTCAAACTCCTGACCTCAAGTGACCCACCTGCCTCAGCCTTCCAAAGTGCTGGGATTACAGGCGTTGAGCCACTGCACCGGACTTTTTTTTTTTTTTTTTTGATAATACAAAAACAACATAAGTCAGGGTAGTCTCTGTCTCTTGAGAATTTCAAAACAACCGTAATGTTTCTACCTTGGTATCAATAGAAGTGTAGCCTGACAGGATATTAGTAGCTATTTCTGACAGTGGGTGATTGAAATTTTTTTCAGCACCCTTCCCTGGCCCATCCTGCCTGTACTAAATATCAGATTTGCCTTTCTTCTCTTCTTTTTTTCCACAACCAGCTTGAAGGTCTAATCATTCACAATCCCTAGAGGGATTCAATATTAATTTCCTTTGTTCTGTACCCCAACAATGGAGCACTGAATAAGACATTCCCCTATTTTTTTTTGTCAGTAGCTCCTATAAAACATCAAAAGGATGCCTATACTTTTGGCCCAGATGCTAAGGTCCTCTGAGTCTCTCTGTATCCTCCCTACAAAGTGGAATCTCTTTCAGCCTCCCAAGGAAGGTCCCCTGCTGCTGTTGGATTGTGCCAGCACCCCATCCTTCAATGACAGGGCTAGTTCCTATTTTCTCCAACACTGCTCCTAGCTTAGGAGCACCCCAAGCTGGCAAAGCATCTTGTTCACTTCATCTCTGCCCTGTCCTCCAGAAGTGTGCCCTCACTTTCTATGTGGATGACCTAGACTACGTCACTTCTCCAACTTCCCCATGGACCTTCACCCCTGCTCAGTGGTGGAATAGGGGTGGCTGGAGTGTATCCTTGTTCCTCCAGTTCCATGTCAACTCCTGCTTCAGTGCAAGTTTCTCCTCTGCCAAATCTTCCCTTCAACTCCTGCTGGAAACTAATAATGGACAGAAGTGTTTTGCAACTTGCTCTCCTTGAAAATATTAATCCATTTTCTCCTGCCCTATCTTCTAAGGCCAAATCTGAAGTTTTTCAGTGCCTGCAGTATGTTCAGAACAATGGTATGAATAACTTCAGAATCAGCATGATGCTGATTCCCTTCCCCAAGGCCCTACATGACCAGCAAAGTGACTGGTGCCATTCCTGAAAGCCTATGTGTCAATGAAAGAACCTATCAATTTCAGTAATACAAATCTTGTTAAAACCAGGTTTCTGGGCCCCATCCCCAATGTTCTGATTAATTTGAAACCATAATAAATGTCCCAGGTGATACCGAGCTGCTCATATGAGAATCACACTTTGTTAGGCTGTTAATGGTTAAAATGAAAGAAAAGAAGGTTTTCTAAAAGTGTACTGATTAATCAACCTACATAAGTAGACAGTTTTCCACATTCTTACATAGAAATCCAGTTCAATAATTTTAAAAGCAAACATCTTTTATGATGAGCTGTTCAATACTCTGACAGTCAGTCAACTGTGGAGTACAAACAATCTCATTAAAGATACAAAAAGTTTTAGGATGAAAAAAGTGATCATAGCTGAGGCTGCTGTAAGTATATTCATTTACATTATCAATCATAATGTATTTGTTTCTAGTAAGAATGAGAACCCCACTCATCTTGCCGAGTTAGGCCTTTCCCAAGCACCCTCCCCTAAACATTGTAATTGCCCCCAAAAGTAAAGATGAAGTCAGCACCAAGTACCTTCTAAAGCATCCACTGGAAAGAGTGTAAGCCATTAACACATATTTTATATTTTTCTTTTCATTTTTGCAAAGTTTCAAACCCAGAGAATATTACAGTAAATATCTGTGTACATTTACCCAGATTAATCAATTATTATTTTGCCACATTTGCTCTCTGTGTCATCTCTCTCTAGATAGATAGATAGATAGATAGATAGATAGATAGATAGATAGATAGATTATATATATACTTCCTTTCTTAATCATTTGAAGGTTGGTTGCAGACAGCATAATACCCCTAAATATTTCAGCATGCGTCTTTGAAGATAAAAATATTTTCCTAAATAACTACAAAACCATAATCACAACTAAGAAATTCAATATATAAACTGATATACAATTTATATTCAAATTGTTCCAGTTGTTCCCAAAGCCCCCAAATATCATTTATAGTTTTCTCTCTTTTCTTTTTATTTTTAACCCACTATCCGAACTCCACACACTGCATTCTGTTTTTAGGTCCCTCTAATTTTTTTAATTTAAATATTCTCTCTGCTTTTTTTGTGTGTTTTATGACATTAATTTTTTTAAAGAACCCAGGCCAGTTGTCTGTCACAATGTCTCCCTTTCTGCATTTGCCTGATTGTTTCCTCATGATGAGACCAGATGTAACATATTTGGCAAGAATATTACCCCAGTGATACTACATCAAATCTGGAGTCATAGACTACAAGATTGTTCCACTACCAAGAAACACATGGATAAGGTACAACATAAAGCACATTTTCACTTTGTATTAGATAGGTAGCCTGTGATGAGATAGTATGCCCCACCACCTTTCTCCAAAAGATTTAGTATTCACTGATGATCCTTGTCTGATCAATTATTAAAATGGATTACAATGCTGTACTTTTCTTAACCTGTCTTGTCTTCTATATGTATTAGTTAGCATTCTTCCATTTTTATTTTTTAAAAGAGATTTCCATATATGTACTCTACAGGCATAGATCATTTTACTGCACTTCACTTTATTGCACTTTACAGATGTTACTTTTTTTACGAATTGAAGGTGTGTGGCAACCCTGCTTTGAATAAATCTATTCGCATCATTTTTGTAACAGCACCTGCTCACTTTGTGTCTCTGTGTCACATGTTAGAAATTCTCAAAATATTTCAAACTTTTTAATCATTATTATATCTATTATAGTGATCTGTGATACTATCTTTGCTGTTACTATTGTAATTGTTTTGGCTCACCACAACCAAGCCCACGTGAGATGGTGAACTTGGCCAGCTGCAATGGCTCACGTCTGTAATCCCAACACTTTAAGAGGCCAAGGCAGGAGGATGGCTTGAGGCCAGGAGTTTGAGACCAGCCTGGTTAACATACCGAGAACCTGTAACCTGTAGTCCCAGCTACTCAGAAAGCCTAGGTGGGAGGATCACTTGGGGCCAGAAGTTCAAGACTGCAGTGAGCTATGATTGCACCACTGCACTCTAGCCTGGGCAACAGAGCAAGACCTGTCTTAAATAAATAAATAAATAGATGGTGAACTTAATCAGGAAATGTGTGTGTTCTGACTGCTCCACTGACTAGCTTTCTCTCTCTCCTCATGCCTCTCTATTCCCTGAGACACAACAATATTGAAATTAGGCCAATTAACAACCCTACAATGGCCTCTAAATGTTCAAGTGAAAGACAGAGTCACACATCTCTCACCTGAAATACAAAGCTAGAAATGATTAAGTTGAGTGATAAGGAAGGCATGTTGAAAGCTGAGATAGGCAGAAAGCTAGGCCTCTTACGCCATTTAGCCAAGCTGTGAATGCAAAGGAAAAGTTCTGGAAGGAAACTGAAAGTGCTACTCCAGTGGACACACAATTGACAAAAAGGTGAAACAGTTTTATCGTCAATATGAAGAAAGTTTTAATAATCTGGATAAAAGATCACACCAGCCACAACATTCCCTTAAGACAAAGCCTAATCCAGAACAAGGCCCTAATTCACTCCAATTCTAGGAAGGCTGAGAGAAGTGAGGAAATTGCAGAAGCAAAGTCTGAAGCTAGCAGAGGTGAGTTCATGTTTAAGGAAAGAGGCCATTTCCATAACATAAAAGTTCAAGGTGAAGCAGCAAGTGCTGTTGGAGATGCTGAAGCAAGTTATCCAAAAGGTCTAGCTAAGATCACTGATGAAAGTGGATACAAACACTAGATTTTCAATGTAGGTGAAGCAGCTTCATATTAGAAAAGAATACCATCTAGGATTTTCATAGCTAAAGAGAAGTCAATGACTGACTTCAAAGCTTCAAAAGATAAGCTGACTCTCTTGTTAGAGTCTAATGCAGCTGGTGACTTTAATGAAACCAATGCTCATTTACAATTCTGAAAATACTAGGGCTCTGAAGAATTATGCTAAATCTACTCTACCTGTGCTCTATTAGTGGAACAAAAAAGCGTGGATGACATCAAATCTGTTTACAGATGGTTTACTCATTATTTTAAGCCTATTGTTGAGACCTACTGCTAAGAAAGAATGATTCATTTCAAATGATTACTACTCATTGACAATGCACCTAGTCCACCGAAGAGCTCTGATGGAAATGTACAAGGAGATTAATGTTGTTTTCATGCTGCTACTGCTAACACAACATCCATTCTGCAGCCCATAGATCAAGGAGTAATACCTACTTTCAAGTCTCATTATTTAAGAAATATATTTTGTAAAGCTATAGCTACCATAGATAGCAATTATTCTGATGAATCTGGACAAAGTAATTTTAAAACTTTCTGGAAAGAGTTCATCATTCTAGATGTCATTAAGAACATTTATGATTCATGGAAGGAATTCAAAATATCAACATGAACAGGATTTTGGAAGAAGCTCTAATACTCATGAGTGACTTTGAAGGGTTCAAGCCTTCAATGGAGGAAGTAACCACAGTTGGGGTAGAAATAGCAAGAGAACTAGAATTAGTTCTCTTGAATATGAGAATTAGTTCATATCATATCATATGAAATGAGTTCTCTTGAATATGAGCCTGAATATGTGGCTGAATTGCTGCAATCTCATGATAAAACTTAAATGGGTAAGGAGTTGCTTCTCATGGATGAGCAAAGAAAGTGATTTCTTGAAATGGAAACTACTCATGGTGAAGATGCTGAACATTGTTGTAATGACAATGAGTTATTTAGAATATTACATAAACTTAGTTATGAAGTAGCAGTGGAGTTTGATAAGATTGACTCCAGTTTTGAAAGAAGTTCTACTGTGCATAAAAATGCTATCAAACAGCATTGCATGCTACAGAGAAATATTTTGTGAAAGGAAGAGTCAATCAATTTATTGTTATTTTTAAAAATCACCACAGTCACCCAACCTTCAGTAACCACCACCCTGATCAGACAGCAGCCATCAAAATTGAGGCAAGACCCTCCACCAGCAAAACAATTATGACTCATGGAAGGCTCAGATGATAATTATCATTTTTTAGCATTAAAATAGTTAAAAAATAATGTAAGTACATTTTTAGACATAATACAACTGCATACTTAATAGACCATAGTATACTGTAAACATAACATTTATATGTACTAGGAAACCAAATATTTATGTGACTCACTTTATTGCTATATTTACTTTATGGTGGCAGTCAGGAACCAAACCCACATTATCATCTATGCCTCTGTGTGTGTGTGTTTGTGTGTTTGTGTGTGTGTGTGTGTGTGTGTGTGTGTGTGTGTGTGTGTGTGTAACTATAGACTCATGCTTTTACTTTCCCCACCGAAGTCTTGAATCCCTCAAAGTCAGCCATCAGGGTTGGAATCAACTTCTCCCAAACTCCTGTTCAGGGTGATATTTTGACCTCCTCCCATGAATCACAGATGTCCTTAATGGCACTGAGAGTGATGAGTCCTTTCCAGGAGGTTTTAAATTTACTTTGCCCAGATTCTTCAAAGCAATCATGCTTTTACTTTTTATTTAATTTGCTTTAATCCATCACTATAGTTATCCTTTTTTGATGTTTAAATTGTCTAAATTTGACCATTTATATCTGCTTCATACAAAGTCCTGGAGGTGGACACATTCTAATGCTGGTTAGTTTTTTGTTTAGTTGCTTAAGATATTCAATGGAATTTCATTTTAAGTGGATTTTGATATTTTCTATGGGAAATATAATTTAGGTAGTTGGGGAAATTATTCCTTATCTTACGGTAGCTTGAATCAGAATAGTCTGGAATCATACACTTGGAAATACTGACACACAGTATGGTTCTATATTTGATAGCAAGTAGTTCCTTCATTCGATTTTAATGGACTTTTTTTTCAGGGTACTTTAAACTACTAATGCTGAGAGTAAATTTGTGTTGAAGATTAAACAGAATCTCACAACACTTACATTATCTTTTCTTTTACATTTTAAGTCACCTCTATGCAATTTACATTGTTGTAATGGTAACATGTACATTATTATTTGTTACTTCCACCTAATAAGCAGTAACATTATGTAATTCTTCATGGGGCCAGACATAAATTTGAAGATATATGGAGTTTCATATCATATATCATAAAAACAAACCCTATCACAGATTTTTTAATTAGGTATTAATTTGTATTGTAAAAGTAATATAGATACATGATCATAAAAGTAAAAGAGTACAAAATGGAAAATAATGATTGAAATTAAGATTTTTTTTCCCACTCAAGACCCCCCAGTCCTACTTCTCAATAGCTCTGTTTTTATCTGAGTTTCCTTGCAGAAATTTCAAATGTACAAAAATAAATGTAAGTGAATCCTTTGTTGACATTATTGTTAAACAAATATGATTTTTATAGCAACCAGTGTTCTGCATGTTAGGGTTCCCAAACTGTACTTGCATCACTTTTCATATCAGCATATCCCTGTCAGCTAACTCTCTTTAATAAATACATGCATAGTTTTTCACTGTGTAGTTATACCATAAGTTACTTAACCAGTTCCATATGGTTGACAATTTTCAGTTATTTGCTTACTTCCTACTGTTTCAAGCAATAGCGCAATATTAACTGTACATATATCTTTAAGCACATGGGATAGAGTGCATTTAGAGTAACTATTAGTGGGTCAAAACATCAAGGAATATTTCATTTTGAGAGATAATGCCAGTAGTATGTGACAGTTACCTCTTCCCCTATACCCTTGATAACACTGTTGAATTAGCAAAATTTTCATTCCTGCCATATGCCAGTGTGGTAGGTGAAAATAAGTTTATTTAAATGCGAAGCTGAGTACTTTTTGTATGTTTATAAATCCTTTATATGTTGGCAATAGCTACCTCTTTATAATTTGTCATTGAATTAAACATCTTTTCTTTATGATTTTAAAAGAACTCTTTATACGTAAGGAAATCAAAGCTTTGGCTGTTGCATAAGTAAAGGTATATGTTTTTCCCTAGTTTGTTATTTATCTTTTGATTACTTATGATACATTTTCCATATGTAGTCAAATTAATCATTTTCTATATGACTTATAGGTTACAAAAACACTTTTCCCGTTTATTTGAAAAAAAAAAAGTTTGGTAACATTTTCTTCTAATACTTTCATTCAGTTAAGCTTTATATTTTCATCCTTTATTCGTGGAATTTTAGTGTAAAGAATGATTGACTCTAGCTTAATTTTCCCCAAATGGTTAGCCAGGTGGCCACAATACCATACATTAAATTGTTTCCACTAATGTGAAAGACCACCTATATTCTACACTAATTTCTCATAAGTACTTGAACCTATTCACTTCCATTAATTTGTCTCCCTATTAGTACTATCTTCAGTAATGAAGAACTATCTTCATTACTGTAGATTTAAGAATACACAAGAGATCAAGACCATCCTGGACAACATGGTGAAACTCTGTCTGTACTAAAAATACAAAACACACCTATAGTCCCAGCTACTCGGGAGGCTGAGGCAGGAGAATCACGTGAACCTGGGAGACAGAGGTTGCAGTGAGCCGAGATCACACCAATGCACTCCAGCCTGGTGACAGAGCAAGACTCCGTCTCAAAAAAAAAAAAAAAAAAAAAAAAAAGAATACGCTAGCTCTAGTAAACACTCAACCCTCTTTCCACTTAGAGTTAAGGATTTGTGCTGTAGAGCCACACAGCCTGGGTTCAAGTCCTGGCTCTGCCACTTAATGTGGGACCTTGGAGAAGTTATTTAAATCTCTCTGTGTCCCCAATTCCCACCTGTAATGGGACAATAATAACTACTTCACAGAGGTGTCAGGAGGCATAACTGATATAATTTGTACAGAATGCTTATAATTATGCCTGGTAAAGACTACGTGTTTAATAAATGTTAGCTTTTTCTTTCTAGAACATTTTCTGGCTATTCTCAGATATTTGTTTTTCTGTTATAAACATTGGGACTGATTTCCCAATTTTTAAACCTTCTATGGTAGCAGCCTCCAAGATGGTCACTAATGACCTATGACTCCTAGAAGTCATGTCCTTGGGCAGTCTCCTCTCACATTAACTAGGACTGGCCTGTGTAACCAACAGGATATTATGAAAATGATTATGTGTGGCATTCAAAACTAGGCCATAGAAGACCCTTCTGCTTCCACTGCGCCGTGTCCCTTGGATCGCGTGCTCTGGGGAAGCCAGCTGCCATGCTGTAAAGACACTTGAGTGGCCTCTGGAAAGGCCCACAGGGAAGGAACTGACACCTACTGCCAATGATCATCACCATGTGGATGAACCATCTTGGAAGTGAATCTTCCAGTTCACATCAAGACTTCAAATGATAGCAGGCATGACTGCAAACTCAAGAGAGATTCCAACCCAGAACCATCCAACAAAACTGTTCGCAAATTCCTGACACACAGAAACTATGTGAAATAGCAAAGATAAATTGTTGTTTTAAGTCATCGAATTTGGGTTAATTTGTTATACAACAATATATAACAAATACACCTTCCTATTGGCAATTTTATTAGAAAGGCATTGAGTTTAAAGACTCATTTACATAGAATGGACCTCCTCATATTATTGAATATTTCTACCTAAGTAGAACTTCTGTCTTTCCATTGATTCAAGACTTTTTAAAATTAGTAGATACTTTAAATCTTGTTCACCTAGGTCTAGCATAACTTCCCTTATTATTTGTGTTGCTGTTCTATTTCCTTCCATTTTATTCTCTAAATTATATTGATATTATCAATTTAATACTGTTAATTTTCTGTTAATTTCATATCCAGCCAACTTGCTAAATTCTTTTTGCTAGAAGCTACACTGATTGTTTTGCATTTTTCAGATGGGCAATCATACCATATGCAAATAATAATTTCACCTTCTATTTTCCATTTTATAGCTATTTCTTTCTCCTTTGTAAATTTCACTGGCTGAAGTAGTAAATATTACCTCTAAAAATATATTACGGTAGAAGACATTATAGACCATCAGTATTCATCAGTTTGATTTCTTCCATTATTCTGAATATTCTTGTAGTTAAACACTGTCACCAACCAGGCATGGTGGCTCATACCTGTAATCCCAGCACTTTGGGAGGTTAAGGTCGGCAGATCACTTGACCCCAGGAATTCAAGAGCAGCCTGGGCAATGCAGTGAAACCCTGTCTCTACAAAACATAGAAAAATTTGCCAGATGTGGTGGTGTGCCCCTCTAGTTCCAGCTTCTCAGGAGGCTGATCACCTGAGCCCAGTAGGTCAAGGCTGCAGTAAGCCATGATCATGCCACTGCACTCCAGCCTGGGCAACCCAGCAAGACCTTGTTTTTTTTAAAAAAAAAAAAAAAGACTGCCACCTTCCCCAGTTTGGGGAAGTTGAAATAAATAACATTTTTATTTTATAACCTCATAACCTCTAATTTTTGAATTATAACAAATTAAACCTTGCTTTCAGGTTCTTAATAATATGACTAAAAATGTAAGAGATGGCAGTTGTCATAGTTTATTATCTTTCATTTATTATCCTTAATGCTACGTGACCTTTAACCAATATAATTAATTATTTCTCTAAACCATGGGAAGTGGAAATTAGAACTACAGAAATAGATAAAAACATGGTTCTCAATGAAAAAGGTTAAAGTTAAAAGGGAATAATGTCTTAACATTGCTTAGGGAAAAAAGTCTTCCCAAATAATTTTCCTTTTAATAACTTTCAAAAGAAATGCAATTTCTGAAATATTTAAGTTAAGAAACAATTTTCAAAATGAAATTGGATGGACAGGAAGCAATGGGGAGCATTTTTGAGACCTGGGAAAATAAGAAAGCTACACTGTAACTGATAAATTGATTTTTAATAATGTTGGAAGCTTGCAAACCCTGTCTCTTCATTGTGCTGCACTAAGGAAATACACTAGCAGGTGTTAAAACACCCTCCAAGGATTTTCAATTTCGTTATTATATCCATGTGGAGGAAAGAAAGCCAAAATAACAACTAGGTAAAGTAAAAGGATCATTATTTCCTACAGTTGTTCAGTGTCAATTTTTTCCTTATCTATGTCTAACAGAAGAACATCTAGCGCCTTATACTGCAGGCAAAATGAACATATAAGATTAGAGTTAGAGACCCCCACATTTTATAGATTCTAATTCTGGAAACATATCTTGCATATAAATGCTATTTATGCTTGAGAAGACCCTTTTCTATGCTTTACAGACAAATGTTATGCCAAGACTTTTCAAAGTGACTGATCACAATGCCAGATTTATGAGCAGGTTTGAGCAACATTAGCAGAGTCATCTCACACCAAACATTATGGGATTTGCAAGAGTACAGACCATGACGATAACATGTAAGCTGGCTATTTCTGTTCTTAACTTGGAACCACAGACATGTTCAGCTCAAACCCTTTCAAGTCTTAACATCTGTTGTGAGCATGATGAAAAACAATAGATGTGGAAAATTGGATTTATTTCAATACTAATTTCAGTAGCCTGGCTTAATGTAGCTACAGAATTTACATGAATAATAGCAGAAACAAGGCAGACTATGCAATCTGGGCAAGGAAATTTCATGATTGTTGGAACTCTGCAGATTTGGAGTCTACACACTTAGGACTCAGCAAAATACTCTGTTCTAATACCCAGCTATGCCCTTCAGAAGCATAGCTTCTGAAGATTGTTCCAATGACTTAGTAATGAAAGACAGAGTTTCATCTTTACTTCAGATACCACCTGAACTGGAGTTAGATGATTTCCTTGGAAATAAATACTTTGTTAATTTCCTTTATTCCTGATAAGAACTGCAGTCAACATTTACACCAACATTATTTGCTTTTTATATGAATAGATTCTCCTTAATCTTTGCTTACCAAACATATTGAGGTCATATGGCATTAACAATTCAATCATATTTCCTTTGTAAAATTTTTCTCTTCCTCTTTTAATTCTGCTGAACTGAAATGAACAAAGCAGTTTAAATTTTTGTCTTATGTTGCAATAAAGTCCAAAAATACAAGTTTGAAAGATAAACATGCTATAAGGAAACATCACTGGCAAGCTAAAACTTGCATTAAGCTATACCATTAATACACTTTCAGAAGCGAAGTGAATCCCTATACTCTGAATCTTCATGAGGTTGAAGTATTATATCCCTGGATGTTTCCTTTCTCAGAAGGTGTTGTGACATTCTATTTCAATTTTTGAAAATGTGACGCAGCACTTTTGGAGAGAATTGTTTGGAAAGAGAGAGAAATAAACAAAGAACAATATGATTCCAAAACAAACTAATAAAAAAGAACCACACAATCACTTTCTTAAGAAGAATATAATGTAGAACACACAAACACACAAAAAAAAATACTGCAGAAAAGAAACTCTTGATGTGCTTATTTGAAATTATGGAGAAAAGCTAAAAACTTCAGAACAAGTTGTTTTGCTTTTTAACCTTAACTTAGCAGACCAATCTCCACTAATCCAAAAATGTTAACTGAAAATTGCACTACTACTTTATCATTATTGCAATTCAGAAAAGAATTAGAGTCAAACATTGGATTGTATGTGAAATCAAATCTTTCATTGAGGTTTACAAATTCCTCTTTATAGGAAGTATCACATTTAGGGTATCACTAGTTAGACAAAAACAGTGTTCCAGGATACAAATTGGCATGAAATTTTAATTTTGTAACCCCTAAACTTTTTAAATCTCTTTCCCTATTGGTTGTCTGCACTCAAAACATCCCTGACTTTTATTGGTGATGTGATTAGTAAAACTCAGCTGCCACATGTGACTAAGGACATGGTTAGTTATCAGGCTTTTCTTCACCTGCTCCTCTTTGAGCAAAAAGTACAACCTTCAAGATCATGTGTGAACTAAAGAGATGCAGATGAAAAGAGATTGGCTGCTCCAAGATGTGCCCACACCTTTTAAGTGTGCCTTGGGAAATGAGTTGAGACCTCTCTGAAGCCGGGCTATTCCAACTGCCTTGGATGCTAGCTCTCTGAGTGGCAAAATAGATGCCTGCAGTCCTTGTAAAAACAAGCTCAAGTACCTCTGTGAGGGCACCTTTACAACACAACATTTAACAGTTTTTCAATGAATACACAAGTACACATGTTGGTTTCAGTAATCTTAAATAGTTATTTGGAAAAAACAATGCTATTGAAAGCATATTTGCCATTTATGTCGCAAAGCTAAGTTTCATCTTACATGGTTAGTCACTGATTAGTACTATTTCAGACACTGAAGTACTTTGAGGCACCTTCCCTCAGACCCTCTAAATACGACACAACCCACAGCTTTCAGTGTTATGTGAATAGCCAACACCTCCTGATGAGGAGTAATTGGAACTACAATAATAGGTCCTCAACTTGACTCTAATGAATTTTGAATGTTACACCTTCCAAGATGGCCTTCACTCTTGCAGAATCTATAGTTGTATTAGTTTCTTTCAGTTGACATCCTTGAATTTTCCAGTCAAGTGCTGCTTTAATATGCAGAAAAGAAAGTCTTAGCTTTCTTTCTTTCCATGCAGCTTTGCTAGGGCAAGTACCTCTTCCCATATTTTTTCTGATTCCATTGGTAAGAACTCTCTGATTGCATAGTGTTGACATTTAAATTTATTCAAAAAATATTTCTTCACCAAATATTTACTGAGTGTTTACTCTATGCCAAAGAGTGTGCTAGGTGCTAGAGATATAGGATGAATAAGAGATTTATGTTCCTTGCTTTAATTGGCCTGAAGCCTACTGGGAAATGTCAAGAATTAAACAACAACTCTACAGTAGAAGTGCTCTGGAATGAAAGCACAGAGCGGCGTACTCAGCCCAGTTATAGTGAAAGGGGTGGAGTGAAGAGGGGAAGTCAGATAAGTACCTGGAGAGTATCATTCGACTGGGATCCAATAGGTGATTGAGAAAAGAAAGATATAGCAAAAGGGAGCTGAGGATAGAGTGGAATTTTTCCCAAGCACAGACCATGTATTATATGTTCTGTTCCTCTGAATTATAAGGCCAAAAACAATGTGGCATCACTGCCCAACATCTTTTCTGATTATATCATTAATTTCTATTAATGTTAACCATGGTTGAGTCATAAAGAAGGAATTTATTATATATTTCAAATATTAGGTGGTCCTGCAGTATAAAATTTAAAAATTCCCCCAAACAGCAACGTTGGAATAAGCACACAAGGGCGCTTTCACCCAGGTTTCATTTACAAAATTCAATTTTCTGAACAATGACTGAGGAAATAATGATAATTTCATCAAGCCTGGGTCTTAAAAGAGGCAGCAAAAGACCAGAATGAGGCATAAAAGTGGTTGGGATGAATGGTCAACCATAACGTGCTTTTGTTGGCAACTCCATATGTTTCATGACAGAATGGATGCTTTGGCAAACAAATTCAGGAAAGCAGGCTGCATCCATTATCTATTTCTGTGTAGCATATTATCATAAAACTTAGCAGCTTGAAACAGTTCCGGCTTATTATCTCATAGTTTCTGTGGATCAGGAATCCAGGCACAGCTTATCTGGGCCCTTTGCTTCAGGGTCTCTCACAAGCTGCAATGAAGGTGGCAGCCAAAGCTCCAGTCTTATCTGTAGCCTCAACCAAGGAAAGACCCGCGCCCTGCCTATGTAGTTATTTGCAGGATTCGGCTTCTCACTGGCTGTTGGCTGGAGGCTGCTCTCCATTATTTGCCATGGGGACCTCTCCAACATGACAGCTTGATTCATCAAAGCATGCAAGCAAAGAAGGCTATAAAGTCAGCCAGCATGATAGCAGTCATGATTTCTTGTAACCTAATCATGGAAGTGACATCCTCTCAATGCTACCATATTCTATACTAGAAGAAAGTTACTCAAGGGGAAAGGATCACACAAGATCATTAACCCCAGGGGCTGGAATCTCTGGGCGCCATCTGTGAGACAGTCTGCCTTACAGGCCAGTTTCATGGGCCACCATTAGTGTGTCTCAGTCAGTGTAAAACATGCCCAAGTTTTAGCACATTTCCAATTCTCTAGCAGGAATATACAAACACGAGATTATATACCTGTTTTTCTGGCTTTGTTTTATTATTATTATTATTATTTTTTTTTTGAGACGGAGTCTCTCTGTCGCCCAGGCTGCAGTGCAGTGGCGCGATCTCGGCTCACTGCAAGCTCCGCCTCCCGGGTTCACGCCATTCTCCTGCCTCAGCCTCCCAATGTAGCTAGGACTACAGGCACCTGCCACCACGCCCGGCTAATTTTTTGTATTTTTAGGAGAGATAGGGTTTCACCGTTTTAGCCAGGATGGTCTTGATCTCCTGATCTCATGATCCGCCCACCTTGGCCTCCCAAAGTGCTGGGATTACAGGCATGAGCCACCGCACCCAGCCAGCTTTGTTATTTTAAGTAATATTTAATACAATCACAAACACAACTAGTTCCAATAGATAACTTAACATAGATAAGTAATCAGATATACTTTACTCTCTCAATAAAGCAGGGGTCCCCAACACCTGGGCCATGGACCGTACTGATCCATGGCCTGTTAGGGACTGGGCTGCACAGCAGGAGGTGAGCAGCAGGCAAGAGCGCATTACCACCTGAGCTCTGCCTCCTGTCAGATCAGCAACAGCACTAGATTATCACAGGAGTGTGAAAACTATTGTGAACTGCACATGTTAGGGATCTAGGCTGCGTGCTCCTTATGAGAATCTAATGCAAGCTTGTCCAACCTGTGGCCCATGGGCCACCTGCAGCCCAGGACAGCTTTGAATGTGGCTCAACACAGATTCATAAACTTTCTTAAGATATTATGAGATTTTTTTGGTGATTATATTTTTTAGCTCATTAGATATCATTCATGTTAGTGTATTTTATGTGTGGCCCAAGACAATTTTTCTTCTTCCAATGTGGTCCAGGGAAGCCAAAATATTGGACACCTCTGATCTAATGCCTGATGATCTGAGGTAGAACAGTTTCATCTCAAAACCATCCCCACCCAACCCAATCCGTGGAAAAGTTGTCTTCCACAAAACTGGTCCCTGGTGCCAAATAGGTTGGGGATTGCTGCCACAGAGGATACCCACAAACAATGTGGTACGATATTGTCCCCTAGTACATGTGAAGGACACAGTAGAAAATGTAAATGGTAGATATGAGTGGGGAGTAAATGGATTCTACAAGACAAATAGAATCCTTTCACATCTACTGGTTTTTGGAATCCATTAGCAACATAACATCTTCATACAGTTCTAATAAATAATACCGGGCACTAGATATATGCACACACACCTAAAAATTAATCCAGTCACTAAGACAAACACGCTTTAGAAAAAAGCTGTCTAGCCTGATAATAACAAAGCCCTGAAACAACAATATAAATAAGAATATTTCAGGTAAATTGCTAGAGGCTGTATTTTGTTTTCTAAGCAATTGTACTTCTCAGGGATTGATGATAGCCTTATGAAAAACAGGCACTATGAGCTCACTCTAAGGAAGAATCCTCCTGAAGCCTGCCTAATTCAATGCAAATGTATCTCTAAAACAAAACAAGGACAAAATGTCTCTAGCATCCCTCATTCTAGGATGTTTCTCAAATGCTGCCTTAATCAGTGCTGTGGGCCAAGATTATTACTAACCCAAATGCTTCTTCCATATGAAACCTGAAGATAATTTTACTGGGAAATATGATCATGCTCTATTACTTTTATTCAAATCTGATCCTCACACAATTGAAAAAGAATTCCCTATTCTGTCATTATTTACACATGGACAAGCAAATAATAAGAGAGAAAGCTACAAGATCATGTCATAAGATTTCTCATCTATCTATGAGCAAAACAGGCATTCGTATAATACCTCAATCAGCAGGTTCATCACAGTGATTCCTAGGATAGTATTCCTGAACAACAACATTGTTCACAAGCAATGACCTTCATTAAACAGAAACAGCCAGCATGAAAGGAACATCAAATGAAGGAAGTGAAATACAAACCAAACGCTTCTTTGTAATAGAGGACAGTTCAGGGTCAGTGTGTACCACTAACCACCACAGGAGAGAGGATAAATTTAATAAACACACACCAAAATGCAATATGCCCACTCACTAGGTTCAAAAAATGACCAATCAGTAGCAAAGAGAAAGAGCAGCAGCAATGCATAATCAAACCTATAAATATAAGGTCAAGATACTATCATATGATACAAAGATTGTAAGTTTGGCGTTTTGACCATCAGCTACAAACTGTCTGGCCTTGGGCAAGTCTACATTTTGAGACTCAATCTTGGAAATGAAGACAACTATACTTATCTCACAGAAGATATACAAGCATCCCCTTCCTCACATGTTATTTCTATAGTTGTATTAGTTTATTTCAGTCATAAGTGAAATTTATGAATAAGAAAGGATTGTATTGATTATTGAATAATTAGACAAATTACTATTTTCTCTGGGACCTAGAAGTAGATCCTTTCATAGGGCAACCTTATAGAGTTCTTAGGAATATTAAAGTGTTAACATTTTTAAGAGCTTATTCTGACACCTACGTATACACACCTATATAATATACACCATATAGGTATATGTTAAATAAGGTTAAAATAAATAAGATAAAGAGACAAGTAAAGATACTGTAATAACGAGGCCCAGTGCAGTGGTTCATGCCTGTAATCCCAGCACTTTGGAAGGCTGAGGCAGGCGGATCACAAGGTCAGGAGATTGAGACCATCCTGGCTAACACGGTGAAACCCCATCTCTACTAAAAATACAAAAAATTAACCAGGCGTAGTGGCACGCGCCTATAATCCCAGCTCCTCGGGAGACTGAGGCAGGAGAATCACGTGAACCCAGGAGGCGGAGGTTGCAGTGAGCCAAGATCGCACTATTGCACTCCAGCCTGGACGACAGTGTGAGACTCCATCTCAAAACCAAACAAAAACAAACAAACAAAAAACTGTAATTAAGGAGTGGCAGGAAATAAATAAGGGAAATGGAAAGATAAATAAAAGTATAAGAGTTAGAAGAAAAAAACACAATGGGAAGTGTAGCAAGAAAGATAATACTTCCTTCCAAATATGTCAATGTCACATTCTCCAGAACCTATGAATATGTCATGTTACACAGCAAAGGGGAATTAAGGAATTTAGCTGACCTCAGGATAGGGAGATCAGTCTGGATTATCAGGTGGACCCAATGTAATCACAAGAATCCTTAAAAGTAGAAGAAGGAGGTCAGAGTGACACAATATGAGAAGGGCTCAACTTCCTATTACTTGCTTTGAAGATAAAAGGTGCCACAGGCCAAGGAACGTGGGCAGGCTCTAGAAGCTGGGTAAGGCAAGAAAGCGGATTCTCCCTGGGACTCAAGAAAAGAATGCATGCTTGCTGACACCTTGATTTTAGCCCAGTGAGGCAAGTGTTGGACTTCTGACCGATAGATAATGCATCTGTTTTGTTTGATACTATTAAGTCTGTGGTACTTGGTTACAACAGCAGCAGTAAACTCATACAGGAGGGATAAAGGGTAGCAAGATAGCAAGTGCTCTGGCAGAAAAAGCATAGACTAATGAGTCTGGTTGTCACTGATGCTGAAGAATCAGAAACTCCTATTAGTATGCAATTCCCTTCCGATGAAAGGAAAGTATCCATGACACCACAGCTAGTTTGGCTGTTATGCCAAGACCCTTTAAGAGAACAGAGAAGCAGTACAAAATTGAGGACAGAATACAGACATGAAGTTGCAAGACACAGCATTTAGACCTGCAATGGTTAGGGCTAAGATATATACCTTCTAAAATATATCTGCTATCTCCAAATGAGTCACAGATGGAAACATTTCTTCTTGAATAACACAAAGCCTAACAACAGTGAGAAGACCAGAAATGTGCGGAGATAAATGATCTGCACTTGACACAGCGTGGCTTCCCTCTAGACAGGGTGAAATTTTTAGCTGATAATTAAGCACCAAATGAACCATTTGAAAATTTCAGTGCCATGAGCCAAAGAAAATTAAATTAAATCAGAATTAACATATTAGGTCTGGGTTGAGTAAAGACAGATTATTGCTTTGTGTGGATTCTGTCTTGTTAAGGAGAAGCTATTCTTCAAAATATCCCACTCTAAAACACAATTGATAGGATGACATTAGCAAGTAAACATGATAATTGACTCATTTAAGTTCAAACAAATGTGCGACAGAATGTTCTGTTGGCTACAAGGGCGATGCTTCGGGGGAACTCTATGAATGTGTTTTGGGATTCAGCTCAACTCCCAACACATATGATTGAGCCAGGCATAGTATTAGATACCTAGGCTTTAAAGCTGAATAAAATAGTCATGTATTTTACCCTTCATGGAACTCAGTCTAGAGGAAGTAGATATGATAGACAAATAAATATAACAAATGATATGCAAAGAAACACAAACTGACATTGAGTCTCAAATCATAAATGTCCAAATATGAAAAGGAATGATTTGCCCATAGATACCTCAAACTGTGAATGACAAAATTTAAAGAAAAATTTAAATCAATGAGTTCTAAATATTATTTTTATCATAGATCCCTTTATTGTTGTGATGAAAATAATGAACTTTTTTTTTTGTGGAGGGGGAGAAAAGAGGTTCAGTGGTGGAGAGAAGATAACAAATAGAAAAGTACACACAGATATGTTCAATTTCAGGACATTCATCTGGGACCTCACTTAGAATATACTCCATCCACTGAAGATATGTACACTTAAAATCACTGCTAAATATGTAAATTACAATAGGCACACTAAATAACTCTTTATAGTAAAGTTTATTTGAAAATTTAACACTAGTGGTAGAGAAGAATGAAAATGCATCCCATGGAGTTTGGGAGTCCTACTTTTAGCAAGTGAGACATATTCTCAAAGTTTCCATTTTTAAACAGTCCATAAGAATTTTTACCCAATTTCCTATGTTTTGTTATAAAAATGTTTTAATTCCATCTAAGAGAAACCTAAAAGAGCCCATCGATCTCCATTTCTCCCCCTCCATATCTTTTCAAAACAAAATTTCCACTTAAGTGGACACCCCAGGTAGTTATGTCACATGTCATATTCACCCTAGGGCCTCACAACACCTGTGGGCACATTACTGTAGATCCCCAGGGTGAGAATATTCTAGTTTGAAAAGCATCACATAGGGAATTTGTTAGAGTTGGCCCTTCACTATAAGGAATTTGTATGTAATATAATTTACAAAAAATTATTGATTTATATATGGGCTGCACCAGATATGTTCAAAACTGTCCACATATATGTATGCACATATATTTATAAATTGCTTCCTTTTAAGACTGATGTGGTTCAAGGTTGCTCAATGTGAAGAAAAATTAGTCCTTCTCCAAAATGAAATACGAGCCCCTCCCAATAATAGTCAAAAAGTATGCCTCAAGTTTAACATATTTTTTAAAAATTGGAGTAAGTCTTTATTTGATTGTTTTAATCTATACATTGAAGAGGTAAAAATTAACAATATTCATATTTTATACCACTTCGAAACACTGTAAATGTCTTTAAAAGCAATACATGGCATTTTCTCTTCTCCATTTGAAAACTGGCCAAATTCTGTGACAGATCTAAATAAAATAAAGAATATTTTATAGATTATTTTTATTCCATAGCAAATGTATGCCATCTTCCCTCCCAACACTGTAGAAGACTACTTGGGAATAAATGCTTGATTTTTCCATGTACAACCAGAAAAGACTGAATTTCAATGACTTTTTTTGTTAGTTTAGTGATTATGTCTGAGAATAAAACATCCAATATTTCCCTAAAAAATAAACTGGAAGCTAAGGCAGTTGAAGATTTTTGGGGTGAATATTGGTTTAAGGATGGAATTAGTGATAAATAGATATTCATTCAAAAAACATACTGACCATCTCTTATATAGAATAGTATGTTAAGCCCTGAGATGGGAACGCTATAAATCGCATGGCAATGCCCAGGCAGAGTAGGGCTTGATATGAGAAACATACATGTAAATGAAAGGACACCCAGGGAGAAGTGCTGGTGGCATGCTTGGGAAACCTGAGCAGGTCCCTCCAGTTCTTCAGTGTCTTGGCACCTAGTGTGGCACTGCACCTGTGTCTATAGTGTGATCACCATCAGAATCAGGGTCCTCACAGCTACCACTGATCAAACGCCCCCTCTATGCCAGGCGTTCTGCTAAGTGCTTCTCAAATGCTGCCTTCTGTACTCTTCACATCAACCCTATGTCACAGGGATTATTATCATCCGTCCTTCATATTTGAAGAAAATGTAGCTGAGAGAAGTTAATGTGCTCAAGGGAGCAGTGTAAATGACAGAGCGAGGCCCATCTATCTCCAAACTCACTGCTCTGAATCAACCACCAAATGTCCTTCCCATGTAAGGTGTCCTTTGGATTGTGTTGCTTTTTGTTTCCACAGATAGTATTTGTTCCTGCAACTGGTTCCAAGTCCAGGACCTCTGGGTGACATGTTGTTGATTTCTTAGGTCCAGATAGAGTTTCCTATGATTCAGCAACATGTGGCTAAAAGATAAACTATTTCCAACATACCTAATACATAATAGCCCATAAAACAACATAGTGGCAATTTAAAAAATTAATATGAAAAAGTAATTCAGAAAAGGGGAAAGTCTGGAAAACACTGCACAGAGCTTCTTGGTTCACCTTACGCAACTGGACCAAAAAAGTCAGGACTCTCTGTTCTGAATAAGAAGGTTAACTCTTCATCAGCAAACTTGCCAACCCCACCTCCTTCTGGAAATAATTTCTTGATCGTCTGCCTTCTAAAGTCTTGTGGTTAACACCCACAAAGAGCACCTTCCTTTTCCACTGTCCTCTGTATCCACACAGGGCCCACAGATAGATACACAGATGAGGATCAAGAGCCTCTTTCCAAGACTGGGATAAAGATAGTAACCCACTGTTACTCCCAATTGATGGGGGTGGTCTGGGGAGGCCTAGGGATTGTCTGAAGAGCTGGGCAGCCATGGCTATAATCCACTGGCTGAAGAACAATCCAGTTCTTCAATTACTTAATAAACTCTTGGTCTATTTGATCGCTTGATAGTCTTTGATACTGGGGGCTCCTCTCCCTGACATAGGCTCCTGGGCCCTGCCCTTGGCTTTTACTTTAGTGGCTTCTGCTCTCAGGCAATTAGAAACTATAGCCTTGGGCAAGGAAGCACCCCTCAAGCACCTTCTCCCCTCAGGCTTGATCACCTTGCAGGTGGAAAAGCTTCATGAGAAGAATATGAGAGATCCTGATAACTCAGGCTATTTTTTCTTTTTTGGCCCCATTTTATCTCCTGTGTAAAATCCACCTCCCTGTGTCTGCTTGCTCTAGAGAGAGAATTTGCCTTTTAAACCAACCAACAACGATTTTAGGCTCCAGACAAAGAGGGTTTGTTCTTCATCAATGAGTTTGCCAACTTAATACTGTTTTCTTAACAAAACTAATTGTTCTTGTGTGTCATTTTGTTGTTTTGTTGTTTTTGTTGTTTAAACACACCACACTTGGCTCAGTCTTTTCTCTTTCTTGAAGGGTATCACCAAAGGCTTCATGGAGGAGCTGCACACTTCATGTCCTAAATTTTCCCTATTTCCCTAATATTTCATCCTTGGTAAGCACAACATCTATATCCCAACGTACAGCAGGCAGCAGTTTAACTGACTGTTCTGTAAAAGAAAAAAAAATCATGATCACCAATTTTTGAACCCAGAAAGAAAGCACCACTTCCTACCCTCGACTGTTCAAGATCTCAAAAGCAAAGAGTCTTGTTTTTTTGAAAGAGAATTTCAGTGTAAGTTAGTTCCTCCAGAAATCTGATGGATGGAATTGATGTAGGTACTGCCGCTGCCTCCTGTATCCCACCAAATGACGAGAAAGGGGCACCAAAGGTGAAGCCCTACAACTATAAAGAGAGAGAAGGAGAGAGACAGAAGCAAAGAGACTGGTATAACTGACACAAGAGGGGAGGGCTGACACCAAAGCTGGCAGGAGGAAGTCCTGAAGCTAGAGATTCCGTAACCCAAAACCCCAGGAATTCGAGGCACCGGGAGTCTCTGGAAGTAGGGCAGCATACGAACAACTGACAGATATTGGTAATGTCTGTTGAAAGAAGCACTGAGGTCTCCAGATGCTCTCTCTAACTCTTCTTGGCCAGGTGACTGCCCCTCTCATGCTCCAGCAGAGAATGGCAAGATTACCTTGGAGACAGAAAGAAAGAAGGATTCTGAGCTCAGAGATGTACAGTACACCAGGGATAAGTGAAAATCTGCAGAGAGAAGTGTGAGCCCCAGGGTCCCCTTCCCTTAGTAGCTCCCCGAATACTGCAGCCAAGTACACCTTTCCCCGGTGCACTGAGACCCAAGAGAAACACCTCCACATCTGAAAGTTGGTGATCTTAGCAACGTGGCTCACCGGCCATTTGTGGAGTTTCAAGTAGCCTTTGTGTGACTCACCCTTACATAGCAACTGCAGCCAGAGGCCACCAAACATTGGAGAAAAGCCTCTAGAAAATCTGAGGACCAAAGTAGTCAAAATGAAACAAGAACCTAAACATGGCAAAGACAATAGAGAAAAAAAAAATCTTTTAAATTATATTTTAAATATCCTCAGAGAGATAAGAAAGTATCACATCTAAAAATAGAAAAAGGAGGCTATAAATTATTCAGGAAACAAGTGCCACCTGTGTTCTGATGTCCAAAACAAAAAGAATTTTTAAAAATTAAAATATGATTACACAAATGGAAAAATGACTTAAAGGACTGGAAGATAAAGGAGGAAATCTTCTAGAAACTGGGTTAAAAAGTTAGACTCTAGGGGATAAATTATAAGAAAATTCAGGAATCAATCTAGGTGGTCCTACTTCCAAATAACAGTTGCCCCCAAAAGAAAAAAACAGAGAAAATAGAGGGAGAGAAATTATAAAATTAAAATATTTTCTTTTAATGGTTCAGATTCTAGAAGATGAATTTCTTAAATGAGGGAGCCCACCAAATTCTCAGCTATAGAGATGAAAAAATACCTTCCCTGATGTAGATCACAGTGAAATATCAGAGCACTGAGAACTACAATGTTCCAAGTAGAGAAGGTGCAGGTGAAGTCACAACAAAGGGTCAGAAGTGAGAGTGGCCTCAGGTATCTCAACAGCAATGCTGGAAACTGGAAACAATGAAAACAACTGTAGGAATAGAACATTTCACATCCCACGAACCCTTCTCAGGGTGACACTCCAAGATGGAGCTGACAGCAATATCCAGAAGAAATTTCCTTAAGAAAAAAATCCAAACTGGCTGGGCGCGGTGGCTCACGCCTGTAATCCCAGGACTTTGGGAGGCCGAGACAGGCGGATCACGAGGTCAGGAGATCAAGACCATCCTGGCTAACATGGTGAAACCACTGAAACCACGTCTCTACTAAAAATACAAAAAATTAGCCGGGCATGGTGGCAGGGGCCTATAGTCACAGCTAAATTGGGAGGCTGAGGCAGGAGAATGGCGTGAACCCGGGAGGCGGAGCTTACAGTGAGCAGAGATTGGCCACTGCACTTCAGCCTGGGCAACAGAGTGAGAGTGAGACTCCATCTCAAAACAAACAAACAAACAAAAAAAAACTGATAAATCACTTCCTGTTTTTAAATGTTGAAAAGAGATGTATACTTATGTCAGGGTTGAGGATGAAGTAGTAACTGGTCATAGAAAACTAATCACATGGTAAGTGGGACAGTTATTAATTTTGGGAAGAACAAAAGGTTATTTAATCAGAGCATACTTCTTGGCTCACCTGTAATAGTTTTATAATATTCCAACCCCAAAGAATAATTTAATAAATTTAGATGTTTATATATGTAAACTCAAGATAAGAACATGAGAGTATAAGAAAGCTAAAGTATTATCTTTCTTCCATACCAATATATTAGTCTGCTAGGGCTACCGTAATAAATATCACAGACTAGGTGACTTAAACAACAGAAATTTATTTCCTTACAGATCTGGAGGCTGAAGTCCAAGATCAAAGTGTAGGCAGGGTTGGTTGGTTTCATTCCAAGCCTTTTCTCTCTCTCTGACTTGCAGATGGCTATCTTCTTCTGGTATCTTCATATTCTCTTCCCCCTGTACATATTGGTGTCCTAATCACCTCCTCTAATATGGACACCAATCAGACTAGATTGGGGCCTACCCTAATGGCCTCATCTTAACTTAATTACCTCTATAAAGACCCAATATCCAAGTACAGTCACATTCTGCACCACTGGGGGTTGGGGCTCCAATGTGTGACTTTAACAGAGACATAATTCAGCCCATGACAACCAATAAGTCAGTAGATAATACCTAAAATGGAAAACTCATGGTATTAGAAACACAGAGGCAAATAGTAGAAGCAGCTCAAAGAGCTCAAAGTAGTTGTCTCTGAAACATGGGAATCTGGGGAGCAAAGGATGGACAGGGAATTACTTTTCTGTTAAAAGTCTTATAGAACTAGTTGTCCTTTTTTAAGCACCTATTTAAATATGATAAAAATAAGAAAATTGGAGTATTTCAACAAAAAATATGAAAATGTGAATAATAATGTAATACTCTCTATATATCATTTCCAATTAGTCAAAACTCTCACCTTATTAACAGATGCTTAGGGATGCAATATTTTGTGACATTTAAGACATAAATAACTAAGAAAATACTGATAAACTAACCAGAATTCACAGTATTTTAAAAATGTCAAACACTTAGGTTTATTATAATACTTCCTAGGCACCGATATTCTAAAGAAAGTCTCATATATAGAAGATATCAAGGAATTATTCTACCCCTGACACTCACAAAAGGAGTCTTTTTCTTTGTTTTCTATCTATCTTTTAAGAAAACAAAACAGTGAAATATGCAAGCCATTAATATCCTATCAACGAGGACCCTGAAGGCCGGAGGAAATCAACTCTAAAGAGGAGGACTACACCAATCTCCAGCTAATTTATAAAACTACACTCTGTGGGTGGGTACCTTAGTCAACTGCAGCCATGCATACCAGCTAAAACTGCCCCCTCACAGATTCCTCATCCAGAAGTTAGAATTGCCATGGAAACATTCACCCCAGCTATAGCTAAAAGACATTGGTGTATGCAGTAAGTAGAGTCCTATTTACAGAGGTACCAAATAACCAGAGCCACAGGGATGAGAAAGGGAGGCCAGCTTTCTTAAGACAAGATACTGTGCTGCTCCGTGGGCAAAGCCAGCAGTCAAGCACGTCACAGGGGCCCCCAAACCACCCTGTTCATCACCAAGGTCAGTTCAAACCACTGAATGACGAATATGGTGTTGTCAGTAAATATACCATCACTTGGAATGCCTACCTTGGTCAAAAGCAGGTCTGGGTGACTCTAGAAACTTTTCAACTTCTTTTAACCTGCAAGAGTTCCTGGGACACCTCACATTGGATGTCGTTTCTACCTTCTCCCTTGGTGTGGTCCCAGGCTCTCCAGCTTCTGGGGATGGACTTTGATGGGCACATGGCACACATGACACCTCCTGCACCAGCCACCCCCAGTTAGTAACAACAAACACCCTCCTCATGTCAACAAGATCCTCAGCCTCCATGGGAGGTCAAGATGCCCACCAGCCCCCAGCCCAATTTGTACACAAGTTTTGGAAGATGTTTTCTAAGCTCATTAAGTTCTCTGAACACCTATCCTCCTTTGCCACTAACCAACTGATGGGAGAGCTAAGAAGAAGCATCAACTAGGTACTTGAAGAATGACTATAAAGAACTTATACCTATGTGTTAGTCCATTCTTGTGTTGTTATAAAGAAATACCTGAGGCTGGGTAGTTGATAACGGTTTGGCTGTGTCTCCACCCAAGTCTCATCTTGAATTGTAGCTCCCATAATTCTCAAGTGTTGTGGGAGGGACCCGGTGGGAGATAATTGAATCATGGGGGCGGTTTCCCCCATACTGTTTTTGTGGTAGTGAATAAGTCTCACAAGATCTGATGGTTTTATAAGGGGAAAACCCTCCTTCTTGGCTCTCATACTCTCTTCCCCGCCACTGTGTAAGATATGAATTGCTCCTCCTTGACTTCCACCATCATTGTGGGGCCTCCCCAGCCATATGGAATTGTGAGTTCATTAAATCTCTTTTTCTTTATAAATTACCTAGTCTCAGGTAGGTCTTTATGAGCAGTGTGAGAACTGACGAATGCAGTAATTCATAAAGAAAAGAGGTTTAATTGGCTCATGGTTCTGAAGGCTGTACAGGAGGTATAATGCTGGCATCTGCTTCTGGGGAGACGTCAGGGATCTTTCACTCATGGTGGAAGGTGAAGTGGGGAACAAGATAGAGTTTGAGTTGGGAAGAGGTGCCACACACCACATTGTGTAAGAACTCACTATTGGGAGGATCCACCCCCATGATACAATCACCTCCCACCAGGCCCCACCTCCAACACTGGGGATTACAATTCAACACGAGACTTGGCATGAACTTATATTCAAACTCTATCACTACTATAATTTTTGTAAGCAGCCTTTACCCAGTTTTGAGGCCCTGGCTAGAAGCCAGTCAGCTCCCCTTTTTGCCCAGCTAATTCAATCTGCACTACAGTCACTTCCCTGATAGAGCTCTCATATTCTGGGCCACAGTGTACCCACCCTACAGGCCGTGGTGCCAGGTACCAGACAGGTACCCTATGTCCCAGAACCTGCAGAATTATTCAAATAAGCCAACCCACAGAGAACCATCAAAACTTCCCTAATTCCACCCCACTTGCTATATATAAGCTTCCCCCTGGAGCTCCAGCTTGCTGTTACCCTGTCCCTTGATGCAACTCACTGTATGGTCCTGCCTGGAAGCTTTGGAAGCCTTCTTTCAATTGGAGCTGTAAGTAACCAAGTATTTTGCCTTTCATCTATTCATGTGTCAGTGTGGAGTGTCCTGCCATCAAAAAAATATTTAAATCTTATAAAGCACCTACCCCCAAATCCACATCTTACAGAATTTGTTTATAATGCTTTACTGCATTCTTCTACCCTGTATATAACTCGAACTTCCACCCCTATGTATTTCTCCTGCATATCCCAGAACTATTGCTACTCCAAAAGCTTGTCAGCAGCTGGGTAAAGCTACAGGCTTTCCCAAAGCCCTCCATACAAACCAGCACTGCAGACCCCCAAAAAGAGAGGAGAGAGACTCAGCTCCCAAACTCTCTTCCTTGCCCTGGTCACCTTTCCTTGGTCTTGCACCTGACTTTTACCACAAGTCTTAACAGCAGTCCTCTCTAAAAAGTAATCACTTCAGGTTAATGATCTTCCAGGAAAGAACACAAGCATTTGGTGGAAATTGCTCTACATCTACACTGTGAATTATAGACATGGAATCTTTCCAAAGAGTCCCCCTTGCTTTGATTCTGAACTCAGATGTCATAATATGCAGTTATGGTTCTCAATATTAGCCTATGGCCCAAAAGAAGGACCAGCAACATGCCTGCATTTCCATTTCCTTTTTTAAGTAGATGTGGTCAAATAAATGTTTTACCCATGTGTCTTGGTCCATTCGCACTGCTATAACAAAATCTCAAAGGCTGAGTAGCTTATAAACAACAGAAACTTATTTCTCACAGTTTTAGAGGCTGAGAAGTCCAAGAGCAAGGTGCCAGTAAATTTGGTGTCTAAGGAGGACCTGCTTTCTAGACCATAGATGGCATCTTCTCTGTGAGTTCTCACCTGGTGGAAAGGCTGATCTAGCTCTCTGAGGAATCTTTCAGCCCTAATGACTTAATCACCTCCAAAAGACTCCACCTCCTAATACCATCACATTGGTGATTAACTTTCAACATATGAATTTGGGGGAGATACAAATATCCAGGACAATGTATTATGTGTTTCTGATGAACATATAAATAGACACTACACTACACAAGTCAGTTCATGGTTTAGATATTAAGCAATTTCCTGTACAAAATGTAAAATGCCTTCATTTTGTTTCGTTGCAATCCCTTCGGTCATAGTGGCATTCTTCAAGATTCACAGATTGAGCAGTACTTTTTCAAATGAGATGTCCAAAGAGGGCCTCTAACAATTAAGGGAAATTACAGCCAGTAGCAGAGGAAGACAAAAAGTCCACCTAAAACAAGGGAACATTTCAAATGGTGCCACACAGACTACATTCTCAGAAGACAGAACCACATATCTGAACTTTGGCAGGCTCCACAAAGATTTTCAGGAGGCAAATTCAACAGATTGTTAGAGTTTTACAGATGCTGAAAATAAAAAGATAAGATTTTCTCAAAGGTTACCGTTAGTAAGCAAAACTAGAGCTAGAACTAAGATCCAAATTTTACATGGTCTGCAAGAGCCATATACCTCCAAATCTATAGTCCTTTTATGTATTCTACAAAACTGTTGTGTAACAAAATTTAAAACTATGATATGAAATTTGGAGAATAAAAAAACAAAACAGGAAAAAATGGGGGGAGGAGCCAAGATGGCCGAATAGGAACAGCTCTGGTCTACAGCTCCCAGCACGAGCGACACAGAAGACAGGTGATTTCTGCATTTCCATCTGAGGTACCGGGTTCATCTCACTAGGGAGTGCCAGACAGTGGGCGCAGGTCAGTGGGTGCGTGCACCCTGCGCGAGCCGAAGCAAGGCGAGGCATTGCCTCACTTGGGAAGCGCAAGGGGTCAGGGAGTTCCCTTTCCGAGTCAAAGAAAGGGGTGACTGACGGCACCTGGAAAATCTGGTCACTCCCAACCGAATATTTGGCTTTTCAGACCGGCTTAAAAAACGGCGCACCACGAGATTATATCCGGCACCTGGCTCGGAGGGTCCTGCGCCCACGGAGTCTCGCTGATTGCTAGCACAGCAGTCTGAGATCAAACTGCAAGGCGGCAGCGAGGCTGGGGGAGGGGCGCCCGCCATTGCCCAGGCTTGCTTAGGTAAACAAAGCAGCCGGGAAGCTCCAACTGGGTGGAGCCCACCACAGCTCAAGGAGGCCTGCCTGCCTCTGTAGGCTCCACCTCTGGGGGCAGGGCACAGAAAAACAAAAAGACAGCAGTAACCTCTGCAGACTTAAATGTCCCTGTCTGACAGCTTTGAAGAGAGCAGTGGTTCTCCCAGCACGCAGCTGGAGATCTGAGAACGGGCAGACTGCCTCCTCAAGTGGGTCCCTGACCCCTGACCCCTGAGCAGCCTAACTGGGAGGCATCCCCCCGGCAGGGGCACACTGACACCTCACACGGCAGGGTATTCCAACAGACCTGCAGCTGAGGGTCCTGTCTGTTAGAAGGAAAACTAACAAACAGAAAGGACATCCACACCAAAAACCCATCTGTACATCACCATCATCAAAGACCAAAAGTAGATAAAACCACAAAGATGGGGAAAAAACAGAGCAGAAAAACTGGAAACTCTAAAACGCAGAGCACCTCTCCTCCTCCAAAGGAACGCAGTTCCTCACCAGCAACGGAACAAAGCTGGAGGGAGAATGACTTTGACGAGCTGAGAGAAGGCTTCAGACGATCAAATTACTCTGAGCTACGGGAGGACATTCAAACCAAAGGCAAAGAAGTTGAAAACTTTGAAAAAAATTTAACAGAATGTATAACTAGAATAACCAATACAGAGAAGTGCTTAAAGGAGCTGATGGAGCTGAAAACCAAGGCTCAAGAACTACGTGAAGAATGCAGAAGCCTCAGGAGCCGATGCGATCAACTGGAAGAAAGGGTATCAGCGATGGAAGATGAAATGAATGAAATGAAGCGAGAAGGGAAGTTTAGAGAAAAAAGAATAAAAAGAAATGAGCAAAGCCTCCAAGAAATATGGGACTATGTGAAAAGACCAAATCTACATCTGATTGGTGTACCTGAAAGTGATGGGGAGAATGGAACCAAGTTGGAAAACACTCTGCAGGATATTATCCAGGAGAACTTCCCCAATCTAGCAAGGTAGGCCAACGTTCAGATTCAGGAAATACAGAGAACGCCACAAAGATACTCCTCGAGAAGAGCAACTCCAAGACACATAATTGTCAGATTCACCAAAGTTGAAATGAAGGAAAAAATGTTAAGGGCAGCCAGAGAGAAAGGTCGGGTTACCCTCAAAGGGAAACCCATCAGACTAACAGCAGATCTCTCAGCAGAAACCCTACAAGCCAGAAGAGAGTGGGGGCCAATATTCAACATTCTTAAAGAAAAGAATTTTCAACCCAGAATTTCATATCCAGCCAAACTAAGCTTCATAAGTGAAGGAGAAATAAAATACTTTACAGACAAGCAAATGCTGAGAGATTTTGTCACCACCAGGCCTGCCCTAAAAGAGCTCCTGAAGGAAGCGCTAAACATGGAAAGGAACAACCGGTACCGGCCGCTGCAAACTCATGCCAAAATGTAAAGACCATCAAGACTAGGAAGAAACTGCATCAACTAACGAGCAAAATCACCAGCTAACATCATAATGACAGGATCAAATTCACACATAACAATATTAACTTTAAATGTAAATGGACTAAATGCTCCAATTAAAAGACACAGACTGGCAAATTGGATAAAGAGTCAAGACCCATCAGTGTGCTGTATTCAGGAAACCCATCTCACATGCAGAGACACACATAGGCTCAAAATAAAAGGATGGTGGAAGATCTACCAAGCAAATGGAAAACAAAAAAAGGCAGGGGTTGCAATCCTAGTCTATGATAAAACAGACTTTAAACCAACAAAGATCAAAAGAGACAAAGAAGGCCATTACATAATGGTAAAAGGATCAATTCAACAAGAAGAGCTAACTATCCTAAATATATATGCACCCAATACAGGAGCACCCAGATTCATAAAGCAAGTCCTGAGTGACCTACAAAGAGACTTAGACTCCCACACATTAATAATGGGAGACTTTAACACCCCACTGTCAACATTAGACAGATCAACGAGACAGAAAGTCAACAAGGATACCCAGGAATTGAACTCAGCTCTGCACCAAGCGGACCTAATAGACATCTACAGAACTCTCCACCCCAAATCAACAGAATATACATTTTTTTCAGCACCACACCACACCTATTCCAAAATTGACCACATACTTGGAAGTAAAGCTCTCCTCAGCAAATTTAAAAGAACAGAGATTATAACAAACTATCTCTCAGACCACAGCGCAATCAAACTAGAACTTAGGATTAAGAATCTCACTCAAAACCGGTCAACTACATGGAAACTGAACAACCTGCTCCTGAATGACTACTGGGTACATAACGAAATGAAGGCAGAAATAAAGATGTTCTTTGAAACCAATGAGAACAAAGACACAACATACCAGAATCTCTGGGACGCATTCAAAGCAGTGTGTAGAGGGAAATTTATAGCACTAAATGCCCACAAGAGAAAGCAGGAAAGATCCAAAATTGACACCCTGACATCACAATTAAAAGAACTAGAAAAGCAAGAGCAAACACATTCAAAAGCTAGCAGAAGGCAAGAAATAACTAAAATCAGAGCAGAACTGAAGGAAATAGAGACACAAAAAACGCTTCAAAAAATTAATGAATCCGGGAGCTGGTTTTTTGAAAGGATCAACAAAATTGATAGACCACTAGCAAGACTAATAAAGAAAAAAAGAGAGAAGAATCAAATAGATGCAATAAAAAATGATAAAGGGGATATCACCACCGATCCCACAGAAATACAAACTACCATCAGAGAATACTACAAACACCTCTACGCAAATAAACTAGAAAATCTAGAAGAAATGGATAAATTCCTTGACACATACACTCCCCCAAGACTAAACCAGGAAGAAGTTGAATCTCTGAATAGACCAATAACAGGATCTGAAATTGTGGCAATAATCAATAGTTTACCAACCAAAAAGAGTCCAGGACCAGATGGATTCATAGCCGAATTCTACCAGAGGTACAAGGAGGAACGGGTACCATTCCGTCTGAAACTATTCCAACCAATAGAAAAAGAGGGAATCCTCCCTAACTCATTTTATGAGGCCAGCATCATCCTGATACCAAAGCCGGGCAGAGACACAACCAAAAAAGAGAATTTTAGACCAATATCCTTGATGAACATTGATGCAAAAATCCTCAATAAAATACTGGCAAACCGAATCCAGCAGCACATCAAAAAGCTCATCCACCATGATCAAGTGGGCTTCATCCCTGGGATGCAAGGCTGGTTCAACATACGCAAATCAATAAATGTAATCCAGCATATAAACAGAGCCAAAGACAAAAACCACATGATTATCTCAATAGATGCAGAAAAGGCCTTGGACAAAATTCAACAACCCTTCATGCTAAAAACTCTCAATAAATTAGGTATTGATGGGACGTATTTCAAAATAATAAGAGCTATCTATGACAAACCCACAGCCAATATCATACTGAATGGGCAAAAACTAGAAGCATTCCCTTTGAAAACTGGCACAAGACAGGGATGCCCTCTCTCACCACTCCTATTCAACATAGTGTTGGAAGTTCTGGCCAGGGCAATTAGGCAGGAGAAGGAAATAAAGGGTATTCAATTAGGAAAAGAGGAAGTCAAATTGTCCCTGTTTGCAGATGACATGATTGTATATCTAGAAAACCCCACTGTCTCAGCCCAAAATCTCCTTAAGCTGATAAGCAACTTCAGCAAAGTCTCAGGATACAAAATCAATGTAGAAAAATCACAAGCATTCTTATACACCAACAACAGACAAACAGAGAGCCAAATAATGAGTGAACTCCCATTCACAATTGCTTCAAAGAGAATAAAATACCTAGGAATCCAACTTACAAGGGATGTGAAGGACCTCTTCAAGGAGAACTACAAACCACTGCTCAAGGAAATAAAAGAGGATACAAACAAATGGAAGGACATTCCATGCTCATGGGTAGGAAGAATCAATATCGTGAAAATGGCCATACTGCCCAAGGTAATTTACAGACTCAATGCCATCCCCATCAAGCCACCAATGACTTTCTTCACAGAATTGGAAAAAACTACTTTAAAGTTCATATGGAACCAAAAAAGAGCCCGCATCGCCAAGTCAATCCTAAGCCAAAAGAACAAAGCTGGAGGCATCACGCTACCTGACTTCAAACTATACTACAAGGCTACAGTAACCAAAACAGCATGGTACTAGTACCAAAACAGAGATATAGATCAATGGAACAGAACAGAGCCCTCAGAAATAACGCCACATATCTACAACTATCTGATCTTTGACAAACCTGAGAAAAACAAGCAATGGGGAAAGGATTCCCTATTTAATAAATGGTGCTTGGAAAACTGGCTAGCCATATGTAGAAAGCTGAAACTGGATCCCTTCCTTACACCTTATACAAAAATCAATTGAAGATGGATTAAAGACTTAAACGTTAGTCCTAAAACCATAAAAACCCTACAAGAAAACCTAGGCATTACCATTCAGGACATAGGCATGGGCAAGGACTTCATGTCTAAAACACCAGAAGCAATGGCAACAAAAGCCAGAATTGACAAATGGGATCTAATTAAACTAAAGAGCTTCTGCACAGCAAAAGAAACTACCATCAGAGTGAACAGGCAACCTACAAAATGGGAGAAAATTTTCACAACCTACTCATCTGACAAAGGGCTAATATCCAGAATCTACAATGAACTCAAAAAAATTTACAAGAAAAAAACAAACAACCCCATCAAAAAGTGAGCAAAGGACATGAACAGACACTTCTCAAAAGAAGACATTTATGCAGCCAAAAAACACATGAAAAAATGCTCATCATCACTGGCCATCAGAGAAATGCAAATCAAAACCACAATGAGATACCATCTCACACCAGTTAGAATGGCAATCATTAAAAAGTCAGGAAACAACAGGTGCTGGAGAGGATGTGGAGAAATAGGAACACTTTTACACTGTTGGTGGGACTGTAAACTAGTTCAACCATTGTGGAAGACAGTGTGGTGATTCCTCAGGGATCTAGAACTAGAAATACCATTTGACCCAGCCATCCCATTACTGGGTAAATACCCAAAGGATTACAGAACAAGGTGCTATAAAAGACACATGCACACGGATGTTTATTGAGGCACTATTCACAATAGCAAAGACTTGGAACCAACCCAAATGTCCAACAGTGATAGACTGCATCAAGAAAATGTGGCACATATACACCATAGAATACTATGCAGCCATGAAAAATGATGAGTTCATGTCCTTTGTAGGGACATGGATGAAGCTGGGAACCATCATTCTCAGCAAACTATCGCAAGGACAAAAAACCAAACACCGCATGTTCTCACTCACAGGTGGGAACTGAACAACGAGAACACATGGACACGGGAAGGGGAACATCACACACTGGGGCCTGTTGTGGGGTGGGGGGAGGGGGGAGGGATAGCATTAGGAGATATACCTAATGTTAAATGACGAGTTAATGGGTGCAGCACACCAACATGGCACATGTATACATATGTAACTAACCTGCACATTGTGCACATGTACCCTAAAACTTAAAGTATAATAAAAAAAAATTAAAAAAAAAAAGAAAAAATGAATATATCAGATGTTTCAAATTATGTCTTCATAAGCAGAATAAATTGGATGTTTTTCAATATTATTATTTGAGTACAGTTTTCCCACTATCTTTAGACTATAATTCACTTAGTATACAAGGTTTCCTCCAAGTTCATTATCACTAGGGAATTTTAAGCCACTGATCTCTTCTTAGATCTTTTCTTTCTCACAATAATGTCAAACTAAATTAAGTATTTTTAAAATACAGTTCTGTGTATATATTACCATATCTTACGATACATAATGAATACAGGAGGGAAATGATTTTAACACACAAAACCACTACTTACTAACGTTAAAGTCTGTCAATTTAAGTGGATTTCACAATATCTTAAAAACTTTCTCAACCAATTTAAATGACCAATTTTGTCCCCTCAAAGAATAAACTCCTTTTTTCCAGACTCCATTCATAGTCCCAGTCATTAATGTTAAATGTTTAAGATTACAGTTGTCCTTCAGTACCCATGAGGGATGGTTCCAGAACTCCCAAGGATACCAAAATCCTTGGATGTTCAAGTCTTTGACAGAAAATGGCATAGGATTTGCATATAATCTACACACATCCTTCCATATACTTTAAATCTTCTCCGGATTACTTACGATGCCCAATAAAATATAACTGCCATGCAAACAGTTGCATGGCAACTATTTGTTATTCTATTGTGTTGTTTTTTCATTTGTATTATTTTTTATTGTCGTATTGTTATTTTTAATTGTTTATTAAAGAATATTTTTGGTCTGAGTTTTGGAAATAGGGTCTTTGTAGATAATCAGATTAAGATGAGGCCATTGATTTCTTGGCTCCAGAACCTGCAGATACAGAAGGTCAACTGTGTGTAAAACTATTTCCTTACCTTAGAAAACGCTGAAGGAGTATCATTTATATAACTGCATTTCAAAAGAAATACTTATCAAAAATACTTCTAAAAGTATAGCATTAAATAATACAATATGATCTTTCATTCTATTTGTAAAGTCAGCCCTCTCAATTATGCATATAAAAAGTGGAAAAAATATTTCTTTTCATTGAATGTCTGGGAATGTTACAGTATACACCATGGTTTTACTGGTGAGTAAGTGATAGGTGGAAACTTTTTCTAGATAATTAAAATCTAAAGCTCTGCGATTTAAACAAATTGTCCATCCTAAAATGTTATGCCCAAGCTACATACAATAACAAAACTAAAATCAGGTAATGCTGCCATAACAAAGCACCCCAAACTAGGTGGCGAAAACAACATAGATGGATTGTCTCACAGTTCTGGAGACCAGAAGTCTGAGATCAAGGTATCAGTTATCTTGGTTCCTTCTGGGAACTGGGAGAGACAATCTATTCTAGGCCTCTCCCCTAGCTACTGGATAGCTCCAGGCATTACTTGGCTTATAGATGGTGTTCTCCCTCTTTAGCTTCACATCTTCTCTCTGTATGTGTCTCTGTGTTCAAATGTTCCATTTTCATAAAGATACCAGTCAAACTGGACTAGGGCCACCCCAATGACCTCATCTTAATCTGATCATCTACAAAGACCCTATTTCCAAATAAGGTCACATTCACAATGGCCTTGGATTTCTAATTTCAATATATTTTTGGAGAGAGGAACACAATTCAACCCCTAACAGGTACTAACTAAATATCATGAATTCTCACAGCATTTGTCATCTCTTCCCTTGAATTCTTTAATATACCACATGGTCAGGGGTCAGTTTTCCTCTTATCTGCCCTAACAGCAGATTCCACACCATATCACTTCCTTCATTTTCAAACACCTTCTTCACTTGATTTCCAGGACGCTATGCTCTCCGGGTGTGCTGGAGATCACAGCATTTGTAATCTCTTCCTTAGGATTCTTTAATATACCAAAAAAGAGTACCTTATACTCCTATCTTAAAGATATGTTATGTTGGTGGAGTGGTTAGCCACTCAATAAAGTTTTTGGAGATGTTTAAAGGAGTTTTCTGTAACTTCTGGAAGCCTGTTAAGTGCTAAAAACTGTCATTATCAGTTTCCTCTCTGAGTCCAGCTTACTACCTTCTATTACTGCAAATGTTCATGGCCAGCATGGAGGCACAGGGGACTAATAAAGCATCCAGCTTCTCAATGTGATTCATTTATAGGAGGCTTGTCACCTCATATCCTTTGTGGGAAGAGGTAGGTTATAATAAGAAAGAAAGCCCAATTTAAATCCCACATGGTATTCCTGCGACAACAACTATTTATTGAGTGCTTAGTGTGCCAGGCACTGTTCTTGGCACTGAACGAAATGGACAAAAATTCCTGCCCTTATGAAGTATATATTCTGCTGGTGGTGGGAAGAAAATAAACAAATTAAGATGTAAAATATATAGCATGTAAGATGGTTATAATTGTTGCACAAAATAAAGAAGGGAAGGAAAATAGAAAGTGCCAGAAGGCAGCAGATTGCAACTTTAAATAGGTTCTTCAGTGGAGATGATGCTGACTAAAGACAGGAAGGAGGCATGGGGGCCAGGGCTCCAGGAAGGAGGCACAGGGAGGGCAAAGGTCCTGAGAGGGTGTGTGCTCCACAAACAGCAACGAGTCAATCAATGGGCTGGAACCAAAAGGCCTTGAGCAAAGGAGTGCCATGAACTATGAGGCTGTGGCTGCCATGTTGAGAATAAAGTTCAAGAAAGCAAAGGTGAAAGTCAAGAGGGCAGTTAGGAAGACCTGTGGGTAGTGGTGAAGGTGGCAAAGAGTAGTCATCCTCTGGGTATGTTTTGAAGACAGATTTATAGGACTTGCTTAAAGGTTGAGTCTGAGGTATCAGAAAGGAAAGATGTTAGAGATAATACAAGATTTTTAGTTTGAACACCCAGAGGATAGTTTCTATTTACTAAGATAGGGATGACTGTGGAAGGAGTAGATTTGGAGAGAAGTTCAGATGGTTGTTTTGGAGATGTTACATTGAGATAATCTATCAGATATCTAAAAGAAGTGTCACTATATATGCAATTCGATATATTAATCATGAGGGAAAGATATGTAGGCTGGGGGTATTGATTTGGAAGTGTAAAATATAGGTAGTATTTGGAGTCCTGAGCATGGAGAAGTACAGAAGGGGTCCAAGGACTGAATCTTGTGATGAACCAGTGCAAGGAGGTTGAAGGGGTGAAAGGGAACTAGCGAGGAAGACTGGGGAGAATCACCTGTGAGGTAGGAGGCACACCAGGCGGGCACAGTGTCCTGGAAATCAAGTGAAAAAAGTGTTTGAAAATGAAGGAACTGATATTGTGTGGAATCTGCTGATAGGGCAGGTAAGAAGAGAACTGACCACTGACCATCGGATTTAGCTACATGTAGGCCATCAATGGCCTTGACAAAACAGTTTCAATTGAGTGACAGAAAGAAAGCCTGATTATAACGGGTTCATGAAAGAAAGGAAAATGTAGAACGGAGACAGTAGATTCTTTTTAGAGTTTCGCTGTAAAGTGGTTAAGAGAAAGCAGATGCTTGAGAGTGATGTTGAGTTAAGCAAGAGTTTATTTTCTTTTCATAGGAGAAAAAAATTGCATTTTATTTTATTTTACTTTAAAATTTTATTTTATTTTTCATTTTATTTTTTGAGACAAGTTCTGGCTCTGTCACCCGAGCTAGAGTACACTAGTACAATCTCGGCTCACTGCAACCTCCGCCTCCCAGGCTCAAGCCATCCTCCCACCTCAGCCTCTCAAGTAGCTTGGACTACAGGCGTGAACCACCACACCTGGATAATGCTTGTTTTTTTTTTTTTTTTTTCTGGAGAGATGGGATTTCTCCATGTTGCCCAGGCTGGTCTCAAACTCATGAGCTCAAGTGATCCGCCCGCCTCGGCCTCTCAAAGTGCTGGGAATACAGGCACGAGCCACAGCATCCAGCCAGAAGTAGCGTTTTTAAAATGTAGATATGGATAACCAAATAGAGAGGGAAACTGGATTATGCAGGTCAGGAAGCAGGAAAATCCTGGAATAATGTTCTTGAACAGATAGAGTGGTAGAAACTACCAATTAGGTTGAGGGATTGGCTTGATATAGACAGGAAAACGTTTGTCTGTGGTCATTGTTATGAAGGCAGAGTATGTGAGTGGATAGAGGAGATGATGGGAATCCAGAAGTTCTGCTCTGATGAGTTCCATTTTTTTTTTTCAGTGAAGTCAGAATAAAGTCACCAGCTGAGAATGATGATGGAGAACTGTTGGGAGTTTGGTGGGGAATGTATGAGATAGTCCAGGAGAGTGCAGAGTGAATGGGCCAGGGAAGCATGGTACAAGCTCATTTGAGATTCATGGCTGTAACTTTAAGTGAAACCTACCAGCATGGTTGTCTATTTTTTCCCAGGCCACATTCATCTGCATGGGTACAGATGCAGAGAGGCAGAGGGTTGAATCTGCCACGGACTGAGGCATTGCTGGGAAAGTCCAATGAAGTGACAGAGGAGCAGGAACATCAAGGGAAAGGGCAAGAGAGGGGCTAAAATGACCAACTATGGAATTTATGCTGAGTGAGGAGGAAGTTCAGGAATGAGGACAGTGAGAGACAGTGAAAAGGAGGTAGCCAGTGGATTGTAGTTCCCTGAGAAGATGAAGAAATACTGGAAACATGATACAGAGAAAATAAGTTGGGAATCTAGGACATGGTGATCAGAGGATGAGATTCTTGAAATTAAGATGTGGAGGAGTTCACATGATAAGTAACAATGATAAATAGTCTGGACTAGCTGAGGAAGACTGGAGGAAAAAAAATCATCTGCAAAGGAGTGGTGATAAAGGACATGAGGGGCAAGAATACAGAAAAGATCATGAGATCACCAGAAATTACGACAGTGCTGTAAAGTGAGACAATCTTCAAGGATTGAGGGGAATAATATGGGGATAGGTAGACAACTTCAACGTGGAGGGATCACAGGTGACTTAGTCTAACAGCATGAGATTCAAAGCAGATAGACTGAAGCACATTTTTAAATATCCTATTGTCTTCGTATAAGCTGAAAGAAGCAACCTTAACTTACTTCTTTTAAAAAAAAAAAGTTGAGTTCACTAGACAAAGTAAAAAAAAAAGGCTGCTGATTATTCATCATAATCAGGAGGGAATGAAAGGGGATAATTGTGCAAAGAATAGCATCTGGACCAAGAAAATCATGCTTCCTGCATGCACCAGCCCCAGGAAGGGGTCAGAAATCCACATTATAATATGCAAGGGTGTGAGACAAATGCCAAGCTGACCTGGACCAGCAACCACACCAATCTGATCTGACATCATGGGCCATGACACAGAAGCAGGAGTGTCTGTGAGGAAGTGGGGCTCCCCAAGGACCGAAGTCAACAGACTGACCCAACGTCTCACTCATGTGGGAAATAGGAGTCCCCAGTATTCTTGATCTTCCCCGACGCTGGGGATGCTGGGCCCAGCCCCAAACCCTCCACACCAGCTGCTGGGCCATGCTGGGGCTAGCAGCTGTTGACAGTGATGAAGTCAGCTGAAATGCCATCTCAAATAGTAGTAAATAAGATACACCCCAGTGTAGAGAAAACTTAAAGTAGAAATCAGCATTGTGGTGAGTGTCATCTTAATCCAATCTCAAAGATAGAAAGGCCCATTTTCAAGCCTTCTGTGTTTCTTTGTCAGCTTTCTGTACATATTTATGCCTCGGCACAGTCTATTTCAATAACAACACTGCTTATGTACAATTGTAAAAAGCAACTAAAACTTATTAGAACTGAATGTTCTCACATCTCAATGAAAACTCTGGGATAGGAGACAATATAATGCAAGGCACTGTGAAGGTTCAGTATCTCTTCTCCTAACAGTTCAGTTTGGTGTCAAGGAAGAGACACAAATGTACTTGGAGCTGTGAACAAGAAGTAAACAACATTTCAGAATCCAAAGGGGGGAATATAAGACAAGCATCTTGCCAATAAAACAGTGTGTAGAAGATCAAAGTGTTCATGTGTGCACAAGAGTGACTTTTCAGGACAAAAAAAAGAGGAGAATTCCAGATGAAGCTGCACATGAACTCTCCAAGACACTGCATCAGGGAGGTCTCTGATAGATTCTTTTTGTTTGTTTTTCATCTTCCCTTTTCCACCAGCATGCAGAAAGAAAAAAAAGTCATTTGAGGAGTAAACCGAAAAACTCACCACCATTGAATCACGTACGAACAAACTAATCAGAAGCCCAAACCACAGACTCATATCTGATGTCCACAGAGAACAAAGAAAAGTAATTTCTGGGGCAGCAATCTTGTTTTCCCAGTATTCAGAGAGCTCTAGTATTGGAAAACTTTCTGACTCCCAGCAAAGAGCTATAGAAAGATTGTTCTCAAGTGCTTTAAAACGAAATCCTGAAATGCACCTGCTTTAAAACGAAATCCTAAAATGCACCTGCAAAAGTCATAACAAGCTTGTTAAATATTGCTTCTAGTGTTAACATTGTAATGTTGCAGCTAAGTATAGACTTTTATTCTAGTGTGGCTCAACATCAAAAATTCAATTAAAAGCCTAGGACATGGAGCAATTGGAACTCTCACACACTGCTGATGGGAATGGAAAATGATGCAGCCACTTTGGGGAAAAGTCTTGCAGTCTTTCAAAGAGTTAAATATAGAGTTACCCTATGACCCAATAATTCGATTCCAAGGTATATATCCAAGAGAAATTTTAAAAAATATGCCCAAAGACTCATACATGAATGTTTATGGCAACATTATTCATAAGAGCCAAAACATTCAAACAACCCAAATGTCCATGAGCTGATGAATGGATAAGCAAAATGTGGTCTATCCATAGAGAGGAATATTATTCCACAATAAAATGAAGTGCCGTTATAAGCTAGAGCATGGATGAACCTTGAAAACATTGTGATAAATACTGTGATAAGTTAAATATTGTGATAAGTTAAAGATAAGTTAAAGCAATTTATAGAAGACCACTTTTTTCAAATTCTGTTTATAGAAAATGTCCAGAATAGGCAAATCCATAGATACAGAAAGTAGACTGGTGATTGCCAGGGACTAAGGGATGTTAGAGAAAAATGGGGAGCAACTGCTAACAGGCACAGGGTTTCTTTTTTGGCTGAAGAAAATGTTCCAAAATTGACTATAGTGATGGTTGCACAACTCTGTGAATAGACTAAAAACCATTGAGTTGTACACTTTAAATGGATGAACTATATCTTAATAAGGCTATTTTTTTTAAGCTAAGGACAGATATTAAGGCAGAATTAACATTTTCCTTTGTGAATATCTGTACGTCAAAAATTAGTTTTTCTTTCAATGTCATTGTTAGAACTTGGACCTAATAGGTGACCAACATCTGAGGCAGCACACTGACCAACTTCAAACTATACTATAAGGTTATAGTAAACAAAACAGCATGGTACTGGTACAAACACAGACACACAGATCAATGGAACCGAATAGAAAGCTCAGAAATAAAGCCACACATTTACAACCATCTGATCTTTGACAAGGCCAAAAAAAACAAGTAATGAGGAAAGGATCCCTATTCAATAAATGGTGCTGGGGTAGCTGGCTAGTCATATACAGAAGAATGAAACTAGAACTTTACCTTTATTTCTTTTGTTTTGTTTTGTTTTGTTTTGTTTTGTTTTTTTGAGAAGGAGTCTCACTCTGTCACCTGGGCTAGCGTGCAATGGCATGATCTAGGCTCACTGCAACCTCCGCTTCCCGGGTTCAAGCAATTCTCCCTGCCTCAGCCTCCCAAGTAGCTGGGATTACAGGCAGCTGCCACCATACCTGGCTAATTTTTGTATTTTCAGTAAAGACAGGGTTTTGCCATGTTGGCCAGCCTGGTCTCAGACTCCTGACCTCAGGTGATCCACCTGCCTCAGCCTCCCAAAGTGCTGGGATTACAGGCATGAGCCACCATGCCTGGCCCTGGAACTTTATCTTTCACCGTATACAAAAAGTAACTGAAGATGGACTAAAGATTTAAATGTAAGATCTCAAACTATAAAAACTCTAGAAGAAAACCTAGGAAATACCCTTCTTAACATCAGCCTTGGAAAATAATTTTTGGCCAAGTCCCCAAAAGCAATTGTAATAAGAACAAAAATTTACAAGTAGAACCTAATTAAACTAAAGAGCTTCTGCACGCCAAAAGAAACCCTCAACAGAGGAAACACCCTACAGAATGAGAGAAAATATTCACAAACTGTGCATCTAACAAAGATCTAATATCCAGAATCCATAAGCAACTAAAACAAATCAACAAGCAAAAAATAACTCCCCCCAACAAATGACATGAACAGACACATCTTAAAAGAAGACTATATGAGTGGCTAACAAACATATTAAAAATGCTCATTATAATTAATCATAAGAGAAATGCAAATCAAAACCACAATGAGATATCATCTCACACCAGTCAGAACGGCTATTACAAAAAGTAAAAAAAAAAAACAGATGCTGGCAAGGCTATAGAGAAAAGGGGACGTTTATATACTGTTGGCTAAGAATGTAAATTAGTTCGGCCACCGTAGAAAGCAGTTTGGAGATTTCTCAAAGAACTTAAAACAGAGCTACCATTCAAGTCAGCAATCCCATTACTAAGTATATACCCAAAGGAAAATAGATCATTACACCAAAAAGGCACATGCCCTCACATTCATTGCCATGCTGTTCACAATAGCAAAGACATGGAAGATCTAAGTGCCCATCAATAGTGGACTGGATAAAGAAAATGTGACATATATATGTATTCCATGATATATATATATATATATTCCATGATATATATATATATATATATATAATTTTATATATATATATATATATATATATATATATATATATATATAATGGAATACTACACAGCCATAAAAAGAATGAAGTCATGTCCTTTGCTGCAACATGGAAGGAGCTGGAGACTATAATCCTAAGTGAATTAATGCAGGAACAGAAAACCAAATATTGCATATTCTCACTCATAAATGGGAGCTAAATATTGAATACACATGGACATAAACATAGGAATAATAGACACTGCAGACTACTAGAGGAAGGAGGAAGAAAGAAGGCATGGGCTGAAAAACTACCTATTGGGTATGATGCTCACTACCTGGGTGCAGTATACCCATGTAACAAACCTGCACATGTACCCTCTGTATCTAAAATAAAAGTTGACATTTTAAAAAATAAATAAAAGTCTTATTTTTATATAATTGTCTTCTGATCAACACTGTGCTATTTTCAGTGTGGAAGGCGCTTATAGAATAAACAAAAATCATTTCTACGCAAACACAAAATAGTAAATAAAAAGTGATTATTTGTGATTTAAGAATGTCTATCCATTTTTTCCTATGTTGCTTTAGATGGGATACAGAAAGTAGAGAGAAAAGAGAAAGGGGGTAGGCGTGTTTGTTCATATGAGAAGAAATGTCCAGGAGCCAGAAAAGTAGCATCTGCTCCTGCTGGCTGTGACTAAAATTAAGCTCTAATTTAGCTTTCAGCTAAAATTATTATAATTGAAATAAAACTAACAAACTGGATGTGACTTGCAATTTTCTCATCATTTAGGGGAGACGAGGCCAAATGGTAACTTCAGAATAGTGGGCTTCTCCCCTGAAGTGTGTGTTGAATGGACAAAGACCTTCCCTAGCTATCCCCTCTCCATTGCTAGAGCTGCATTTCATCTTCACAGGTCCTCCAAATCCATGACAAATAAGTTGCATTTGGAGAAAACCCAGGGAGGCAATGGAGCTGAGCACCCTGGGATAGTTTGGAACTTAGGGAAGTTATGTTTACTTTTTATTTGATTCTTCGTTTTGAAGCCCTTGCTTAAAATGAGACTTTTACATACAGTCATACACATCCACTGTACACATACACACACACACACACACACACACACACACACACACACACACAGGTGTATGTAGTGCATGTGTATATGCACATATGTGTATGTGTATACATATACATGCATATGCATATATGTGTATGTGTATACATATACATGCATATGCATATATATAAATATAATCTTATACCTTATACGTCTATAGTGGTCCACAAGTACTGGTTTATGAAAACAAAATAGCACTTACCATGAGTCTATACTCCAAATATGTGTTCAATACAAACTGTAAATATCAACACAATAATGATTATTTTTAAAAATACAACCAGAAGTGAGCATTCCGAAGTTCTGGGGAGAAGCCAAGTGCTGAGGTATATCTGGCTTGCTGCACAATGGTGTCAACTCTCATTTTTCTTAAAAGGGGATAAAAGGGAACCTGGTCTTCTTATAAAGAAAACCCACTGACTTCATGAAAAAGTCACATCTCCCTTGGGTATCTATTTTACCTATTCAAATGACTAGCAAGCTTGCTATTGAAAATGCTGAGAAATATTAATACAAACTCTCTCAGGTTAAAGATATAAAGTCTGTGAAAATACATACAGCCATATGATTAACACAAACAGTCCTTTTTTTAAAAAAAAATGGCATTTTTATTTGTTATATTGGGTAACAGGCAGAATAAAAAGAAAATAAAGCAATGCATACAAATGAGGAAACTGCATTCTGTATTATATAAAGATTTAATTTTATCATGAGCTTTGGAACATTCTATATAGGAAAAAATTGTTAGTTTTTTTTTCATTTTTAGTCTCTGAAAGAGGATCCTGTATTAATCTAAAAACCTAAATGCAAACTTGTACCAGAGTTATTGTTCTAAATATAAATAAAATGTTTAAAAGCATATTCTTACACTCTGAGTAAAGATCCCTAGTTATCAGCTTAAACAATGTGTTACATTTATTTTTGTTTATTCTGCAAATATTAATAATAATTGGCTATGTTTAAACTTTTCTGTTTTCACAGAAATGATTACAGTCCCTTTCTTCGGTTTCTTTGTAATGGCTTGGGTCATAACCAACCAATATCAGTTGTCAAGATCTTAGAGAAATATGTCTGAACCAACCAAGAATAATTAATCTAAATCCTTTGTGCAGACACTGGGTGTAGTATGTTATGAGTCACTGATTTTCTCCTCTACAGCTGATATATTCAGCATGAAGAAAGACTTTCTGTTTAGTAACAATTGTACTTTATTTTTTCCCAAGGTCAAAAACATTTAGGTAAGGTCTGTTCATCTGCAGATCTAGTGTTAGACTTGGGAAATTTAATAGTTTCTGACACATTCTGCTTTGTTGATATTGGTATATTTTATTTGTTTTTGCTTTTGTTGCCTAATCTATTATTTATTATATTTTGAAATTATATGAAGTATATGAAAATGTATACATGTATATGCACAATTTAAGAATCAGTAATAAAATGAAATATTTGCATCTGACTCCCTGGCCAATAAATAGAGGATTCCCAGATGCCCCCAAATTATTTTTATTACCTTTGTACATAACCTCAAACAATAAATAGTTTAGTTTTACTTGTTCTTATACTTTATTTGAATTGAATAATTCTGAATTTATTCTCCTCTGAGATTCTTTCATTCCACAATATGTTTTTGAAATTCATCCATGTTGATGAGTGCAACAATTATTCACAATGTTGGTCTATTTTTTTAACATAAAATATCTACCCTCTCCAAAGACATATAGACTGCTTTATCTATTGGGAATAGAATAAGCATTAGTCTGGCAATGCTGAGTTACATCCAAAGACTTCAAAGGCATGAAGAATTTCTCTTTCGTTTTCTTTCTGATGATGGGATAGATGAGTAACTTTTTAAGAAAATATCTGAAAAATAATAAAGTTAAATTTCCTTGCATTGCTAGAATAAAAATTTCCCAATATCTTAGTAAAGCGTATAGATAACTGCCTTATGTGTGTGAGTATCTTTGTCGAAACTAAGTAAGATAATGGATTTCATATCTGGGTGAACTTGAGAACCACACTTGTACTCCAGCCTGGGAAAAGCCAAAGAGCTTGGGAAGGATTTTATTTTATTATTATTTGTTTTAGATGGAGTCTCACTCTCACCCAGGCTGGAGTGCAGTGGAGTGATCCTGACTCACTGAGACCTCCGCCTCCTGGGTTCAAGCAATTCTCCTGCCTTGGCCTCCCAAGTACCTGGGACTACAGACATGCACCATCATTCCCAGCTGATTTTTGTATTTTTGGTAGAGATGGGGTTTTGTCATGTTGCCCAGGCTGGTCTTGAACTCTTGACCTCAGGTGTTCCACCCGCCTTGGTTTCCCAAGGTGCTGGGATTACAGGCATGAACTACCACTTACGGCCTTGGGGAGGATTTTAGGCAAATGCTCAGTGTGCAGTGGTCAATCAAGTCAATCTCGTCTACAATTAAAGAGTCAAGGAGACTCACACAGACACCTGTGCGGGTCAGAACAAGAATATACTAACTTCTTTCTGGTTTCTATCTTGGACCATCATAAAATTAGAGAACAAGGCAAGCTTATGAATCAGAGGTGCTATTTCAGTGACTTAAGCTAAGAAGATAATAGGAATTCAGAAATGAAACACATCAGTGAGGAACAGAATATCTGAGGCTATCATGGGGGACATTACATTTGTAGTAGACTTGGGATGAATCTACAGCATTTAGGAAAATGGGCAAGAAGAGGGAAGACACCATTGAAGGTAAGTGGAAAAGAACTGCATGACCTAAGATACGTAAATGAGAATTGTCTAAGACAAAATGAAATGAGTGCTAAATCGAGGCATAAATAATATGGGGAAATCCAAAGGGAGGGATTAATTCTTTCTGACAGAAGAGCTTTCCAAAGAGGTAGCTCTGGAGCCTTTAAACATGATAGGGATTTAAATGGGCAGAAAATGGAGAAGAATTTTTACTTCTCATAAGATACTAGATAAAATAAACTTCCTAAAAATGTTGGATGCAATTCTTTTTAAAAACCTGTTCTAGGGCACAGCTGAGTTTGCAAGACAATAAGAAAATAAAGGAAATCCTAAAATAATAGAAAGCAAGAGCAAGAATCCAAGATGGGAAGCAGGCTCTCAATCCAGCAGCTACCTCGAGGCAGTTGCCAGCTTCCAGTAACCTAGATGGAAATAGTCTACAGGCAAACACTACCCAAAAGGAAGATGATACCACTATTTATACTAACAAATACATTTTAAGGCAATAAATATTTTTACTGAAAAAGAGGATAACTACATAATACTAAAACATTCAATCCTCTAAGAAAATGTAATAATTTCACTTTTTTTTTTTTTTTTTTTTTTTGAGACAGGGTCTCACTCTGTCACCCAGGCTGGAGTGCAGTGGTGCGATCTCAGCTCACTGCAACCTCCGCCCCCCAAGTTCAAGCGATTCTCATGCCTGAGCCTCCTAAGTAGCTGGGATTACAGGCACCCACCACTGTGCCTGGTTAATTTTTGTATATTTAGTAAAAATGGGGTTTCATCACGTTGGCCAGGCTGGTCTGCAACTCCTGTCCTCAGGCAATCTGCCCGACTCAGCCTCCCAAAGTGCTAGGATTACAGGCATGAGCCACTGTGTCCAGCCAAGAAAACATAATTATTCTAAATGCATATACAGCTAATAACATAAATTCCAAATAAATAAAGCCATATTTGACAGAATAAATGAGAACTTGAAAAATTAATTTTATTAAGGAGATTTTTAACAGAGCTCTTTCAGTAACCAACTGATGACAGAGAACAATAACAGAAACTAAACTAAAACAGATTTAAAACAATTTAAATGAAATTAACAAACTATAATTTATTATAAAATTATAAGGTGAAATATGTACATATTACAAAAGTTGAATATAGACATATCACATTCACTGACGACAATGTAATCACGTTAGAAACTAATAATGAAGAAAACTCAAACAATATATGATTGGTGATTTTTCTAATATATAAATAACTCATAATTCAAATAATGAACCATAACGCAAATTGGAAAATACTACATATCCAAGTCTGAGAAGTTCAACTAAAGCATTACTTAGAAATGAAGAGGGGCTGGATACTATTGGGTTAAGTGGACAATTTAAGAATTTAGAAGCTTAGCAGAACAAAATCTAAAGAAGCCAAAAGGCAGTGTTGGTTCAGATTATGCAGTGCCCATTGGGTACTAAGGAGCTCTATGTTACTATGCAGCTAATATAGAATCTGTGTGATTTCAGGAGGGGGAAGACATTGTATCAGTTAGAAATATTTGTGTTTTAGATGACAAAAACAACTCTAAGTTAATGAAACAAAAAAAAAATGAACTTAATAGCCAAAGAAAATGAGAAAGCTAGCAGAGATTTATTTAGAGGCTTAAACAATGTCCCCAGAGCCCACACTCTCTCCCTCTTGAAGCTCATTCTTCTCCACAATGGTTTTATTTCCAAGTTCTACTTGGTGGCTAGACAGTTGCCAGAAACTACAGACCTACATCTTCCTTAGATTTACCCAGCCCTTGGAAAATCTCTTTCGAACTCTGAATCAATTACTCCGAACAGGATATTGCAAAATGTTCTATTTGGTCTGAATCACATCCACCTCCAATATGTGACATATGTGTAGAAGAGAAAGAGGTTTTTCAACAGAAATCCAGTTTACCTTAAAAAGACAGAGTATGGATGCTTTCTAGCCAACACTTGGGCATTCATTTTAACCTGCTTTAAATCCATGTTTCATGACGACTACTCTGGCGGGAGTATCAAAGAATAAGGGGACAGGTGGCCCCTTTGCTTTGATGAGCTTTATCTCCTTCCTCTACCTTCTCCTTTCAGACTTCTGGAAAGCGCCCACCAGCCCCCACAACTTCCCACCAATTGCCAAAGTTTAAATTTCATGCATTTTGTTAATTCAAGAAATGTGTGTATGCTGCCATTCCACAGTTACAGAGGTTGTGGCATGTGAACTGAGAGGATAGAAATGAAAGAACAAGTAGGATAGCAACATTACCAAGGTTCTTCACTAAGCTCACAAATCCACCTTCCCCAACTGTTCCCTATCAATGGAATATGAGACTTACTGATGGCTTACATGGCTATGCACATACCAGGATTCTTTTCATAAATGTGGTACATAGCATGGTGGTATTTTATAGCTTCATTTAAAAAAGAAACCCAGTTATCAAATTCATTCATTAGAGTACTTTTTGCTTATTTGCTCTCTTGGCTTCATGGAGTTATCTGCATCTGAGGTAAAAATATTTTTGAACTTCCACATGTAAGTCTGAATTTCATGATTTTCAAGGGCCTTTGTTTCATGGGGGTGGTCAGAGGTATACATGCAACACATACAGGGAAGGGACAGGTGTAGTAGGAAGCAACAGACAGTATTTGCTAATAAGCCCCTAGCTTTCAGCTAAATAAAAACACATTTTTAAGGTGAACTGTAGTTAAATGAATATTAAGGGTAGCACTGAAAAAGAGAAGAACCCAAAAAAATGCCACATACAATAAAGGAGTACGTGGATGCAGTATGTTGTGATGCACGCATACGTTTTTACGTGTGCCACAGAGTGGGAAGGGAAGGAGATAGGGAGGGAGGGAGATAGGCAGGGAGGGAGGGAGGGACATAGAGAAGGAGGGAGGGAGGGAGATAGGGAGGGAGGCAGGGAGGGAGGGAGACAGAGATAGAAAGAGAGAGAGCATATCTCAAATCTCCTTCCTCGTCTTTTCTAATTGTATGGATAATATGGGCATCTCCCATTCTTTTCAGTACTGGTTGTTAGATTTAACTTGTTTTTTTTCCAGCCCATTTTTAGAATCTCTCAAACTTTCTACCTGTATCCAAAAAGCTGAGACAACCCTTCCACCTTCTGCAAACCCAAGACTCTTAAGCAAAGGATAGATTTATTGGCCATGGAAGCATTAAGTCCCACAACACAATGATAAATAAATTTCATTTCAATAATGTTTAAGTTATTCTAATGTCATTGAAGCAGATTGCTCTCTGTTTGATTCTATATACATATATCTGTGTATGCATATGTGAACATGTATATGCATGTGTTGATATTTAAATGCTTGAAGAAAAATAATCAGCATGACAAAAATGCAAAGAACTAAGAAAAAATTTTTGAGCAATACTCACTATACACATATAAAATTCTTGAAGAGTAGATTTTAAAATACAGATTGTAATAGCCAAAAGAAGAAAATAAAATCTTGTAAGACTCACCTAGGAATAATCATTGTAGACAATTCAAGGACATCTTTCTTGTCTTTATTCTATGCATTTATAAATGTATTTCATTTATGTAAAATGTGTTGAATTATAAACTATATATCCACTATACCTAAGTTTTATAGCTTCTTTCCCCACTATTAGCTATTGATTTTCTCTAACAATATTCTTCTCATGTAAAGTTTCCTATTATAGTTAAAAATAAGGACACTGATGTGTTTTTAAATTTTAAAAAAATTGAATACAGTGTTGAATAGGAACATACGATCTTATTACATTTTTATCAAAGTTTAATTTAAATGATAAGAATAGAGAGAACATATGACAACTGACAAAATCTGGACTTTTTGCCAAAACAACTACTCAGTCATTAAATCTTATTTAAGTCACAGAGCTCTTTGAGAATCTATTAAAAGCTTTGATTCTCTCTCTCTGGAAAAATGCACATGCAAGCAACATTTTGCAAATTATTTCAGAGTTTGCATTAATGTTAAACCTATCTATGGAGCCCCAGCAGACTATAGAACTTGATTTAAGTAGCCTTGTTATATGTGAAAATTTTTCCACTAAGTAAACTAACTACTTGGGACAGGAATTCAATTAAATATTTCAAATAAATAAGCTAGCACCATCCTCCTAAAATGTTACATTTAAATTTTTATCACAGTCAGAAACCAAGTCATTTTTATCATCATTGATGTTGATTATCACCATTCAATTAGACAGTACCTATTGAACACTCTCTATGCCTATGCGCTATGCTTAGCATGAAACCAAGCAGATGCTAAAGTAAATGCCACCCCCTCCTTCTTCAAAAATGTATGGCTAAGTGAGAAAAACAAATAATAAAAACCAGAAGGTGGTAAACACTAAGAGTAGATGCAAGTACCATGGGATCCCGGTACACAACCTATAACAATATTAGAATAAAATTTGAGGAAAATAAATATTTGCAAACTATGCCAAGTGTGTATTTGATCTCAAATTCACTTAGAAAATATTTAAAATTGTTTTTCCACAGTTGAAGTCTATGTAAATATTTTGTACAAATATAGAGGAAATATGCCAAATATAATTTCTCTCCTTAACGCTAGACAAAGGTTAATTTTCCTAATCTTCCCAGGAAGTTTCTTGATTTCCTATCGGTAAAACTCTCTTCAGTCAACATGTGTATGCAATTTTCCCATTATAACAGACTATATCATGCGTACCACTAGACAGCAAATTGTCATGGATAGAATCTTTGCTTCCTAGAATAGAATGCATATTTATGAAGCTGTGAGCTTGAAAAGAACAAGCTAATCTTAACCAAACATGGCTGTTCAGAGGGGTTCTTGCTGAATACCAGACTTAAGAGCATACAGGAAGAAAGGAATAAGGATGGAATGGAAATAGAAGCAAGAATGAAAATGGTCCCTCAGAAATTACCTTCACCTCTACCTTTCCAGAGTTAATAAGATGGATTTAAATAAGTCTTTTCCACCGTTAAAGTCTTTTACATAAGTCTGCTGCCTGATGCAAATATCTACTCATTAATTACAGAGAAGAGGAAACCATGTTGATTATTTTAATGACCACTATATCTAATGTTTAAACTCAGGTGCCTGATTTTGGATATTGGGTTGCCTATATTTTGTTTTCTGACATTTAAAGCATTGTTCCAGTACCAGCAATAAATATTCTCTGTCTAATTATAATTATTTGACTAGGAAGAAATGAAATGAATCTGTTATTCTTCTTGAAGGATAATGAATACCAACCTCGAAGATCATTGCAAATGCTTTCAGTGAAGCAGTATATAAGGAATTGATTGTGTTCCTTTTAACGTAATGTCTAATGGTGTCAGTTAAGTAAAACGAAAATCATCTAAGGAATCAGTCCTCTAAATATAAGAATAACTATTTTCTTATAGACTGAAAAATATCCATGAAGTCTGGCACTATCATTTTAATAAATACTTTCTCTCATCTTACTGATCACCATATTAAAGTGGTAGTTAAATGTTATTACTTTTCAGTATTGATACCCTTGACTCTTCATCTTCTCTCTCTCTTTAAAATAAATTAGTTCTTCATTTCTCAACAACTGATGGAAGTAATGTAAATCCAAAAAGCAGCAATTATGCAAAAACTAAAGTCAAAACCGTTTTCTTTTTCCCCCACTCTAACAGCTTGTAAGCATAATTAATCAAATCAAGCTTCCCTCTCATCGTGGAGAGCTGTAATTTCAAAAAGCAAATTACAGCATCTTTACAGTAGCACACAGAAAGTATATTAAGAAAATACGTATATGAAATAGGAATTTGTTCTTGGTGATAAATTTCATTTTAATAAATCCCACTCTGTATCATGAACTAATATTCATATAATATTTACTGCCCATTTAAGAAGATATCTTATTACTAGAATTTTTAAATAACTCAAAATACAATAAATTATTTCCTATGTCACAATAAATCAATAAAAAGAAAAAAATTAGTAAACACCACAGGTTCAGAAGTCATCTCAAGCCTATCTAATGTATTATATTAATAAATATACCTCGGCAGTTTTTTTAACAGACTCATCAAAAGTAGCATTTAAAAAATCAAAACTGCCTATAGTGTTGCAAAATGTCCACAATTAAGATATCATTCATCTAGTGATGTAAGTTTCTTTTTTCCATATTTTCCAGGAATCATTTAATAATTATTCTCATTGTTTGCAGAAATGCGTGGCTATTGCTCTCTGTTTCGAGGATATGTTATGCCTATGTGTCCAAATAATTGCCTAAGATTATGAATGCAGGAAAAACACTCAAATAGTGATTTGCTACCCAAGACATGATATTAGAGAGCACACTTTCTTTCACTGAATCATCTTAAAATCCCTCCTCTTTCTTACTCTTTCTTAATGACTTCCTAGACTAACTGAATGTAGAAGACCAACAGAAATTTAATGGCACACTACCACTACCCTTTCCTATATCATTATTCCCCTGGGGGTCATACTGCTATTAAATCATCTATTTGGTGTATGAATTTTGGATCCTAACATTGATGGAGCTGTCTGAATCTCCTTTGTATTTACTTGAATCAGTGTTGCCTATCTGTTGTGCAGCCAATCCAGGATCAGCTCCAGGTAAGCCACTTCCAAAAGCTGCTTGGTATAAATGATGATGATGAAAATTATTTATTAAAGTCCAGCTTTCTTATCATCTAGAATTTTGTTCTGTAGGGAGGTAAATCTATTTTCTCTTGAAGATACAGAGCTAATTTATTTGACTGAAGCACTTCATGACAGCAATCATGGAACACAAAAAGAAGCTATCAATGTGCACACAGAAGCAAGAACACAGGCCGTGCACACAGGACAAGCACAGCAACTGACTCAAAAGATGAGCCCTTCCCCCAGCAGTCAGTGGGATTCTTCTGGTCTTCCTGGAAAGGATAAAGAACTTATGAGCACTGTCACTCTAAAAGGGACAGAATCTAACGCACCTTCATACAGGCCATCTGAAGCAAAAATAATTTGGATAAATTTTAACCAGCCGGGTGCGGTGACTCACGCCTGTAATCCCAGCACTTTGGGAGGCGAAGGCAGATGGACCACTTGACGACAGGAGTTAGAGACCAGCCTGGCTAACATGATGAAACCCCATGTCTACTAAAATATAAAAATTAGCTGGGCATACTTTGGGAGGCCGAGGTGGGCAGATCACAAGATCAAGAGATCAAGACTATCCTGGCCAACATGGTGAAACCCCGTCTCTACTAAAAATACAAAAATTAGCTGGGCATGGTGGCATGCACCTGTAGTCCCAGCTACTTGGGAGGCTGAGGGAGGAGAATTGCTTAAACCCAGGAGGCAGAGCTTGCAGTGAGTTGAGATCACGCCACTGTACTACAGCCTGGTGACAGAACGAGACTCTGTCTTAAAAAAAAAAAAAAAAGAAAAAGAAAAGCTGGGCATGGTGGTGCGCATCTGTAATCCCAGCTACTCGGGAGGCTGAGGTGGGAGAATTGCTTGAGCCTGGGAGGCAGAGGTTGCAGTGAGCCAAGATCATGCCACTGCACTCCAGCCTGGCCACTACGTGACACAGTGAGATCCTGTCTAAAAAAAAAAGGAAAGAAAGAAAGAAAGGAAATCTGGTACATAAATGTTAATAGAAATGAACCATGAACTCCGTCTCCAAAAAAAAAAAAAAAAAATTAACTAAGGGGGAAAGGCAAACAATGACCCAGATAACAATATATATCAAAGCAAGTAACAAATTGATCTTGAACCAACTATGTATGCCCAAGGTATAATATATACATTATGTATATTACTGTGGGACACATGTAAATTGCAGTAAAAATAGCTAATAATTATTTTTAGGTATAACTACTGAGGATGTTAAACTATTAATGATTTACATAAGACCCAGTATTAGATTCTAAAATTAGTCACATATTATTTATGTGAAGATAATAATGTAAAAAATGTACATTATTTTCATTTTCATACAGAGAAATTCTATATGGAATATGTATATTTACACAGTAAAATCTGTACAGATCCTACAGCATAAATTGTATAATTTGTGCAAACACAGAGCTGTCTGAAACTTGATGAGAAGAATAAAGCAAGTTAGAAAACTCCATAAATGATGCATTTTACATGTTCTTTGTATTTCAACAAAAATTTGCTATCAAACTTTATTGCCTATCAAAGAATATAAAGATTAAAATATTCATGAAGTATGGTAACATTAAATATTTACTTAGGGGATAAATATGAATTTTTCAGAAATATTTATAAATATATCAAGCAATTATGAATGATAATATTTGACAACCAAGTTTATCATTGTCAATAGTATTTCCCTAATTTTTTTCCAAAAAAAATCCATTAGGCTTCCTATTCCTAATAAGATCCATGTATACAATGGCTATAATTTAGAGACAGGAATCAATTTCAGAAGAATTATTAGATTCCTGTGATCTCTTGATGAATAAATAAATGTGGAAGGATGTAAATACAGAAAGCTCAGAGCAGGAAAATCATTAGAAAAACATCCAGTGGCTCATGCCTGTAATCCCTGCACTTTGGGAAGCCGAGGCAGGTGGATCACAAGGTTAAGTTCGAGACCAGCCTGGCCAATATGGTGAAACTCCATCTCTACTAAAAATACAAAAATTAGCTGGGCATGGTGGCAGGTGCCTGTAGTCCCAGCTACTCAGGAGGCTGAGGCAGGAGAATTGCTTGAACCCGGGAAGCGGAGGTTGCAGTGAGCTGAGATCGTGCCACTGAACTCCGGCCTGGGTGACAGAGCGAGATTCTGTAAAAAAAAAAAAAAAAAAAAGAAAGAAAGAAAGAAAGAAAGAAAGAAAGAAAAACATGCAACAGTGATTCTCATGTAGTTCAGTTTTGAAACCTTCCACATTATATATGTTATTCTCTTTCTTCTTCCTCAGGCAATCGGTGAGTTCTCAGTGTCCTCCAAAGACATCCCCAGCTCCAAAATGATCACCCTTTCACCCTCCCACCATCATCAGTCACATCAGTCACTCCTATTAACTAAGGCACATCTCCATTAGATGGTCCCTTGATTAGGCCTTGGCACTAATGTATAATAAATAATTTAATACTTCTTAAGACTAATCACATCTTTGATGCAAAGAAAGGCATTTTAAATCAAATACGTGTCTAATTAAAGAATTGAGAAGAAAATATTTAGAAGCACAGAAGACTCTGGTGCCTCTTTCTGTCTATTCTGGATGAGATGCAACTCCACCCTCAAAATAATCCAAGAAATAATCAATGACTAACCTAGTAACGTGAGGGCCAATCAAAACAGAATCTGCATGAGTAGAAAACATATGCCAAAATTGAAAATATTTGAAAGGTAAAAATCACATTTTTTTTTTTTTTGAGATGGAGTCTCTCTCTGACCCCCAGGTTGGAGTGCAATGGTGCAATCTCGGCTCACTGCAACCTCCACCTCCCGGGTTCAAGCAATTCTCCTGCCTCAGCCTCCCCCGTAACTGGAACTACAGGTGCACACCATCACACCTGGCTAATTTTTGTATTTTTAGTAAAGATGGGGTTTTGCCATATTGGCCAGACTGGTCTCGAACTCCTGACCTCTGGTGATACACCCACCTCAGCCTCTCAAACTACTGGGATTACAGGCGTGAGCCACTGAGCCCTACCCAAGTCATATTTTTAAGCTGAATCTTCCTAGTTCCAGTCATTAAATCTTAGGTGAATTCGATTAGATATTTATAAAACAAAGTGAAAAAGAATCACAGCCAAAATCAATGCAAAACTCTCACTCAATTCTTTCACAGATTTATTCATATATTTTACCTTCGTCTTTCCAAATACCTATAGACCTTGATATTTTTTCAGATCTCAGGCATCTTTCCTGTGCCATACAGGCCTGTGTTCCTTTGATTCTACCCTTGTCCAGAATGTTCATCTCTCCATTTTGTTTCTTTGAGTTCCTTAAAGACAGGGACTCTTCATTCATCCTTCCCAGCACAGCCCCCCACAGAATGCCTCAGGCAATAAATATTTGCTATTGAAATGAATGTAACATTTCACTTTCAGTTGGAAAGCAGAGTAACCATTTTGCAAAAAAGCAACACTTAGCCCCTTCTCCTTCCTGCAAAACTAGATTGAAAATAACATTTTGTAGCCCACAAGGTCAGGTCACAAAGGAATGGCAGCAGCCCAGATCTCTGCAGTCCTCACTAGATCTAAGCTTCTCTGATTCTTCAGCAAAAGAGTCAACTTGGATTTTGACCTTTCTTAGCCGTGCGAATTCAATATTCACAAAATTATTAAAATATAGACCTTTAGAGAAGTTTAGGCATCAACATTTCTGTTAAACATTAATATGAAACTGTATTTTCACTGAATTCATGCATTTTTAAATGATAGAAACTTCCAATTCAATACTCTAGAATAAGGGTCAAAAAACGTTTTCTGTAAAGGGCCAGAAAGTAAATATTTTAGAACTTTGCAGGCCATACAGTCTCTATCGCATTCACTCAACCTTAACACTGTAGCATGAAAATAGCCATAAACAGCATATAAGTGAAGGAGCATGGCTGTGTTCCAATGAAACTATATTTACAAAATAAAGTAGCAGACCAGATGAGGTCTAAGGGCCATGGTATGCCAACTCCTGTTCTAGGATAAAATTATAGGTATATAGAACCTTAAAACAAGAGATAGCACACTATAAATCATCTAGCTTAGCAAACTTTTAAAAAGTGTAATCATTATATTATCACACTTATTATATCTCAATATTATATATTATACGTATATTATTATCCTTTGAGAAATACATAAACAATATTTTATTGAAGAAAATTTTGAAATAGAAAGCAAAAGTTCTCTCTAATCTCACAACACAGAGATAGCTACTGTTAACATGTTGGTGTTGTCCTTATAGTCATTACATATAAATCCCATGTATATAAATGTCATAGTTTTCATATTATACATGCACTTTCTTGCAAAGTAATTATCATATTACACATACAATTTTGTGAATTATTTATTCAACAATAGATAAAGAGTTATAAATAACCATTTATCTATTTGAATACCTACTTATCCTTTTTATAAAGATTTACCCATATCCTTAAGTAATCTTCAAGGCTATTTTAAAAGGCTATGAAATTTTGTTATCATCAGCTGCATATGTAATAATTTATTTAATCAGTCCCTTAATACAATTTTTTAATTTCCAATTGTTATGCTACTATGAATAACTCAACAATGGATCTTTTTGTACATAAATCTCTGTAGGACAATCTGATTACTTCCTGATGGTAAATTCTTAGAAAGGGAGTTGGTAGTCAAATAGAGTTTTAGAATTTTTTTTAAAATTTTGTGGCCATTGATACATATTGTCAGGTTGCCCTCCTGAGAGGCTTCCTCAATTGATACACCTCCAGTAGTAAACTATTAATATAACCCCCACTGCCACCCAATCTTGTGATGTTCTTTTTCTTATACATGCCAATTTGATTAGCTTAATGCTATCATATTATAGTTTAACATGCATCTCTTCCATGAATTAAAAGGGTAGATATTTTTCTTACTTTTAGAAATTATTATTATTATTATTATTATTATTATTATTATTATTATTATTATAGATGGAGTCTCATTGTGTCTCCAGGCTGGAATGCAGTGGTGCAATTTCGGTTTACTGCAACGTCCGCCTCCTGGGTTCAAGCAATTCTCCCTGCCGAGTAGCTGGGATTAAAGGCACCCACCACCGTGCCCAACTAATTTTTTTTGTTTGTTTGTTTGTTGTATTTTTAGTAGAGATGGGATTTCACTATGTTGGCCAGGCTAGTCATGAACTCCTGACCACATCTGATCCGCCTACCTTAGCCTCCCAAAGTGTTGGGATTACAGGCGTGAGCCCCCGCACCCGGCCAGAAAATTATTTCTTATTTCATACAATTCAGATTTCATCTGAAAGACAAGGAAGATCCAGAGGCTCAGAGAAGTTAAGTATTATATCACGGTCACAGAGATAGAGAGAGACAGACTCAGGACCAGTACCCCAGTCTTTGGCTGATAGAGCAAAGCTTTCTTCCCATTGCACTTTGCCACCCCTACATTCCCCTTTACAACCTGAACATTTGGATCAGTCTGATAGGCCTCAAAGAATGTTCCTAGTTCATCTTATTACTTTGGCTTTAAGTGCGAGATAATCAATAAACTTTCTTTTCCCATTGTTCTCTCTTCTTGCCAAAGTGTTTCAGACCAAGGTATATAAGATTGGCAAATATTATGGTGAAATGTTTTATGTTTTGTTTTGTTTAACTGTATATAGGAGGAGGATTAGAAGTTAACATTGTGAATAAGAAATATATCAAAATATATATTGACAATTATTTCCAATGCAATGTGGGTTGTTCACAGAGATGACCATACATCTTGGTTTGCACAGGGACTAACTCAGCATACATCTCTTGTGCAGCATAATAGTTAAAGGCATCCTCTGTCAGTCAGACATTGTTTCATTTGAAAGAGAAAGCTAATCACAGACGAGAATCATTGCCCAGATAAGGCAAATGCCTCTCTCTTCCAGAACTCTAGACTTCAATGTCTTCCTTCTAATGGTACTTCTGGTATTTTTTGATGTTACGCAAAATGTTGTCCAATTAACATTCTTAAAAATATTTCTCTTGAGGTCATTAAGTTGTTACTATTATTAAACATCTTTCAAAGTAAATTAAACTATACATTTTTATCAATTTTTTAATTTGCAACCTAACAGAGCAAACATATTTTATGAACATATTAAGCTATATATTTTTAATATAAAAAGACATAAAGTCTACCTTTGATTCTTGATATTAAAAGAAAAACCCATAGAGTGACTTGATTTTTAAAAGCCAGATAAATGATTAATAAATATTCATCTTCTCTAAACTTTTTTTCATGAAAGAAAGAATATTCTCTTCTACTGATAAAATGTTCTGGTAAATTTACCTCTGTAGTAAGACTTCTGATATGGTTTGGCTCTGTATCACCGCCCAAAGCTCAGATTTAATTGTAATCCCCAGTGTTGGAGGAGGGACCTGGTGGGAGGCGACTGGATCATAGCCATGAATTTCCCCCTTGCTGTTTGCCTGCTATTGAGTGGGTCAGGAGATCTGGTTGTTTAAAAATGTGTACCACGGCCAGGTGTGGTGGCTCACTCTTGTAATCCCAGCACTTTGGGAGGCCGAGACGGGTGGATCACCTGAGGTCAAGAGTTTGAGACCAGCCTGGCCAACATGGTGAAACTCCATCTCTACTAAAAATACAAAAATTAGCCAGGTGTGGTGTCACACACCTGTAATCTCAGCTACTCAGGAGGCTGAGGCAGGAGAATTGCTTGAACCTGGGAGACAGAGGTTGCAGTAAGCCCAGATCACACCACTGCACTCCATCCTGGGTGACAGAGTGAGACTCTGTCTCAAAAAAAAAAAAAAAAAAAAAAAAAAAGTGTAGCACTTTTCCCTTCGCTTTCTCTCCTGCTGCCATGTGAAGACATGCCTGCTTCACCTTTGCTCTTCCGCCATGATTGTACGTTTTCTGAGGCCTCCCCAGCCATGCCTCCTGTAGTCTGTGGAGCTGTGAGTCAATTAAACCTCCTTTTTAAAAGATAAATTACCCAGTCTCCAGTAGTTCTTTTTAGTAGTGTGAGAATAGGCTAATATAACTTGTTCATATCATAATTTGGAATATTTTAATTTTCTGGTCTGGATTATCCCATTCTCCCCTTCCTTCAAAACGCCAATGTCACAGTGAATTTTTTTCTTCAGTGCAAACTTGAGTATACCACTCTGCTAAATGTTTCATGGACTCCTGGTAGACTTCATGCTAAAGTGCAAATATATCACTTATCCCCCAAGTTCTTTCATAATATGGACTTGCTGCCTCTAGAGACTTTCCTTTTGACACTGGATCCAACAAAAACATTGCATGTTCTCTCATGCTATTGTGCTTTTCCCACTCTGTTCCATTGTTCTGGAATGCCCTTCACAGTCAATTCCATCTGGTGGCCGTTTTCTCTATGCATGGTGACTTTTACATTACCTTCAAGACTTTGCTCAGGTGGCACCAGTGGGGAGCCCTCTATGAACTGGATCAAGTACTACATCTAGAAGTTCCTTGTCTGCAAAATCCCATATCACATCTAACACATATTTATTCAGCTTCCGCCATGTGCAAAGCATTGTGCTAGATGCCAGGAACGAAGCAGTAAATGAGACAGGTGCAGTCCTACCTCCGTAGACTTTTGTATTCAAACTTACATTGTGTCACCATATTTTCATTGTTGCTTTATTTGGTTACTGCAACCAATAGATTGCGAATTCTACGCAAGCAGCGACTCTCTTGTCTTTGAATTTCCCTGTGCCTGGATTAAGGGCTGAAATTAAGGAGTTTAATCCACCATGAGAAATAGCCCAAAGAAACAGTACATTTGGACTTTTCATTTCCCTAGCGTAAAAGATCCAGAAACAATTACTGAAACAGGGTACCTTTAAACTTCTAGCTTACCTAAAAGTTAAATATTCCAAAATACATTTTTCTCTACTACAACTGAACTTACAAATTTAAAAAGGATATTGCTTTTCCTTTATCTCCAACAGGTATTGGTAATCCTTTTTTCCTGCAATATAAAATTTCTTCCACTTAATTCCATGTATTTGGTAGAAGTAAAGCTGCATGACAAAGAATAGGTACTCAGCTTCACTTCTGCTGAGCTGTTACTTTCTGCCCTTAAAATAGGCAGAGGACACAGAGGTCAAACACGATAACCTCATTCTGTGTGACAGGTCAACTAATATCTACAAAGCTGAAATGGAGTTCAGTAATAAAAAAATTTTGCAATTGCTGTAGAACAATTTGGGTGCTGCTTTATCTTGATTTAGGTAGCAGACTATTAGAGATGTCTCAGGATTCAAAGAATGTGCACAGGAAGAGGGCAAGGCATTCAGCCTCAGAGAATTCTCTGTGAAATGAACAATTACAAACCCGGGTGTCTGATCTAAGTAGTGTTCTTTGCCAACGAGCCTAAAGAGAAAACTTACTTTATACTATTTATTTCAGCAGGAAGGCTTCTAAGAATGTGTAACTGTAGATTTTGCCTTAAGCCCATTTACTTTTCCCATCTTTCAATTTCACCATTTCCTTCCTCCCATCACATGCTATGTGTTTTGTGTGTGCACACGCCAAACCATGCTTATCTGAGTGCATACGCATCTCTGTTTACTTAATTTGAAATTATTTCCTTTCTACTGAAAATCCTGACATCTTATCATATAAGCAGAGCACAAAGAATCCATGAAATTACTACTATTAAATAAGACAGCTCTCTGTATGTAAATCTAGCAAGCTGGACCATTTCAGTAATTATCTAAATACAACATATCTAACCAGTTAAAGTAAGAAATTAATTACTTCCCCATCCTAATCCAGAATTCATTCATGGAAGAGCCAAAACAACAGGTTTTTTTTCTTAAGAAATTTTTATTTAAAATAAATATAGTTTTGTAAATAGTTTTTAATAAAGTGTTCAGGCTTGGAAATAAGTTATTCCACTCATTCATTCATTCAAGATGCATTTTTTGGTGCATGTACTATATGCAAGATTGTGTGCTAGGCATTGTAGGGAATAAGAGAAGCTGAATTAGCAGTAAATTGTTACCAAGAAGCTCCTCTATGAGTATGCGAGCTTATGAATGCCAGTAGAAGTGATAATAAAATTTTATAGGAGTGCAGATGAGGACATGGGCATTGCATACTGGGGAAATCACAAATGCCTTCATCTGGGACACATCTTTTGTCTGGAAGCTCAAAAATGATTACAAATGAGGGAGAGGAGAACTATACTTAGAAAAAAGATTATTGGGCAAGGTAGGGAGTAAGCAAAACAAGGGCACAGAGAATGATTCCATTTGCAGGGACCACTCAGGGAAGGAACAGTGTGAGAACTAACGCTGGCAAAGTGATTTGGGAGGAACCCTGCTGTTCCTGGAACACCAAAGAGCTTTTTCACTTTAACCTACACGCTACAGGGAAACCACTGCAGGTTTTAAAAGATGGATTAAGAGTTCCGCTTTGGTTTAATTACTTTGATAGGAGAAGCAATATTTCTTTCCCTGAGAAGAGTGGCAGAGAAAGAAAATAAGTGAAAATGTAGAAATAGAAAGGAGGAAAGAAAACCACCTCAATGTGCACAGTAAAGTAAAATGGTCATTGTGGAAAACTAGTAGATAGGGGAGAAACTAGAAACCTGTGCAGAAAGGGAAAAGTTCATTATAAAGACTTATGTATTTATTAGAAATACTTCAGATAAATAGGAAAAAAAATAGTTTGAAATATAGTTTAAAACAGTAAAAAACAGTTAGTTTGAAATATAGTAACTAGGGACCCAATGTGATAGGCCATTGAAAAAAATGCTAAAGAGTCTGTAATATAGCAAGCCATGGGAATCTAACAGAAGGGTTTTAATTGGTTTGGGACATGATCAAACATGCATTTTAGCAAGATAAAGTTAGGAGCAGTATTGAGAATAGACCAGAGAGGAGACAAACTAGAGACCACAAAACTAGTTTGTGGGTGAAAGCTATAAACTAGGCAAGAAATGTTGGTATCCAAGGAACTGTGTTAATAAATTAAAGTATTATCAATTTAGAATAAAGAGAAGGGACGATATAGCAAAATTGGTGGAAATGTTCCTGGTAAAACATTCGAATGAAACTATAAAGGTTTAAAAGACATTTTCTTATTATAAAAGAGATATAACTTGGGAAATTTAAAAATGCCTGAACCCATTCATTCAATGTGGGTAGAAAAATGAATATCAGGGTAACATAATCAGGATCTCATCCATTTAAAGTCATCTTAACAGCTATATAAATAGTAAATTATTTTGTTAATTTTATAAAATACTAAAACAAATAGCCTGGAAAAATGTTAGCGTTTTCTAAACACTAGGAATTTTGTGCCAGCTTTTCTCACCGTTGTTCTGTAGTTCACAATCTACAGACCACCATCACTTTCCCAAGAGTCTATTCCTGTGATTTACCCAGGTATTTAAAAAACATTAGCTATGCCAAGAACCCATTCTGAAATCAAAGTCTAATCTCTCACCCAAAGATTCAATGTTAAGCTAGAAGTAATGGGAGCTGATTGCTCCTCTAGGGAGGAGCTGATACTTTTGATATTAATACTGTAAATTTAAAGGAATCCACAAGCTCATTGGAGAAATCCTTTTACAAGTGTAGAGTATAAATAGAAACTCTGTAGTGTATAGGTCAGTCTGGTATTTAAAATTCAGGACAGTGCTGTCCAGTAGAATTTTCTGCAATTGGGAGAATGTCCCAGGTTTTCATTTCCCAATGCAGGAGCCACCAGACACACGTGGAGCACTTGAAATGTGGCTAGTGCGAATGCAAAACTGAATTTTAATTTTTGTTTAATTTTTATTTAAATGTAAATAGTATATATGGCTAGTGGCTCCTGTACTGAGGGCCCAGGACTAGACTAGACAATGGGCACACACTTGGAAACCCTATCTCAAAGATTTGATAATAGCAGAAAATTCTATTCACATGTCTCCCAACGAAGCAAAGTAGGCCCTCCATTAAGCATTTGTGTATGGGAAACCAATGCCCCTCCTATGTGTGTAACCACAGTCATTCTTCCCTGACAATCAGCGCATCAAACCTTGATGTTTCCTGTTCCAAACTCAAGTCAGCAGCTAACATCAGACATCCTTGTTAACGTAGTGTATGCTGATGCTTTCCATTTGATACTTACCAGACACCAAAACTGTCCAGAGAACAGAAAGTATAAACACAGTGTTCAATAAAGCCTGGCAGGCTTTTAATAAGACACACGGGAGCATACTAATCCAGATTTTTGTGGGCAGATACTTCATAAAAGGTTAATCAAAGTGCTGGGCAATGGGGAAACACCTGGATCGCGCTCAGCACTATTTTTTAAAGAGAGCTCAACATCTGTACTGAAGCCAGGATTGCTCAGTGGGGAGAACCCTCAGCCCTTAAAAACAGAAATCTTTATTTAAACAGAAAGATTTGCAATTGCATCAACTGTTGTTATGTTAACATGGCTTCTCCTCAGCAACTGCTTCTAAATCACAATGACACTTGGAAAAAAAACAACAAGAAACACTTCTCTATTCTGATATTTAAAATGTTTCTTTAAAAATGTAAGAGGTGAGCATAACCTATTATATAATAAATATTATCTCTGTTGAAAACTAAAAAAGGAAAACATGGAGGTATTATTATCAGCAAATCTGTAAGGTTTCAATGGAATCATTTTCATTCTATTATATGTATCCTGTTTAAAAGGTACAAAATACCTAGCCATGGCCATCTGGTGAAACAGCTGCGAAGTAAAGCCCATTCGTTGATCATCCTCTTGTAATTGTTACCATGGCCCTAGTCTTAACCACATACTATTTTTTAAAACCTGACTATAAAAATCCAGTGGTTTTGTTTCTTGCTATGACTCCTTTAACATAACTAATTCTATTTACAAAACTAAGGAAGGAAATTTTAAATTATAGAGAATTATAGCAATGCTATTAAGGATTAGGCAGGGTTTCCATCACATGCGTTCATTCTATATCACATTTATATAAATACACTCTCCTCATTCAGAAAAAAACCCATGTTCATTACCAAGATCCACGTTTTTATTACCTAAAATATTCAGTATAAAATATCAGCATATTTTAAAAGAATCTAAATAGTTAAGTTACCCTACAAATGGTCAAAGATAATAAAAACAGCCTGGTTTAGTCTTTTTTATATAAGCATATAAACTTATAATCATGGCCTTTTTACACAAAACTCTAATATGAATACTATTTCACAAATTCCTTCACCAACCTATATTGTTCTATTTAAGTTAACTCCTCCTCTGGAATGAGAAAATGAGTGCTGTCCAGTGGAATCTTCTACAATGTGGGGAACATCCTGGGTTTGCATTCCCCCAAGCAGGAGCCACTGGCCACATGTGGTTATGGAGCACCTAAAATGTGGCTAGTGTGACTGCAAAACTGAAAAAGAAAAACTTCCTTCTTTTAACTTGAGGTATTGTTGGTGAACCAAGAAATAATGTTGTAATAACTTCAGCTATGCTGAATTATTTCTTTATACCATACACTAGGAATATAAGTGTATAGACTTACTGCCTGAAATATCAACAGAAGGTATTCAAGATACCTATATAGAAATTGCTCTGAAATTAATCTAAATGTTGTATTGGTAACAAATAGTGACCATAATATCGGTTTCCTAAATAACCATTCACACTTAAATAATGTGTATAAGTAATTCTCTGCGTAGAAGTCTCTCTGTGTAATAAGAGAGAATTATTCCTTTCTTGCCTAGAGACAGGAAGAAAAAATGCCAATAACAGCTTTACCAAATCCATCTGAGCTTGATAACCCAAGAAACGTAATGTCATTCCTCTAGACATTAATGGTCCTATTATCGGCTCCCTAAGCCACAATGGATCTATAGATCTTAAATTACAATTTAAAGATACTGCCACCACCATGCAACTGTGAGACTCTTGAAAATGCCAAGGTAAGAAAAGTGCATGGACAACTAACATCCTCTATCACCCTAATCCTCAATCTGGGGGATTTCCTATGAGATGATGTGGCTTATCAGTTTGCACACCTTGACATCTCAGCCTCTCCCTTTGTGCATCATGAAGACAGTGCTTTCTGGACAATTTCCACTTCATTCTCTTACCAATATGCTCCAGAGGTGATACCCAATTCAATCATAAACTGCTTAAGAGTTGGTTGTGACATGAATATCTGAGAATCATGGTTTCATAATATTATTAAAGGAAAAATATGTAATACTTATGAAATACTGAATTAACAACAATCTAGTGATTCTGAATAACACTTCCATCTTGGCAAACATGAGGGGGGAGTGTATATATATGTGTGTATGTCTTATCTGTGTGTGAGTTTATGTACATACAAGTGTACTGCATATATGTGTATATGTCTATATGCACACGTATGAGAATTTGTTATAAGAGTCAACTAGAAGTCAGTTCATCTAAGACGACTGTATTGAAAACATGGTGCACTCTCTCTATCTATCTGAAGAACAGTATCAAATGGGTAATTGGATATATCAAACTAAGTGATTAATCCACTTATGGCCCTTATTCTGAACTTCAAAAGAAAAGGCATAATATTACAGGCAAACTCAAGGTATCGGAGCAAAACATCATCAGTAGCTAACCCTGCCCTTCAAAAACTATTAGTAGAGTTCCTATTTTATTCTGAAGAAATATCAAATAAAAGATGGTCATGCTCCTAATTCAACCCTATTGTTTAATAATTTTATAAGTTTTTATTGTTGTCTTTCAGGGCACTATTACTTCATAAATATCTATACTATTTTATTCAATAATAAAATATTGATTTGGGGGTGGAGGTGTCATATGTTAATATCTCCACAATCTCTCATTTCTAAAGAGAAACCAGAGGATTCATCATCACTAATCATCATCCATTAGTTGTGAACTAAATATATGACTTGAGAACTAGGACTTGATAATACAGCATATAAAAGCAGCAATTCATGTTCAGCACATTTTGTCTAACAAATGTTTTAAATTATTTAGAATTTTCACTGTAAAATGTGAAATTGTTTGAAATGGAATAAAACAGAAAACTTGTTTTCTTTTCAATTTAATAACTAGAAAGAAGACTAAAGTTATTCTAATAATCTTGCTATTTATTCACCAAGCTGAATTCTGCCTTACAATGAATTCTCATTAGGAACAGAGTTCTTATCTGTCAGTCCCCAGTGCCTATTAGTACCTGGCACAGTAGCAAGCTCAATAAATATTTGTCAACCTACTGTTTATTTAGCTGAAGTACTATATTTATAGTTTTATACTTTTAATAGAAAGGTAACTAAAATTAAGAATTTGAAAATTAATCCATTTCCTTGCATAGATTACAAAATGTCCTGAATAACAAAATACCACTTGGCTTTAATAAAGTACTTTTAATTTAAATGGCTGTTTTTAATAACAAACATTTGAACAGACACACCCCCTCAAATCCATGATGAATCACTCCACGGCTCAAAGAAATAAAATTTAAAATACAAAACCTACCTTGTGAAATAAAATAACTGGATTATCATGGTCTTTCATGTACAGATGCTTAATTAACATCAGAAAAGTCAAAATTAACTATCACTTTAAAGTAATATAAACCTTCTAAACTTTTATACACACACACACACACACACACACATTTACTCTAAACTTCTAAAAACTTCATATTAACATTTTATGCTAAATGTATCCTAAATTCACTCACATAGAACACCATTCTCACACATGTTAACACATGTTTTACAAAAAAAGTATCCCATGATATGGGAATTATAACATATTTCAAAACCTCTCTTAGCTATTTACCATCTCATAAGTCAAGGTTTTCTAAGCATATTTAATCACAGAAAAAAAAACTTACAACATAACTCTTAGCATCTTGTAATATAGCTTTCTATGGAACACGAGTTTGACAAATGAGACAAACCATATGTACTCAATATGTACTCCATGGTATGAACAAGAATGTACTTTTTGTCCAAAAAACAATCATTAGGATCTTCCTGCATGGTGAATCAGATCATTATTTTACATTGATTTCATTGGAATAGAATCCTGCCTAGATAAGCTTTCCCAAATCAATTACATTTTGGTTTTAATTTTGCTAGCAGCACTTCTTTTTCCAGTTTTAAGTCATTAACAGAAAGCTTCATCACAGCACAAAACAATATTTCGATAACTTCATATTATTAAACGAAAAGAGTTTTATCTTCTGAGAATAATTGTTTTAAATAAATGCATTTATCTTATTCACTTGTCAGGATCATCCATGTTTTTTATTAAAATCAAAAGCTTATTATCAAGCTAAATCCAAATCAGACATTTTATATTCCCAATAAGATTTCTTCATCTTTCCACACTAGCACGTGGATTTTCCTTGTTTCCTAGCCCATATTCAAGAACATGGCAGTTCCTATCCTTTCCCAAAACATGGACTGCACCAGGCATGTTGAGAAATCAAGAGTGCCTCACTCTGTTTCTACACAACCACCAACCCTTGTCATCAATACTAAACAAGCCCAAGGCTGGCAGAATCCAGGCCTTATTATTGTTTCATTGGTCATTTACTCATTTAACAAATATTTATTGAGCATCTACTATATGCCAGAGACTATATGAGGCCCTAAGGATTACGTATTGAATGACACAGAGATGGGGCCACATTCTATGGGAGAGACAGAAGATAGAAAAAATAAGTAAGTAAAATACACAGTATGTTATATTAGCAAATGCTAAAATAAAAGAAAAAATGGGCAGGATATAAAGAATATAAAATGTCAGGGATGAGTTTAAGAATGTTTAAAGGGTGGTCGGGAAAGACTTCACAGAAAAGGTTGCTTCTGAGTAAATGGTGAGAATGAAAGCAAGAAAACAAGGCAATGGATAGCCCAGAGAAGGGCATTACCAGCAAGTGCAAAGGCCCTGGGATAGAGGATGCTTGGCCTGTGGGAGGAACAGTGAAGAGGTCAGTTGTGGCTGGAGGTAGGAGGCACATGGTGGTTGTGGTAGCAGACGAAATCAGAGAGGTGACAACCAGCTGCATCAGGTGGACCTTTACAGGTCATTTTAAGGACTTTAGCTTTTTCGCTAAAAGAGGTGGGAAGCCATAGGTGGGTTCTGAGCCAAGGAATGAAGTGCTGTGACTTCCATTTTAATGAGATTACTCTGGCTGCTATACTGGGAATAGACTGACAGTGGGAAGAGAGTAGAGGTAGGAAGGCCAATGTAAAGGCTGCCTGCTCCTAATGCAGGCAAGAGATCATGGTAGCTTTGACCAGAGCAGTGGCAGCAGGATGCATGTGAGAAAAAGCAGGAACCCTCAGAGGCATGGGGCAGTTCTTGGCTCCAATCCTCTTATTGTGGCACATGCCCTGAATATTAAATCTACCGAGGTGGTCACTCACCTTGTCAGGGTGTCTTCTGGGATTTGCACTTCTTTGAAAGGCCTTTTTATCTCTGCAATTGTACCGAATACAAATCTCCTGCCTCTCCTTGGATCCCCTTGGTCATATTACCTGCCTATTGAACCCATTAACACCACAGGGATGCAACCAGACAAGAACCCTGGATGAGTCAGGCCATCCCCCTTGGCCCCTGCTATGCTGCACTGCCCAACCACATGCTCAGTTTCTGGGCCACTTCTAGACTAACATGAAACGTCGCAATGGGGAACATGGGAACTGGCATCAGGGGGAGCATTAAGGAGCTCTAGTGACACCCTCTGCAAGCTAACTGCCCATAGGACAATCAATGACCAACAGGAAACAAGATACAGAGGGGGGCTAGCTAGGCAGACAAATTCCCTGTCCTCCCTCCCTTCCCATAGACTTCTCGGAAGATAAGTCCTCCTTGCAGCTCATTTGAGAAGGGTCATATGGGGAGAAAATATGCCAGCCAAGTGACTTGCTGCATCTTATATGTCTTTTTGGGAAGCAGTAACACGTCATGTTCTCTTGCTTCTCTTTCTTTAATCCTCACACTCGCTAACCTGGGTTTGCACCTCACAGATAAAGCTTCGCCCTTGAATCACAGTCTCAGATTCTACTTCCTTGGAAAACATACATCAAAAGTATCCTCTCAAGCTATGGCCAGTCTACTGTCTTTGTAGCATCTGCCATACTCAAATATTTTACTTTTAGGTGGCCAAAAGTGTTTTCTTTAATAGCTTCTAGACTTCCTGTTTTGGTTAGAAAGCTCTCCACAACCTGTGTGTTAATACAGGTATGATTAATCTTCCTCTTGAATTTTATTTTTTAATTTAGATCTTTTACTCTCTTGAAATTAATTTTGCATATATGTAAAATAATGGTAACCATTTATTTTGATTGCCAGTTGTGTGAGCAATTCTTTATTAACTAAATCATTCTTTTCATAGTGAAATAAGATGTCACCTTTATCATGGATTGTTTCCATATATAGTGAGATCTGTTTCAGGGTACTTATTCCAGTCTACCAATCTATCTTTGCTCTATTCCCACACAACACTGTTGTCATCACAGTTGTTTTACAGTATGTTTTGATATCCAGCAAGAAAATGGCTTTTTATTCTTCTTTATATTTTATTTTTTCTCCAGTGTTCTCTTTTCTTAATCTTGAATTTTTTAATTCAATTCAAAAAATAACTTGAGTTTCTAAATGAAAAGGCATTGAGTTTACATATTACAAATAGAGTATTAGTTCTCTTATTTGTTTAAGTCTTGTTTTATATCCTTCAATAATTTTTTATAATTTCATTCCTATAAATTCTGTGGCTTTCTTGTTAAAATTAAACCTAAGTATTTTAAATTTTTTGCCATTTTTATGACTGGAATACTTTTCCTATTTCCATTTCTAAGTGACTATTAATAGTATAAAGAAAGCTTGAATATTTCTCTTATAATCAGGCTCTTTATAAACTTCCCTCATCAATTCTAGCCATTTTTAGCAGCATCTCTTGGGGTTTCTAGATATGTAAGAAATCTCTTTAGGAAAAAAAAGTTGACTTTACTATTTCCTTAATTATATTTATATCTATGATTTTATTTTCCTGATTTGTTGCATTTACTTCAACCTACAAAACATTGTTAATAATAAGAGCAAAATAAGGCATCTTTTTCTCTATCCAGATTTCAATGAAAATGATTTAGGGTTTTAGTATTTAAGATGATGTTTGCTGATTATTTTAGTAAATGGTCTTTATCATGCTGATTAGTAAATGGTCTTTATCACGCTGAAGTATTTTCCTTTTATTTCCATTTTGCTTAGAATTTTTATTGGGAATGGCTGCTAAATTTATCACTTTTTCAAGGAATGTAATGAATTTTTCTCCTTTAATTTGTTGATACAGCAAATTATATTCATAGATTTCCTGATACCCATCTTTATATTCCCAGACAGTAACCCTAGTTGATCACAGTACCTATTTTTTCTAATATATTACAGCATTCTCAGATTCTAGCTGGTAACATTTTGAGTAATCTAGTCCAAAATACAAATTTTAAAAAACCATCACCAGAATAAACTATATTATAAGAAATCTATCTAAACACAAGAGTTTTTAATAATTTGTTCAGAGGTTAAAAAATGTAATATAAATTACAATAACAAATTCATATGTGTATATTTATAATAAATGGAAAAGCCAACAATATAGAACAATTTTCAGATCAGGTTCAGAGAGGGATTACATCAGTGACTCTCAAACTTATGTGTAGATCAAAATCACCCTTAGGGCTTATTACAACAGATTTCCAGGCCTCACCTTCTAAGTTTCTGAATCAGTAAATCTGCAGTGAGTCCCAACAATTTGCACTTCTAACAAGTTCCCAAATGAAGTTGAGACTTCTGGTCTAGGAACTACATTTTGAGACTCACTGCTATACAGCATACAAAGCTTCAAACTTGCTAATTAAACTTTGAAGCTTCAGCCTCCACATCTGCAAAATGGAGATAACCATCAATCCCCACAGGATCACTGTGAGAATTAAATAATCTAGGATATGCAAAGCATTTAGCAGAGAGCCTAGCACATAGCAACTAAATGTTAGTTGCTATGATTTTTTTCATTAAAAAAGTAAAGAATTAAAGAATAAAAAGAAGGAGATGGGAGAAACAGAAGCTAAGAAGGAAGACTAATACAACACCCAATGCTTATTAGCTATTTCCATTTTATGACAATTACTAACATACTAAGTTAATAGCAAGAAGAATGAAGAATTAACTAGAGTAGAAATATTCATCTCTGTATGAACTGGGGATAAAAAATATTGTAATTATGTTCAGCATTAAGCCATAAATTCCATGAAAAGAAAAATTAAATAAATCACCAATGTTACTTTAAATTTTATGTTAGGTATTATTCCATTTTAAAATGTTCACTATAACTACTTTCCACACGTGCCTTGATAGTAAGTAATGACTTATATTGAGCTATATGTGGATAATGTTCTTTAAATATCTTAAAATAGCTCTAAAAAGCTAAAGCTCCTTAAGGATCTTAAAATTGCCAAATATTAAAATATTTTAAGGCATTATATAAGATTTTTCTATATATTTTTATGGTTAAGACTCCTTGAAGTAAATCAGAGTTATCTCATGGATATTAAGCATTTGAAAGTATACCTTAATAAAAAATAATTCATTTAGATTTTTAATTATGAATTCAACAGGGATGTCTGAGATGTTATATAGAGGCTCATCCGATTTACTTTTATGAAAAAACATTGAGAATTAGGGACTGTGGCTGCTGGAGTCAACTTCTACTACATTGTGCCTTGGTGACAAAGATCTTCTTGTCTTCCAAGGACCTCCAGAGGAGAGGCTGTGCCCTGGCATTGCTGCCATGGGTGCTGGGTGTTCTGTTTCTCTCCCAGATGTGCTTTGCTGCTTTGCTCAGCACAGCCTGGACACACACACACACGCACACACACTCACACGCATGCACACTCAGGCACACACACATGCACACATACATATACACACCACCTCACCTAAGGCATAATTATTAATTATACCTTAATAAGGTATAATTAAGGGTAAGTGTCTGTACCATTCTGAAAACAGGAGCATTAGACAAAAGTCCACATATCCAGTGTTAAAACCCCCAGTCTTCCTCTCAAATCAACTCCCAGGGTAACAGAGCCAAGCACAGACAAGCATATCTCCCATCAGGAGAGTGAAGGTGCCATTTCTGGGTAATACAAACTGCCCAAAGTAAAGACTTAAGTACACTAAGCTAAATTTTTGAAATTAATGCTTTCCTAGCCACAACCACTGTTAACTCTGTGGAGAATATCCTACTGCATATCTTGTTGTTATCTGTATGTCTTCATGCCTATAGACCTACAGATTCTATTCATCTGTGTTTTGAAGGATGCCATAGTCTACAGCTACTGGAGATCTGCTTTTGTATTAATGTATTATGAACATTTTTACAGGATGTTAAACATTACACGATAAAATTTTAAATAAACCCCCTCCCTCCACACACACATCCAGAGCTTTCAAAGACTGCATGTAGGTCTATAGAGAAAGAGGGGTAACTCAGGAAGGAAACAGGAGGGATTTCAGGGCTAAATGATTAAGAATCAAATCGTTAAAGCAGAAAAAGAAGGAGAAGCTAAAATAAAGCAGAAGGGGAGAACGAACTGCCTAAGCTACACAGAAAGAGCCTCACTCTGTTCTCTGAGATTGCCACTTGTCAGACAATGTCAGCCTCAAGCTTCAGGTTGCCAACCTGGACAATGACTGGGAAGAATGAAGCCAACACCAAGGAAAACAGAACTGAGAAAGAGAGAGGAGGAAGTGAGGGAAAGAGAAAAAGAGAGGAAGAGAAAGAGAGGCAGGAAGAAGAAAGAGAGAAAGGGAGGGAGGGAGGGAAAGAGGGAGAGAAAGAGGAAGAGAAGGGCAGGCAGGAGAGAAAGAGAAAAGGAGGGAGGGAGGGAAGGAGGGAAAGTGGGGGAGAGAGAGAGGGAAAGAGGGAGAGAGAGAGGAAAAGAGAGAGGAAGGGAGGCAGAAGGAAGAGAGATAGATATCAATCTGATAACTTGATTAAGCCCCTGGATCTATCCATGCTTGAAGCTAGAGAACCATAAGACTTGCCAGTTATGCGAGCACAGAAATTCCCCTTTTTGCTTAAACCAATTTGAGATAAGTTTCTCTTCCTTGCAATCGAAAGATACCTTGTCCTTTAAGTTAAACTTCGCCTCTTATATCTCCAAACAGGCCAGAAAGACTCTCCAGTCCACAGCACGCCTACCAAATTCATCATTAGAGTAACGGTAAATATTGTGTGAACTAATTCATGACTTATTCCTCAGAACACCAATTTCTCTCACTAAGGCAGATAACTATTAGAATCTAAGAGCCCAATTCCCTATTCTGTACAGCTTTATTAAATCACATATGTGACCATATTTTCCATCCTCTCAATGGCTAAATGGCTGTTCTTAAAATGTAAGGTGATTATAGTTTCATAACTTAGTATCGTGAATTTAGAAGTAGAATAAATAGCACTAAATAAAAGTATCTTTTAGTCTCTCTGGAAGTTAAATTATTGCTAAATAGTATATCTTTAAGATGATCAGAAGTGTCAGCTGCTCCTTGAAATTTATGTGCTGGGGAGCACAAGGATGATAAATCATCAACATGTCAGAGTTGTAGATCTTTCAGCTGAATCACACTGAAGAGGTGCTTGAAGTTCTGTCACACGGCCTCCTGTTCTTTTTTTACCGGTTGATTATCTTACACTGTCAAGACCTTACCAAAGCCAAAGATCATGAAGCGATGAAGTGCAAGACTAATAAGTAAAAATATGCATTCAATCTTAAAGCCCTAAGATATTAATATATGCACAGCCAACGCACATTCTCATTTCCTGAAAATCTCAGTTTTCAAGAAAGAAAGAAAGAAAGAAAGAAAGAAAGAAAGAAAGAAAGAAAGAAAGAAAGAAAGAAAGAAAGCAAATATGCATTCAATCTTAAAGCCCTAAGATATTAATATATGCATAGCCAATGTACATTCTCATTTCCTGAAAATCTGTTTTCAAAAAAAGAAAGAAAGAAAGAAGAAAGAAGGAGAGAAAAGCAAGCAAGCAAGCAAGCAAGCAAGCAAGCAAGCAAGCAGACCAGTATCCTCTTTACAAAAACCTTAGAAAAAAAGCATCCAACCTGTGATGGTTAATATTAAGTGTTAACTTGACTGGATTGAAGGATGCAAAGTACTGTTCCTGGGTGTGTCTGTGAGGTGTTGCCAAAGGAGACTAACATTTGATTCAGTGGACAGGGAAAGGCAGACCCACCCTCAATCTGAGTGGGCACAACCTAATCGGCTTCCAGCACAGCCAGAATAAAAGCAGGCAGAAGAACATGGAAAGACTAGACTGACTTAGACCTCTGGCCTATATCTTTCTCCCATGCTGGATGCTTCCTGCCCTTGAACATCATCAGACTCCAAGTTATTCAGCTTTGGGACTCTTGGACCTTTGGCCACAGACTGAAGGCTGCATTGTCGGCTTCCCTACTTTTGAGGTTTTGGGACTTGGACTGGCTTCTTCGCTCCTCAGCTTGCAGACAGCCTATTGTGGGACCTCACCTGTGATTGTGTGAGTCAATACTCCTTAATAAACTCCCCTTCATATATACATCTATCCTATTAGGTCTGTGCCTCTAGAGAACCCTGACTCATACACAACCAAAACATCAATGGGGAAAAATTTGGTTCCCTATCACCTCACGGCTTTTAGATAAAAGCATTGCTCATCATTGTGCTTGGGTCAAAGGAAGCTGGTCCCACAATTCTTTTCGGAATCTCCATCTTTCTGTTAAGATTTGGGGAAAGAAACAAATGGAACAAAAATGTACGTTTTCAGGAAGGTATGCTGGCATTTAATAAGCAAACTATCAATTTTAGAGTAAGACAACACTTATTCATTGTGAACCATCTGTACCCTCTATAACCTTGCTAGTCAAAGGGTGACCCGCAAGCCAGAGCATGAGCAAAACCTGGAGCCTGCTGGAAATACAGAACCTCAGGTCCCGCTATGGACGAACTGCGTCAGAATCCATGTTTTAACAAGCTCCCAAGGTGATCTGTATGCACATTAAACTTTTAAAAGCACTGTCCCATAAGGAGGAGTAACAGAAATGCCTTAGAAACATAATTTTGTTGGAAAAAAGCAAATTATAGATAATTATACACATACACATATCTATTTTGAGATTACAAAATTAGTGAAACTAAATGGTATATTATTTGGTCATTCAGGTGTAGGTGACAAAACTATATATTAAAAGGCAATTTAGGACACTATTCCCTCTAGGGGTAGGGGTGCACAGAGATGAAGTAGAGGAGGAGGACAAGACAGATGCAACAGAATTGTTCCAGTTCCTAATGGAAGGGGGGATTCACAGGTGTTCCTGTTAGGATGATGTTACATACAGTTTATATGTTCAAATATTACATGATAAACATTTTCAAAAATGAGGAAACAACCTCATTAGCATGAAAATAATCTTTGCAGTCATAAATAACAGCTTTTGCTGGGATGGAGAACTGGAAAGGACTTACTTAGCAGCTTGTAGAGTTACTAAGCAAGAACAACAATGATTTAATCCAGGTGGATGATAAAGAATACTTTATTACTTAGAAGGGGAAAGGTAATAATGAAACAAATATACAAATAAATGAACTTATAGATCAAACATTTGCTTGCATTTTTCTGCAAAGAAAAATAAACACTCTGCATCACCATCATCAACGTATCTGAAATGACAGAAACAAACATTGAGTCTGGGATAGCAGATGCTTGGAGTACAGTGAGGGAGAGATATTCAAGAGATGTCAGCCAGGTTACTCATCAGGGACTTTTGGAACTGGGGACAGCTGTAGAGTGAATGGGTTTTCCAGCTAACAATGTTGCTCTTAGGTAACCAGGCTTGTATTCCTTATTTGCTATTTTACATTAAACAATAACTGATTTTAAAAATTCATGATCACAACAGCCCTTTGAGTAAACCCTGAATTCTAAAACTCTGCTTGCAAGGAAAGCAACCTTACTGAGGAAATATGCAGCCTCGGGTTTTCATGATACACCTCCTGACCAGGATATTGTTTCACAAATTTGCTTTCAGGTTACTGCATCATGAGACAGTGTAAAAATTCTACCTAAGAACTTACATATTATTCAACATACTTGGAGTACCCTAATCCTGACAATGAGAGGGTGGAGAAGAAACTAAATATTGTATTTAGAAATAGAATAAACTAAATATTTTAATGAGATATTGTACGCCAAAGATGTAGGTTTAATTCCTGGCATCCCATGGCATGAGGACAGAACAACTTTGGGTAAGGCCATTTACCCCACTGACCCACATACGTTCCTCATTGGTTACTGAGTATACCCAGCTCTTCCTCTACTCTGCATGGGAATTCAATACACATGGATGTGTCTCCTGAAACATCTTGTCTGCTCCGCACCTACTTCACTATTCCTTCACCCCTTGGATGTTGACCTTCACCTGGTGAAAGGTCATGCTTCTGCCAATGCACATCTAGCTGGACTCCTCCCAGCCACTGACTTTGACCAGACTTCCTGGCTACTGACTTCTCTCTCTTTCATGGGATACCGACTCCAGAAGAGTCACCCCCTTCTTCCACCTCCATTCCAACATTCTCACATCTTTGCATGACTGGGCTGAGGGAGAGGACTCATGACGTACCCTCTTCCCAGGCTTATTTTGCAGACCAAAGAAGGTACATTAGATGTGAAGGCATTTTGAAAAGTTTAGAATAGTTACTGAGAAGAATCAGAAGATTAAAATACAACAGAAGTTAACCTATCAACAGGACTTATAAAATTCAGAGAATTCACATAAGTACAGAACTTTACATAAGTATTATCATGACCAGTGCTCTTAAGTCCAGCTATGTCACCAAGTGGACCCACTGAAAAATTCTTATTACAGATCTCTTGAGCTTTTCCTGTAGCATTGACTACAAGTAATCTTGCCATGAGGATGACAGACAGTCGTGCAAAATATGAAGACTGCGGTTACCTAATGTTTCATGAGGGAAGTCTGAAAGAATTCACAGCTCTAAGTAACCTCAAAGAGTATCCAACATAACTCCTTCATTTTCTCTTTTTGGAAATATGCCTATGACCATAGAACAAATTAGTACTAGAACCAGAACGATAATTCAAGTCCCAGTGCAAAAACATTTCCAGTAATTTCAAGATGTCTAGTAAATACTTCTGAATGCAGGCAAGTTAACCACTTCAGACTGGTGACAGTATGGCTATTTTTAAAGCCATTAGGACAAAAATCCCACAATAGCCCTCAATATTCTATTGTAGTGCTAGAGAGGCATTACCTGTACTACTAGTCTTTCTCCTCACAGTTGTCTGAATCATTCTTACTGCAATTTTACCTATTTTGTTGATACCAAAAAAAGCATGCACAGTTGTTTCTAGTTTTCTTGTTAACAATACTCACATTTATGAGAAACTGGCTGATTTTCTTTACAGAGCTCAAAGCAATCAACTATTCTTAAAGATAAAAATTTCTGGGCTAGGCGCGGTGGCTCACGCCTGTAATCACAGCACTTTGGGAGGCTGAGGTGGGCAGATCACGAGGTCAAGAGATCAAGACCATCCTGGCCAACATGGTAAAACCCCGTCTCTACTAAAAATATAAAAATTAGCTGGGTGTGGTGGCGCGCACCTGTAGTCCCAGGTACTCAGGAGGCTAGGGCAGGAGAATCGCTTGAACCAGGAGGCAGAGGTTGCAGTGAGCCGAGATTGTGCCACTGCACTCCAGCCTAGTGATAGAGCGAGACTCCATCTCAAAAAAGAAAAAAAAGATACAAATTTCTGTTGCTGCATGGGAGTATGCTAAAAAGAGCTGCCCTTAAGAGAAGCAGGATACGAAAAACCAGTATCTACAATTCACAGCCCCTGTTGTTACTTTGACTTGAATCTTACATTGAAATTAGCATTTGTTTTACAAAGATATGGTGTCTTTGTATGTGTGGTTTGTCTCTCTGTCACATGTACTTCTCTTATTCTGTTGCAATATTAACTGTTGTGCCAGAAAATGGCTATCATGTTGAGGTACATCTTCATGAATTTTGCACAGGCCACAAAGCTCTTTTAAGACAGACTACACTAGACCTATCTTCTAGATTTCTCTGCAACTGTAAATACATCCAGCAGGTTTTGTGTTATGTAGCTCAAGAGGGACAAAAACATAACTCATTTTATATTGATTACAAAATATATACTCTCTTCGGGGAGTCTGAACTCTCTGATTGTTCAAACAATTTAGAAAAAAATCTACTTTTCTATTTCATTTATTGCTGAATGGAATACATCCTGAATTTGTCACCTCTTCTTTCTCTACACTGGGTCCCTCACATTGAAGGCAATCACTCAATTGGTTTACAGTATAATACCTGAGAGGCTGCAGTTACATATCACTTTGCTGATAGAAATAATAAACGTAGAATGGAGAAATGGTAGATTTTTTTTTAATGGACAGAAAAAAAGAAGGTTTCATTGGCAATTTTTTGGCAAATATATCATCAAAGACTAGAACATATGGCCAAGAAGAAATGGCTCATTTCTTGAAGAAAAAATATTTCATCGCAGCTATTAACCACCAGGTAAGAGACTTGTCAAAAAAGAAAATTTCAGTGACACATCGCTTTTGCAGAACCATCCAGGAGCTAATACTGTACACAAAGCAAGCTTTATGTTGACAGACAATAAGAACCTGCCAGTGTAATATGTTGCCAAGCTACTGATTGAGGACACCAAGGCAAAGGGCTGACAAACCCAGAAGCTATGTCCACATACAGTTGAAGCCACAGGAGCAAAAATTCAAACGCTTTAGGGAGTTGTAGTCCCTTGCCATTTTTTATACAAAATGATTAGATATCTTGTAAAAATATTAACAATCTTAAAAGATAAAATTAAAGTAGCAAAAAATATAGTTTTATGAGGTGACACTGAGAAGAAACCTCTGAACACCAAACTATAGGTGCAATTCAGAATCTCCAAACATTGCCAAATTACTCCCAATACAGAATTAAAGAAGCAGGTTGACTGAATGCTAATGACTACTCTTTTATGTGATGTGCAAAAGACAAAAGAGCAGTTCTGAGATAAAGAAGGTAAGAAAGAAGAAAGGGAAATAGAGCAGGTAAGAAAGTAGATGAGCAGCTAACAGAAGCAGCAGGATTCTTTAATAAGAATGGCCATGGTTGGGGTCTAGATAAATTCTACTCAGCTCTTAGTTCTTAATTTGGCAGTTTTCTTTCTGCAATCAACCTTTTTCTAGCCTCTCGAGACAAGATTAGATGTTCCTGTTGAGTGCTTCTAACACTCTGAAACTTGCTCCTTCGTATCACTTATAATTTATATAGCTATTTGTTTAACGTCTATATTCTCCTAGTCCTCAACTATAAACTCCACAATGCTAGAGACCATATATACCTTGTTTACCAAAATATACACCGTACCCAGCGTATAGTATGTGTTCAATAAATATATGAGTAAACAAATTCAATGTAATCATTAATGTAAGTATGTGGAGAGACAGCATTAGCATAATGATTAAAGGAAAAAACTCTGGGTTCTGATTGCCTGGATTTGACTTCTGTTTGTGACATTCACCATCTGTGTGAACTTTGGCTATTCAAGCTTTCTTCCTTTTCTGAAATTACTTTATTTATATACAATTAAAATGATACATTGAAAGTCAATTACTCTCTGATGGTTTAATGTATTATCTGTTCCTCCATTTATATTATAAGATCTTTGAGGATGAAGTCCGTAACCTGGGCTGCTCATTGTTCACTCATTGTTCTGCCTCCATGAGGGCTGACACAGTGTTGGAAATTCAGCAGGAATTATATTACTACTTGATGGTTAAAATAAAACAGGTATAATACCTGAAGAACACAAAATTACATTAACATTTCAATAAATTTGTTCTTAAAAGATATTGAAAATGTGATTGCCAAAACTCATGAGTTAATTGATAAGTTGTAGTTCCTCTAAAATACTGCTCAAATCATTTATAAAACCTTGAATAAGGTTAGATAACCCATTACTTATATCATTGTAGTTATTTTTTAAGAAAACATGGTTAAAATTATAGCTGATTCATTTTATTCACACCTGATTAATTATAAGACTTGATCAAAATTAAGCAGTTGATGCGAAACTTCAAAAGAAATTATTGATTCTTCTCATGAGCAACAGCCAATTAAAACAGTATGGTGCAAGACTGCTCTAGTTCTTAGTCTTCTAATTTTGGATTTTTTCTCTTCAATTTTTTAAACAAAGAACATTATATAAAGACTTCAAATTAGCTCTTGGCTTTTCCTATTCAATATCAGCCACTTACCGAGTGCCAATCATTTTGCTGAACCCTTCTTTAAAAAAGAGTTTTGCCAGTGGCACTGCAAATGAAAAGAGATGATGAGATAATCATAGCAAAATCTTACTCCGGTGTGCTGCCTTTCTTCCCTGATGAAAACCCCACAGGATATTATGCTGGAAAAGGACATGATGATTCAAAGACCAGAAACTGTTTCTTGCCACACAAACAAAATGCAAGACAGTCCCAAAAAGCGCTTGTATGTGGATTTTGAGTACAAGAAGTTTAAGGTATTGATTGTCATAGGTCTTGAATTTCAGATATCCTACTGGCAGTTCTACTCCTGGGAGGAAATTGAAATATCGACCTTACAATAAGTATAGATAAATAGCAAGTTTCCAAGATGGCTCTCCTAAGACAGGTTAGCCATGTCAGCCATGTCTTTAAAATACCTCCTGTATTAACGGAGTCCTCATTATTAGTTAAGCTAAAACTTAATGCACAATGCTGTCAGAATTAGCTCATGCACTGAAGACTGCTGAAATCTCTGTATAGCTCATGTCATTTTCCATTCCCAAAAACTGAATATTTTTCCCATAGCTGACAACAATCCAAACTGTCTGTCACTGTTATGTTTCCCATGATTTTCATGAAAGCAGTACTGTAGTATTAAAAATAGAAAATAATTTGTTCATTAGCCTATCACCCAAATATAACTATTTTCATATCTGTGTTCTCTCCCAGCCTTTATTCATGCTTTTTCATAGCGGTAATTGTAGTATAAATATAATTTTATGATGTTTTACTCACTTAAAAATTAAAAAAGAATTTGTGACATTTTCATGTTGATATATAATCATCATAGTTATAATTTTAATGAATGCATATATTCCATGTAATTAGTACAATATCCTCAACTATCAACCTTTGACAAGGATATTTGGAAAATCTATCACCTTTCTGAATAAATAAAGAAATTGACTTGTATTTTTCAAAAATTCTTACTTAGTAGCACAGAAGCTCTAATCTTTGTCTCTGCCTTCATATAGCTCTTAAATAAGACAGTGGTATCGACTGTACACCTGCTAGGTCTCCACATTATAATAGAAGTGGTGAGAAATACCAGAACATAACACATAATCTCTGGTTGCAACCAATTTATAATACAGTAAATGACACAAGACAAAGACAGAGGGTAAAATTCAACCATAACGTCACAGGTAAGCTAGATCCATGAAGACTGTGCTATTCAAGGAATCCTTCACTGGGTACATGGACTTGGATGGAACTTGAAATATGGAGAAAGTATATTTAGCAAGATACAGGAAGGGCATCCCAGAAAGAAAACAACTTATTTTTGAATATGTCCAAACAGGGACTTTGGCAAGAGTGGTGGAATCTGTCCCAGGCTGAAGCAGGACTGGGCCTGTGCATAAACATTTCATTCTTTCCAGTTGTGAGGATTTCATGGACAGAGAACTGAATAGTGAGTAAATCTACTCTCTTGGCAGTATTTATCCAACAAGAGCATGAAGGGAGTTCTAGCCTCCAGAACTGCAAGACTGTTGTTTAAGTCACCAGCTTGCAGTATCTTGGTAGCGTGGCCAAAGCAAACTAATACATGGTGCTTTTCAAAATGCAGGTTCCTGAGCCTTATGGTAAACCTAAAGCCAGAATCTGTGGGCATGGACCCATCTCTATAAATCACCCCAGATGATTCTGGCACACTTAAAAGTCTAAGAATCTTCCACATAACCTATGCCAAACATTAAACTACAACACCAGCAAAGAATTCTCTAGGAGAGATTAGCTAATAAAGATTATAGAGCTTATATTTCAACAGAAATCCAATGAAATAAAATAGTTAACCTGTATAGCAATATGTGCAAGATACTTTCACATGCTTTACTGTATTGAATCTTTAGAACAATTGTGAGCTACATACAGGTGACTATTTATACTGGTCCTCTTTCCAAAATAAAGAAACTGAGTTTCAGAATTTGTCCAACTTGCTGAGCATCACACAGCCAATAAGAACCTGAGCTAGTGCTCCCAGTCAGGTTTGGGGACTTGCTCAAAAAATGTTTGCAGGGTATTGAAGGTCAAAGTCAAAAGGAAAGATTAGGTGATGGCATCAGAGAATGGCATTATGCTCCAGATAACTGGTCTGTTGGGTATCAGTCAGGGTAATGTCTTGGGTCCAGTTCCACAGAACAGAAGACAGGGCTGGAGGGAGGAACAAGGCAGGAATCCTGCCTCAGTGGAAAAATGGTGGGCTGCTTAGACAAGCGGGATAGTAAATTTACTTCTGACTCCTAGTGAAACTGCACTGACTGGCAAAACCTCCACACCAGCAACAAAGGGCAGTCAGAGGCTATCAAGGCATGCTGGGAATGGCAAGGCATGCTGGGAATGGCAAGGCATGATGGGAATGGTAAGGCATATGGGAGAGGCAAGGCATGATGGGAACAGAGGGCAAGTCCTAATGGAACCAGGCCGACTAACTCCTGCCCCATACCCACAACTCTACACCCAGGCTGTGCTTAACAGGCATGGAGAGGCTTTGCACACAGAATTTTATGTAAGCTTTGGAAATTAATTCAGAACCACCACCACCAAAAAAAAAAAAAAAGAGAGACAGAGAGAAGAAGAATGGTACTGGCATTTGGATTATTTAATTTCACAGCTACTGACATTTCAGAAAAGTCTTTATTGTCACCTTGAGCCTTGCATAAAAGCTGTGAAAAACAAAGGAACACAACTTGAGGAAACAAAGATTTCAAAGAAGAATGCTTTAAACCAAAATGATAGCTTATGGATGTGTGTTTTACTACTTTTTCATATTGCATTTTTACCCTAGATACATAATTCATTCTTAATATCATGTAGGTAACTGGAGAAAGTATGTTGTGATACCATGACTTTGGAAACATTGTTCTATTGTGATTAGAAATTTCTATAGAAATGGGGAAAAAATGAATACATGGAAATTCTCTGAAAATGAGAATGAAAATGCACTGCCGGTTGCTGTATGACTCAAATTCCCCAAATAATTATTGGTAGGGCCCATTGCCATCTAGTTGTATAAACATAAATGAACCCATGATAACACCCAAAGCTCAAAGAGTAATGACAAAGGTGGAAGAGATGGTCTAGTCAGGCATGAAATTGATTTTATAATAACAAATATCTGTTGCCTTCCATGTGCTAAGTAAATAATTCTGAAGCAGGGGGTAAAGATAATAAAAACAAAACCATTAACTGCTTCTACTAAATCAAACATGGAAAGGAACCCATCGTCATGTTGACCCTGAAGGCTGTTTAATGGCTAACTAAAGCAATTATTTTCATCACAACACAACCCTTCATCATAGGTATCTTCAGAGCTGTAGGAGACTTTGGCTGGTAACCTTGTTGGGAGGAGGTTTTTTTACTCCCAAGATTTACGCTGAAAATGAGTGAAACACTGTGCTAAGGTGTGGCTGGAGAGGAGGCACTAGGAAATAAACCCAGCGCTGAAGCCTGCAACAGAATCATAGGCCCCACTATCTAACCTTGAAGGCAGGCTTCAGTTGATGTCATCTAATTCTTCAGTGTGTGTGTGTGTGTGTGTGTGTGTGTGTGTGTGTGTGTGTGTGTGTGTGTGTGAAGGACTAAGTTAGCTAATCACTGATAATGGAATTTTATGGTCAGCTTTAAAAAGTCACTTTCAATGTCATGATGTCATTTATGTTCCCACAGCTTCGCTTGGTTGATTAGAATATAATTCTATGGAGAGCAGCATTTCTGGTTCAATGCTCAGGTGGGTCAGTTAGCTTTACTTAGTCCCTTGTCCCCACAACTCATCATTTTCCAGCTAGCTGTTTCCAAATGTGAGACTTTTATCCAAAAGAAATCACCAAAGAAAATATAGAGGAAAGAATGTTATACATGTTTCCAAATTCCAGCAATAACTCAAGAAAAGTTCCACCCAACTACCTTATTAATGGTGTCTGCACACATTATAGACACACATGGAGTAACTACCTATGGTTCTTGTCTTCCTAGCACCCCACTCACCTTCTTCTTGAAGGTGATCCTCTCCCTAGTCTAATGCAGCTCCTAGGGAAACTGCCTTGGTCCTACAGGGCTCAACCTCCTGGCCTCAGCTGGTTGGTTAAAAGGTTGACATTTTTCCAAGCTTATGCCCAACAGAAATCTCTGCCTGGGAGTTCTGAAACTGGATTCAGAGAACATGTGTAAGTCTGTCCTTCTTTGATGATGGAAACAGTCAGAACTTTGGAATTCAGGAGCTGCTAGTGGCCATATTTTATACCACTGTGCAAAAAAGTTGGCCTTAATAAGAAAGAGCGGGAGTTTGAGGTTGCAGCGAGCCATGATCATGCCACTGCACTACAGCCTGGGGGACAGAGCAAAACCCTGTCTGAAAGAAAGAAAGAATCAAATAAAGAAAAGAAAAGAGAGAAAGAGAAAGAGAGAGAGAGAAGGAGAAGGGAGGGGGGAGGAGGAGGGGAGGGAGGGAGGGAGGAAGGAAGGAAGGGAGGGAGGGAGGGAGGGAGGGAAGAAGGAAGGAAGGGAGGGAAGCCACACAGAAAGACATAGAGTCAGAAGGTAGAAAGGAAGGGCCTGGCAGGGTTTGGTTCCCAAAATCATTGTTCCTGAGGCTCAGCTCTTTCCATGCCTTCTCATTGTCTTACTTTTTAACTCTTTGTTAGACTCCAGGTGCTGCTAACTTCCTTTGGTTTTGCCTCAACTAATTTCAGTTGAGTTTCTGTTATTTGAAACCTAACCGATACTTGCACACTCAATGAAAAGCAATCCAGAAAGAGAATGTCACCTTCAGTTCTGGCAGTGACTCCAGTTATCAGTCTAAAGAGGTTATGCATCAGCAACAAACAACTCCAAGCCTCAGTAGCTTAAAGGAACAAAGATTCAGTTCTAAGTGACTACACATCCCTGTTTACTCTCACAACAGTTCTGGTTTATACCTGTTGTCTCAGCCTCCTCTTAGTCTCAAAAGTGGTCTGGTTGGAATGAAAAATTATATGCTTACCCTACTGACTTCTCATTTTTGCCACCAGCCATCACGTGGGACCCAAGCTGATGAAGCAGTCAGTATCTGAAACTCTGCCAGTCACACAGTCAAGAGGGAAAAATGTCCTAGCATCTCAAACTAGCAATTAAATGCCCTGGACTATAAGAATTATCTACAAGCATTATTTTTTATCAATGATTCATTGGTCAGAACTAGCCATAGCCCTACCTCATCATGAAGCATCAGGAAGGGCCATCCTACCCAGAAGGCCAAGAACTTGCATTATTTGGCGAGCAGCACTAAGGACTTAGAAACTCTAGCTCCCCTTAACTGTATATCAATTTTCCTATCATTCTTAGTCTTTCTAATGAAATATTACGTGGATCTTTAGATTCAATTCTATTATTTTAGTGTAGGATTCCTTTTCTAAATTTAGCTGTTTGAAAAAGCTGCATGATTTCATTTGACATTCATTGTATCCTTGTTTGTTAGACTTAGTGCTAACTCTTGAAGGATAACACAATGAATAAGACATGATCCCTCCTGCAGAAGCTTCACGCACTTAGTATTCTTTAGGGTATTTTTTTGGCTCACTGTAGCAGTAATTTACTAAGTGATTCCTTTAAGAACTGCCAGAGTTAATATCCCCAAGGTATGGTTCACTCACCTGGTAAGACCTACTAAAGAATATCTCAATGTAAATTTTAATATAGCTTGTTCCAATTTAATTTTAACTGTATAGCTTATAGTCTATTGCAATGAAAACTCTGACTTTAATTAAATAAGCACAATGCAAAAAACCCTAATATAAAGCACTAGCAATATCCCTTACATAGAATTTACTTCTTTTGCATTATAGCTACTGGAACTTTCTCCCCCACCCAGAATTTTCCATCTACTACTATTGGGGTACTCAAAACTTAACTTCCTCTGTTATGACTAAAACTGAGAATACATCAAGAAGTTTCTATTCCCCTTGCTCAAATTCTAAACAGGAATTGGGGAGGAGGAATTCCTATACTCATCACCAGAGAGGAAAAAGCAAAAAATGGGGCTCTAGCACCAGAATTGGGACTTGAAATGCATTTTCTCTCACAGAATATTTTAAAAGGTTGTGAGCTATTATGTTATTAGTGTTATATTTCAGCACAGTCGTGAGTGAAATGGCTTTTTATGGACCAGTCTAGAGACCTCACTACCATTTATATCATTGTTATTATGCAGAAATATGTTTTGAATTCCAAGCAAGTTATACATTAACTTTCAGAATACTATTTCTTAAGTCAGACTTATCTGAACTGCCACATGTACTAGGTCAGGATGATTTAGTGAGATGCCCAAAAAAATCTTTTGCTTTAAAGGCTATTACTCTTTACAATGGCTGTGTTACAGACTTTAAATAAATACCTTGGCTTCAATCATTCAACCAAGATGTACTAAGTATCTCATATTTGTAAGACACTATTCTAAGTGCTGGTGCTAATGTTAGTGAGCCAGAAGCAGATTGTCTATCATCCCTTTGGTAGCATCTCTGCCCTTGTAAAGATTCTAGGAAATGCAGAGAGCCCTGAAACAAGTCTTTAGGATGCCCATCCCATATGGTGTCAGTTTAGAGTTATCCAATGAGAGGTGTCCATGTGGGATTTGGACTTCTCTGGCAGCAGTTGCAAGGAGACTCATAGCAGAAGTCTAGTTCTTGAGAATTGCTAAGATCAGCAGATGAAATTCCCACTGAGATTGGGAGATTCTCTCAGACAGCTTCTGCGTAAATTCCTACATGTCACCTTCTCCCAAGCACTTGCATCCATGACCTTCCAAAGTAGTGTAAGTTTCTAGTTCCTTGTATGAGCCCCTTTCCATTCAGAATATCTAAGTGGCTTCTGTTGTCCCAACCCAAAACTCACTGATACAGCAAGGCAAGAACAGTCCCTGCCTTTAGGAGCTTACATACTCATGGGGAATACAGGCATTGAATAATTGATTACACCTGTAACTGTGTGATTGTCAGTGATGTGCTGGAGCCAGCTCCTACTGGTTGAGCTGCTAGTGAAAGCAGGAATTTTGCACAACCCGGTCATTAAATAGTCATATTAAAATTAAATTATATAAATTTTAAATTAATTATATGAGAAACTTAAAGCTTACCACTTCCTATTTTACTATTTCTGTGCTCTTGGGATTCTTCACACACATATTTGCATCTGTATGGTGTAAATGCTATGTAATGGCTTGCTACTGAGCCTCTCTTTCCAACTCGACATTCAATATCATCACACTGGCAGCTTGAAATCACCATGCTGGGAGTATTTACACCACCAAAATCAGCAAACTCTATACACCAGGGCACTTTTCTTCCCCCCATAGAGCCAGCTGTTAAACATTTACCAAACTGTCACTGGAAACTGTGATAAGTACCAGAAACCTAATTACTCAATAGCATAGACCAGAGAGACTCTGCCATAACCAGGCATTTCAGGGAAACTTCCTAAAGACTTGGAAGAAACGGTACTTGAGTTGAGCTCTGAAAGTTGGTAGGTGAAGGGGTGGAGAAGAACATTCCAGGGAAGGAAAAGCATATATGAACTCTGTGAGGAGGGAAAGATCTGGGTCCTGGCAAGCAAATGAAAGGCTGATGGAGACACAGTGCAAAGAGAGAGGGTATGACATTGAGCTCCATCGTTTCAAGCTTCCTTTTTTTTCCCAGTCTCCAGTCTGCCTTGTAGTCTTGTTATATGTGCATTTCTTTTCTCTGTCACTCAACAGACAATTTTGTTGAGGACAGGGACCATTAATTCTTTAACTTTCTTCTTCCAGATGCCCAGCACAACTCTTTATATACCCTCAGCATTACTTCTAAATGAGTGACTGAATGAATCCTCATAACACTAAGCTTGGTCAACATGAATGGTCTAATTTTCAGAAGTGAAGGTAATTCATAATCCAACTTTTTAAATTTAATTAAATTAAAATAATAGGTTTCAAATTAAAAGAGACAATTGAATGTGTATAATCACTAATGATAACTTAGAAAAAATCAAAACTGAAATAAACATATTCCATTTTAAAGAATAATAGGTCTATTAGCCTGCTTGGGCTGCCATAATAAAATCCCATAGACTGGATGGCTTAAACAATAGAAATTATTTCTCACAGTCCTGGCATCTCAGAGACTAAGATCAAAGTGCCAGCAAAGTAGGTTCCCTTCTGAGTCCTCAGTCTCTTGGCTCATGGGCAGCCTCCTCCTCCTTGTGTGCTCACATGACCTCTTTGTGCACACACACACTCAAGTGCAAAGAGACAGAGCACACTGTGGTGTCTCTGCCTCTTTTACAAGGAATGGGTATATAAAGAGACAAATTGGGAGTGGAATCTGGGGAAAAGAATTAGACCACTGGACAGATAACCAGGTACGTCTAAGCTCTCACGGCTGACCAAAGGACAGTTTGGTTGCCCTTGGCTGCATTCTGATAAGTCTTGTTGGAAGGAAGGGATTGTATACAGAGAGCTAGAGACCAACAAGGTTTATCAGCTGATTCTCCAAGTGGCTGAGATAGTTGATTAGTGCAGAGAAGCTGGGCTCAACGAAAAGACAAAATCTAACATAGCTACATTATGAACTGCCAACAATTACCTACATTTATCAGACTGCAAAGGACATCAGATCATCCTGCTTATCATCTTGCTTCCTGACAAAATTGCACATTAGTGATTCTGGGTGGAGGTGTGCTTCACATATCAAATAATTTTGGGAAAAGCTGACTTTAGCATGAAAACTCAGTCAAAGCTAAAGACGACTTTCCTTTGGGTCTAGTATTCCTGATATTATTAAGTCAGTTTCATCCTGGTGCTAATTCAAGGAAATGGACACAATTTTTCAGTTACAGATTATTTAAATAATCACAGAGATGTAAATTCTGAACAGGCAGAAGTGCACGTTTCATGGAAAGCAGAATGACTTCCCCCCACCTTGTCTCTAGGTTAACAAGCTATTGATGCTTAGTTGTAGTACGCACAAAGCGGTCACATTTTGTTTGAGGAATAGGTTGATAAACACCATGCATTTTTCAAAACTCACATAATTCAACACTAATTTTTCTATTGTAATAAATTGTAAGGCAAGGGGATGCAACCCAAGACTTCATAAATCTAGCACAATTGCCATTTAATTTCATTTTTAAATATACATTTTATGTATACCAAATAGTATAAAATTACACATGAATACATGCCCCATAAAACCATAAAACTTTGACCCTTTACACAGTTTATTACATCTAATTTCATTCTGTGGCTCTTGATTTGGGGGCATGTTTAACAACACTACCACTCAATGAGTTCTGAGCCATTGTTATGGTATATACAAACAATTATAAATTGTAAGAGCACTGAACAGAAAGATAACAGTACAATATAATAACAGTTACACAATCATTCAGGAATGTTTTCAGGCTACAAAGTCAAGTGTGGTTCATGGGATACTTTTATTTCCAATATTTTTGCTTACCAGCCAGAGTGGTGCTAGCTCATGGGCTAGCATAATGCTACCTGTGGTCAACCTACTCAGCTCCCAGATTTGAAGGAATGTGATTCATGGATAGTTTTCAAAGTGTGTGTGTGTATGTGTGTGCGTGTGTCTTCAAATTTTTTATGTCAAGTTATATTGCATGTAAATACAAGATATAATATACAAAATATAAATGGTATAATTAAATCAAACCATTTCAAGTTGGTGTCTTTCAGTGTTGTATAATATAGGAATATCTCACATCTATATCCAGTAAGAGTTATCATGATTACTAATGAAATTTTAGGAAGAGTTGCTTTATACCATATTCTCAAACCAAAAATGTGATATATGCTCTCACATTAAGCCATATTGCTATGGACTTGATGTGGTTTGCTGTGTCCCCACCCAAATCTCATCTTGAACTGTAGTCCCCATAATCCCCATGTGTCGTGGGAGGAACCCAGTTGGAGGTAATTGATGGGGGTTGATTACCTCCATGCTGCTCTCATGATAGTGAGTGAGTTCTCACAAGATCTGATGGTTTTGTAAAGGGCTCCTCCCCTTCTTCACTCTGCACTTCTCCCTGCTGCCGCCATGTGAAGGACATGTTTGCTTCCCCTGCCGTGATTGTAAGTTTCCTGAGGCCTCCCCAGCCCTGTGGAACTGTGAGTCAATTAAACCTCTTTCCTTTATAAATTACCCAGTCTCTGGTATGTCTTTATTAGCAGTGTGAGAATGGACTAACACAGGACTAAATTGTGTTTCCCCAAAATTCATAGATTGGAGCCCCAACCCCCAGTGGGACTATATTAAGTATAGGGCATTTAAAGAGGTGATTACAATTAGAAATCATGAGAGTAGAGCCCTCACCCAACAGGACTGATGTCCTTATAAAAGATGAAGAGACATCAGAGCTTGCTCTCTCTCTCTCTCTCTTTGCACTTGAGTGTGTGTGTCTGTAAAGAAGAGGTCTTGTGAGCACACAGCAAGAAGGAAGCTGCCTACAAGTCATGAGAAGAGGCCTGAGTGTTTAGGTGAGAATCTGTTCCATGTTTAGTCCTTCCTATCAACAAGATCCTCACATGATAAGCCCAATGGTAACCAACCTCCCAGCAGGAGCAACATAACTGCCCCTTCCCCTGCCTACTTCCCTGTCCTCTCCACCACATGAAATTCTTGACTTATCAGTTTCACACAATTTCTCATCCTAGTGGGAACCATCTTGCTAATGTTATAATATAGCACTTATAAAATCAGCCTCAGACATTAAAATTTATAAAACAGTTTATACTAGCATAAAAGAAATTAAGATGTAAGCTAATAGTTGAGTTCATGATGAAACTTAAACTACATGGTATTATTTACACAGTGCCTTGGAAAGACTAACACAGATTTTTAATAACACAAAGGACATTCAAATAATCAGGAGAATAGATTTTCTCCCTTCCCACTGAGGAAAAGTAGAAATAAAATAGCTTAAGTTGAAACCAGAAATTTATTAGATTTAAAGATTTAGAAATGGTTAAATTAGAATTAGAATTTAGATTTAAATTCTAAAAGATTTAGAATGGTTAAATACAATTAGAAGAAGAAACCTGAAATACTATTTCCTGTTAATGTACAAGATGAGAGATGCCAATTGTGTTAGTCCATTCTCATGCTGCTATAAGGTCATACCCAAGAGTGGATGATTTATAAAGGAAAGAGGTTTAATGGACTCACAGTTCCACATGGCTGGGGAGGCCTCAAAATCATGGTGGAAGGTGAAGGAGGAGCAAAGGCACATCTTACATGGTGGCAGGCAAGAAAGCATGTGCAGGAGAACTGCCCTTTACACAACCATCAGATCTTGTGAGACTTATTCACTATCATGAGACCAGCACACAAAAAACCCGCTCCGAGGATTCAATTGCCTTCCACTGGGTCCCTCCCATCAGGTCCCTCCCATGACATGTGGTGATTATGGGAACCACAATTCAAGATGAGATTTGGGTGGAAACACACAGCCAAACCATATCACCAATCTTTCAGAAATGGTTAGAACATACAGCTCAGGATACGCAGACTGACCATTCCTTGGAGGCAGGTACTATATTTATTTTGTTCACTTCTGATTTATTGGTAGCTGGAATGTGTGTGGCATATAGGCATTTATTGAACAGGCGTTCAATAAGCACTTGTTGCATGAATGAAAGACTCATTAAAGTCTAAAGTCAAATATATTAGCTATAGTGTATTTTTTTAATCCAACATTCCTAATCATTGAAAATGAAAAGAATTTTAGAAATTTCAAGGGATGTACCCACAGTCAAAATGGGAATTAGTGCAAATCTAAAATTGGGTCTCCCAGCCCTTTGTTCTGTCAATTAAACTACTCTGTCACCCTTTTAGGAAAAAAAGATGAGCAAAATTTGAGTGGAGAAATGAATGAATAATGTAAAATTTTACTTTCAAATATTTATTGACACATATCTACTGTGTAAAGTGGGAACAACAAAAAGTAACTTGCTGTTTATCCTGTCCTTCAGCCCAGACCTCTGTCCCAGGTAATCTCAGAATCTTTACACCCAACCTCACATTCCCTTTGCAAATGATTCTCCAATCTCTGCATATTGTAATGCCTGCACCAAACCCTCTCAGGATCAGAGTCAGGAATGACCATACCTCTTCTAACAGAAGTTTGGGTCCCCAAAACTGGTTAACATGAATGACACTCTGATCTGAGGCGCCCAGTGAAGGGGAGTTAGCAACTTGTATTTTCCACAAAACATCAGATGATTCAACATATCAACTACTTAGAGACCCAATTATTGGCAGTAAATTCAGACTAGACTAAAACGTCTTGCATCCATACTTGCTAAGCATTGCTATGGTGCTCTTGCAGGGTATTTAAAAAAAAATAACCCTGCAAGAGCATCATAATATGGGGATGATAATTCCTACTTCATGGAGTAGTCCAGAATTCTACTTAACTCTACAGAGGTTATCCCCATCTTACAGATAAGGAAAAAGCCACAACGAAGTGAAGCAAACTACCCAATATTCCTCACAGACTTGAATTGAAGCCAGATATTTTTATTCTACCTCCAGTGTTGTTTACATTATATCTTGAGTAACCATGGAATTCATAGGCAATTAAATAGGGTGACCATCTATTTTATCATCCAAATGAGTAACCTTCTGAGAAAAGAAAGACCATGACAACAAGTATAAACTGGCTCTATTCTGGTCAAGATGAAGGAAGGTCACCATGGTCCTGTCCACTGACCCCTCCCCGCATCACCACGGGTCTGCAATTCCATCATAATCCTAAATTACTCCATCATAAAGCTTTCCTTCTTTTGGGTCAGCCTATGTGCCTATAGTTCTTAAATTCCAAAATAGGAATTTTTACTTTTCACACTACATAAAATAGCTGGAGTGTTACAAGGGATGCTAAATGAATCAGAGTCAACAGTGTTGTGCTCATCAAACACGGTGTCTCATGCCTATAATCCCATCACTTTGGGAGGCCGAGGCAGGAGGATTGTTTAAGTCCAGGAGTTTGAGACCAGCATGGGAAACATAATGAGACACCATCTCTATAAAAAAAGAAAATTTTTAATTAGCTGGGCATGGTGTTACGTGCCTGTAGTCCCAGCTACTTGTGAGGCTCAGGTGGGAGGATCACTTGAGCCAGGAGTTTGAGGCTACAGTGAGCCATGATCACATAACTGCACCTAGCCTGGGTGAGAGGGCAAGACCCTGTCTGGAAAAAAAAAAGTGTGTGCATATTAATTAAATTAAGATTGCTTAAAGAAAGTCAATTTCAATTCAAAATTTCCAAGAAAGAGTAATTCCTTTTTTCTTTGCAGGGTAACATCAATAGCACTTTGCAGAGGTATGAAGAATGGAGTGGAAGTAAGTTGGACTCTAAGACCCCAATTTCCTACCCAGTACCACAATGTCATTCTATATTTATATAATGTCTTTGGGTTGGGAATTTGATACACAGGGGTTATTAGCTAGGGAACTGCTCAGCGAATGGTAGAAAATGTCAATTCCACTTATTACTGCTTAATTAGAACTTTTAAAAAGTTATTTTCAAATTTCAGCATTTTGAAATGTCAACTTATAACACTGGCAAATAATTTTTAAAAAGGCTGTACAAACCAAGCCTTATACCTTTGCCATTTAGAAATAACCCATGGTGACACTGGATTGCTTTGGAGAGCTGCAAAACCTCTCATCTCCCCAGATCCCCAGAGTTCACTTCCCTGCACTGTAAAATAAAACTGGGAAAAGGGCTTGAATAGAAGTTACATACGTTTATGCTCAGAGTTGATTAGATACTTTGTTTTCAGCCATTCATGAGGGCCAGGCTCCACTTTATAGACAGAACAACTTTAAAGAGAGACCAGGTTGTTCATTATTTGGTAGTACCAGAAATACAAGCAATCTAATTTGCTATGGTCCACGGGCTGTGTGAATTGCCTCCCAAGTATGGACAAGCCAGGGCCAGCCAAAACACTTTCCTAGAAATCAGGGTTTTCTGCAGCAAGGGAGAAGTTGGCACTTGGTTTTACAGGCTCTGGAGCCCCTTTCAGTGAAAGCTAGTTAAAAATGGCTCTATGTGAACAGAAGGCACAGTCCCTCTGTAATCTTTATTCTGGAGATCTCACCCATTACCTCACTTCAGTACCTCTTCTGGTATTTGCACAGCCAGTCCAGGGAGGCATAGTGATACCTGCATAAACATGGAAGATGCATTCGCAGCATTCTTTGCTATAAGAAACTGCATTATCTGAGATTAAAACAGAAAAAAAAAATCATAGGCATGAGTTTGTTTTCCAGGCATGATGTTCATCCAGATGAAGCCATTAATTCTCCAACATTCTCATATACCTAGGAGTGGGAAGGAGTATAGAGGTGAATCCCTCACCCTGGCTGGCTCCTAGCCCTGGAAGGTGGGCCAGAGAGTGGTCCCCACAACCCAGGAGGCCAGGCTCCATTTTGAGAACAGGCATGTGGCTGCCATTGCAGCAAATTCCCTCACCCCTCAATAACTGTCATAAAAAACCTGTCTCCTCCCCTACCCAACCCTCCCAGGGATTTGTTAATCAAGAAAACACTGTAAATCAGAGTGGAACATCCAGATCTGGACCTAGGTCAGTGGCTGCTCTGTTCTTGTCCATATCTGTCTTTTGTAAGCCAATGGTCTACTCCAGGTAATAAATGTCTGAATCTTGGCTTCCGCTATCTATAATCTATACTAAATCTTTTGTGATTCATTAAATACTTAAGAACTATGTATCATGGGCACTAAAAATATCCTCATTTTCTGAAAATTTGTTCACATTTCTTGAATAATTTTCCACCCAAACAATATTGATATTCTTATGTCTTAAGGAGAAAGCTAGGGCCAGAAAGGTATTCCCAAACACATCATTATTTTCAATTAGATCCAGTATTCTAATTATAATAAATATTATGATTCATTTATTTTCCATTTCTTATATTAATGTGGGTGCTCACATGTATTTTCCCTTCTTCTGTGAAAGTTAAGTCAACTGTAGAATACGGACTGGAAAAACTTTCTAAGTGAATGGTTCTCAACCTGGGCTCCTTGAACTCTCAAAGGGATCAAGAGTAGAACTTAGGGAGTCCATTTGTTTGGATAGAAAACTATATTGAAACTTTATTTTCTCTACCTCCAGTGGAAATTTAAGTTTCCTTGAATTATAAAGATAAGTGACATGTCACCATAGTATTAGCCAAACTTGTGACTGTCACCAGTAGAATTCACATATATTTTCACATCACATGAGGTTTTAACAGCTATTTTGCAAGAGTAACTATATTCATCATTACTTCAAAATCATGGTACCTAAGACATCTACCTAATTTCAAATTTTTGTTTTGTAAAACTTTAAAAACAATACTTCAATATACGTGGTTTCTATTGTAATCCTATGTATTTTATTTTATGCACTTAAGAAAACATTATTCTGAGAGGTCATACATAAGCTACCACAGATGAACAAATACGTCTGAGGTATAAAACAAGTTAAGAAACACAGTTAAGTACTCATACTTAATAATATAAATAAATTCAGGGAAGTCACACAAAATAAAAAAAACTTTCTATACTCGTATCTGATAATATCGTATGCCCTATTTTGACTTAATTGCAGATGTCACTTCTGATTAGTTCTTGTTCTTTTAAGAGACATCCTTTCTTGAAAGCTAAAGAGAAAGGAACTTTCCCAGCTCTCTGGTTGATGCATGAGTACAACAGTCAGGTTAGCTGAATAAGGACTAATTTCTGCTCTGGTAAACCCAGAATGGGTAGACGGACACAAAACTGACCATGTAACTCTTAAAAACTGTTCACAGATAATCTTACTTTTGTATTTTTTACTGTCTGATTTTTCATTTCATCAAGTCAAAAACTTTAAAAGGTACTATGTAAAGGAACAATTACAATCTAGGCTTGGTCATAATTTTCTTGATTTTTCCCCAAAAAGACACATGCTATCCTCAGACACATACGTCACAGAAGACAGAAATATCCACCCAGACTCTTCAGGGATTTCAGACTTTCCCACTTTAATGCTTCTGTCTTAAAGCTCAACCAACAACTCCAGACTAGACAAGAGGTCCCTGGGCCCTAACAGTCTTTTAAACATAGAAAACGTTTGCCTTCTATTTCTATTTTTCTTTACATTTTCCACCTGCTAATAACTTTTTCCTCTCACTCTTATTTATTTAGAGTCAGAGAGTTAAATGGCCCTTCTTAATTTCCTGGGGATAAAGATACCTAGTTGTGATGATGTTGATATCTTACTTTTGAGACATTTTGAATGACAGTCGTGATGCACCATTCTGATAACCTTCATTCATCCCAGATAAACACCACAGGGATAAATCATCTCACTGTCATGGTAATACACATTTACTTTCTAAGATGATTCTAGGGTTCTTATTGTACCTCTACAAAAGCGGTTGATCCTTCTCTCAGTTCCTTCCATAAGAGCCTTGGTTCAGGTTACCTGTGTTCTTGTAGATTCCAAACACACTGACCAGACTAGGCTGAAATGGATTAGTCTGGAACCATAAAATACCTTTATCTTCATATTTCAATGTCAGAAACCAAACAATTTAAAAAATAAAACAGGGACCATATTCTCTACAGAGCCACAGCCTCTACACATTCTATCTTTACACCAATTGCCACACTTTGGAGAATAGCATTTTAAAGACTCTAAAGTTCAACTGTTTCAGTTTCCTGACTTTCTGTATAAGAAAGGTAGGCCTAAACAGATTGAGTGACTCATGCAAAATCGTTCAGCTGCCAGAGCTGAGGAAAAGCAGTTTCCTCTGTTTTCTCCATTTCACCAGGCCATCTTCTGGCCCTCTGCTACAGATCCACTATAGTCTTGTATTTGTGCATATTTAATACTGAAAATAAAATCTATCATCAAGGATGTTTACTAACATTTTAAAAGCAGCAGTGTGCAATCAATTTCCTTTTTCATTCACAGTTCCATATGCCCTTTTACAATTGGTACTCTCTATATCCAACTTTAGCCCCAACCACTTCAAGCCTATCATTACTACATTATGTATATACATATATACATATATATATAAAATCATTCACATATATATGTGTATATATATATTTTTAGGGATATATATATATATTCATGACTTTAAATTGTTTATATTAGCTTTACAACCATTAAACAATCAGTTCCTATTATATGTTATTAAAACTTACTGGTATTTACTAATGAATTTCTGTGAAACTAAATATAAAACTTTTAAGATACAATTCAAAGACATTTTTTAAAATAATGAATTTGTTCAATTGAACAGTCTCCCATAAAAAAAATAATATGACCAAATATATGAATTGTTGTTCTTATGATTCCTATTTGGCTTTTACTAGAAAACCCAGAATGTCACCCATTATAAAGGGGGTTAACGTTAGAGGCAAACAGACTTAACTATAAGAAAATCCAGGACAGGCACAGTGGCTCACACCTGTAATCCCAGCACTTTGAGAGGCCAAGGAGGGCGGATCACTTGAGGCCAGAAGTTCGCGACCAGCCTGGCCAACATGGCAAAACCCCATTTTTACTAAAAATACAAAAATTCGCTAGGTGTGGTGGTGCGTGCCTGTAGTCCCAGCTACTTGGGAGGCTGAGGCAGGAGAATCACTTGAACCTGGGAGGCCGAGGTTACTGTTAGCCAAGACTGTGCCACTGCACTCCAGCCTGGGTGACAGAGCAAGACTCTATCTAAAAAAAAAAAGAAAAGAAAAAAAGAAAGAAAAGAAAAGAGGGCCGGGCACGGTGGCTCCTGCCTGTAATCCCAGCACTTTGGTTTGGGAGGCCGAGGTGGGTGGATCACGAGGTCAGGAAATCGAGACTATCCTGGCTAACATGGTGAAACCCCGTCTCTAGTAAAAATATTTTAAAAATTAGCTGGGTGTTGTGGTGGGCACCTGTAGTCCCAGCTACTTGGGAGGCTGAGGCAGGAGAATGGCTTGAACCCAGGAGGCAGAGCTTGCAGTGAGCCGAAATTGTGCCACTGCACTCCAGCCTGGGCAACAGAGCGAGACTCCGTCTCAAAAAAAGAAAAAAGAAAAGAAAAGAAAAAAGTAGGGAGGGAGGGAGGGAGGAAAGAAGAAAGGAAGGAAGGAAGGAAGGAAGGAAGGAAGGAAGGAAGGGAAAAAATAAATGCACCCAGCAAAAAGAAAATATTTCAAAGGCCATTCAAGCTAGGATCCTTGCAAAGTAGTGATCAAATGATTCAAGCAAGGATATCGAAGAATATTCACATTTAGAAGTTGTATTGGATGCTTTCATTATTTTTGACAGTAGCAACAAAAGAAGATACATAGAAGGCTCTGATTATTGACTCATTTTGTGTTTCTACAGAATTCAGAAGGAAACAATATAATCATCACTCAAGTGAGGGCACCACCAAGAAAATAATATTTTATGAAAAATATTGCTACATACCCAAATCATGGTTTAATGCAGCCAACAGTTTAAACTTTATAATAGAAATATAATTTGAACAAATAAACAAGAAACAAAAATTTCACCTCTCCTCTTTATCTGTGACTACTCTTTCTCTGACAGAGATGCTAATCAATAGTTATTTTGTTTTCCAGTTAAACAACAACAGGTAGAAAAAGGAGAAGGTAAAATGGATAGAAAAATCCAAAACTCAATGATTGAAGTTAAATGTCTATAAAGACATGAGGCAGACAGAATCAAAGAAAAATTTAAAAGATGACAGGTTGGGGTTGTGGCTTTCACATGTTAAAATGCTATCTTTATAGTAAAATTAGAAAATCACAAGAAAATACAAAATGTTTTCCACGGCTCTTCAAATATTGAAGAATTGCTGCTGAGTCAACTCAAACTGGGGTTGGATTTGTCTAGATTTTACATCCAATCAGCCCCAAAGTCCTGTCATTCTTGTATCCTAGCATTTTTGACCTATCCCATTGCTCTTCCCAGAGCCACTTTGTGCTTCCACATCCTCTTGTTCTCACCTGGACCACAGTCATCTCCTATGACAGTCAGGGGAGCTTTCTAGGTCTGTGCCTGTCAGTACTTGCATAAAATCCTCCACAGGTTCCAATGTCTTTAAGATAAGGTTTAGGTGCCTTATCATGTCTTGAAAGGCCTTTCATGATTTGCCACCACCTGAGTTTTCACCCCGGGTCCTCCAGCCTGTGCACAAGTGCAAGGACACCCATGCACACATACACGGACACACAAACACACAGACACACACATACACACACACACACTGCTTTCCAGATAAGCTAAAGTGCTTGCAGTTTACAGCAAGTTAATGTGCTCTCTCCTTCCCCTAATTTCCTGCATATGTAATTCCCTCTGTGTAGAATATCCTTCCCCTCACTATATCTGCTTGGTGGACTTAGCTCAAATACCTCTTCTTCTGTGAAGCTCTCCCCAGTTAGAGTGAGACACTTCCTCATTTGTGCACCCATAATCCCTTCTACAGACTCTACAGTGCACTCATTACCATGTAATTCTCTTTTAATCTATAACCACCTATAGGGAAGAGATCATGCTACGTTCATCACTATTTCTCAAGTCCTTAGCATAGTAACTGACATATAATAATTAATGGATGATGAATGAATGGATTCAGTTGGACCATTATTCATTAGATAATGAATAAATATCCATTCAATATCTACTATAGGTCAGACACTGTTGGATGTTGGGGATATACTAACAAAAAGGCATTGATCTGTATGACCAAGAAACAGCCTGGTGAATGGCAGGTAAAAGGAAAGAGCCTATCCTAAGTGCCCATTGCTCTGACAAACATGATCTTGTTTAATCTTTACTCTGACTGTATGAGGGGCTGCCAATCCCATTTCATAGACAAGCTCAGAGAGTTCAACAAACAATTGGGGCTCATACAATTAATCCCACAGCCAGAATTTTAATACAATTCTACCTAATTCCAAAGCCCAAAAGCCTTTCCTCTGTTTCTTTGTGTTTTTCTAATGTTCAGACTTCTTGGGGTTTTTGTTGTTGTTGTTGTTGTTTTGAACATCTGACATGAGAACTAGAAACTAGACAATAAGATGACCTTGCTCAGATCATCCTGTAGAAGTGATTCGGAGATCATATTATCCAGGATTTAGAAGCAGTCATTGCCAGAAACTGTGCTGTCAGTTCTATGAATGTTTCCATTTTCCTGTTTCATTTAAAGGACTCAACAATAGACATACTAAATCCACTTCGGTCTCATCCAGACTTCAATAAAGAACTACCACTTCAGAACTTCTAAGTCCTGAGGCTGGACCACTGGATTTAACTGATGTACTGAACTGCCATCAAGTCCAGTGGAATTTAATATTTTATGACAATGATTAAAATATTGATGACAGTGATGACAATAGTAACAACAGTAAAATAACTGCACTGGCATCCCTGCAAAATTCAATTGCACTCAAAGAATAAAGCAAAGGAAAAAATGACGTTTGTCTTTTGGGTTCATTATACCCAATGAAATATCAGCTCTTGTAACACAAAGATTTCTATCTTAAAATCTCCTGTGGAATGTATTTCCTACTGTTCTTCTTCTCTCTAATACTCTGTGCTGTCTATAGCACTCACTTTTATTTTATTCTTTCCTTTATTCCCATGTTTATGTCTGCAAGCATTTCAAACCTAATGTCATCAGTACCTGATTATATGTAGAAGCTTTATTTATACTTTTACTTAGAAATATGTATATGCTTCTTGCTAAGTAGTATGCACTGTAATGAGCATTTTAAAAATGTTAATTTATAAATGAATTAACAACAATGTTATGAAGTAGCTACTATTATTATATTATTAATGAAGAAATTGAAAAAATTAAGTAACTTGTCAAGGGTCCCAAAATTGATAAGTGGGTAAAGCAAGGTTTCAAACCCAAACAGTTTGGCACTAGTCTTTGTTCAAATTTCCAGGTAGGCTGCCTCTCAGATAAATATGATAATCCCTATAACAACCTTGGATAGGAGTATCAGCATGGATAATTGGAAAGATGCAAATAATCTATAAATAATCTTTGACTTTGAATCACAGAGCTCTGTATTACAGGTGTTATTACTTGACTGGAATTAAACTTTTCCTGCAGATGCACAGTAGATAGATGGCAAAGACTCTTCTGAGGCCAGCGTAGTAGGATTAGGAAGGAAAATCCTCTAGTCTCTTGTTAAACCCATTAATCTCAAGGTCCTGGTACCATTAAGTACTGGCACTATTAAGTACAGTGAAGGGGCGAAACTCCTGCCTTTGGAAGAATCTCTAAAGCTTCTGAGAAAGGCCATCCTCAGAAATAAGTCCACTCATCCTTAGAATGCAGTTATGATATTAATTCAACAGAAACAGGAAGTCCTTTTGAGAAATGCTCCAGCTGAAATGTTAAACCAGATCCCAAATGAAGCACATCAACCACAAATAGAGAGACCATATATCCCCTGGTTGCCTAGGACCATTCAAGATTCCTCCTGTTGTCCCGACGTAAATATTTATAGCACACTCTTTCACTCTCAAAATGATACTGGTTTGGATGATAAAATATGCTGCAATTCTCACCATGGACAACCAAGGGTTGGTTGTAACTCTTAATACATCCAGGAGAGAATTATCTCTGCAGATGACCATGCACAGCTCATCTAAAGATCTCTAAATTTACCACCTTTGCCTTACGACTCTTCATCTAAAATTCAGCTCTACTACTAAATCATTCTAATCAGAGAAAATCTAACAAATAAAAAATACTTATTAACTATGCAACAACTTGTGCAAAGCCCTGTAAAGGCATGAAAAAGTGGTCTCTGCTCTCCAGGCATGTACTACCAGCTGGCTGAGAAGAGGCTGAAGCTGCCTTCCTGATCCCTACCACACAGCCAGAACTATACTAAACCCTGTAAGCACATGACTTAATCTTCACAACAACCCTGTAGATAGGAATCAATATCCTCTTTAAAGAAAAAGAGTAAAACTGAGGCTTGAAGGTTACTGTAGCACTGATCAAGTAAATTAATAAATCGGACACTGTTGAAATAAAATGGAACGTGTAGTTCCCACCCTCGCCACACTTTTGAGATGATGGAATGTTTCAATACATGTGACAAGGTACTCACATTTCATACAACCTTTACTGTCACTTATTATATGGTGAAACTCCATTTCCTTCTAGTACCAATTGCAGTGACCATATATCACCTGATGGCATACACTATGGCATGACGGCACTACCATCGTCTATACAATAACATTTGTGTAAGTATTTGAATATTTCGCTGATCTTTTCTGTTTTATGAAGCAGATTAGAAGACAGAAAAATAAAAATGCTAATGTCAGTGCTAATATAACTTAAGAAATGCATGCTATCATTAAGCATGGCAAAAGCAAGACATCAAAAGCTCATGGGACATGAGTTGGTTAATGGTGAGTTTATTTGTGAAGGAAACGGTAATTATTTAATGACATACATAAATGACAGAACTAGGGTCAAACATTGTGCCTTCAATTTGAGGTGCAGGTGTAGCAAAAATGGAGAGATCTGTAAAATTGTGAACTCAGAATCAAAATCAGAGAAGCACTGAAGTGATTCAGATACAAAGAGAAACTTGGAAATCACTAGAGCTGTTCATATGGATAAAGTTTTCTACAGACTTCTTATGAAGAGAAGACAAAGGCTAGTTTTAGCACTCTTTCAGCAAGTTTTATATGGAAGTTGGTAAGTCTCCATGAAAGTCCACAACCTAATTGCCTGCTGAATCTCCTAAAAAATCACAACCAGAAGGCCTGCCCCAATGTTAAAATACATATCTTCTATCTTCTAAAATTCTGTGAAGTTGAGAGCCCTAGAATTTTAGATGGGAAAAAAATTTGTAAATGAATTTAAATCGCATGGTCTTAATTCTTAATATATTTTTTAGTGTATTAGACAAATATATACATTGTAAAGTTTAGAAAATCTAGGCCTATATAATATACTTGATACTATAATTAGAAATTTGATAATGTTTTCACTTCTGTGGGATTGTCTCTTCTTGACTTCTTGCTATTAACCTGAAACTCAGCTTTTGTACATGACTGCTATCCTTGTTTGCAGGAAGACATCATGCAATAAAATAGGATAACATAAAAACTGTTTGCTGTCACAGTAAGCCTGTAGCAGATAGGGGACGTCCCACAGCCCTAACTTAGAAGATAACTCCCTGTGGATGGAGATGCTTATCTCTGAGTCTCCAATGCCTAACCTTGTTCCAGCTAGGTAACAGATACTAATTACTTGTTGAATAAATTTTGAAAAGGTTCTGAAAAGTTAAGTATATTTCCAAAAGTAAGAAAAATGGAATATCTTTTCTAACCTAACTTTCACCATTTACTCTGACGCGTTCATTTTACAAATGGTTTTTAAACAGCTGAAATCCACTTAAAATTCTCACAGATTATTGGCTTTCTATTCACTGCTATGGAGAAAGCCACAAGGTCAAAAATCATGCTAGTCAGCTTTTTTCTTTGGGTTTTCAGAACATACAACCTTCTCTTTTCTGGAACAACTTGAAGTTACTTCTTATAAAGCAAAATTTTTCCTTTTAGGCAAAAAGGCTACTTTCTTTGGTTTTGCTAAGCTAGACTGTTTCTGAGCTTCTCTCTGGAGTCTGTCCTTCCCTTTGAGTTTTCCATATCTTCATACCTTAGAAACCTGAAATGACATCACTTTCTTTGGCTGATTCCAACTGAGCTCTTCCAGCAGGAACTGTGAAAATAAGCTACAAATTGTCTTTGTAAAGGGCCAGGCTTTTGGGAAATAAGATGGATCACCAGGCACTGATAAGCAGGGATGTCCACTATGTAAGTGTGAAAAGAAAAAAGTGTGTGTGTGTATGTATGTGTATATATATATATATATATATATATATATATATATATATATATATATATATTTTTTTTTTTTTTTTTTTTTTTTTTTTTTTTTTCTGAGACAGAGTCTCACTCTATCGCCCAGGCTGGAGTGCAGTGACACAATCTCAGCTCACTGCACCCTCTGCCTCCCGGGTTCAAGCAATTCTCCTGCCTCAGCCTCCTGAGTAGCTGAGATTACAGGCACGCAACACCACGCCCAGCTAATTTTTGTATTTTTAGTAGATACAGGGTTTCACCATGTTGGCCAGGCTGATCTCAAACTCCTGACCTCGTGATCTGCCTGCCTCAGCCTCCCAAAGTGCTGGGATTACAGGCATGAGCCACCGCGCCCGGCTGGAAAAAGTATATTACAGACCAATTTGCTCTATGGTGGAAAAGTTATATTTGTAACCTATACACATTCAGAAAATTAAGGCTGTACTCCAAATATTGGAATTAAGGATAATACTTACCCTTTTCACTTTCTACATTTATGCCATGTTTGAAATTTCAGTAATAAGCACATATTTCTTTGGTAATTAAAACAATAAAGAAAAAATGGTCAATCTTTTTCAGTATGCAATGCCTTCTTTTTGCAAAGTCTTGCCTTAGAGAATAAGAATGACAAGATAAATTAATGGAGCCCCATCATAGAAAAGCCCATGATATTAGGGACATGGACACATATACCAACAGCAATACTATATTCATTTTGATCTGGATGCAGACGAGTAAATAAATGGTAGCTATTTAATACCTAGAAAGAAAATAATTTATTCACTAGTGCCACTGTCTGCTGCCAGGGGGAAGGAAAGGAATTTTGAGTGAAAAGAAAAATGAGAAGGTAACTGAGGCATGACATCAGTGAGACGGTGGAATATGAGGCCCCAGCTCTCATCTCTCCAGAGAAATACTGATTTTGGTGACCACTCATGGATGAGAGTACTTTGTGGGAGCCCTGAAGTCTAGTTGAGTATCCAGCATACCAATGATGCAAAAAAATCGGGAGTGGATATATGGCAGAGAGTAAGGACAGCAGCCACTTCACTTGTGTCATCCCTTTCCAAAGTGGCACAGCTAAGTACGAAAGGCCCCCTTGGCCCATGATTTCTTCCATGGGGAAAAGCGAGAGCCCCACTTTCCCAGCATTGCAGGATGCCACCCAAGAGGTCCACTTATGTTGCACCTCACCTAGAACTGAAGGAGTCAGCACAGCGGAATCACCTGGGGACATCTAGGAGCAAGGGGTAGGGGAAGGAGCACACAGCAACTGGCCTGCAGTTCTCAACAGCCAACTGCAGATTCTACTAACTGGCTCACAAACTCCACCAAGAGGCCCACCCATGAAGCCCACAGGATGACTCACCTGAGAACCTTCTCAACCAGCCAACACATACCCTAGCACCCTGTGTGGTCCCAATGGGCAATACCTCACATGTCTCTGAGCACGATTCACATGAGCTCCCTGTATTAGGTCGTTCTTGCGTTGTTATAAAGAAATACCTGAGAC